>NC_000023.11:102462542-103087542 GCF_000001405.40 Homo sapiens | reverse complement strand
CTTCTGACCTGTTTAACATTATTCTGATAGGTTTCATTGTGAAGTTGTTGGTGCTTCACAAATGTCTTCAGATTTTTTAAGTGGCGCTGACAAACACTACATTTAAAAGGCAGATTATGAGTTAGCTGATGCCTCTCCAGATGAACTAGTTGTCTAAAGGTTTTATGACACACATCACATTCAAATGGCTTTTGACCAGTATGAATGAGATAGTGCCTAGCTAATTTTGATGGTGTTTCAAAGTGCTTGAAGCAAATATTGCAAATATATGGCCTGTTTCTAGGTACTTTGTTGGCTACCACACACTGTTGAATCTTTAGCATTTTTAAATAGTTTTCAGGCATCATATTCTTCAGTGATGTAGTCTGATGAGCTCCATAGCGTTCCTACACCAGTGTTGCCTCAAGGCTGAAAGCCTGTTGATTTTCTTGTCTTGACTAGTACCATTAAAACGATGTGAGGATTTCACGAAAGTAGGCGAACAAGAAATGAAAGACCTTAGCGGAATTGAGGCAGGTCTGACCCTCCCTGGGAGTCTCTCCACTTCTCAATCGGGTTTCTGAAGTCTACCTCACACACCTGGAGCTGGCGAGGGCCCAGGAGCCACCCACCTCAGGCCCAGGTGCCATGAAGGCAGTGCGCGCACCTGCTTTCTTAATATCTTCTTGTTGATGTGAACCTTTATCATTATGAGTTCTTTTCTCTAGTATTTCTTAAAGTATATATTTTCTCTTATTAATATGGTTACATAAGCTTTCAGTCAGTCAGTGTGTAAATGGTATGAATCGTGCCATTTTTCTTATTTTCAAATATTCTGTATTATTAAATTTTACATGTTTTTTTTTCAGGATAATTTGATGGAATTTTTTATCTAGTGTGATACTCTGTGCCTTTTAATTTAGAATACTTAAGTTTAATTTCTTTTAATGAAAATATAGGTATGATTTGGTTTAAATAGACCGTATTACTATATATTTATTTTTGCCTGTTTTAAGTTCTTTTTCCACACCTCTCCTTTGAAATGATTAATAGTTTTAACTATTAAATTTTTATCTCATTTGGCTAGAAAGTGAAACTTCCTGCCATTGTTGTAGTGTTTATCCTTAGGATTACAATATATATCTTTGCCCTATCACAATCCAGTGTAAATTAGTTCTGCACTGGAGTGCAGTGGCGGGATTTCGGCTCACTACAAGCTCTGCTTCCCGGGTCCACGCCATTCTCCTGCCTCAGCCTCCTGAGTAGCTGGGACCACAGGCGCCCGCCACCACCCCCGGCTAATTTTTTTGTATTTTTAGTAGAGATGGTGTTAGCCAGGATGGTCTCGATCTCCTGACCTCATGATCCGCCCATCTCGGCCTCCCAAAGTGCTGGGATTACAGGCGTGAGCCACCGCCAGCCAGCTAATTTTTTAAAAAATAATTTTGTAGAGGCCGGGCACGGTGGCCGACACCTGTAATCCCAGCAGTTTGAGAGGCCAAGGTGGGCGGATCACTTGAGGTCTGGAATTTGAGACCAGCCTGGCCTGGAGGTCTGGAATTTGAGTCCCAGAAATAAGGAGAGGGAACAGTGGAGAAGTAGTGTTAGATATGCTTACCAAATCTTTCTTTCTTTCTTTCTTTTTTTTTTTTTTTTTTTTTTTGACAGAGTCTCGCTTTGTCGCCCAGGCTGGAGTGCAGTGGTGTGATCTTGGCTCACTGCAAGCTCTGCCTCCTGGGCTCACGCCACTCTCCTGCCTCAGCCTCCCGAGTAGCTGGGACTACAGGCGCCCGCCATCACGCCCGGCTAATTTTTTGTATTTTTAGTAGAGAGGGTGTTTCATCATGTTAGCCAGCATGGTCTCCATCTCCTGACCTCGTGATACACCTACCTCGGCTTCCCAAAGTGCTGGGATTACAGGCAAGAGCCAACGCGCCCGGCTGCGCTTACCACATCTTTTTAAATTCTCTCTTTCACTCTTTTGGTAATTAATTCCATAATTATGTCTCTCCAAGATTCATTCTGGATATTTTCTTCAGCAATGTTTTCATTTATCTGATTCTTCTTTGAGGCAGGGAACTTGCCTTTGACCCTTGAGCCATAATAGCAAACTTTTAGGGTAGATTTTATTATTCTCCAATTAGAGGTGGGAATTTAGGGTTACAGATGATAAGCAATTTGTTCCATGTTACCCAGCCTGAAAAGGGCAGAGCAAGGACTATCATCATAGATTAGTATCACCTAAACCCAAACCCTTTCTGCTGTGCTTATTTTCTCCTTGGCTGTTAATGTTCCCCAACACTCATCTCCCAGGAGGTGAAACCACAGTGAAGTCTTTCAACTTTTTTTGGCACTGTGATATATTTCTTTCTAGATTATAAAAATCACCAGCCTGGGCAACACAGAGAGACCCCATCTCTAAAAAAAAAAAATTAGCCAGATGTGGTGGCACATGCCTGTAGTCCCAGCTACTTGGGAGGCTGAGGTGGGAGGATTTCTTAAGCCATAGAGGACAAGGCCACAGTGAGTGGTGATCATGCCACTGCACTACAGTCTGGGCAGTAGAGCCAGATCCTGACTCTAAATAAATAAATATCAGTGAATTTTTTCATTATCCATTATATTTTCCCAAGATTTTTTTCTGGTATTCTAAGTGTTGATGTGCTGTTCTTAATTTAAGGTCACACTGATCAAGTTGTTCAAAGAAGAGCAAGATGTTGGGATATTTACCAAAGGAGATTTAGCAGTAGGTCTGAACCTGTCAATCCTGGCATGCATTCTTCATCCCATCAGCAGCAAGATGGAGATGCAGCAATGCATGGTGCCCACATGGACTCTCCAGTAAGATAGTAAGTGACCAGTAGTCAGCATGGCTGGAATGTACCAGCCAGTGAAATACATAACTCTGTAGCTGAATATGTCATTCTTTCCAACTTGACAGAGAGAGGAATGACAGAACTCGATTAATGGTTGATTTAACTTCATTGTAGCCCTGGTATCAGTGGATCAAATGTGTATAAAATACTTTCGGAGCATATGTGAACTACCTTTTCTCCACTTGCTCACAGCACTCCCTATACTATTTCACCCTATAATCGGAAAGGCAGTTTTCGTAAACAAGACCAAACCCACGTTAACATGGAGAGAGAGCAAAAACCTCCAGAGAGAAGAATGGAGGGGAACATGCCGGATGGGACCTTAGGGAGCTGGTTCAAGATCACAGTGAGTGTCCTGGCAAAGTGGATCTAATGTTCAGAAGGAGAACAGGGGGAATTGTGTTGGATTTGTGTGGACACTAGATACTTTTGTAAGGGCAGGAAAGTATGTAATCTGTCCTTTATTACTAGGAGTTAACATCCTAGATCATCTTAAGAGTAAATTCAGAGAAGCAATGTAAGGGGAACAGACTGACTGCAGAGAGAGCGGAAGAGGTCGTTTACAATCAAAGGAGGAAACGAATGCTAAGGAGATAGAGTATCTCCACACCAGATGCTTCAGTTTAGCTCAAACTAAGTGTGTGAGGGGTTGAATTAGTGGGGTCCTTGTCAAAGGGGCAGGCCTGGTCTGCCTTAGGTAGGCTCTTGTGGGACTTTATAAAAGAAAGCTCATATTAAACATCTTAAATTGATTATTTTAAGAAAACTATTTGAATAGTAAGAAAGGGTATTTAGGAAATCCATGTTTGGTTAGAAATAATAGATATTAGAAATAATGAAAGAAATAATAATGAAATACATAAGTTAGCAATAATGGATGTTGTCCTATCTTAAACTATTTTAAAGTCTGAAAGGAACATATTTGGGTCCACTTTTAACGTTTAATTCCATTATGTCAGTCTCCTTTCCTCACTCATTCTTTCTTTCACTCATAGGTTCCCTTTGGCATAAAATACAATGAGAAGTGGCTGCTGAATTTGATTCAGAATGAATGCAGTGTACCCTTCGTCCCAGTTGAGGTAAGAAAGGACCGTGAGGCAGACGAGAGAAAACAGGACAGGTTGGGGGCTGGATGAGCAGAGACTCTGGCCTCATATTTCATTTCTCTTGCAACTCTCCCTATAGTTTCACTATGAAAACATGCATGCCAGCTTCTTTGTGGAGAATGCCAGCATCGCCTATGCACTGAAGAATGTCAGTGGCAAGATTTGGGATGAGGATAATGAAAAGGTGTGTGTCAAATGAATGACCAGGGCTAGCATCGAGCAAGAGGGCAGGGCAAGGGTAAGGTCTTGCTTGATCTTGGGGGTCAGAGTTCCTAGTGTTTACTCAGCCCCTCTTGGGTTCTCTGCAGATATCAATCTTTGTCAACCCTGCTGGCATACCCCACTTTGTGCACAGGGAGCTGAAGTCAGAAAAGGTGGAGCAGATAAAGGTAACACAGACTCATGGCAAGTTGTTCACACAAAGCCAGACCCACTGCTTCTTCCCCACCTATTGCCCCCTTCACCACCTCAACTTCAGAGCCTCTGAAACCCATCTCTAACTCTGCAGCTGGCCATGAACCAACAGTGTGATGTCTCCCAGGAAGCTCTTGATATCCAGAGACTCCCATTTTACCCAGGTATGGCTGAGAAAGTAATTCTATGGTAGATGAGGGCAGAGGTGTCTGTGTGAGATGGAGACTTACGGTTGGCAACTTGGGGAGGGGTTAGTGCTGATGCTGTACCAGGCGGGTCCCTCTCAGACTTCTGATTTTCTCCTCTCTGCTTTCTGGAGACATGGTGAACCGTGATACTAAGATGGCATCGAATCCTAGAAAGTGCATGGCTGCCTCCCTGGACGTCCATGAAGAGAACATACCTACAGTGAGGCCTTAGGCTCATGCTGGGATTGAGGGTGAAGGTGGAAGAGATTAGCTAGGAGGCTAATTGGTCTAAGATATCCCCTGTTGGGGGCCTTCACTCTTAGTTCTTAATTCATTCCTCCCCATAGCTTTTGCCCTTGAACCCAAACAGCAACAAAGCCTACCAGATGCTTGACATTATGCCAAAGGCCCCCAACATTAACAAGCTGAATTTCTTGAAAAATAAAATGAGGTGTAATACTCAGATAGTTCTTTGAAGAAAAAGGGGGAGGAGGGTTCATTAGGGTAGTGACAAGAGGCAAGGAAGTGGATTTGTTGGCAAGGGAGGAGACTGAGGGTGCAGGGCCCTCCAGCTGCTCTTTCCTGGGTCTACGTGGTTCTTCTGCATAATTGCAGGTGATGTCTGCAGGGGAGATGGACAAGTGGAAAGGGATAGAGCCAGGAGAGAAGTGTGCGGACAGAAGCCCAGTGTGCACGACCTTCTCGGATACCTCCAGCAACATAAAGTCAGTTGTACCCTCTGTCACCACCTGGGACCCTGACCTGTGTTTGATAGCGCCCTTCTGCAGGAGGAGGCAGCACTAGTCTTCTGGGAGGACCACAGACCCTCTCCTTCCCCCTCGCCCCACTCCTCTCTCTGTGTCACTCATTCATCTGTGCTTAGACATCTCCTTTCCTTCCTCTGACATGGTCCCCTTTTCACCCGCTCTGGGATGTGTTTCCCACCTGTCTCCACCCAGCCTCCTCTAGCGTGCCCTCTGTGAGTGTGCTCCAGGAAGCGGGGCTCCCCCACTTCCCCAGGACCAGCAGTATTCAGGTGCTGGTGCCCTGGACCGAGAAGAGTCCTTTAGTCCAGGGCCTCATGCTGAGACAGGCCTTCCTGCCTCCATGCTGATATGGGGCTTCCCTCCTCCGTCCCGAGAGGGGTTCTCCTTCTCTTGCTCCAAAAAGGTCCCCTCTCCTGTCCCAGGCTGGCATGGGGGCTTCCCTGCCCCATACTGAGGGCCGAGGCCCTGGGTGGCTGCTGTCATGCCATCTCTTCCTCTGGCCAATGCTAGGAGCTGGGCCCTCCTTGGGGAGAAACCTGGGTTTCCTGAGTCAAGGGACCAGAAGCGGGCCACATTCCTGAGGCAGGAGTGGAAGGCAGAGGGCAGAGGAGGTTGAGGAGACAGAAGGACAGGCCTCTCAGGGCACTGCCCCTCCTTCCCTCCTTCTCCACCTCACATCATCCTGCCTGGGTCCTCAGAGGAGCCCTGGGTAGCCCGAGATGGGTAGCATTCCTCGGTCAAGGCATCAGCACAGAGGGGCACAGGAGTCTGGGACCATCAGAAGAGAATGCAGTGGTCGGGAGAGGGGGTCCCCAGACTCTGAACCCCATGCTGAGCTGGGGCTTGACCCTTCACTTCTCCCGGGAGAAGGTCTCCTGTCCCCGTGGCTGCTCTGTTTCCCATGCCCAGCTCAGACTGAGCTCACACAGGTGAGAAAGGCTCCAGCTGCATCCAGTGGGCCCCAGCCCAACAGGCGCATGTTTTCCTTTCTTGCCTCGGTCCCCAGGGCCAGCTGGGGCCAGTGAGGGAAAGGGCTGCAGCAGGGGAGCCCTTTTCTTCTCTCTTCCTCCCTGAACTCCACCACCACGGTAGAGCATCTTTCCCTTCCCTTTGCTTTGCATCCTGTTTCTCCATTGTCTCTCCTCTCATATGTCTCACCTGTCTCTCCCTCCCCTACCTTCACCCCGTTTCTGCCATCATTCCCCTGCCTTCCCCTTCTGCCTCCTGAGCCTGCGTCACTCACCTCCCTGTCCCAGCATCCTGGGCCATCCCTAAGAGCTGACCTGGTCTTGGCCAGGGCCAGGACAGGCAGACTGACGGACATCCAGTGAGGTAGCAGAGCCCTGGGCTCCCACCCCATTTCCTACTCCCTGCAGAGCCTTCAGTGGGGACTTGGACAAAGGTGAGAGAGGGATGGAGGGAGGGGAAGAAAGTCCTGAAGCCTGGGCTCCCAATGCTGCCCAGGGCTGCAGAGGCAGGAACTTCGGAGTGTAGGTGGACACACTGCACTGTGTCTCTGACGTAGGTGTGATTGCTCCCATGAGGAGGACAGCTCCACAGTTTCACTTACCGTTGTCCATTTTGTTTTGATTTTCGGCAGCTCCATCCTGGAATTGTTCCCCAAATTATTATGCCTGGTAAGTGTATTCCTTGATCATTGACTTTCCTAATTGGGACTGATGCTGCCCCCAACTGCCCCAAACCCCTTTAGATATTGTCCCAGTTACATTTTTGGAGCTAACCCTTAAACCTCAAGGGAGTGGGGGAAGGGAATACGGACCCATGTGGGAACTTGGCAGAGCCTGTGGAGCTTCTTCACACAGGTTCACAACAGGCTTCAGGTGGCGGCAATCCCGACTGTAGTCTTGCCCACGTAATTTCCAGAACGCTTTCACACCTGATTTCTGATCTCACCCTCTCCTGGGTCTATCCTTTTCCGTAATTTTCTGTGCCACCTCCCTACTTTGCACTACTGACTTCCTCTTGCCTTCCCCAGGATGGCCAGCAGTCACCCAGAGCAACTTTATGTGGTACTGAAGCCCACAAGAGGTTACCAACCTGTAAGGTGAGAAGAGAGGATCCAGCAGGGTGGTGCATGAGGAAGGGGGGGTACCATCTGTGGTCCTGGGGACTCTTTATTCCAGGGAAGCTTCTTTGGATCTGAGATGTTGAAGAATCTGGTCCTGCAATTCCTGCAGCAGTAAGTATCCCTGGGAATCTGAGGCAAGAGAAGGCTAGGTCAGATGAATTTACCCAAGTACAAGTCTGCCTACAGTCAGACTTTCAAGACTCATTTGGCACCCAGGCCACAGAGATAGCCTGTCCTCACTGGTCTCCAACAGGTATTACTTGATCTATGACTCTGGAGATCGACAGGGTCTCCTTAGTGCTTACCACGATGAGGCCTGCTTCTCCCTGAGCATTCCCTTCAATCCTGAGGACTCAGCCCCGTGAGTATCACAGCTCCGACCCTGGTCCAGGGCCATGTGACTCCCCTGCAGAAAGACACCAGCTCCTGGAGATGCCTGCACTGGCCAGACCACCCACTCCTGCTCCTCTTTTTCTTCTAGGAGCAGCTTCTGCAAGTTCTTCAAGGATAGCAGGAATATAAAAATTCTCAAGGACCCCTGTAAGTGTGTGATGGAGAAGTCTGGGCAGGGTAAGGGGGTGTGACAGGAACAATCACACAACTGGGGTGTGGCAGCCCCCCAAATCCTTGCTTCTCTTCTCCTCTACAGACCTTCGGGGGGAGCTGCTGAAGCACACAAAACTTGATATTGTGGACTCCCTCAGTGCGTTGCCTAAAACTCAGCATGACCTCAGCTCCTTCCTGGTGGACATGTGGTACCAGACGGTGAGTACCTGCTTCCTCCCTTGGGCAGGCCCAGAAAGCCAGAGGTGGGTAGGAGGTTAAGGGGGATCCTGAGCACCTGAGATCTTCCCTTTCAGGAATGGATGCTCTGCTTTTCTGTCAACGGGGTGTTCAAGGAAGGTGAGTGTCTGTAGAGTCCCTTCCCCAGATCCCCCACTCCTCCCTCCCCCTGGCTGGGCTCCATCTCAGAACTCCCCCAGCTTCCCTCATTTCGTTCCTTTCCTTCCTCTTGTTCCCTCCGTGTTTTCCCACCCCAACTCTGCCCACAAACCACCCTGATCTGACCTAGGCCCATGCCTGTCTGCCCTGCACAGCTCAGGCGTGCGTTAAGCACACAGACTGTGGAGTCTGACAGCTCTCATCCCAGGTCTTTACTCTGAACTTGTGCTAGTTACTTAACCCTTCAGTTTCCTCATTTGCAGAATGGGGCTAATAATAACCCATCTCTTGGGCTACTGTGAAATAGGAATTAAGTGAACTTGTGGTTTTCACAGGGCCCCACACATGATAGGGGCCCTATCACTGGGAGCGGATTATTCCTGTTGTTGCCCTCCCCATTCCTACCACATCCGCCTCACTCCAAGTGAACAACTGTCCTGGTCTGGCCCCCTTCTGTGTGAGTGTCAAGCAAGACTCTGATTGGGGATCACCATGTGAGCACGTAAAGCCTGTGCAACTCTAAGGCAATGTTGTTTGTTGTCTTTGAAGTGGAAGGACAGTCTCAGGGTTCTGTTCTCGCCTTCACCCGGACCTTCATTGCTACCCCTGGCAGCAGTTCCAGGTTAGTGCTGTGTTGTGGGTGGGAGCACCCATCCCAACCTGGGGCCAGTGGTGTGGGAATGTGGTGGTGCAGTCCTCGGGGTGTTCTCAATGTTGTAAAAAACCGACAGTCTAGTCTAATAGTTAAGAGTATGGGCCAGGAGCAGTGGCTCACGCCTGTAATCCCAGTATTTTAGGAAGCTGAATGTGGAAGGATTGCTTGAGCCCGAGAGTTTGAGACCAGCCTAGGCAACACAGTGAGACCCTGTCTCTACAAAAAAACTAAAAATTAGCTGGGTGTGGTGGTGTGCATCTATCATCCTGCCATTCAGGAAGTTGAGGTGGAAGGATCTTGAGCCCAGGAGGTTGAGGCTGCAGTGAGCCTAGATCACATCACTGCACTCCAGCCTGAGTGAGACCCTGTATTGAAAAAAATTTTTAAAATGTGTGGGCTCTGGAGTCAGAGTATGAGTTCTTTCCTGATGCAATACTCACTGTGACTTTGGTCAAGGCATGTGACCTCTTTGTAATTCAGAATCTTCCTTTGAAACTGGTGATTACAGTGTCCACTCCCTTGGGCTATTGTAAAGGGCAAATGTGAGTGTAAAACCATCCTTGGGTTGTAGGTAAACCTACAAAACTGGTGAAGCATGTAGGTAATCTCTCCAAAGGTGGGCTCTGTGGAAGGTTTAGAGGGTACCAGCCAAAAAGCTAGGAGGGAGGCACAGTAGAGGTATCGAAGAAATCAGGTTGCTGAACAGTAGGAAAAAGATCCTTGTAGCGGGTGGGGAGGTGTCCTTCTCTCCGGCTACCTGATGGCCCATTTTTCCTCCAGTCTGTGCATCGTGAATGACAAGCTCTTTGTGCGGGATACCAGCCACCAAGGGACCCAGAGTGCCTTGTTCACCCTAGTGCCCACAGCCTTCTCCAGCTCCGTGCCTGCCTTCTCCCAGGAGCAGCAGAAAATGGTACAGGTTTTCTCTGCCCAGTCTGGGGGATGAACTACCAGTTGCCTCAGAAGTGAGTGCTGGGCCGGGCGCGGTGGCTCACGCCTGTAATCCCAGCACTTTGGGAGGCCGAGGCGGGCGAATCACGAGGTCAGGAGATTGAGACCATCCTGGCTAACACGGTGAAACCCCGTCTCTACTAAAAATAGAAAAAAAATTAGCTGGGCGTGGTGGCGGGCGCCTGTAGTCCCAGCTACTTGGGAGCCTGAGGCAGGAGAATGGCGTGAACCCAGGAGGCGGAGCTCGCAGTGAGCAGAGATTGCTCCACTCCACTCCAGCCTGGGCAACAGAGCAAGACTCCGTCTCGGAAAAAAAAAAAAAAAAAAAAAAAGAAGTGAGTGCTGGGTGTGTATGGTGATTAGTGATTGGTATGCACTGGGAGGAGCAGGGGAGTGAATAATGGGAACTTGCAGATAGTTGGCTTTGCTTCTTTATTTCACTCAGTATCATACTGTACATTTCCCTCTTGATACATATTCAGCTACCTAGTTATTTTGAACAGGTGTACAGTACTTCTCTGAATTCTGTCAATCGAGAAAAATGATGAGACAAGTCTCAATCATTTTAGGAGGTTTATTTGCCAAAGTTAAGGACATGTGCCCGGGAGACAGGTCTATGCCTTTCAAAGATGATTTTGAGGACTCCAGATTTAAAGGGGAAAGGGTAGGATATTGAGAAGTACACAATTTTCACGTAAGGGGGAGGGTAGGGAAAGATAGTTACTCATGCCTTTGGCTGGCTCAGTGAATCTGCATTTTTTTATATAAGATGACATAGAGAAAATGGGGTGGGGGAACAATCAGATACGCATTTGTGTCTGGTGGATGGGGGGGTGACTGTACCTGTAAAGATAAGCTATCAATTTACATTGTCATGGTGAAATTTTAACAGAAACACCTTACAGCAAAGATGTTGCAGCTCACGAGGAATTTCCTTGCGGACAAAATATGGGGGAGGCGTGTAGCTTTTCATCTTATAGCCATCTTATTTAGGAACCAAAAGGGGAGGCAGGTTTGCATGACCCAGTTCCCAGCTTCACTTTTACCTTTAGCTTAGTGATTTTGGGACCCCAAGATTTATTTTCCTTTCACAGTTCCATGGATCCTGTTCCTTTGTTGGTAGACATTTGGCTTTTCACAGGGTTCCTTCTGCTGCAATAAATTCCAGAAAACACAGACATGTTTCTGTTGCATAGATTAAGAAATGGCATTGTATTGTCAGAGTGTCTGCACTTGGGTCCTAATGGATGTTACCTGTCCTTCCTCCACCACAGCTGCCTTCGTAACAACCAGTGTGACTACGTCAGAGCTCCTCATGTTCTTGCATGGCCCAAGGTGAGGTCTAGGAATTCAGGCCAAGTGAGCAGAGGTTGGGTGGCCTGGGGATTGAACTTGGGCTTCCGGTTCTGCTGATCTCCCAGCTCCCTCCTGCACTTCCTCTCGGCCAAGGGCAAGATCCTAGAGAAGGCCCTCACACAGACTGACCTAGGATCCTGAAAACAAAGCCCTAAGAGGAAATCCTTAAGTGTCATAATCTTCAGCCTCATCATCTTCCCTGTATTTTTGTTCCAATAGATGTATTTCCCTGTGACTGAACCAGGAGATCTGGCTGGGGCTAAGAAGCCGAAGCCCAACTCACAGGGCTGACTCTCATCCTTCCAAAGGGGCCAGTTGTTCTGTGCACTTGTCCACCCCTGTTACCCCCAGGATCTCTGTTCCTTTTCACAATAAAGTATGGTGTCTTGTTATGTCAAATCCCTGCAAAATCCATTTGAGTCAGGCATTATTATCTCTGTTCTACGGAAAAGGAAAGGGATATTCAAAGAGAATGAGTAATTCCTGGGAAATCCTAGAGTCGAGTCTCAAATCTTGGACCCACCCTTAGGATAGAGCTGTACTCCAGAGGGCCATGTGGCTTCAAAGGTGGAGAGTGCTCTTTAACCCTGTTAAGCCTGGAGGCTAATGTTCTATGTCCCTAGTGCATCAAGTAAGATATTTTTTATGCAGAGAACGTTATTACTTTCTTAGCCATACGAATCTATTCAAATTTAAAAACAACGCATTTGGGGAAAAATAGCATTAAAGAATGCACGAAAACCTGGGAAGAAAAAATTGCCCACATATATGATGGACATAGGATTAATAGCCTTCATGTATAGAGAAATCAGTAGAGAGAAGGGAAAGTGATATCAATCTCAAATCGTTATAAAAAGCAATTGCGGCTGGGCACGGTGGCTCAAGCCTGTAATCCCAGCACTTTGGGAGGCTGAGGCAGGCGGATCACTTGTCAGGTGTTCGAGACCAGCCTGACCAAAATGGTGAAACCTTGTCTCTACGAAAACTACAAAAATTAGCCGGGTATGATGATGCATGCCTGTAGTCCCAGCTACTCGGGAGGCTGAGGCAGGAGAATCACTTGAACCCAGGAAACGGAGGTTGCACTGAGCTGAGATTGCACTACTGTACTCCAGCCTGGGTGACAGAGCAAGACCCTGTCTCCAAAATAATAATAATAATTTAAAAATAAAAAATAAAAAGCAATTGCAATGGCCCCCCAAAATCTATGAAAAGCGATCCAACCATAATAACTACAAAAACATAACTGCAGTCGTTGAGATAAGATGGTAATTTAGAAGAAAAAGCTAAAAACTTATTTTCAGAAAAATAACATTGTGTGTGTGCACGCACATGTGCATGTGGGGAATTGTGTCTGTATTGATGTAGTAGTTTCCTAGAGCTGCCATAATAAAGTACCACAAACTAGGTGGTTTAAAACTGCACAGATTTCTTTTCTCACAGTTCTGGAGGCCAGAAATCCAAAATCAAGGTGCCAGTAGAGCCATGCTCCATCCAAAGGCTCTGGTGGAGAATCCTTCCTTGCCTCTTCCAGCTTCTGGTTGCTGCTGATTTTTAGCTTGTGGCAGCATAACTGATATCTCTGCCTCCATCTTCACATTGTCTTTCTTTCAGGGTCTTCTTTCCCTTTCAAAGTCACTCACTGGATTTATAGTTCACCCTAATCCAGGGTAATTTCATATCTAGATCCCTACATTAATATCCACAAAGACGTTTATTCCAAATAAAGTCCCATTCTGAAGTTCCAGGTGGACATATCTTTTGGAGGCCATTCTTCAACCTCCTACATTGTGCCCTCTGGCCCCTGAAAATTCCTATCCATCTAATGTGAAAAATACATTCACCCCATCCCACCATATCCAAAAGTTAATGCATTCTGGTATCAATTGTAAGTCAAATATCCTGTCTAAATACCCTCAACTCAAAAAGTCCCAAATCTCACCATCTAAATCAGGTTATGAGTGAAATCTGATCTATGAACCATGTAGGGGCAAAATTCCTTTCCATCTGTGGACTTGTAAAACCAGAAAACAAGCTACCTGCTTCCAAAATTCATTGGCAGGACAGGTATAGAATACACATCCCCATTCTGAAGGGGAGAATATGAAATAATAAAAGCAGTCACTGATTCAAGCATGTTTGAAACCTAGCAGGGTTTTGCTGGGCGTGGTGGCTCAAACCTATAATCCCAGCACTTTGGGAGGCCGAGGCAGGTGGATCACTTGAGGTCTGGAATTTTAGACCAGCCTGACCAACATGGTGAAACCCTATCTCTACTAAAAATACAAAAATCAGCCAGGCGTGGTGGCAGGCGCCTATAATCCCAGCTACTCGGGAGGCTGAGGCAGGAGAATTGCTTGAACCCCAGGAGGTGGAGGTTGCACTGAGCCAAAATCACACCACTGCACTTCAGCCTGGGCGACAGAGTGAGATTCTGCCTCAAAAAAACAAAAAACAGAAACCTGGCCGGGTTTCAAGGCCTGAGAATTACCCTCTGTGGCTTGATGCTTTATTGTCTGGGCCACAAAGGCATCACTGCTCTACTGGCGTCCTCCTCTGTATCCATGGCTCTGCCCTCTGAGTCATTCTTCCTTTATCTTAAAGGATGTCAGATGTTAACGGTCAAGTAACTCTATCATCCTTTTTACTGCCTGTAGAATCCTAGATGTCTGATAGCTTTCTTTCATTTTTCCCTTTTTTTGTTTTCTTCAGGTCAAAGTGGCAGTCTTTTTAGTGGTATAACGTTCTTCTGAAAAAACCTTGTGGGTCTCCTGTGTGTGTCAAAGGGATCCATGCCATCAGACAAGAGGGTTATCCACAGATCCTTTCTGGATACTGTATATTTTTCCTCGATTCAGCTGAGAGGATTAATTGGATTTATTAATCACACATTAAATGTCTTTAGCAAAAGGTATCCAGCCACACTCTTGGCTCTTTATCCAAAACACACTTAAAATCTTTCATGTGTTTATTGCTACTTGTATATCTTCTTTGGAGAAATGTCTAAGTCCTTTGCCCATTTTTGAATTGGGTTGTTTTCTGTTGTTGTTTTTGCTGAGTTGTAGGAGTTCTTTATATTTTCTAGCTATTAATCTCTTATCGGATACATGATTTGAAAATATTTTCCCGTTTCATTCCATTGCTACATCCTCTGATGCACAAAAGTCTTTCATTTTGATGTAGTACAATTTATCTGTTATTTTCTTTTGTTTCCTGTTCTTCTAGTGTCATATCCAAGAAATCATTGTGAAATCCAATATTATGAGGCTTGTCCCTGTGTCTTCTGCTAAGAGTTTCATGCTTTTAGCTCTTATATTTTGGTCTTTCATCCATTTTGAGTTAATTTTTGTATATGGTATAATGTAAAGGTATAACTTCATTCTTTTCTGTGTGGATATCCAGTTTCCCCAGCAACATTTGTTGAAGACTGTATTTTCCTCATTGGACAGTCTTTGCACCCTTTGAAAAGCATTTGACCATTTATGCCAGGATTTGTTTTTAGACTACCAATTCTATTTGTTTACATGTCTGCCATTCTGCCAGTACCACTGTTTTGATTACTGTAGCATTGTATTAAGCTTTGAAATCAGGATGTGGGAGACTTCAAATTTTGTTCTTTTTCAAGATTGTTTTGGCTAATCAGGTCCTTTGAGTTTCCATATGAATTTTAGGATAGATTTTGATTTCTGCAAGAACGTCATTGTGATTTTGATAGGGATTGCATTGAATCCATAGATCACTTTGGGTAGTATTAATATTTTAACAATACAATGTCTTCTAATCCATGAACAGAGGATGTCTTTGCATTTATTTGTCTTCTTAAATTTCTTTCAGTAACATTTCATAGTTTTTAGTGTACAAGTCTTTTGCTTCCTTGGTTAAGTTTAATCATAAGTATTTTAAATGAGATTGTTTTTTAATTATTCTTTCAGATTTCTCACTGTTAGTGTATAGAAATGTAAATAATTTTTTTTAAAAGACAGAGTTTCACTCTGTCACTCACGCTGGAGTGCGGTGGTGTGATCATAGCTCACTGTAACCTTGAACTCCTGCACTCAGGCAATCCTCCTGTTTCAGCCTCCTGAGTGGCTAGGACTATAGGCATGCACCACCACAGATGGCTAATTTTTAAAATAATTTTTTTGTAGATCAGAGTCTTGCTATATTGCCCAGGCTGGTCTCAAACTCATGGCCTCAAGCAATCCTCTCACCTCAGCCTCCCAAAGTGCTGGGATTACAGGAATGAGTCACTACATCCAGTCTTGTGTATTGATTTTGTATCCATCAACATTGCTGAATTCATTTATTACTTCTCACAGTTTTTTGGTGGAGTCTTTAGGATTTTCCACATATAAAATTATTTCAACTGCAAACAGAACTAACTAATTTTATTTCTTGTATAACTTGAATGCCTTTTACTTATTTTGCTTGCTTAATTGTTCTGGCTAGGACTTCCAGTACTGTGTTGAATAGAAGTGGCATGAGTGGGCATTATTTTCTTATTCCAATCTTAGAGGAAAAACTTTCAGTCTCTCACCATTGAGTATGATTTTACTCATGGGTTTTTCATATATGGCCTTTATTATGTTAATATAATTTCCTTCTATTCCTAGTTTATTGAGTGTTTTCAATTGTGAAAGGGTATAAGTTTTGTCAAATGCTTTTTCTAATTTAATTGAGATAATTATGTGCATTTTCCCCCTTCATTCTGTTAATGTGGTACATTACATGACTTGATTTTTATATGTTGAAGCACACTTGTATTCCAGGAATAAATCCCACTTGGTCATCATGTATAACCTTTTAATATCCTGTTGAATTTAGCTTGCAAGTATTTTGTTGAAGATATTTGCATCAGTATCCATAAGGGGTACTGTTCTATAGTTTTCTTGTAATACCTTTGAAATTATTTCGAAAAGTTATATTTACACTGCATTATAGTCTATTAAGTGTGCAATAGCATTATGTTTAGAAAAATGTAGGCCGGGCGTGGTGGCTCACGCCTGTAATCCCAGCACTTTGGGAGGCTGAGGCGGGCGAATCATGAGGTCAAGAGATCAAGACCATCCTGGCTAACACAGTGAAACCCCATCTCTACTAAAAATACAAAAAATTAGCCGGGCGTGGTGGTGGGTGCCTGTAGTCCCAGCTACTTGGGAGGCTGAGGCAGGAGAATGGCATGAACCCGGGAGGTGGAGCTTGCAGTGAGCCGAGATCACGCCACTGCACTCCAGCCTGGGGACAGAGCGGACTCCATCTCAGAAAAAAAAAAAGAAAAGAAAAGAAAAGAAAAAAGAAAGATGTAAATAGCCTAATTTTTAAAATACTTTATTGCTAAAAAATGCTAATGATTCTCCAAGCCTTCAGTGAGTCATAATCTTTTTGCTGAAAGGATAAATGGTCTTACCTCAATGTTAACGACTGCTTATTGATCAGGGTGATGGTTGCTGAGGATTGGGTTGGCTGTGGCAATCTGTTAAAATAAGGCAGCAGTGGCTGGGTGCAGTGGCACACGCCTGTAGTCCCAGACACCTGGGAGGCTGAGGAGAGAGTATCCCTTGACTGCAGGAGTTTGAGTCCAGCCTGGTCAACCTAGTGAGACCCCTGACTCTTACATTTAAAAAAAGACAACAATTAAGCTTTTTTTTTTTTTTTTTGAGATGGTGTCTCACTCTCTTGCCCAGGCTGGAGTGCAGTGGCATGATCTCTGCTCACTCAAGTTCCGCCTCCTGGGTTCACACCATTCTCCCGCCTCAGCCTCCCGAGTAGCTGGGACTACAGGCGCCCACCACCACGCCCGGCTAATTTTTTTGTATTTTTAGAAGAGACGGGGTTTCACCATACTAGCCAGGGTGGTCTCAATCTCCTGATCTCGTGATTCGCCCACCTTGGCCCCCCAAAGTGCTGGGATTACAGGTGTGAGCCACCACGTCCAGCCAACAATGAAGTTGTTGCTCCATTGATTGACTCTGCCTTACGTGAAAGATTTCTCTGTAGCATGTGATGCTGTTTGATAGCATTTACCCACAGTAGAACTTCTTTCAAAATTGGAATCAATCTTCTCAAACGTTGCCATTGCTGTATCAACTAAGTTTACGGCACATTTTAAATCCTTTGTTGTCATTTCAACATTGTTCACAGCATCTTCACCGGGAGTAGATTCCATCTTGAGAAACCACTTTCTTTGCTCATCCATAAGAAACAACTCCTCATCCATTTAAGTTTTATCATAACATTGCAGCAATTTATTCACATCTTGAGGCTCTCTCTATATATATTTTTTGAGATGGAGTCTTGCTCTGTCGCCCAGACTGGAGTGCAGTGGCACGATGTTGGCTCACTGAAAACTCCACCTCCCGGGTTCAAGTGATTCTCCTGCCTCAGCCTCCTGGATAGCTGGGATTACAGGCACGCGCCACCATGCCTGGCTAATTTTTGTATTTTTAGTAGAGACTTGGTTTCACCATCTTGGTCATTCTGGTCTCAAACTCCTGACCTCGTGATCTGCCCGCCTCAGCCTCCCGAAGTGCTGGGATTACAGGTGTAAGCCACTGTGCCCGGCCCAGGCTCTACTTCTAATTCTAGTTCTCTTGCTATTTCCACCATATCCGCAGTGACTTCCTCTACTGAAATCTTGAAACCTTCAAAGTAATCCATGATAATTGGAATCAACTTCTTCCAAACTCCTGTTAATGTTGATATTTTGATCTCCTCCCATGATTCAGAAATGTTCTTAATAGCATTTAGAATGATGAATCCCTTCCAGAAGATTGTCAATTTACTTTGCCTTAATCCATCAGAGGAATCACTATCTATGGCAGCTATTGTCTTATGAAATGTATTTCTTAAATAATAAACCTTGAAAGTCGAAATTACTTCTTGATCCGTGGGCTGAAAAATGGATGCTGTATTTGCAGGCACGAAAACAACGTTGATCACTTCGCACATCTTCATCAGAGCTCTTCAGTAGCTAGGTACATTGTCAATAAGCAGTAATATTTTGAAAGGAATCTTTTTTACTGAGCAATGGTTCTCAGTAGTTAATTTAAAATATTCAATAAACCATGCTGTAAACATATATGCTGTCATCCAGGCTTGGTTGGTTGTTCCATTTCTAGAGCACAAGTAGAGTAGATTTAGCAAAATTCTTTAGGACCCTAGGATATTCAGAATCTTCAATGAGCATTGGCTTCAACTTAAGGTCACCAGCTGCATAAGCCCCTAACAAAGGAGAGTGAGTCTGTTCTTTAAAGCTTTGAAGTCATGCATTGACTTCTCACTAGCTATGAAAGTATTAGATAGCACTAGCTATGAAAGTATTAGATAGCATCTTCTTCCAGTGGAAGGTTGTTTCATCTACACTGAACATTTGTCATTTAGCGTAGCCACCTTCACCAATTATCTTTGCTAAATCTTCTGGGTAACTTGCTGTAGCTTCTATATCAGCACTTGCTGTTTTACCTTGTGCTGTTACATTATGGAGATAATGTCTTCTCTCAAACTTCGTGAACCAGCCTCTGCTAGATTCAAACTTTTCTTCTGCACCTTCTTCACCTCTCTCAACCTTCACACAACTGAAGAGAGTTAACGCCTTGCTCTGCATTAGGCTTTGGCTTAAGGGAGTGTTGTGGCTGGTTTGATCTATTATTCAGACCACTAAAACTTTCTCCATATTAGCAATAAGGATGTTTTGCCTTTTTTTTGCCCAGGCTAGAGTGCACTGGCACTGTCCCGGCTCACTGCAACCTCCACCTCCCGGGTTCAAGCAATTCTCCTGCCTCAGCCTCCCGAGTAGCTAGGATTATAGGCACACACCACCACGCCTGGCTAATGTTTGTATTTTTAGTAGAGGCGGGGTTTCACCATGTTGGCAAGGCTAGTCTCAAACTCCTGACCTTGTGATCTGCCTACGTCGGCCTCCCAAAGTGCTGGAATTACAGGCGTGAGCCACCACACCTGTCCCTATTTTGGCTTTTGACATGCCTTCCTCACTACACTTAATAATTTCTAGCTTTTATTTTGGCTTTCGACATGCCTTCCTCACTACACTTAATAATTTCTCGCTTTTATTTTATTTATTTATTTTTTTGAGACGGAGTCTCATTCTGTCACCTGGGCTGGGGTACAGTGGCACAATCTCAGCTCACTGCAACCTCCACCTCCTGGGTTCAAGTGATTCTACTGCCTCAGCCTCCTGAGTAGCTAGGACTACAGGCACTCGCCACTACTCCCGGCTAATTTTTCTATTTTTTTATTAGGAACAGGGTTTTGCCATGTTGCCCAGGCTGGTCTCAAACTCCTGACCTCAAGTGATCTGCCCCGCTTGGCCTCCCAAAGTGTTGGGATTACAGGTGTGAGCCACCACGCCCGGCCAATGGAATTGTTTTGAGAGTCCAAAAGTAAAACTATGTGGCTAATCTCAAATGAATTTTGACAAGGGTTCCAAGACAATTCAGTGGAGAAATATAGTCTTTTCAACAAATGGTGCTTGGCCAACTGCATAGCCACATATAAAAGAATGAAGTTACACTCTTACCTCCCGCCTTATAAAAAACTAATTCAAACTGGGTCAAAGACCTAAATGGAAGAGCTAGAAGTATAAAACTCTTGGAGGAAAATATAGGGATAAATATTTGTGACCTTGGATTACAAAGGATTCTTAGATTCAAATGACTCTTGAATTCAAAAGATTCTTAGATATGACACCAATACCAGGAGCAGCAAAGAAAAAGGTAATCTAGACTTCATCAAAATTAAAAATTATTGTGTTTCCTTTTTTTGTTCTTTTGAGACAGAGTCTCGCTCTGTGGCTCAGGCTGGAGTGCAGTGGCACAATCTCGGCTCACTGCAACCTCCACCTCCCAAGTTCAAGCGATTCTCCTGCCTCAGCCTCCAGAGTAGCTGGGACTACAGGCAGGTGCTGCCACGCCTGGTTAATTTTTTGTATTTTTAGTAGAGATGGGGTTTCACCATGCTGGCCAGGCTGGTCTCAAACTCCTGACTTCAAGTGATTCGCCTGCCTTGGCCTCCCAAATTGCTGGAATTACAGGCATGAGCCACCGTGCCTGGCCAAACACCATTGTGTTTCAAAAGGCACCATTATGAAACTGATTAAAAAACCCACAGAATGGGCTAAAATATCTGCAGATCATATATGTAGTGAGGGATTTCTGTCTAGAATATATAAAAACTCTTGCAACTCAATAATAAAAAGAAAAATAACTCAAATAAAAAGTGCACAAAGATCTGAATAGACATTGATCCAAGGAGGATATACAAATGACCTATAAGCACATGAAAAGATGCACCACATTATTAGTCATCAAGGATATGCAAATCAAAACCACCATGATATACCACTTCACCCCCACTAAAATGGTTGGAATCAAAATTTCAGATAATAACAAATGTTGACAAGAATGTGGAGAAATCAAAACCGTCATATGCTACTGGTAGGAATGTAAAATATTCAGCCACTTTGGAACATAGTTTGGCAATTCCTCAAATGAGTAATCATATTGGAATCATAAAGCTTGAAAACATCATGCTAAATAAAAAATCCAATTTCCAAAGAATACATATTATACAATTTCATTCATATGAAATGTCAAAATAGGGAAATCTATAGACAGAAAACGTATTAGTAGTTGCTTTGGTATGAAGAGGATGGGGGAATAGGAGAGTGATAGCAAAAGAATAGGAGGTCGCTTTTTGAGGTGACGAAAATATCCTGAAGTTGACTGTGGTGATGGTTGCATGTATCTATGAATATGCTAAAAACCATTGAATTTTACACTTTAAATGGGCAATCTTATGGATTGCAAATTGTATCTCCATAAAGTTGTTTTTAAAAGATATAAATTGAGGCCAGGTGCGGTAGCTCACGCCTGTAATCCCAGCACTCAAGAGGCCGAGGTTGGCGGATCACCTAAAGTCAGGAGTTTGAGACAAGCGGGGCTAATATGGCTGAAATCCCGTCTCTACTAAAAATAAAAATAAAAATTAGCTGGGCATGGTGGTGTGCATCTGTAGTCCCAGCTACTCTGGAGGCTGAGGAAGGAATATCCCTTGAACCTGGGAGGCAGAGGTTGTAGTGAACCAAGATCACGCCACTGCACTCCAGCCTGGCTGACACAGTGAGTCTCCATCTAAAAAAAAAATATATATATACACACACACACACACACACACACACACACACACACACACACACACATATATAAATTGAGACTTAACCAGATTTGGTTATTATTTGAATATGAGGGACAATGTAGAGTGATTCAAGGATAATAGCCACATTTCTGGGTTGGTCAAGGGGTGAGTACTAAGGTAGAAAACAAAGGAAAATAAACATGTCTAAGGTGAGAAGAAGTGATGAGAGAGAGAGAGACCGAGAGAGAGAGGGAGAGAGACAGAGGAAGAAAAGAAGAAAAAGAAGAAGAAGAAGAAGAAGAGAGAAGAGAGAAGAAGGAAGAAGGAAGAAAGAAGAAGAAGAAAAAGAAGAAATAGTAGTATTAAGGGCTTCCACAGGCTTCTGAGTTGAGAAAGCCAAGTGTAGTAAGAATGGTCAGTGGAGAGTGTTCCCCAGGCCCTAGCATAAATGAAGAGGTATCAGAGTGGGTATGGACTGGCAGATAGTGACCCTGCAGCAAGACTAAGCTCTTCTGGGTGACCTGGAGGTGAGACAGTCAGGGTGAGGGTCTCGGTATGCTGCACTACAAAAGCCAGGTGAGAGATAGCAAAAATGTCCCAAAGAGACTTTTCCCCGGGGTGGGTGAAAAAGAGAAGAGAGCAGGCAGGTTTGAGAACTGCTCCCCACTCCTCCCACCTCCTCAATTACTTCTAGGCTTTTCTTGGAATCTCTCACCACAGAGCTGTAGAAAAGCCCTATTCTGGTTTCCAGAATGGGAAGAGACCTCCCAACTATGCTGAGAAGTGAGTCATTAGGTGGGAATTTGGGGAAGAAATAGAAGGAAGGAGCCAAAGTGATATATTAAGGTCACCACCTTGGTCACCTGTCCATCTATATTTTTGGAGTAAGCAACAGAATTAGGAGTCTGAACATAGGAATTAAGAAGCTCTCGAATATAACAGTGGAAGACCAGCACCTTCCCAACCTCTTGTCAGGGCAGGGATACTCTATCTCTGCGTCACTCAACCTGCCTTGGCCTCACAGCTCTTCCTTTTGCTTAAGTCTTCAAACCATCAACAGTGATAGCCACTAATTTTAGCAGGTGGCATTAGTTGTCAGCAAATGTTTTTTCATATTTAATGAATGTTTATTATAATAGAATAAAATAGAAATGTTTATTAATAAAACTTGAAATTTGTCCCAGAAGGATAAAAACGTAGATTATTTACATAAAATGGCCAAGATCTGACAACAGAACTGTTTCCTGAAGATTTACTTCACAGATTATTTTGAAAACACCAACTGTGTTCAGGAAAATTTTCTCTCCTTTTTTTCATAAAATTTTCAAACAAGTGAGAATGCTCTAAAAATGATGGTGTGGAGCCTAGAGAAAATGTTTTCTGTGTGCTATAGATGAACATAAACTATATATATATATTACTTTCCCAGGTTGAAGTGTTTCTTTCAAAAATAAAATTTGATTATTTTCAATTTTTTGAGGGATGCTGATTTTTAAAAAGGAAATAAAGAGAAATTATTAGGAAGCATATACACAGCCAGTGAGAAGAGGAAAGAAGAAAAGGCCAAGGCCAGAGGAAGGGGGTTTGGGGTGGGGGAAAGGAAGGGTACAGACCCTCCCAAATAACCGAAGATGGGTAAACTCCAACCGCAAAGCGATGATGCCACTTGTGGGCCCTCAGATTGGAGAGGACGGAGATGAGTGACGGGGCTGTGCGCACTGGGGCACCGCGCACAGACGGGAGGAGGGGGGTGTCTGTGTGTTCCAAAGGGGGGAGTACCAGTTAACTGGCCGCCGGCCCGTGGGGGTTGGTGAGAAGGAGGGTGAGCTTGGCGGTGACGCACGGCCCTCACGTGACCGGGAGCTGCAGAGCTACGCAGCCTTCGGTGCAGTCGTCACTCGTGTCTCGCTACCAGCTCCCCGCTGCCCTGCGCTCGGCGGGCTGGCATCCGGCCCGGGGGAAAGCGGACCAGGTAAGGGCCCCGGGGCCCGCGCGCCCTGGCTAGGCCAGCAGAGGCTCACCGACCCCCCCGACGAGCGCAGAACAGCGCAGGGGATCCCCGCCAGCTTTCTCCACACCCCAACATTCTTGGGAACATAGTGGTCCCCTGGGGTGGGGAAGCAGTGGCGGCTGGGGCTCCAGGGGCAGCAGAGCAACCAAGAGCGATGGAAAACCATTCCCGAGTCCTTGCAGGAAAACGGTGAACACCACGGGGGGCGAGGCGGCCGAGGGTGGGAGCGGGGGGCGGGAGACGCGGGGCGCTGGCAGTGAGGAGGGCCCTAGGCGGAGAAGGAGCTAGCGTTCCGCTGCAGCAGCCCCCCCTCCCCACACCCCAGCCCTTCTGCAGGTCTGCGGGGCCAAGTGTCCCGGCGGCGCACCTCGTGGCGAGAATCGGGAGAAGGAGGAGACTACAAGGATAGGCCCAGGTCAGTGCGAGGGACGGTGGTGGGGGCGGGTGCAGAGTCCAGTCTGAGGTCCCCTCCCAACTCCCCCATCTCCCGTCCTCCATTTTGGTGCCTGCCGAGATCTAGGGATGGATCTGTAGGGAAAATGGTGGGTTTGGGGGCAGGTAGGGGAAGACACGAGAGGTGGGGGGGGGGGCGGGCTCGAATGGGGGCCCCCTAGTGGGCGCACGAAACCTCTCTGGTGGGAAACGTGAAATTAAACAAAACAAAACATGTTGATAGCCATGACGCGGAATCCTGAAAAATGAGTAGCCGTGCCTCTGTCCTCGGTACTGAAGCGTTCACCAGCTGTTCAGCCCCTTCTCTCTCCTTTTGTCTCCTAGGAGTAATGGAGTCCAAAGAGAAACGAGCAGTAAACAGTCTCAGCATGGAAAATGCCAACCAAGAAAATGAAGAAAAGGAGCAAGTTGCTAATAAAGGGGAGCCCTTGGCCCTCCCTTTGGATGCTGGTGAATACTGTGTGCCTAGAGGAAATCGTAGGCGGTTCCGCGTTAGGCAGCCCATCCTGCAGTATAGATGGGATATGATGCATAGGCTTGGAGAACCACAGGCAAGGATGAGAGAAGAGAATATGGAAAGGATTGGGGAGGAGGTGAGACAGCTGATGGAAAAGCTGAGGGAAAAGCAGTTGAGTCATAGTCTGCGGGCAGTCAGCACTGACCCCCCTCACCATGACCATCATGATGAGTTTTGCCTTATGCCCTGAATCCTGATGGTTTCCCTAAAGTTATTACGGAAACAGACCCCTGCTTTCGAATTTACATGTTCATGATGTGCCCTTGTTGTAAACCTTTACCTGTCACTTGTTTACGTGGGTCTCCTATTACCAGCTTCTAATTGAATATTGTGTTTTTGAACCAGTCTGTAAGATTTTTGTTAGCAGAAGAATTTTACCTATTGCATGGAAAGATGCTCATTATAGTGAAGTTAATAAAGCACCTTTAAAAAGCAATCTCTATATTCTTTTTTTGTTAAAAATTTATATTGATTGTACTTAATACATGAAAAGAAAAGTACTGAAATTAAATATACCAAAGGATTAATATAGGGACTCATTCTATGAGATGGGTTAATGTATTTTTTATATTTTCTGTAATTTAAGAAAAATTGGAAACATTTTTAAATAACCTTTGAAGGCAGTAGAGTCACTTAATAAATACTTGCTGATCAGCACTACTCACAAAAGCAAAGACATGGAATCAACATAAATGTCCATCAGTGAGAGACTGGATAAAGTAAATATACATATACATCATGGAATATTATGCAGCCATAAAAATAAAGAAATCATGTCTGTTGTGGGAATATGGATAGAGCTGGAGGCTATTATCCTTAGCAAACTAATGCAGGAACAGAAAACCAAATACTGCATATTCTCATTTATAAGTGGGAGCTAAATGAAAACTCATGAACACAAAAAAGGGAACAACACACACTGGGATCTGTAGGGGTGGAGAGTGGGAGGGGGAAGAGGAACCTAAAAGATAACTATTGGGTGCTGGGCTTAATACCTGGGTAATGAAATAATCTGTGCAACAACCACCCCCCCACCTGCCCCCAGCCCATGACACAAGTTCACCTATGTAACAAACCTTCACATGTACCCTGGAACCTAAAAGTTTTCTTAAAAAAAGAAAAAAAAAATACTTGCTAATCAAATTTGGATCTCTTAGCCAGGTAAATAAACTCAGGAATTTGTATAAGTTGGGGGTGGCATTTCCTTCACATGACTGGAATGAGGTCATTTGTGTGAGACCTGTGTTTACCTGTTTTTTCTCCCATCCACACCTATTATGCAAGACTCTCATCCTCAGATTTTCCCTTCAGATGTTTAGCAGAGTGCTCAAAGGTAGGTCTCACTAGTCCAGCATAGTTCCTATTCTCAGGAATAAAATGTCTGTTGGTCATGCTGTGGTTTCTTCATGACGAGGCAGGCACTTAACCGAAGTAAAATTAATAATGACTGAGTCAGGAGCTCTGAGTTTTTGTCTCGGTTCAGTTTCTAAACAAGTAAATAACTTTGGATGTGTAACTTAGATTACTTGCCATTCCTAAAGGAACACTGGGTTCATTTAGTAATGTCACAGTGTTTCTAAAACTATGCTAATCTGCCACCTGTGTGAGAATCACCAGGGGATTTCTTGAAAATGTGGATTCATACAAAGTTCTTGGGTCCCAACATAGATCCCCTGAATGGGGCTTCAGAACTTTTGTTTTTAGCAAGCTTTCCTGGTGATTCTGATGCACATTAATGTCTAAATGGCTACTGGTATGTAAATATTTACTATGATGTCAATTTTTTTTTTTTTTCTGAGACGGAGTCTCGCTCTGTTGCACCTCTGCCTTCCGGGTTCACGCCATTCTCCTGCCTCAGCCTCCTGAGTAGCTGGGACTACAGGCACCCGCCACCACGCCCGGCTAATTTTTTGTATTTTTTAGTAGAGATGGTGTTTCACCGTGTTAGCCAGGATGGTCTGGATCTCCTGACCTTGTGATCTGCCCACCTCGGCCTCCCAAAGTGCTGGGATTACAGGCGTGAGCCACCGTGCCCAGCTGATATCAGTTCTTAAAAGCCATAATAACTTGCAGAATATAAAGGTGAATATCTGAATTCAGTTCAGGGAACCATTAAAATGTAAAGGATGAGATCATGAAAAAAGCATTAGATTTATTACATAACAATTTGAATTTTATTATCTTTTGTGGAATATTAGGTGATTTCTTCTGTACTCAACTGCATTTTTCTTAACATGGATTACGTTAAGAAGAAATACAAGCTAACAACAGATCCAGATCCAAAGAACTATTCAGTTAGCTTACAAATGCAATTGAAACACATAAAAATTCCCATTGACAGAACTGAGATATGTAAATTTCATGTTAGCCTTGGATAGAGTATTCATGCCTTGGTGTAATTATCCCTCCTATGGAGTGCAGGTAAAATAACTGTCTTAATCAATAGAATACAGCAAAAGTGACGGGATGTCACTTCTGTGATTATGTTACAGAAGATTGTGATTGTCATCTTGCTAGCAGATTCATTCTGTCTCTTCCTTCCTCCTTCCTCCCACTTTTGCTGGCTTTGATGAAACAAGCTGCCATGTTGGAGAGGCACATATAGCAAGGAATTGAGAGTGTTCGCCAGCCAACAGCCAGTGAGGAACTCAGGCCCTCAGTCTAATAGCCCTCGAGGAATTGAATCCTGCCAAAACAACAAAGGTGAGTTTGGAAGCAGATTCTTGCCCAGCTTAGTCTTCAGATAAAACTGTGGCCCAGGCTAACATCTTGATTGCAGCCTTCTAAAAGACCCTGAGGTGGAGGATCCAGATAAGCCACACCCAGACTTTTGACTCACAGAATCTCTGGGATAATAAATGAACGTTCTTGTAAGCTGCTAAATTTTGGGGTGATTTGTTACACAACAATAGATAATTAATACAGTCTCTAAAGGATAATGGTGTTTTAAAACAACCACAGCACCATTATCAAACATAAAAATGGGCAAAAATTTCTTAATGTCCACTCTTCAAATTCTCAGTAGTTATATATATATATATATATATATATATATATATATATATATATAGAGAGAGAGAGAGAGAGAGAGAGAGAGAGAGAGAGAGAGAGAGATGGAGTTTCACTCTTGTTGCCTAGGCTGGAGTGCAATGACAGTCTCAGCTCACTACAGCCTCTGCCTCCCGGGTTCAAATGATTCTGCTGTCTCAGCCTCCCAAGTAGCTGGGATTACAGTTGCCCGCCACCATGCCTGGCTAATTTTTGTATTTTTAGTAGAGACAGAGTTTCACCATGTTGGCCAGGCTGGTCTCGAACTCCTGACCTCAGGTGATCTGCCTGCCTTGGCCTCCCAAAGTGTTGGGATTACAGGTGTGAGCCACTGTGCCCTCCCAGGTCTCATAATTTTTAACCTGAAACTATGTAAACTAACACAAAATAAATTATGTGCTTGAGGAACACTATTGGCCTCATCAAATTACAAATAACAGGAAACACCTAATGTAAAGCCTTCTACGGAGAAGCTGACAAAAGAATGCGTGTTTGAAAAAACGCCTCAGATCCAACATAGGTCTGGGGTCACAGACTCTGAAAGTCTAGCAAATGATAACAGAAAAGCTGGTCTGTTTATGCAATGAAAATTTAAGACAGTCTGAGGATAAGGAAGGGTTGTGACACACAACTGAGTAACCCCAAACAATCATTTGATACTCTGATATCTGCATTTTTCAGAAGTCTTGTCAAATAGTTACATGTACTCAGATTTGTCAAAGTAACTTGTTTAACTCTAGAAGGAAAAAAAATACCTGCATGGTGGCTCATGCCTGTAATCCCAGCACTTTGGGAGGCTGAGATGGGTCAGGAGTTGGAGACCAGCCTAGCCAACATGGCGAAACCCCATCTCTACTAAAAATATGAAAACTAGCAGGGTGTGGTGGTGGGCGCCTGTAATACCAGCTACTCAGGAGGCTGAGGCAGGAGAATTGCTTGAACCCGGGAGGCGGAGGTTGCAGTGAGCCGAGATCGCGCCATTGCACTCCAGCCTGGGAGACAGAGCGAGACTTTGTCTCAAAAAGAAAAAAAAAAAAGAAAAACTGGCTGCAGGCTGATAAAGTCGGAAAGATGCAGGCATAAATTACAAGATTACCATTCACTATTGCCATTGAGTAAATACCTTCAATGACAAGTTGTATTACAGTGCTATTAGAGGAAACATGGGACTGAGACAACAGGATAAACCAAAAAGCATAAGAAACCATTTCATTATCCAGTTTGATTGAAGAAGGGATGGAGTATGTCACCAAGAAGCCATTTTTTTTTTTCTCAAGACACACAAAATTTAGGGGACTAATATAAATACAGTAGGCCCTTCATATTTGTGGGTTCCGCATCCATGGATTCACCCAATCGTGGATCAAAAATATTTGGAAAAACAAATTCTATAAAGTTTCAACAAGAAAAATTTGAATTTGCAATATGCCAAGTACTACATGGAATCTGCATTTAACAAAGTTATATGTAGGCATTGTATAAGGTATTAAATGTAATCTAGACGTTGTGTAAAGTTTACAGGAGGATGTGTATAGGTTATGGGCAAATTCTATGTCATTTTATTTTAAGAAACTGAGCATCTGCAGATTTTTATATTCCTGGGGGTTCCTGACACCAGTTCCCCATGGACATTGAGGGACAACTGACTGTACATGGAGGATATAACTTGTGAGTCTTCAGGGCCTCACATTTTGGAAATAAAGATGTCCTGTGAGCATTATAAATGAGTAAATCTGATAGACAACAGACATGATTTTCCATCTCTGTGGATAAAGCAGGAAAATATCTGTGAATACGATACTGAAAAGATTGGGTTCATCTAGTCAACGTCATCTGGAAGTAGTCCCATGGAGGTGGGGCAATGGAAGTGCTTCAGGAAGAAAAATAATAATAATAGTATGCTCTCATGAGCAGAGACTTGGAGATCCTTTAAACAGCATGGGGCTGAAACAAAACTAGAAGACCAAGGACAAATTTTAGAAGATTTTAAGGAAAGGAACTATGAAATAGATGGCATAAGTGCAGGGTAAGAGGCAGCTTAAGAGAGAAGGAGAGATGCAAAAACAGGGCACAAAACAATGCAGAATGAGCTGAAGGGGGTTCTGCCGGTAATATTCGACTAGCCCAGTGAAGAAAATGCATTCAGCACAGATCCATTAGCTATTAACTAATGGATACTTGAGGTACTAAAATGGATTTTTTTTAAAGAATAAAAAGTAGTTTCATTCCATGGGGAATTTATAGTAAACTGTTCCAACAGAACTAGAAAATAAAATTCTTATGAATGTTAAAGGAATAAAATTTACCACACAAGCTATGAATCAATATAATCGTTGAAGGAGGTAGTGAGAGTTTGAATTCCAAAAGACAGTATTTACAGAACCAAAGGAAATGTAGATGGGCAGATATAAAGATAAGCTTTCTATTGGAGGTCCTAACAAGGACAAAGGCAGTTGTGTATTGATAAATGTTTAACAACTGAGTTTCCATTAAACTATTTGTAGTGTTAGCCTATTTCCACTATGTAAATGCTCCTGCTACAGTTGATTTCCAGCTACCAACATGATGTCACTTAACGCAGAGTTGAGAAGGGATGTGCACAATTTGCTGTCAAGAGCACACCACTTGCTTAAAGGCCTCCCTCATCAATGTGATTAAAAGAGGAACATTCCCATGCAAAGAAAATGAAAGATGAAAGTGGGAAAAGGAAATACATGTTGTAAAGGAGATGTAGGATGAGCATAAATGAGGGGAAGATGAAAGAAAAAGAGATCAAGGCAGACAGAAGTCAGCTGTATACAGTACTCTTATGAGCAAAAGGGCCAAGAAAAGTGTGTGAGAGTGTGCGTGTGTGTGTGTTTGTGAAAAGTGGGGGAGGTGTAATGGTGGGAAGGGATAGATTGGTTGATTACCTAGACATGAATACTCCTAGGCAGTTTAAAGGAGTGTTTGTAGAAGCATGGACTTTGGAGTCAGGAGACCTTACTTCAAATATTGGCACCACCACTTACAAGTACCGTGTGTGACCTTAAACAAAGTTGGTCAACCTCCCTTACCTTTATTTCTCTTACCTGTGAAATGTAGAAAGTGTTTAGCAAGATGCCCTTCATATACTAAGTTCTCAGTAAATGCTAGCTGTTAATGTTATAAAGCAGTAAAATGAAAAAATGCTTTTGATTCACTAAAAATGGGTAGTCTAATCTTTAAAAGTTAATAACATTAGTGGGTTTTAAAAAGTATTTATTGATCCCAGATGTCAAAATTTGGCCTAAAGAGGATCAAATCTGACAAGCACATAGTTTGTATCACACAGTGATATATGATTTTTGAATCACTGCTGATATTTAAAAATTGATAAATTCCACAGGAAAAATCGAGATTTTAGATTTTCATGAAAAACCAGGAGTTTTGTAAACCCTGGGGTTGCATTCCCACATTGCATCAGTTGACTGGAGGTAGCCTAGTGGTGGTTTCAATCCTTTAGAAAGGCAGGTGTTTCCGTTTTACTTTCCTTACTCAGCTTTAAAGAAAGTAAAGCTTGTTTACATTACCTAGTTACCTTCCTGGCCCCTAGAGGCACTTCAATTTGTATTCTTTAATTCATATCAAATACATTTCAAAAGTGATATGAAGCAATCGTTCAGCAAATGATTGAGATTCAGACCAATGCGGAATTCAATACTTTTTATGCTCCAAATCTGCAATTTACAATAAGGTAACCATGAGCCATATTTGGCTATTGAGAACTTAAAAAGTGACTAATGCAATTGGAGATGTGCTAAAAGTATAAAGTACACACAGGATTTTAAAGACATAGTACAATAAAGTGAAATATCAGTAATTTTATATTGATTATGTGTTGAAGTGATAGCATTTTGGATATACTGTGTTAAATATATTATTAAAATTAATTTTATCTGTTTCTTTTTACTTTTAAATTATGTTTACTACAAAACTTAAAATTAGATTTGTAGCTCATAATATATTTCTATTAAATAGCACCATTCCAAATCATTTAAAAGCTATACCATGTTTTTAAAATTAAAAAAACTTACTTTAAAATGTCTGATAAAAATGATAAACAATCATTTTGGAAAACACAAAGAAAAAATTAAAAATCTTAATTCTACTAAATATTGATAAATATTTCAGTTTCTTTTTGTTTAGATTTTTCTACATGAAATATTCATACATAGAATCTTATTCTATAAAAATTGGATCATACTGTACATACCATTTTATGTTCCTTTTTCACTTAACATTTAAACATAATCTTGGCTGGGCGTGGTGGTTCACACCTGTAATCCCAGCACTTTGGGAGACCGAGGCAGGCAGATCACTAGGTCAGGAGATCGAGACCATCCTGGATAACACGGTGAAACTCCATCTCTACTAGAAATACAAAAAATTAGCTGGGCCTGGTGGCGGGTGCCTGTAGTCCTAGCTACTTGGGAGGCTGAGGCAGGAGAATGGCGTGAACCCGGGAGGCAGAGCTTGCAATGAGCTGAGATCGCACCACTGCACGCCAGCCTGGGTGACAGAGCAAGACTCCGTCTCAAAAAAAAAAAAAAAAAAAAAAAAAAGCAACCATAATCTTTTTGAAATATCTTTAAGAATTCTTTGAAACAAAGTTGTTAAATGGATTAACAAATTGAGTACAATAATAACAAAACTGGGAGAAAGTACGAGAAAGTACAGATAATTATTTAATTCAAGTATGTTAAAGGCATTTCTCAGCATATGACTCAAGGAAATTAAACATAAAATAACTGATTTTATTACATAAAAAATAAACTTTTGTATAAGTACAATGTAAAAACAGGCAAATGAAATACTGAAAAATATTACATATAGGAAAGACAAAGGATTAATATTATAACTATATAGTAAATTGATTCAAATCAATCAAGGAAAGGGGAACATAAAAATATCAAAAACGACAAAAAAGGAAAGGTAAAAAATTTTATGACTGACTAATAGACACGTGGAAAAAATGATCAATTTCATCCACATCTTAGCTCAAGCTGCTATAACAAAATACCATAGACTAGGTGGCTTAAACAACAGAATTTTACTTCTCACTGTCTGGAGGTTGGAGTCAGAGTGCCAGCATTGTTGAGTTCAGTGAGGGTTTTCTTCCCAGCTTGCATTATAGATGGCTTCCTTCTTGCTGTATCTTCACAGGCAGAGAAAGAGATCCTGTGACTCTTTTTCTTTTTATAAGGCCACTAATCTCCTCCTGAGAGCCTCACTCTCATGATCTAATCTAATCCTAAGTACCTTCTAAGGATCCTACCTCCAAATACCATTACATTGGGGATTAGGGCTTGAACATACTAATTTTGGGGAAACACAAACATTCAGTCCACATCAGCTAGTAATCAAGGAAATGCAAATGAGAGCAAGTAACATTTTGAAGTATTAACTTGGCAAATAATTTTGATAATAACATCAGCCAACATTTATTGACAACTTATGATCTAAGTGCTTTACACGCCTTACTCATTCAATTTCCCTAACCATATAAATTGCTTACAGATGCTATTATAAGGAGATTGGACCACATATTCAAAGCCACATTACTTTATACTTGTGAGGCTGGAGTTGAACATAGACAGTCTGACTTCTGAATCCATGACATTATTAATTATTCATACCTAGAGATGAGGGTTCAGAAAAATGGGCAATTTTATACGGTGCTGGTGAGAATGAGAACTGGTACAACATTTCTGGAAGGTGGCTTGGAAATAAGTATTAAAAGAATATCTATAACCTAGAAATTCTATGCCTATTACTGTACTATATCACAAGTGAGTAGTCATACAAATAATTTGTATCTGGGCTTTGAAAATATCCAAGTGTGCAAGAATGTAAATATATGCAATAATAGGATGTTTATTTTAGCACTTTTGAAAAACCAAAAAACTCAATAAGACTTTAATGCTTAGAAATAATGGGAAAGATTAGTACATTAAGATGAAATAATACTTGGAAAAACTATACAGCCATTATAAATAATGGAGTAGTTCTGAGCAGAATGAAATGGAAAACTTTTTAGGCAATGTTGTTATATCAATTATATTGCATAGGGAGTTTTAGCTGTATATAAAAAATAATCCCCTCGAACTAGCTTAACTATTAAGGAAGTTTGTGATCTCACATAGCAGGAAGAGCACAGGTAGGTAGGACAGGCATCAGGGGCCATTGATTCAGTAACTAAATGAAGTCGTTAAGGATCCAGGTTCCTTCCATTTCTGGTCAGCTTCTGCTATGCCTGGTGTCAGCTTCATCCTAAGGCTGGAATTATCCCTAATGTAACAAGATGGCTGTTTATTGTGATAGAGTGTACATTCTTCTTTGTTTCTGTCCCTCAGGAGAGAGGGGAAAACCTTTCCTAACTATGGAATAAAATGCCATCCCTTCAATATGATCAGGCCATTTTAAGAGGATTGGCCACCCTCAACCAGTAATGGCCCTTAGGTAAATTCCAGGTATTGACAGGTTCAGAATAACTAGGACCTGTCCTCTGAAGCTTGTGGTGAAGTGGGATGGCATTGACATCCAGATATTTGGAGTTCTGTTAGGCAGGAAGAGGGAAATTCATGTTAGGTAGGTATAGATGACACTGGGAGCCTCAAACATAGGAATGGCTGAGGACACTATGGACTCCAAGAGGACCTGGTGGGAGGTGAAAGACAGAAAGAAGACATGCTGAATAATCTTTGGAAGGAAAGGAAGCGGGGCTTAAATAACTGAGGCAATCCAGAAAGTGCCAACACCCAGGGGAGGAGAGAAAAAAAAATAGAGGATCCAGAGAGAGAGAGAGAGAGAGGCTAAATAATATGACTCAATAAAAGCTCCCCAATGGACAAAAATCTGAGGGATCCCTGGATCCCTGGGGTTAAAACCGGAACAAGGAGCATTTTTCAGAGTACCAGCTCTGACAAGGCCATTCACTAGAGCTAAGGGGAAATCATGTGGGTCTGTGCCCACAGGATGCCCACAAAACCAGTCACTGAGGAACAGAATCAAGTGAGGAGAACTGCAAATAGATACATTCTTTAGAGTTGTTACTCTTATCACATACACAGCACCTCCCTTCCCATAATCTTGCCCTGCTCTGTGGACCATGTTGGGCATCCCTCTCCTTCCAGGAGTAGATAGAAAGTCAGCATTGAATGTTGTTGCACAACATCCCTGAAAAACAAACACTTTGGTTGTCTCAGCTTTGAATCTTGCTGAGGTTTGCAAAGGCTTCCACTGGGCACTGTTTGTTCACTTCTTAGGCCAGGTTACTCTCTTTACTTCACTAGCCCTTTCCAGAACATCTCAAACAACAACAACAAAGGGAAACAAACAAAAAAAAAACCCTCCAATCCAATCCACCTTTCTAGATCAGACCCAGATTCATCTTCCTCACAATAACTTCTCTGGCTCTACAGATACTCCCCTTCTCAGACTTTTATTGGGCTGACAGGACCCCATAATTTTTCAATTTTTTTTCCCCAGCAGTTGTTACATGCAACAGTGGACCTGCACAGGCATCCCATGTTCTGCTCCCACCCACACCCCATGATGCCTTAAATTATGTTTCATAATTGTTTTGTATCTATCACAGATCTTAGGCCACTGAATAATCAGTGAACTGGTCTTTCGGTTTCTCCTCTTACCCTTCTCCAATCCAGTCTCTATATGGCAATCCAAGGAACATTTTTTTTTTCTTTGAGAAAGAGTCTCACTCTTCCACCAGTCTGGAGTGCAGTGGCGCGATCTCGGCTCACTGCAACCTCTGCCTCCTGGGTTCAAGCGATTCCCCTGTGTCAGCCTCCTGAGTAGCTGGGACTACAGGTGTGTGCCACCACACCCGGCCAACTTTTTTTGTATTTTAGTAGAGATGAGGTTTCACCATGTTGGACAGGATGGTCTTGATCTCCTGACCTCGTGATCTGCCTGCCTTGGCCTCCTAAAGTGCTGGGATTATGGGCGTGAGGCATTGCACCCAGCCAGAACATTTTACAAGATAATTAGAGCATACACCTCCCCTCATTATATCCAATAAATGCCTCTGTTGCATTCAGGTAGTTAAAAAAAAATAAAACCCTTCAGGCCCTGTAAGATCTGGCTCTTGGCCACTACTCTGACACAGGTACTCTTTCCCTTCATTGCTAAGCTCCAGCGACACTGCTTTCCTTTAGTTCTAAATGGGCTGAGGACTTTCCTGCCTTAGAGCCTGTGCATTTGCTGTTTCTCCTGGGAGGCTAACCACACTCCTGCCCTGGCTAACAACTATTTACTCTTTAGGACTCATCTTAAATATCATGCCTACTGTTAGGGACAAGCTGCCCCAAAAAACTTCTTGGTACTGCCAACACTTCCCCCAAACCTCTCCGTGCTGCCCGTCCCTTCCCCTACACTCTGCAACTCTTCTCCTTCCCCCAAGCCTCTTTACATTTCTATGCCCTTATCCAGGCGCTGCAGTGAAGCCAGCATCACTTATCAGACCTTGCTGCAATAAACAAACCCCAATTATAAACCATCCGGACCGCACCAGGGGAGGTCGTGGGAAGCATAAACAAACTTTACCTACACCCCTGTAATAAACGTCACAAGGTGATATGTGGCAAAATTAACCAGCAAACAACCCCAGGGTCTCTCTTCCCCATATAAATCTCTCATTTTGTAAGCTCAGAGCTGCCTTCTCTGTCTGTAGTGGAGTAGCCAGCAGGTTCAATAAACGTACTTGCCTGAATTTGGGTCTATTCCTCCTTTCTCTTGGCTGACCTTACATTCTGGTGCTGAAACCCGGGAATGGGATAGACTCTGGCCGGGACTCACTCTCTCTCTCTTTATCTCTCTCTCTCTCTCTCTCTCCAACAATGTAAAAACTGATAAACTGAAAATCAACAATTCTTAGACTATGAGAGAATTGAGGTCACAGGGCAAACTACTGTCCCCCCAAATTGGAGAGACAGACAGGTGTATACAAAGAATCACAGCTTACCTGGAGCAGGAGCCCAGGAGCAGAAACCACCACTGGAGCTTGTACCACGGTAGGAAAACATAACCCATAATTGACAAATTACTGAAGGTTCAGTGTAGACAAGATTAAGAGTTGGAAATTCCAGGTGGGCTCAGTCTCAGCCTGTATCCACCCCTACTTTTGTGTGTTTATGTCCGGAGCCCTACCAGTTTCTCACAGTGAAGATCAGAAAAAAAATACCTTCCTGCTTCTGACAAGGGGATGCTAAAAGTAACCATTCTGATATATACACAGAACCTTTCGTTCTTCTTAACAAGACCTGCTATCAAGAGAAACAAACCAGCCAGGTGCGGTGGCTCATGCCTGTAATCCCTGCACTTTGGGAGGCTGAGGTGGGCGGATTATGAGGTCAGGAGTTCGAGACCAGCCTGGCCATCATACTGAAACCCCGTCTCTATTAAAATACAAAAATTAGCTGGGCATGGTGGCATGCATCTGTAGTCCCAGCTACTTGGGAGGCTGAGGCAGAAGAATTGCTCGAACCCAGGAGGTGGAGGTTGCAGTGAGCCAAGATCACGCCACTGCACTCCAGCCTGGGCTACAGAGCAAGACTCTGTCTCAAACAAAACAAAACAAAACAAAGAAGGGTACCTCAAGGCATTTAATAATCAAACTCCCAAAGGTCATGGATAAAGGAAGGATCCTAAAAGCAGCAAGAGAAAAGAAACAAAATACGATGGACCTCCAATACATCTCACAGCAGACCTTCACATTTACATTAGAAACCTTACAAGGCAGAAGAGAGTAGCATGATATATTTAAAGTGCTGAAGGAAAAAAAAACTTTTACCATAGCAAAGTATATTTGGTGAAAATATCCTTCAAACATAATGCAGAAATAAAGACTTTCCAAGACAAACAAAAGCTGAGGGATTTCATCAACATCAGACCTGTCTTACAAGAAATTCTAAAGGGAGTTCCTCAATCTAAAAAAAAAGATATTAATAAGCAAGAAGCTATCATCTGAAGGTATAAAACTCATTGGTAATAGTGAGCACACAGAAAAACAATATTATAACACTAATTGTGATGTGTAAACTACTCATATCTTAAGTAGAAAGACTAAAAGATGAACTGATATAAAATAAGAAGTATGACAAATTTCCAACACACAGACAGTACATTAAGATATAAATGGAAACAAAAAAAGTTAAAAATCACATGAAAAAAGTTAAAGCGTAGAGTTTTATTAGTTTTCTCTATGCTTATATGTTTGTATATGTAATCAGTGTTAACTTGTCACCAGTTTAAAATAATGGGTTATAAGATATTATTTTCAAGCTTCAGGGTAACCTCAAATCAAAAACACACAACAGAAACAAAACAAAACAAAAAACAAAAACAATAATTTTTTTTTTTTTTTTTGAGACGCAGTCTCTCTCTGTCTCCCAGGCTGGAGTGCAGTGGCGCGATCTCGGCTCACTACAAGCTCTATTTCCTGGGTTCACGCCATTCTCCTGCCTCAGCCTCCTGAGTAGCTGGGACTACAGGTGCGTGCCACCACGCCCGGCTAATTTTCTGTATTTTTAGTAGAGACGGGGTTTCACCATGTTAGCCAGGATGGTCTCAATCTCCTGACCTCATGATCCGCCCGCCTCAGCCTCCCAAAGTGCTGGGATTACAGGCGTGAGCCACCGCGCCCGGCCAAAAACAAGAAATTAAAACATACCACCAGAGAAAATAATCTTCACTAAAAGGAAGACAGGGAAGAAGAAAAGAAGGAAGAGAAGACCACAAAACAACAGAAAACATATAACAAAATGGCAAGAGTAAGTCCTAACTTATCAATAATAACATTGAATGTAAATGGACTAAACTTTTCAGTTGAAAGATGTAGAGTGGCTGAATTGATAAAAAATAAGAACCAACTATCTGTTGCCTACAAAAAACATACTTCATGTATAAAGCCAAATATAGAATGGAAATAAAGGGATGTAAAAAGATATTCCATGTGAATGGAAACCAAAAAAGAGCAAGAGTCACTATAGTTATATCAAACAAAATAGGTTTCAAGACACAAACTATAAATAGAAACAAAGAACATCATTATAAAATGCAAAATGGGTCAATTAAACAAAAAGATATAACAATTATAAATATGTGTGCACCCAACAATGGAGCATGCAGATATATAAAGTAAATATTACTGGAGCTAAAGAGAAAGACATCAATACAATAATAGCTGGAGACTTCAACACTCCACTTTTAGCATTGGACATCATCCAGACAGAAAATAAACAAACATCAGACTTAATCTCCATTATAGACTAAATGGAGCTAGTAAATATTTATAGAACCTTTCATCCAACGGTTGCAGAATACATGCTCTTCTTCTCAAAACGTGGATTATTCTCAAGGATATATCATATACTAGGTCACAAAACAAGTCTGAAAACAGTTTTTAAAACTTTGAAATAATATCAATTATCTTCTCTGACCACAATGGGATAAATCTAGAAATCAGTAACAAGAGGAATTTTGAAAACTATACAGACATATGAAAATCAGACAATGTGCTCCTGAACAATCAATGGTTCAATTAAGAAATTAAGAAAGAAATTGGCTGGGTGTGGTGGCTCACGCCTGTAATCCCAGCACTTTGGGAGGCCGAGATGGGCAGATCACGAGGTCAGGAGATTGAGACCATCCTGGCTAACATGGTGAAACCCTGTCTCTACTAAGAATACAAAAAAATTAGCTGGGCCTGGTGGCGGGTGCCTGTAGTCCCAGCTACTCAGGAGGCTAAGGCAGGAGAATGGCATGAACCTGGGAGGTGGAGCTTTCAGTGAGCTGAGATCATGCCACTGCACCCCAGCCTGGGAGACGAGCAAGACTCCGTCTCAAAAAAAAAAAAAAAGAGAAAAAAGAAATTAAGAAAGAAATTGTAAAATTTATTAAGGCAAGTGACAGTGGAAACACAATATAACAAAACCTATGGAATACAGTGAAAGCAGTATTAAGAGGGAAGTTTAAAGTTATATGTGCCTACATCAAAGAAGCAGGAAAACTTCAAATAAACAACCTAATAATGCATCTTACAGAATTAGAAAAGCAAGAACAAACCAAACACAAAATTAGTAGAAGAAAAGAAATAATTAAAATCAGAGCACAAATAAATGAAATTTTTATGAAGAAAATGATACAAAAGATCAATGAAATAAAAAGTTGAGTTTTTGAAATAATAACAAAATTGACAAACCGTTAGCCAGAGTCATTATGAAGAAATGAGAGAAGACCTAAATAAATAAAATTAGAGCTACAAAGTAGACATTACAACCAATACTACAGAAATTCAAAGAATCATTAGAGGCTACTATGAGCAGGTATATGCCAATACATTGGAAAATCTAGATGAAATAGATAAATTTCTAGACACATACAATGTACCAAGATCGAACCAGAAAGAAATACAAAACCTGAACAGCAAAGCCATTATAAAAATTATCCCAGGAATGTAAAGCCTGGGACTCAACGGCTTCACTGCTGAATTTTATCAAACTTTTTAAGAAGAACTAATACCTATCCTACTCAAATTATTCCAAAAAATAGAGGAGGGAATACTTCCAAACTAATTCTACTAGGCCAGTATTATCCTGATACCAAGACCAGAAAAAGACACATCAGAAAATAAACTACAGGCTAATATGTCTCCTGAATATTGATACAAAAATTCTCAACAAACTATTAGCAAACCAAATTTAACAATACATTAGAAAGAGCATTCATCATGACCAAGTGGGATTTATTCCTAGGATACAAGGATGATTCAACATATGCAAATCAATCAATATGATACATCATATCAAGAGAATGTAGGACAAAAAGCATATGATCATTTCAATTGACGCTGAAGAACATTTGATACAATTCAACATTGCTTCATGATTTAAAAAGAATCTAAAAACCTGAGTATCAAAGGAATATGTCTCAACATAATAAAAGCCATATATAACAGACCCACAGCTAATATTAAACAGAATGGAAGAAAAACCGAAAGCCTTTTCTTTAAGATCTGAAACACAAGGATGCCCCCTTGCTACACTGTTGTATTATTCCATTCTTTCATGGCTATAAAAAACTATCTGAGACTGGATAAAGAAAGGGTTTAATTGACTCACATTTCTGCAGGCTGTACAGGAAGTATGGCTGAGGAGGCCTCAGGGAACTTACAATCATGCAGAAGGCAAAGGGAAAGCATGCACGTCTTACATGGCTGGAGAAGGAGGAAGAGTGAGATGGGGGAGGCGCCACACACTTTTAAACAACCAGATCTCGTGAGAACTCACTCATTATCAGAGAATAGCAAGGGGGAAATCTGCCCCCATGATCCAATCAGCTCCCACCAGGCCTCACCTCCAAAATTGGGGATTACAATTTGACATGAGATTTGGGTGGGGACACAAATCCAAACCATATTAACTCTTATTCAAAATAATACTGGAAGTCCCAGCTAGAGCAATCAGACAAGAAAAAGAAATGAGGCACACCTACACTGGAAAGGAAGAAGTCAAATTATCCTTGTTTACAGATGATATTATCTTATATTTGGAAAAAACCTAAAGACTCCACTAAAAAAATTAAGAGAACTGATAAACAAATTCAGTAAAGTTGCAGGATACAAAATCAACATACAAAAATCAGTAGCATTTCTATATGCCAATTGTGAACAATCTGAAAATGAAATCAATAATGTAATCCCATTTATAATAGCTACAACAATATTAAGTACCTAGGAATTAACCAAAGAAGTGAAAGATCACTATAATAAAAATTATAAAACATTGATGAAAGAAATTGAAGAGGACATAAAAAATGTAAAGATATTCAAAATTCACAAATTGGAAGAATCAATATTGTTAAAATGTCCATACTACTCAAAGAAATCTACGGATTCAATGCAATCCCTATCAAAATACCAATGAGATTCTTCACAGAAATTTAAAAAAACTATTCTAAAATGTGTATTCAATCACAAAAGACCCAGAATAGCCAAAGCTGTCCTGAGTAAAAAGAACAAAACAGGAAGAATAACATTTCCTGACTTCAAATTATACTACAGAGCTATAGCAACCAAAACAGCATGGTGTTGGAATAGAAACAGACACATAGTGGTGGCTCACACCTGTAATCCCTGCACTTTGGGAGGCCGAGGCGGGTGGATCACTTGAGGTCAGGAGTTTGAGACCAGCCTGGCCAACATGATGAAACCCCATCTCTACTAAAAATACAAAAAATTAGCCGGGCATGGTGGTGGGCGCTTGTAATCCCAGCTACTCAAAAGGCTGAGGCAGGAGAATCACTTGAACCCAGGAGGCGGAGGTTGCAGTGAGTCAAGATCGTGGCACTGCACTCCAGCCTGGGCAACAGAGAGAGACTCCATATCAGAAAAGAAGAAACAGACATATAGATCAATGGAACAGAATAGAGAACTCAGAAACAAGTCCATGCATCTGTACTGAACTCATTTTCGACAAAGCTGCCAAAAAATACACTGTCTCTTAAATAAACGGTCCTGGGAAAACTGGTTACCATATGCAAAAGAATGAAACTAAACCCCTATCTCTCACCATATACAAAAATCATATCAAAATGGATTAAAGACTTATACCTAATAACTCAAACTATGAAACTACTACAAGAAAAAGTTGGGGCGAATCTCCAGGACATTGGACTGGTAAATATTTGTTGAGTAATATCCTACAAGCACAAGCAACCAAAGCAAAAATGGACAGATAGGATCACATTGTTACCTTTGCTGTGCAGAAGTTACAAAGCTTCTGCACAGCAAAGGTAATTATCAACAAAGTGAAGAGACAACCCACAGAATAGGAGAAAATATTTGCAAACTATCTATCTGACAAGAGATTAACCACCAGAATATATAAGGAGCTCAAACAACTCTATAGGAAAAAAATCTAATCATCCAATTAAAAAGGGGAAAAGATCTGAATAGACACTTCTCAAAAGAAGACATACAAATGGCAAATAGCTATAAGAAAAGGTGCTCAATATCACTGATCATCAGAGCAATACAAGTAAAAACTACAATGAGTTATCATCTCACCCCAGTTAAAATGGCTTTTATCCAAAAGTTAGGAAATAACAAATGCTGACGAGGATGTGGAGAAAAGGGAACCCTTGTACACTGCTTTTGAGAATGCAAATGAGTACAACTACAAATTTTGCAGTCTCCTCAAAATCAAAAAATAGAGCTACTATATGAGCCAGCAAATCCACTACTAGTTACATACCCCAAAAAAGGAAATCAGTATATTAAAGAGATACCTGCCTACCCGTGTTTGTTGCAGCACTGTTCACAATAGTCATGATTTGGAAGCAACCCAAGTGCCCATCAACAGATGAATGAATAAAGAAGATGTGGTACATATACACAAGGAGTACTATTCAGCCATAAAAAAAGAATAAGATCCTGTCATTTGCAACAACACAGATGGAACAGGAGGTCATTATGTTGAGTGAAATAACCCAGGCACAGAGAGACATACTTCACGTGTTCTCACTTATTTTCATGAGCTAAAAATTAAAACAATTGAACTCATGGAGCTAGAGAGCAGAAGGACGGTTACCAGAGGCTGGGAACGGTAGTTGCAGGAGAATGCAGGGGGGTGTTTGGGAAGGAAGTGGGGATGGTTAATAGGTAGAAAAAAAATAGAAAGAATGAATAAGATCTAGTATTTGATAGTACAACGGGGTGACTATAGTTAAAAATAATTTAATTGTACATTTTAAAATAAAATGGTATAATTGGATTGTTTGTAACACAAAGGATAAATGATTGATGAGATGAATACCCCATTTATCCTAATATGATTATTACACATTATATGCCTGTATCAAAATATCTCATGTACCCGGGAAATATATATACCTACTGTGTATCCAGAAACATTAAAAATAAAAAAAATTAAAGTAAAAGACAGAAAAAGACTTTCTCAGACAAATTAAAATTGAGGAAATTTGTTGCCATAATATATGCTTCAATGTTAAAAGAAGTTCTTCAGAGAGAAAAATAATACAGATCAGAATCTTGGATCTACATAAAGAAAGGAAGAACATTAGAGAAGGAGTAAATGAAGATAAAATAAAATCTTTTATTATTTTAATAAACGTATCAGGTTACAATTTATTCAAAATAACAATGGCAACAATGCATTCAGTGATTACTGCTATGGAAAAGTGATAGGAATAACAGCAATGTTTTAAGTGAAAGGAGGGAGAAATTGGGAATACTCTATTAATTAGTACTTATCCATGAAAATATATAGTATTATTTGGAAGTGGACTTTTATTAGTTATAAATATGTATTACAAACTCGATGGTGATCACTAAAAAAAGTTTTTAAAAAGTATTATTGATATGCTAAGAGAAAAGATAAAATGGAATTATACAAGGTGCTCAATTAAAACCAGAGAAGACAGAAAAAGAGTGGAAGACAAAAAAGAGAGAGAAATAACAGCGATAAGAATTCGAAAACAGTTAAAACATGGTAGACATTAATTCAACTATACCAATAATCACTTAAATTTTAATAATTTAAGTACATCAGCTGAAAGAAATGAACTGTCAAAGTTGATAAAACAATATGACTCAACTATATATTTTCTATATTCTACAAGAAACCAACTTTAAATATGAAGACATAGATAATGTAACAGTGAAGGGGTTGAGAAAAATATACCATGTTAATTCTAATGAAAAGAAAGCTATAGTAGCTATAAACTCGGGGCAAAGAAAAATTTAAAGGAAGGAAAATTACCAGGGATAAAGAGGGGCACTGAACAATGACAAAAGAGTCAATTCTCCAAAGAGACATAAAAACCCTGGATGTGTATGTGCCTAACAGAGAGCATCAAAATATATGAGTCCAAAACTTACAAAACTGCAAAGAGAAGTAGATGAATCAACTATTGTAGGTAGAGACTTCAATACCTTTTATCAGTAATTGACAGATTTAGCAAGCATAAAATCAATAAGGATATAGTTAAACACAACATCATGAGTCAGTTGTATCTAATTGATATTTATGGAATACTTCATCCAACAACAGCAGAATACATACTCTTTTCAAGCTTACACAAATTATTCATCAAGATAGATGACATTCTGGGCTATAAAACACACCTTAAAAATTTAAGAGAATAGATATCATGCAAAGCATGCTCTCAGACCACAGTGGAATTAAATTAGAAATCAACAAGAGACAGATAACTGGAAAACCCCCAAAATACTTGAGGGTATAAATAACACACTTAATAATCAATATTGTTAAAATGATCATACTGCCCAAAGCAATCTACAGATTCAATGTTATCCCTGTTAAAATACCTACTTAATTTTTTACCGAATTAGAAAAAAACAATTCTAAAATTCTTATGAAACCAAAAAAGATCCTGAATAGTCAAAGCAATCCTATGCAAAAATGATAAAACTGGAAGCATCACATTATCTGATTTAGAATTATACTACAAGTCTGTATAACCAAAACAGCATGATATTGGCATAAAAGTAGACACATAGATCAATGGAACAGAATAGAAAACCCAGAAGTAAAGGCACATATTTACAGCCATCTGATGTTTGACAAAATCAACAAGAACATACACTGGGAAAAGGATATTCTTTTCAATAAATGGTGCTGGGAAATTGGATTGTCATTTGCAGAAGAATAAAACTGGACCACTATTTCTCACTATATACAAAAATTCACTCAAGATGGATTAAAGACTTAAATGTAAGACATGAAACTATAAAAATACTAGAAGAAAACCTATGGAAAACTCTTCTGGACATTTGTCTGGGCAAAGAATTAATGATGAAAACCCCAAAAGAACAGGTAATTAAAACAAAAATAGACAAATGGGACTTAATTAAACTAGAGAGCTTCTGTGTAGCAAAATAACTGATCAACAAAGCAAACAGACAACATGCAGAATGGGAGAAAATATTTGCAAACTAAGCACCCAACAGGGGACTACTATCAAGAATTTTCAAGGAACTCAAACAATTCAACAACAATAACAACAAAATTATCCCATTAAAAAGCGAGCAAGGAACATTAATAGATACTTTTCAGAAGACATACAAATGGCCAACAGGCATATGAAAAATGCTGAACATCACTAATCACCAGAGGAATGTAAATTAGTATCACAATAAGATATCATCTTACACTAGTTAGAATGGCTATGTTTTTGGAATGGCTATTTTTAAAAAGACAAAATACAACAAATATTCATGAGGATGTGGAGAAAAGGGAACTCATACACTGTTGTTAGAAATGTAAATTAGTAAAACATCTATGGAAAACATTACCGAGACTTATCTAAGAACTAAAAGTAGAACTACTAGTCAATCCAGCAATCCCACTGCTAGGAATCTACTCAAAGGAAAAGAAACAATTACATCAAAAAGAGACCTGCACCTGTATGTTTACTGCAGCACTATTTACAATAGCAAAGATATGGAATCAACCTAACTATCCATCAATGAGTGATTGGATGAAGAAAATGTGGTATGTATACATAATGGAATACTATTCAACCATAAAAAGAATAAAATCATGTCTTTTGCAGCAACACAATGAACTGGAGTCCATTGTCTTAACTGATACAAGTCAGACACAGAAGGATAAATACCACATGTTCTCACTTATAAGTGGGAGCTAAATAATGTGTATACATGGATGTAGAGTGTGGAATTATAGACAATGGAGATTCAGAAGGGTGAGTGGGTTGGAGGGTTATGGATGATGATAAATTACTTAATGGGCTCAATGTGTATTATTCAGATGATTGACACCCAGAAAATCCTGACTTTACCACTACATAATCTATACATGTAACAAAATTACATTTGTATCCCATAAAATTAGATAAATAAAATTAAAATAAGGCAGCAGTAAGTCTTCACCTCTCAATAATTACTTTGAATATAGATGGATTAAATTTTTCAATCAAAAGACAGAGAGTGGCTGAATGGAAAAAAATGAATGCCCAACTATATATGTTAACAGAAGACTCACTTCAATTTAAGGACACACAGAACTGAAAGTGAAAAGATGAAAAAATACATTCCATGCAAATGGAAACGAAAATAGAACAGGAGTAGCTATACTTAGATTAAATCGACTTTAAGTACAAAACTGTAAAATTAGACAAAGGACAGTATATAATGATAATGGTGTCAATTCATCAAGAGGATATAATAATTTTAAGTATATTTGCACTTAACATAAGAGCACCTAAATATATAAAGGAAATATTAATGAATCTGAAGGGTAGGATGGACTATAATACAATAATAGCGGGGGACATTGGGAGGCCGAGGTGGGCGGATCACAAGGTCAAGAGATTGAGACCATCCTGGCCAACATGGTGAAACCCCGTCTCTACTAAAAATACAAAAATTAGCTGGGCGTGGTGGCGCATGCCTGAAGTCCCAGCTACTCAGGAGGCTGAGGCAGGAGAATCGCTTGAACCTGGGAGGTGGAGGTTGCAGTGAGGTGAGATTGTGCCACTGCACTGCAGCCTGGTGATAGAGTGAGACTCCATCTCAAAAAAAAAAAAAAAAAATAGCAGGGGACATTAAGTCTGACTTTTAACAATGAACATATCCGGAGAGAAAATCAACAAGGAAAACTTGGACTTAAACTGTACTTTAGCCCAAGGGTAACTATCAGGCATATAGAAAGAATTCCGTCCAACAGCAGCAGAATATACATTATTTTTAAAGCTCACACATTCTCCAGAAGATCATATGCTAGGCCCCAAAACAATCTTAACACATTTCAAAAGACTGAAATTATATAAAGTATCTGACCACAATGGCATAAAACTAAAAATAAATAACAGAAAAAATTTTGAAAACTTCACAAATACATGAGAATTAAACAACATGCTCCTAAACATCAATGGATCAATGAAGAAATTAAAAGGAAAATTTTAAATATCTTGAGACAAAATGGAAACACAATATAACAAAACTTATGGGATGCAGCAAAAGTAGTTCTATGGGGAAAGTATAGACCAATAAATATCTGTAACAAAAAAGAAGAAAGTCTCACATGAACAACCTAATATTACAACTCGAGGAACTGGAAAAAGAACAAATTAAGCCCAAAGTCAGAGGAAGGAAGGAAATAATAAAGATTTGATTAGAAATAAACTAAATAGAGACTAGAAATACAATAGAAAAGATCAAGGAATTGAAGAGTTAGTTTTTTGAAAATATAAACAAAAGTGACAAAACATTAGTTAGACTAAAAAAAGACAAATGACTTAAATAAATGAAAGCAAGGATGAAAAAGAAGACATTATAACTGATACTACAGAAATTGAAAAGATCATAAAAGACCACTATAAAAAAATTATACACCAGCATATTGAATAACCTAGAAGAAACGGATAAATTCGTAGACACATACAACCTACCAACACTGAATTATGAAGAAATAAAAAATCTGAGCAGAACAATAATGAGTAAGGAGAGTGAATCAGTAATAAAAAGTCTCCCATAAAGAAAGGCTCAGAATAATTTATAATCCTTTGGGTATATACCCAGTAATGGAATTGCTGGGTCAAATGGTATTTCTGTTTCTAGGTCCTTGAGGAATCGTCACACTGTCTTCCACAATGGTTGAACTAATTTACACTCCCACCAACAGTGCAAAAGCATTCCTATTACTCCACAGCCTCACCGGCATCTATTGTTTCCTGACTTTTTAATAATCGCCATTCTGACTGGCATGAGATGGTATCTCATTGTGGTTTTGATCTGCATTTCTCTAATGACCAGTAACGATGAGCATCCTACTATAAAGACATGAACAAGTATGTTTATTGCAGCACTATTTACAATAGCAAAGACTTGAAACCAACCCAAATGCCCATCAATGATAAACTGGATAAAGAAAATCTGGCACATATACACCATGGAATATTATGCAGCCATAAAACAGAATGAGATCATGCCTTTTGCAGGGACATGGATGAAACTGGAAGTCATCATTCTCAGCAAACTAACATAGGAACAGAAAACCAAACACCACATGTTCTCACTCATAAGTGGGAGTTGAACAACGAGAACACATGGACACAGGGAGGGGAACAACACACACCGAGGCCTGTCGGGGTGTGGGGGCAAGGTGAGGGAGATCATTAGGACAAATACCTAATGCATGCGGGGCATAAAACCTAGATGGCAGGTTGATAGGTGCAGCAAACCTCCATGGCACATGTATATCTATGTGAAAAACCTGCACATTTTGCACATGTATCCCGGAACTTAAAGTAAAAAATAAAGAAAGGCTCAGGACCTGATGTCTTCACTGCCAAATTCTACCAAACGTTTATAAATAAACTAGTATTAATCTTTCTCAAAATTCTTCAAAAAATTAAAGAAGAGGAAATACTTCCAAACTCATTTTAGGAGGCCAGCATTACAATGATACCAAAGCCAGCCACAGACACTATAAGAAAAGAAAATTGTAGGCCAATATTCCTGATAAACATAGATGCAAAATCCTCTGCAAAATAAGAGCAAACTGTATTCAACAACACATTAAAAGAGTCATTCAGCCAGGTGTGATGGCTCATGTCTGTTATCCCGGTACTTTGAGAGGCCGAGGCGGACGGATTACAAGGTCAAGAGATCGAGACCATGCTGGCCAACATGGTGAAACCCTGTCTCTATTAAAAATAAAAAAATTAGCTGGCATGGTGGTGTGTGCCTGTAGTCCCAGCTACTCGGGAGGCTGAGGCAGGAGAATTGCTTGAACCCAGGAGGCAGAGGTTGCAGGGAGCCGAGATCATGCCACTGCACTCCAGCCTGGCGACAGACTGAGACTCCACCTCAAACAAAAAAAAGTCATTTGCCATAATCATGTGGTATTTACAACAATGACGCATGATGGTTCAACATACACAAATCTATAAATGTGATTTATTATATGAACAAAATGAAGGATGAAAATGTTATGATCATCTGAATAGATGTAGTAAAAGCATTTGACAAAATTCAACATCCATTTATGATAAAAATTCTCCACAAATTAGGTATATAAGGAATGTACCTCAACATAGTAAAGGTCATATATGAGAAACCCACAGCTAGCAACCATACTAAATGGTGAAAAGTTGAAAGTTTTTCCTCCGAGATCAGGAACAAGATAAGAATGCTCACCCTCAACACTTCTAATCAACATAGTACTAGAAATCCTTGCCACAGCAAATAGGCAAGAGAAATAAATAAAAGGTATTCAAATTTAAAAGGAAGCAGTTAAATTGTCCCTGTTTGCAGGTGACATGGTCTTATATATATATATGTGTGTGTGTGTGTGTGTGTGTGTATGTATTACATATCTAAAAAATATACATGTATGTATATTTATATTATATAAATGTAACATTTATATAATAAAAATATATACATACACATGTATATTATATAATTAAATATAATATATACGTATATACATATGTATACATGTATATACGTATATAATATACATGTATATATGTATATACATGTATATTATAATTATATACGTATATACATGTATATGTATATTATATCTATATACGTAACATTTATATGTATATTATTATATTTTAGGGTGTTTTATATATATAAACCCTAAAAACCACCAAAAAGCTCTGTATTTATTTATTATTGTTTTTTAGGCAGTGTCACTCTGTGGTCCGGGCTGGAGTGCGGTGGCACAATCTCGGCTCACTGCACCTCTGCCTCCTGGGTTCAAGCAGTTCTTGTGTCTCAGACTCCTGAGTAGTTGGGCTACAGGTGTGAGCCACCATGCCCAGCTAATTTTTTTAATTTTAGTAGAGATGGGGTTTCACCATGTTGGCCAGGGTGGTCTCGAACTCCTGGCCTCAAGTGGTTCGCCTGTCTTGGCCTCCCAAAGTGCTGGGATTACAGGCATGAGCCACTGTACCTGGCCCCAAAAAACTTTTAAACCTGGCAAACAAATCCAGTAAGGTTTTAGGATACACAATGTTAAAAATCAATAGCATTTCTATATACTTATAAGAAATTATCCAAAACATAAATGAAGAAAACAATCCCATTTACAATAGCTACAAAAAAGAATACTTAAGAATGAATTCATGCAAGCTTGACTACTGCCTAAAATTGAAAAAAGAAAAATGAATAAACCTAGCCAAGGAAGTGAAAAAAACACACCAAAATCTATAAAATGTGAATAAAAGAAATAGAAGACATAAATAAGTGAAAAGATAGTCCTTTTCATGGGTTGAAAGAATATTGTCAAAATGTCCATACTACCCAATTCCTACTGAAATTTCAATGTCATTTTTTTCATAGAAATAGAAAAAACAGGCCGGGCGCAGTGGCTCACGCCTGTAATCCCAGCACTTTGGGAGGCCGAGACAGGCGGATCACGAGGTCAGGAGATCGAGACCATTCTGGCAAACACGGTGATACCCTGTCTTTACTAAAAATACAAAAAATTAGCCGGGCCTGGTGGCGGGTGCCTGTAGTCCCAGCTCCTCGGGAGGCTGAGGCAGGAGAATGGCGTGAACCCGGAAGGCGGAGCTTGCAGTAAGTGAGATCATGCCGCTACACTCCAGCCTGGGCAACAGAGCGAGACTCTGTCTCAAAAAAAAAAAAAAAAAAAAAAAAGAAATAGAAAAAACAATCCTAAAACTTACAAAAACAAACAAAACACCCCAAAGAGCCAGAGCAATCTTGAACAAAAGGAACGAATCTGAATTGATCACACCACTTGACTTCAAAATATACCACAGTGCTGTATTAAACGAAACAGTATGGTACTAGCATAAAAACAGACTCAGAGGCAAATGGAACAGAATATAGAGCCCAGAAATAAATCCATGCATATATGGTCAATTAAGGTGCCAAGAACACACAATGAAGAAAGGATAGGTTCTTTGATAAAGGGTGTTAGGACAACTGTGTATCTGTATATCTACATGCAGAAAAATTAAACTGAACCCTTAGCTCACACATTTAAAAAAAAACTCAAAATGTATTAAAGAGTTAAATGTAAGACCTGAACGTGTAAAACTACTAGAAGAAAACATATGGGTAAAACTCCATTGTGTTGGTCTGGACGATAATTTTTGGACTATAGACCCAAAAGCATAGACAACAAAAGCAAAAAAAAAAAATAGACAAACCAGACTACATCAAACTAAAAAGTTTCTGTACAGCCAAGGAAACAATGAACAGAGTGAAGTGACCATCTACAGAATGGGAGAAAATATTTGCAAACTATACATCTGATAAAGGGTTAATATCCAAAGTATGTAGGAAACTCAAACAACTTTATAGAAAAAAAACAAATAATCCAATTAAAATATGAGCAAGGGACCTGAATAGACATTTTTCAAAAGAAGACATACAAATGGCCAACAGATATATGATAAAAATGCTCAAAATCACTAATCATCAGAGAAGTGTAAATTAAAACCACAATGAGATATCACCTCACACCTGTTAGAATGGCTATTATCAAAAAACCAAGAAATAATTATTGGAGAGGATGTGAATAAAAGGGAACACTTGGACATTGTTGGTGGGAACATAAATTAGTATAGCCATTATGGAAAACACTATGGAGGTTTCTCAAAAAATTAAAATAGAACTACCATAAAATCCCTCAATCTCACTACTAGGTATATATCCAAAGGAAATTAAATCAGTATGTCGAAAAGATATCTGCACTCCTGTGTTCATTACAACATTATTCACAATAGCCAGGATGTGGATGTGGAATCAACCTAAGTATCTATCGATCTATCAATCTATCAATCTATCTATCTATACATACATACACAATGGAATATCATTCAACCATAAAAAGAATGAAATCCTGTCATTTGCAGTAACATGGATGGAACTGGGAGATTTTATGTTACATGAAATAAGCCAGACACAGAAAGACAAATATTGCATGTTCTCACTCATATGTAGGAGCGTAAAAAGTGGATCTCATGGAGGTAGAGGGTAGAATGATGGTTACCAAAGGCTGGGGAAACGTAGTGTGGAGGGAGGGATGAAAAGAGGTTTGTTAATGGGTATAAAAATATAGTTAAATAGAAGGAATAAATTTTAGTGTTCCATAGCACACTATTGAATATACAATATTATACTATTGTGTATTTCAAAATACCTAGAAGATTTGGGATATTTCCAACATAAAGAAATGATAAATATATGAAGTGATGGATATCTCAATGACCTAGATTTAATCATTATACATTGTGTGCATGTACCAAAATATCACATGTACACCACAAATACACACAAGTATTATGGATTAATAAAAATATTTAAATTCATAGATGTAGGGAGGACAATTGTGGTTACCAGTTGGGGTGGAGGTTGGGGTTGGAATATGTTGGTCGAAGAATAAAAATTTCAGTCAGGAGCAATAAATTCAAAATATTTATTGTACAACAAGGTGACTAAATTTAGTAACAATGTATTTTATTCTTGAAAATTGCTAAGAAAAGATTTTAAGTGTTTTCACCACAAAATTGCAAGTAGTGAGGTAATACATATGCTAATTATCTTGATTTAGCCATTCCACAATGTGTATATATTTCAAAACAGCATGTTGTATATGATAAATATATGAATTTTTGTCAATTTAAGAAATAAATTAATAAAAATAAAAATTATCTCACTTTGATAAGGACCATAAAAATCCAAATAATTCACTAAATGGTACATTTATATGTTAATTTTATGTGTATACAATATACCCCATTAATAAGTTTTAAAATATTGAGCACATTATGTTGATATATTAGTATATCTTTTATCTTTTGTTGGGTTCAGTCAAGGAACTAGCTTTTAGCCTATTATTTATTCTATATTTTTTCTATCTTCTTATTTGCTTTTATCTTTATTCTATTTTATTTTAATATGTTTCCCATAATTTCTTGAAATAGATGCTTAATTCATTTGTTCTCATTCATTTTTATTTTTCATGTAAATATTTACTGGCATAAAGTTATATTTTCTCTGACTTAAATGACTTAGGTTCTGATATGTAGTAGTTTTATTATATTATTTTTAAAATTTCAATTTAATTTAATTTAAAGTGCTGGGATACAAGTGCAGGACATGTAGGTTTGTTACATAGGTAAACATGTGCCATGGTGGTTTGCTGGACCTACTAACCCATCACCTAGGTATTAAGCCCCTTATGCATTAGCTATTTATCCTGATGCTCTCCTTCCCACTGCACCCCTGACAGGCACCAGTGTGTGTTGTTCCCCTTCCTGTGTCCATGTGTTCTCATTGTTCAGCTCCCACTTATAAGTGAAAATATGTGTTTGGTTTTCTGTTTCTGTGTTAATTAGCTAAGGATAATGGCTTCCAGCTCCATCCATGTCCCTGCAAAGGACGTGATCCTGTTCCTTTTTATGGCTGCATAGTATTCCATGGTGTATATGTACCACATTTTCTTTATCCAGTCTATCACTGATGGGCATTTGAGTTTATTCCACATCTTTGCTATTGTGAACAGTGCTGCAATGAACATATGTGTCCATGTATCTTTGTAATAGAATGATTTATATTCCTTTGGCTATATGCCCAGTAATGGGATTGTTGGGTCAAATGGTATTTCTGGTTCTAGGTCTTTAAGGAATTGCCATACTGTCTTCCACAATGGTTGAACTAATTTGCATTCTCACCATCAGTGTAAAAGCGTTCCTATTTCTCCACAGCTTCACCAGATCTGTTGTTTCTTGACTTTTTAATAATTGCCATTCTGATTGGCATGAGATGGTATCTCAGTGTGGTTCTGATTTGCATTTCTGTAATAATCAGTGATGTTGAGCTTTTTTTTTCATATGTTTGCTGGCTGCATAAATGTCCTCTTTTGAGAAGTGTCTGGTCATGTCCCTTGCCCACTTTTTAATGGGTTAGTTTGTTTTTTTCTTGTAAATTTGTTTATGTTCCTTGTAGAATCTGGATATTAGACCTTTGTCAGATGGATAGATTGCAAATATTTTCTACCATTCTTTAGGTTGTTTCTTCACTCTGATGATAGTTTCTTTTGCTGTGCAGAAGCTCTTTAGTTTAGTTAGATCCCACTTGTCAGTTTTTGCTTTTGTTCCAATTGCTTTTGGTGTCTCTTCGTATGAAATCTTTGCCCGTGACTATGTCCTGAATGGTATTGCCTAGATTTTCTCCTAGGGTTTTTATAGATTTGGGTTTTAAATTTAAGTCTTCAATCCATCTTGAGTTAATTTTTGTATAAGGTATAAGAAAGGGGTCCATTTTCAATTTTCTACATATGGCTAGTCAGTTCTCCCAGCACCATTTATTAAATAGGGAATCATTTTACAAAATCAAATAAGAGCCATACAGAGATTAATATTAAGTTTGGAACTGTCTATACAAACTGGCATCTAGGAAATCTCAGGTGTCTTGAATAACAACATGGTCAGTGAAGGGCAGTGGACCACATCACCTGGCACAGATAGTGAATCAGGCAGGGTGATAGGCATGGGTAGGGCTTTAGTGTGGGGGTGGGAGGGTGGTCCCACCCAGCTTTTACAGCCCTGCTGCCGAGAGATGACTTACAAGTTTATCAACCGCCACCACCCTACTACCACACCCCTCCCCCCAGCCCTCTAGTCCTACATTCTGCCTCAGTGCTTTCTCCTCCTTCACTTCACTCTACCACTGACAGTTCTTGTGAGTCCAGGATCAAGACACACATGCACACACATTCTTTCTTTGCCAGGCATATAAAAGTTTGACCACATTTGGAAAGTCTTCCCCTCTACCTCCACTCAACCCCCACATCCCCCTTGGGCCCTCTGCTATTTAGAGACCACTCTGCCAACCCTTGAAGCCCAATTCTCTGAGTAAACTTCTAGTACTAGCTAGTGCTCCTCCTACCAGAATATTGTCCACCATGTCAGGATATAAATGTTGGTGGAAAGACTGATATCTGAGCCAGAGTCTGATCAAACTTTGGCCTGAGCCAGGGCATGGATCCCAGTTCTAAAGGTCATCTACATCTATAGGTCTGACTCCTCGGGAGGTCAAATTCAAAAGACTTTCTCTACACCTAAAGAGCAGGTTTTCGTACCTGGACCATAGGGGAGGTCACATAACCATGGGAACCACCTGACCAATAAGGTTCAGGGGCACTCGATCTTTACATGACTGAGAGGGCTCAACCTCATGTGACCATAGGTTGGTACATGACCATAGAATCCACGTGACCAGCAGCAATAGGTCACCTATGTGACTTCCAGGACCACATGATGGTGAAGGTCATAAAAGAGCAGGATCCACAGGACCCACAACATTAGGATCCCACAGTCCTTACATGACTGAAAGGGCTCAGCCTGCCACATGACTGTGGTAGGGGAACATTTATGTACCATAAAAAGGTACATAACCATAGTATTCATATGACCAACAGTGGTGTGGCACCAATGCGATTTCAAAGGGAAATTGGGGGCCTTCCACTTGAAGGTTGGTGGTTGTATTCATCCATTTTGCATTGCTATAAAGGAATATCTGAGGTTGGGTAATTTATAAATAAAAGAGGTTTATTTGGCTCATGGTTCTGCAGACTGTACAAGAAGTATGATGCCACAATTTGCTTCTGGTCAGGAAGCTTTTACTTGTGGCAGAAGGCAAAGGGGGAGCAGGCATATCACAAGGCAAGAGAGAAAGCAAGAGAGAGGGAGGAATGCCAGGCTGTTTTTAGACCATCAGCCCACACATGAACTAATAGAGTGAGAACTTCCTCATTACCATGAGGACAGCACCAAGACATTCATGAAGGACCTGCCCCCCATGACCCAAGCACCTACCACTAAGCTCTACCTCCAACATTAGGGGGTCACATTTTAATATCAGATTTGGAGGGAACAAACATCCAAAGCATATCAGTGGCCTCATGATTCTCATGGTTTAGGAGCCCACTGTGCTCTTGTTACCTATAGAACTAAGCCTTTCACATGACAGTGGAGTGGGGTCCAAAGGGCTGCAAGATTCACCTGACTCACAGCATTAGGAACTAACAGTGTCATGTGCCTGAAAGGGTCCTTGTGATCTGCATGTCTCATGGACCATTCTGTTCATGAGACCTGGAGATTTGAGATTGTCCACATTATTGGGCTCCCTATTGATGGTGATGGTTCCAGGTGACCTTCCATAGCACACAAGCACTTTAGGTGGCCCTACTCCTCTTTAATGTGCCAATTTTATGCCTTTTTTCTAATAACACATGAAATTTAATACATAGCAAGTTAATACCTAGGAATAAAATAGGTTTTTCCTAAAACTACAACCATAGACATATACTAGGCAGTACTGCAAGAGCCTAAACAGTGCATATGGGTGTTGTTGATTTAAATTCAAGCAGGCCTTAAGTAAATTAAACTTCAAAAGTCAGCTTTAATTAATTAATTTTGAAAAAAAAATTTGTATAGTGATTACTATGTGCCAGGCACTTCAAATTTAATTGTGGTAACTCTATGAAGTAGCTTCTAACATTATTCCAATTTTACATATTGGGAAGTTGAAGCACAATGTTAAGTTATTTGCTTAAGAAATTAAGAAGTCACAGACTTGTAAGTGGTGAAGCTAGGAGTTATCCCCAAGCAGGTTGGCTCCAGACTCTTTTTTTCTTTTCTTTCTTTTTTTTTTTTTTTTTTTTTGAGACAGAGTCTTGCTCTGTCGCCCAGGCTGGAGTGCAGTGGCGCAATCTCGGCTCACTGCAAGCTCTGCTTCCTGGGTTCACGCCATTCTCCTGCCTCAGCCTCCCGAGTAGCTGGGACTACAGGCGCCCGCACCTTACCTGGCTAATTTTTTGTATTTTTAGTAGAGACAGGGTTTCACTGTGTTTGCCAGGATGGTCTCAATCTCCTGACCTCATGATCTGCCCGCCTCGGCCTCCCAAAGTGCTGGGATTACAGGCATGAGCCACCGTGCCTGGCCTCGGCTCCAGACTCTTTAATCTGATCACCCACAGGTCCCCCCGCCAAAAAATTAATATTAATTCAGCCTTACTAATACAGACTTACTGGAAAGCTATTCCCAGTTACTGAAAATTTGAGATCATGGATGATGATCTTTTTGGAGTTCCATTTAAATAATTTCAGGTTTTATCAGTAATTAGAACCAATTAAATACAATTAAATCAAAGACCACAGGAAATGTATAGATAGAAATTTACCACTAGTATCATCGTTTATATATGAAATAGAGTATGAAATCCTAGATCTTAGTTGAAAACTTCTTTTTTGAAAATAAACACTAAAAAAGGAAATATCGCAAAGTTTAAATGCCATACCTGACTTTTTTTTTAACATAGGAGCCTTCAGAATGATCATATCTGATTCTTGCCTGAATTAAAAATATATCTAAAAGAATAAAATCTGAATTAATTAGACTTTATTGTATTTGTATTCTGTCTGTACCTCCCCAGAAAGGAGAGAGAAAGGAAAAAGGGAAGTATATACATTATAGATTTTTTTGTTATTACACTTTTAGTTCTAGGGTACATGTGCACAACGTGCAGGTTTGTTACATAGGTATACATGTGCCATGTTGGTTTGTGGCACCCATCAACTCATCATTTACATTAAGTATTTCTCCTAATACTATCCCTCCCCCAGCACCCCACCCCTCGACAGGCCCCAGTGTGTGATGTTCCCCACCCTGTGTCCAACTGTTCTCATTGTTCAATTCCCACCTATGAGCTAGAACATGCGGTGTTTGGTTTTCTGTCCTTGTGATAGTTTGCTGAGAATGATGGTTTCCGGCTTCATTCACATCCCTGCAAAGGACATGAACTCATCCTTTTTTATGGCTGCATAGAATTCCATGGTGTATATGTGCCACATTTTCTTAATCCAGTCTATCATTGATGGACATTTGGGTTGGTTCCAAGTCTTTGCTATTGTGAATAGTGCCACAATAAACATATGCGTGTGTGTGTCTTTATAGTAGAATGATTTATAATCATTTGGGTGTATATCCAGTAATGGAATCATTGGATCAAATGGTATTTCTAGTTCTAGATCCTTGAGGAATTGCCACATTGTCTTCCACAATGGTTGAATGAATTTACATTCCCACCAACAGTGTCAAAGCATTCCTATTTCTCCACAAGCTCTCCAGCATCTGTTGTTTCCTGACTTTTTAATGATCACCATTCTAACTGGCATGAGATGGTATTTCATTGTGGTTTTGATTTGCATTTCTCTGATGACCAGTGATGATGAGCATTTTTTTCATGTGTCTGTTGGCTGCATAAATGTCTTCTTTTGAGAAGTGTCTGTTCATATCCTTTGCCCACTTTTTGATGGGGTTGTTTGTTTTTTTTCTTGTAAATTTGTTTAAGTTCTTTATAGATTCTGGATATTAGCCCTTTGTCAGATGGGTAGATTGCAAAAATTTTCTCCCATTCTGTAGGTTGCCTGTTCACTCTGGTGGTAGTTTCTTTTGCTGTGCACAAGCTATTTAGTTTAATTAGATCCCATTAGTCAATTTTGGCTTTTGTTGCCATTGCTTTTGGTGTTATAGTCATGAAGTCCTTGCCCATGCCTGTGTCCTGAATGGTATTGCCTAGGTTTCCTTCTAGGGTTTTTATGGTTTTAGGTCTGACATTTAAATCTTTAATCCATCTTGAATTAATTTTTGTATAAGGTGTAAGGAAGGGATCCAGTTTCAGCTTTCTACATATGGCTAGCCAGTTTTCCCAGCACCATTTATTAAATAGGGAATCCTTTCCCCATTTCTTGTTTTTGTCAGGTTTGTCAAACATCAGATGGTTGTAGATATGTGGTGTTATTTCTGAGGCCTCTGTTCTGTCCCATTGGTCTATATATCTGTTTTGGTTCCAGTACCATGCTGTTTTGGTTACTGTAGCCTTGTAGTATAGTTTAAAGTCAGGTAGCATGATGCCTTCAGCCTTGTTCTTTTTGCTTATGATTTTCTTGGCTATATGGGCTGATTTTGGTTCCAGATAATTTTTTTTCTAATACTGTGAAGAATATCAATGGTAGCTTAATGGGAATAGCATTGAATCTACAAATTACTTTGGGTAGTATGGCCATTTTCACAACACTGATTCTTCCTATCCATAGGATGGAACATTTTTCCATTTGTTTGTGTCCTCTCTGATTTCGTCGAGTGGTGGTTTGTAGTTCTCCTCGAAGAGGTCCTTCACTTCCCTTGTTAGCTGTATTCCCAGGTATTTTATTCTCTTTGTAGCAATTGTGAATGGGAGTTCACTCATGATTTGGCTCTCTGCTTGCCTATTGGTGGTGTATAGGAATGCTTGTGATTTTTACATATTGATTTTGTATCTTGAGACTTTGCTGGAGTTGTTTATCAGCTTAAGAAGCTTTTGGGCTGAGATGATGGGGTTTTCTAGATATAGAATTATGTCATCTGCAAACAGAGACAATCTGACTTCCTTGCCTCCTATTTGAATATCCTTTATTTCTTTCTCTTGCCTGGCCAGAACATCCAGAAAAAGGGAAATATATACGTTATAGATTTTTTAAAAAAAAAATTTCAACCACCTCTTTTGCTCATTTGTGTAGGAAATTGCAGCTTCATCTGTATGTACAGAATAAATTTGATCTGGTTTTTCAAGTTTACTGGCTTAGGCAAACTTAATGCTGTACAAGCATTGAGATTATTTTTGCAGGTCCCTGCAATGTGACATGGCTACATAAATTAGCTGCAGAAAACTCAATAGACCAAATTTTTAACAGTGGTTAAAATGGAATACACTAGTAAGGATAAGAGACTATATTTGTGATTCTAAGCCTATTGAAGGAAGTTGTGATTTGTTTTGGGTGAGGAATAGGAAGAAATAACAGTGCTTGTGCAGGGATGTTTGTCTTAGATACTTTAGGAAAATTATTTATTGGATACTGTGCATGTAAGGTATGAAAATGGAGCCACACACTATTCACAATAGCAAAGACTTGGAACCAACCCGAATGACCATCAATGACAGACTGGATAAAGAAAATATGGCACATATACACCATGGAATACTATGCAGCCATAAAAAGGATGAGTTCATGTCCTTTGCAGGGACATGGATGAAGCTGGAAACCATCATTCTCAGCAAACTAACAGAAGAACAGAAAACCAAACACTGCATGTTCTCACTCGTAAGTGGGAGTTGAACAATGAGAACACATGGACACAAAGAGGAGAACATCACACACCAGGGCCTGTTGGGGGGTGGGAACTAGGGGAGGGATAGCATTTGGAGAAATACCTAATGTAGATGATGGGTCAGTGGGTGCAGCAAACCACCATGGCACGTGTATACCTATGTAACAAAACTGCGGTGACAGGGGAGGAGCCAAGATGGCTGAATAGGAACAGCTCCGGTCTACAGCTCCCAGGGTGAGTGATGCAGAAGACGGGTGATTTCTGCATTTCCATCTGAGGTACCGGGTTCATCTCACCAGGGAGTGCCAGACAGTGGGCGCCGGACAGTGGGTGCAGTGCACTGTGCGCCAGCCGAAGCAGGGCGAGGCATTGCATCATTCGGGAAGCGCGAGGGGTCAGGGAGTTCCCTTTCCTGGTCAAGGAAAGGGGTGACAGAAGGCACCTGGAAAATCGGGTCACTCCCACCTGAATACTGCGCTTTTCCGACAGGCTTAGGAAACAGCGCACCAGGAGATTATATCCCACACCTGGCTCAGAGGGTCCTAAGCCCACGGAGTCTGGCTGATTGCTAGCACAGCAGTCTGAGATCAAACTGCAAGCAGCAGCGAGGCTAGGGGAGGGGTGCCCGCCATTGCCCAGGCTCGCTTAGGTAAACAAAGCAGCCGGGAAGCTCGAACTGGGTGGAGCCCACCACAGCTCAAGGAGGCCTGCCTGCCTCTGTAGGCTCCACCTCTGGGGGCAGGGCACAGACAAACAAAAAGACAGCAGTAACCTCTGCAGACTTAAATGTCCCTGTCTGACAGCTTTGAGGAGAGCAGTGGTTCTCCCAGCAAGCAACTGGAGATCTGAGAATGGGCAGACTGCCTCCTCAAGTGGGTCCCTGACCCCTGACCCCCAAGCAGCCTAACTGGGAGGCACCCCCCCAGTAGGGGCAGACTGACACCTCACACGGCCGGGTACTCCTCTGAAACAAAATTTCCAGAGGAACGATCAGACAGCAGCATTTGCGGATCACGAAAATCCGCAGTTCCGCAGACACCGCTGCTGATACCCAGGCAAACAGGGTCTGGAGTGGACCTCTAGCAAACTCCAACAGACCTGCAGCTGAGGGTCCTGTCTGTTAGAAGGAAAACTAACAAACAGAAAGGACATCCACACCAAAAACCCATCTGTACATCACCACCGTCAAAGACCAAAAGTAGATAAAGCCACAAAGATGGGGAAAAAACAGAACAGAAAAACTGGAAACTCTAAAAAGCAGAGCTCCTCTCCTCCTCCAAAGGAATGCAGTTCCTCACCAGCAACGGAACAAAGCTGGACGGAGAATGACTTTGACGAGTTGAGAGAAGAAGGCTTCCAATGATCAAACTACTCCAAGCTACAGGAGAAAATTAAAACCAAAGGCAAAGAAGTTAAAAACTTTGAAAAAAATTTAGACGAATGTATAACTAGAATAACCAATACAGAGAAGTGCTTAAAGGAGCTGATGGAGCTGAAAGCCAAGGTTTGAGAACTACATGAAGAATGCAGAAGCCTCAGGAGCCAATGCAATCAACTGGAAGAAAGGGTATCAGTGATGGAAGATCAAATGAATGAAATGAAGTGACAAGAGAAGTTTAGAGAAAAAAGAATAAAGAGAACCGAACAAAGCCTCCAAGAAATATGGGACTATGTGAAAAGACCAAATCTGCGTCTGATTGGTGTACCTGAAAATGACGGGAAGAATGGAACCAAGTTGGAAAACACTCTGCAGGATATTATCCAGAACTTCCCCAATCTAGCAAGGCAGGCCAATATTCAGATTCAGGAAATACAGAGAACGCCACAAAGATACTCCTCGAGAAGAGCAACTCCAAAACACATAATTGTCAGATTCACCAAAGTTGAAATGAAGGAAAAAATGTTAAGGGCAGCCAGAGAGAAAGGTCGGGTTACCCACAAAGGGAAGCCCATCAGACTAACAGTGGATCTCTCGGCAGAAACTCTACAAGCCAGAAGACAGTGGGGACCAATATTTAACATTCTTAAAGAAAAGAATTTTCAACCCAGAATGTCATATCCAGCCAAACTAAGCTTCTTAAGTGAAGGAGAAATAAAATACTTTACAGACAAGCAAATGCTGAGAGATTTTGTCACCACCAGGTCTGCCCTAAAAGAGCTCCTGAAGGAAGCACTAAACATGGAAAGGAAAAACCAGTACCAGCCCCTGCAAAATCATGCCAAAATGTAAAGACCATCGAGACTGGGAAGAAACTGCATCAACTAACGAGCAAAATAACCAGCTAACATCATAATGACAGGATCAAATTCACACATAACAATATTAACTTTAAATGTAAATGGACTAAATGCTCCAATTAAAAGACACAGACTGGCAAATTGGATAAAGACTCAAGACCCATCAGTGTGCTGTATTCAGGAAACCCATCTCACATGCAGAGACACACACAGGCTCAAAATAAAAGGATGGAGGAAGATCTACCAAGCAAATGGAAAACAAAAAAAGGCAGGGGTTGCAATCCTAGTCTCTGATAAAACAGACTTTAAACCAACAAAGATCAAAAGAGACAAAGAAGGCCATTACATGATGGTAAAGGGATCAATTCAATAAGAAGAGCTAACTATCCTAAATATATATGCACCCAATACAGGAGCACCCAGATTCATAAAGCAAGTCCTGAGTGACCTACAAAGAGACTTAGACTCCCACACAATAATAATGGGAGACTTTAACACCCCACTGTCAACATTAGACAGATCACGAGACAGAAAGTTCACAAGGATATCCAGGAATTGAACTCAGCTCTGCACCAAGCAGACCTAACAGACATCTACAGAACTCTCCACCCCAAATCAACAGAATATACATTTTTTTCAACACCACACCACACCTATTCCAAAATTGACCACATAGTTGGAAGTAAAGCTCTCCTCAGCAAATGTAAAAGAAAAGAAATTATAACAAGCTGTCTCTCAGACCACAGTGCAATCAAACTAGAACTCAGGATTAAGAAACTCACTCAAAACCACTCAACTACATGCAAACTGAAAAACCTGCTCCTGAATGACTGCTGGGTACATAACGAAATGAAGGCAGAAATAAAGATGTTCTTTGAAACCAATGAGAACAAAGACACAACATACCAGAATCTCTGGGACACATTCAAAGCAGTGTGTAGAGGGAAATTTATAGCACTAAATGCCCACAAGAGAAAGCAGGAAAGATCCAAAATTGACACCCTAACATCACAATTAAAAGAACTAGAGAAGCAAGCACAAACCCATTCAAAAGCTAGCAGAAGGCAAGAAATAACTAAAATCAGAGCAGAACTGAAGGAAATAGAGACACAAAAAACCCTTCAAAAAATCAATGAATCCAGGAGCTGGTTTTTTGAAAGGATCAACAAAATTGATAGACCGCTAGCAAGACTAATAAAGAAGAAAAGAGAGAAGAATCAAATAGATGCAATAAAAAATGATAAAGGGGATATCACCACCGATCCCACAGAAATACAAACTACCATCAGGGAATACTACAAACACCTCTACGCAAATAAACTAGAAAATCTGGAAGAAATGGATAAATTCCTCGACACATACACTCTCCCAAGACTAAACCAGGAAGAAGTTGAATCTCTGAATAGACCAGTAACAGGCTCTGAAATTGTGGCAATAATCAATAGCTTACCAACCAAAAAGAGTCCAGGACCAGATGGATTCACAGCCGAATTCTACCAGAGGTACAAGTAGGAACTGGTACCATTCCTTCTGAAACTATTCCAATCAATAGAAAAAGAGGGAATCCTCCCTAACTCATTTTATGTGGCCAGCATCATCCTGATACCAAAGCCGGGCAGAGACACAACCAAAAAAGAGAATTTTAGACCAAAATCCTTGATGAACATTGATGCAAAAATCCTCAATAAAATACTGGCAAACCAAATCCAGCAGCACATCAAAAAGCTTATCCACCATGATCAAGTGGGCTTCATCCCTGGGATGCAAGGCTGGTTCAATATACGCAAATCAATAAATGTAATCCAGCATATAAACAGAACCAGAGACAAAAACTACATGATTATCTCAATAGATGCAGAAAAGGCCTTTGACAAAATTCAACAATGCTTCATGCTAAAAACTCTCAATAAATTAGGTATTGATGGGACGTATCTCAAAATAATAAGAGCTATCTATGACAAACCCACAGCCAATATCATACCGAATGGGCAAAAACTGGAAGCATTCCCTTTGAAAACTGGCACAAGACAGGGATGCCCTCTCTCACCACTCCTATTCAACATAGTGTTGGAAGTTCTGGCCAGGGCAATTAGGCAGGAGAAGAAAATAAAGGGTATTCAATTAGGAAAAGAGAAAGTCAAATTGTCCCTGTTTGCAGATGACATGATTGTATATCTAGAAAACCCCATTGTCTCAGCCCAAAATCTCCTTAAGCTGATAAGCAACTTCAGCAAAGTCTCAGGATACAAAATCAATGTGCAAAAATCACAAGCATTCTTATACACCAATAACAGACAAACAGAGAGCCAAATCATGAGTGAACTCCCATTCACAATTGCTTCAAAGAGAATAAAATACCTAGGAATCCAACTAACAAGGGACATGAAGGACCTCTTCAAGGAGAACTACAAACCACTGCTCAATGAAATAAAAGAGGATACAAACAAATGGAAGAACATTCCATGCTCATGGGTAGGAAGAATCGATATCGTGAAAATGGCCATACTGCCCAAGGTAATTTATAGATTCAATGCCATCCCCATCAAGCTACCAATGACTTTCTTCACAGAATTGGAAAAAACTACTTTAAAGTTCATATGGAACCAAAAAAGAGCCCACATCACCAAGTGAATCCTAAGCCAAAAGAACAAAGCTGGAGGCATCATGCTACCTGACTTCAAACTATACTACAAGGCTACAGTAACCAAAACAGCATGGTACTGGTACCACAACAGAGATACAGATCAATGGAACAGAACAGAGCCCTCATAAATAATGCCGCATGTCTACAACTATCTGATCTTTGACAAACCTGAGAAAAACAAGCAATGGGGAAAGGATTCCCTATTTAACAAATGGTGCTGGGAAAACTGGCTAGCCATATGTAGAAAGCTGAAACTGGATCCCTTCCTTACACCTTATACAAAAATTAATGCAAGATGGATTAAAGACTTAAATGTTAGACCTAAAACCATAAAAACCCTAGAAAAAAACCTAGGCATTACCATTCAGGACATAGGCATGGGCAAGGACTTCATGTCTAAAACACAAAAAGCAATAGCAACCAAAGCCAAAATTGACGAATGGGATCTAATTAAACTAAAGAGCTTCTGCACAGCAAAAGAAACTACCATCAGAGTGAACAGGCAACCTACAAAATGGGAGAAAATTTTCACAACCTACTCATCTGACAAAGGGCTAATATCCAGAATCTACAATGAACTCAAACAAATTTACAAGAAAAAAACAAACAACCCCATCAAAAAGTGGGCGAAGGATATGAACCTACACTTCTCAAAAGAAGACATTTATGCAGCCAAAAGACATATGAAAAAATGCTCATCATCACTGGCCATCAGAGAAATGCAAATCAAAACCACAATGAGATACCATCTCACACCAGTTAGAATGGCAATCATTAAAAAGTCAGGAAACAACAGGTGCTGGAGAGGATGTGGGGAAGTAGGAACACTTTTACACTGTTGGTGGGACTGTAAACTAGTTCAACCCTTGTGGAAGTCAGTGTGGCGATCCCTCAGGGATCTAGAACTAGAAATACCATTTGACCCAGCCATCCCATTACTGGGTATATACCCAAAGGACTATAAATCATGCTGCTATAAAGACACATGCACACATGTGTTTATTGCAGCACTATTCACAATAGCAAAGACTTGGAACCAAGCCAAATGTCCAACAATGATAGACTGGATTAAGAAAATGTGGCACATATACACCATGGAATACTATGCAACCATAAAAAATGATGAGTTCATGTCCTTTGTAGGGACATGGATGAAATTGGAAATCATCATTCTCAGTAAACTATCGCAAGAACAAAAAACCAAACACCGCATATTCTCACTCATAGGTGGGAATTGAACAATGAGAACACATGGACACAGGAAGGGGAACATCACACTCTGGGGACTGTTGTGGCATGGGGGGAGGGGGGAGGGATAGCTTTAGGAGATATACCTAATGCTAAATGACGAGTTAATGGGTGCAGCACACCAGCATGGCACATGTATACATATGTAACTAACCTGCACATTGTGCATATGTACCATAAAACTTAAAGTATAATAATAATAAAAAAAAGAAAGAGCTCCTGAAGGAATCACTAAATATGGAAAGGAAAACCATTACTAGCCACTACAAAAACACACTAAAGTACACAGACCAGTGACACTATGAAGCAACTACATAAATAAGTCTGCAAAATGACCACCTAGCATTATGATGACAGGATCAAATTCACATATAACAATGCTAACCTTAAATGTAAACAGGCTAAATGCCCCAATTAAAAGACACAGAAAGGCAGGGCGGGTAAAGAGCCAAGACCCCTCAGTATACTGTCTTCAAGAGACCCATCTCATGTGCAAAGACACACATAGGCTCAAAATAAAGGGATGGAGGAAAATTTACCAAGCAAATGGAAAGCAGAAAAAAGCAGGGGTTGCAATCCTACTTTCTGAAAAAACAAACAAACAAACATAAAAAATAAAAACAGACTTTAAACCAACAAAGATCAAAAAAGACAAAGAAGGGTATTACATAATGGCAAAGGGTTCAATTCAACAAGAAGAGCTAATTATCCTAAATATATATGCATCTAATACAGGAGCACCCAGATTCATAAAGCAAGTTCTTAGAGATCTACAGAGACTTATCTTCCACCACAGCAAGAGTGTGAGACTTTAACACCCCACTGTCAATATTAGACTGATCATTGAGACAGAAAATTAACAAAGATATTCAGGACCTGAACTCAGCTCTGGATCAAGTGGACCTGATAGATATCTATAGAACTCTTCACCCCAAATCAACAGAATATATATTCTTCTCATTGTCACATGGTATTTACTCTAAAATTGATCACGTAATTGGAAGTAAAACATTCTTCAGCAAATGTAAAAGAACTGAAATCCTAATAAACAGTGTCTCAGACCATAGCACAATTAAATTAGAACTCAAGATTAAGAAATTCACTCAAAACCACACAACCACATGGAAGTTGAACAACCTGCTACTGAATGACTCTTGGGTAAATAATGAAATTAAGGCAGAAATCAAAAAGTTCTTTGAAACTAATGAGAATAAAAGGACAATGTACCAGAATCTCTGAGACACAGCTAAAACAGTGTTAAGAGGGAATTTTATAGCACTAAATGCCCACGTCGAAAAGCTAGAAATATCTCAAGTTAACAACCTAACATCTCAACTAAAAGAACGAGAGAACCAAGAGAAAAAAACAAAACAAAACAAAACAAAACCCAAAGCTAGCAGAAGGCAAGACATAACCAAGATCAGAGCTGAACTGAAGGAGGTAGAGACAAAAAAAAAAAATCCAAAAACAAACAAACAAACAAACAAACAAGCCTTCAAAAAATCAATGAATCTGCAGCTGGTTTTGTGAAAAAAGTAAAATAGACTGCTAGATAGGCAAATAAAGAAGAAAAGAGAGAAGAATCAAACAAACACAATCAGAAATAATAAGGGAAATACCACCACTGACCCCACAGAAATACAAACAACCATCAGATAATACAATAAATACCTCTATGCACTTAAAACTAGAAAATCTAGAAGAAATGGAGAAACTCCTAGACACATACAACCTCCCAAGACTGAACCAGGAAGAAGTTGAATCACTGACGAGACCATTAACGAGTTCTGAAATCGAGGCAGCAATAAACAGCCTACAAATTAAAAAAAAAAAGTCTGGGACCAGACAGATTCACAGCTGAATTCTACCAGAAACACAAAGAAGAGCTGGTACCATTTCTTCTGAGACTACTCCAAACAATTGAAAAGGAGAGACTCCTCCCTAACTCATTCTATGAGGCCAGCATCATCCTGATACCAAAACCTGGCAGAAATAAAACAAAAAAAAGAAAACTTCAGGCCAACATCCCTATGAACATCTATGCAAAAATCCTAAATAAAATTCTGACAAACCAAAGCCATTATCCTCAGCAAACTAACGCAGGAACAGAAAACCAAACATGTTCTCACTTATAAGTAGGAGCTGAATGATGAGAACACGTGGACACACAGTGGTGGGAGAACACACACTGGGGCCTGTCGGGAGGGGGAGGGAGAACATCAGGAAGAATAGCTAAAGGATGCTGGGCTTAATACCTAGGTGATGGCATGATCTGTGCAGCAAAACCACCATGGCGCACGTTTACCTATGTAACAAACCTATACATTTGGCACATGTACCCGTGAAATTAAAACAAAAGTTGAAGAAAAAAACCTGAAAATTATTTTTAGAAACTTATAAAGAAGTGCTTACAAAGTTTTTGCATATATATGAGCAAGGATGTTAAGTGTACTATTGTTTGTCGTAAAAATATAAACTAAATTTTTATCTCTGGGATACTAATGAAATAAGTTTGGGGGCCTCTGTATAATGAAACACCTGGTTGATATTTTAAAAAGTTGTAAAATAATTTAAAATGTGATGATAGAAATGTATTTACATACAATAATTGTCATAATAAAGGCAAAATCAGGTTACAAAGTCCTAAGTGGCTTGGATCCATTTGTGCGTATACACGTCTATAGATATTTATCCACAGGTCTCAAAGAATATAAATTAAAATACTCTTTTTCTCTCACATAAAGCTTTCTCTTCAGCACCCTAATAGGTTGCAGTTTCTGTTGGAAGATGCTCAGTATCCTTATATACTTGGAATGACCTCCTTTTCACGAAGACTTCCAGAAAGCTCTGTAGGGTGGGCTTGGGTTACAACCCCTCCACCTTTCTGCTCAGCGATGTTTAAACTGCAGTTCAGGCTTCTGTCACAAGGCGACATCAACGTACCAGTATTATCAAACTTCTCTACAATGAAGTGTAAAAAAAGATAACCTCCCTTAAAACCCAGTTTATGAACTGAAGTACAGAGCAATTATAATTCTGTCAGAAAAAAACCCAGATAGGTGTAAATAAGACTGTAAAAGCATGTACTCTGGGACATCCATACCATGAAACACCAGGCAGCTTTAGTGCACCTTGGTAGTCTCCAACAGGCAAAGGGCAGTGCAGGGTAGCAGGAGGTGACTGGCAGAGGATGGGGGTGACAGAGTGGGGTCTGGGCGGCTGTGTCCCTTGTGTCCTGGAGAGGGGATCACTGAGAGGGGGCAGCAGAAGGTCTGGGAAGCCTGTACAAGGGTGGGATAATGGAGGGTGAGTGCCCTGTTCTCTGGGAGGGACCCTCCTAAAGTGTAGACATCTCAACCTACGCTGAGGAGGGAAGAGATAAATGAATGAATGTGATATAGATTTGGTGCCAACAGCAAAGGGAAAGGCTTTAATATACATGTTAATTTTCCAAAAAGAATTGCTATCTTAGTACACACACCATTACAAGATGATAAAGAGCAAACTGGAGAAGCATCGCGCCTGGTGACCAGAGCCAGGATTGAAGCTCTGGGAGTCAGATCAGGGGAGTCAGCAAGGAGTAGGGAGGGATGAAGGTTGGGATCTTGACTTAATGGTAATCAGCCAGCGTTTTCTGGAATTATTCTCCTAATGGTAGCCATCTCTCTGTATCTCTCATTTCTAGGGCTATCTAAAACTGAGATCGGTTCCAGCCTCTGTCTGAATTGAAGGTAAAATTGAAACTGTGAGTGTGTATTCGAGGTGATAGAGCTAGAGAAGACAGACAGACACACACACACACACACACACACACACTACACTGTCAATTCAGTTTTAAAACTCTACGTCTTTCACCAAAAATGGAATACAATGAATGCTTTTTCAAATTAATGAATATATGTGCACATTACATTAGTCATTCTGTTCACAAGTATTTTTTGTTTTCAAATTTTTATCAAAATACTTTTTTTCCTGAACACCGATTTCAAACAATTTACAAACATATATTCATAAATCAAAATTAATCTGCACCTCTCACTGGCCCTACTTCTATCCCCTGACTCCCAAGGGGTCTGTTTCCATAGAATGGTGCATACTCTCCAGATGTGTCCCTGCAGGTGAGGTGCACATAAACACGTTCACCTACACACACAGTCTGCTCCAAAAGTGAAATCACAGTATTCAGCTTCTATTGCAACTATCCTTTTTCACTTAATATTGTTATTAGTGATAACTAATAATCTTATTAGTTCTTATGATTTTAGCATATTTAACATGTTTGCGTTTCACATATATATTTATTTGAATTATCTGTTGAAATTGGTTACTAACCATTTTGTTAGCAAGTGTTCTTCAGAAATCATGGATGTTAACGCTATATCTGATATGTAGTTAGTGAATGTTTTCTCCCCTGTTTCAGTATAATCACTAGTATTATTTTCATTTAGAATGTGTTCTAAAAGTTCAATAATATGATGAAAATATGTACAGGTAGTAATTTAAAAGAAAAATTCTTGAACACTTCATTAGAGCACATGTACTATCAGGGTTGAAGGAGATTAGAACATCCAGAGTTCTGGAGGCATTGGGACAAAATGTAAAACAAACAAAACCTCTAATTCCAGAATTGGCTACTGATCAGGAGATAACAAAATTGTCTCCCTGCTTTTACATAAGCTCTCCTTAGTTTCCTGATTTAAATAATCATCATGATATGTGTATTAATCTTTTCTCACATTGCTATAAAGAAATACCTGAGATGGGTAATTTATATTGAAAAGAGGTTTAATTGGCTCACGGTTCTGCATCATGATGCTGTCAATCTGCTCAGCTTTTGGGAAGGTCTCAGGAGAAACCTCAGGAAACTTACAATCATAGCAGAAGGCTAAGGGGAACCAGGTTTGTCTTACATGGCTGAAGCAGGAGGATGAGAAAGAGAAGGGGAAGGTGCCACACACCTTAAAACAACCAGATCCATGATAACTCACTATCGCCATGACAACAACAAGGAGGATGGTGTTAAACCATGAGAAACCACCCTCATGATCCAGTCACCTCCCACTAAGCCCCACCTCCAACACTGGAGGTTGCAATTGAACATGAGATTTGGGCTGGAACACAGATCCAAACCATATCAGTGGGTATCTTGAATAGCTGTTAGAATTAAAGGAGATGAAGTATAAAGTGCATTAGCTTACAGTGGTTCAGTGCATGTTACTTTCCTTCTCTCCTGGTCACCCATCCCAAGGCCAACACCTGAGCTTCTGCCTGAGCCCACTCATCAACTTCAGGTATCTGCCAACTCGTGTGGTCCTACACCTACATTTCTTGGCACAAAGGATGGGATCTCACCTCTATCATCTTCATTACCCAGAAGAGTTGTTGAGTAAATGCTTGTGGGGTCACAATAGCAGGGGGTGGACTCTGACCATTTCTCAAGCCCTGGAAGCCATCTTCTAAAAAGGAGGCTGCTCAGAGTCCTCTAGGAAGGGTGAGGGATGGAAACTCACCCCAATGCTGCCACTTACCTGGAAAGGTGACTTAGGCTCTGTGAGCCTGAACTTGGTTATCTGTGAAATGGGACTGACCATACCATCATTATGGAGCTGTCCCCAGGTGTAAATGAGAAAACCTGTCCAGAGATTATGGCATGGAGTAAAAGACGTCAGCGGCCCTTTAAATGCTGAGACACAGCATTAGGCGCTGGCTGAGCCTCAGGGCCAAGAAGGCATTGTGAAAAGTCATTTCTCATTGTTCCTTTTAATAAGAATACAGATATTTAGAGGAAGGAAGCAAATGTCTTTGATATGCCTTGAGTTCAAAGTTTTGGAGACAGAGATTTCTCTACATTTGGGGTGTTTTCAGAAGCTGATTTGGGTGTATTCAACATCATGAATCTGAGCAGACCCAAATCATTCTTCCCCATGATGGGAAGAATGTCTTTAAACTTACCTAGTGAGATCAATGGTAGATCGCACCAGGGAAACAAGAGGTCGGTCATGTTTGCCTAGTGGCTGCTCTTTGACTGCTCAGTATATTAATATATTTATAGGAAAATTCTGGGCCCATTTGCTGTCACCAGGGCAGGGGCCCTCAGCTCTTGCATTATCCAGCAATATCACACCAGGATTTCAGCCATCTCTGCCTCCTGGAGAGGCAAAAATTCAAGAGTTACTAGCATTTCCTTGACACACACTTGTCCATTTTTTCATTCACTAACTATATATTGATCTCTAAATCCATACTATTATGTTTGAGGCATCTAATGGGCTCTAAATTGTAAATAAGAGGATAAGAAAGGCAATGAATATATGGGCGACTTCAAAGGTTAAATTTGAGATGAGATGGTTCCTTCATATAATTTTTAAACTTGTTCAAGAAATTGAAGATTCAAAAAAGTTTATTCCTGACTCCTCATCCTCCCTTTAGCCACAGTATCAATATTCATTTTTTCTCTCTCTCTCTCTCGTGTCTTTCTACATTCCCTGATAGTATTCATCACTTCCCACTGACTATTTATACCACTACACTATGGCTTCTGTCCCCAGGATTGCAATAAACATCACCTTACCTATGTCATAATACACCTTTTCATCACTAGGTTCATTTTTATATATAAATATATTTAAATACAAAGTAGTAAGTACTGTATAATGACTTTCTAAAATGTATATGCTCTTATAGACTGCGTCTTTCACTTAACACAAATCTCTGAGTTTCCCAAGCTCTGTAGCATGATGTACTGGACACAAATCCAAGCTGTCCCACTCCCTAATTGTGCAGTCTTGGGCAAAGTTCTTATGTTCCAAGTGCTTTTTGGGTACTCGGTCTTTTAATGCTCACATGCGAAATAGTGCTGCTAATGTCCATTTTACAGATGAGATGAGAAACTGAGGAACAGGAAGAATAAGAATAATAAGAATACACTGGCCATTTTGATTTTTTCTCTATCTGTATTGGTCATTAGTATCTTTACTATGCCTATGGTATAAGCTCATGTTTATTCACAATCAATGACCTTCGAGGTATGTTGTTAGTAAAGTTTACCAATCATTTGACCTTAAGATAGGAAAATTATACTGGTTTATCTGTGTGGGCCCAATGTAATCATTAAAGGAAGAGTCTTTGAAAGCAGATGTAGAAGAGGGAGTCAGGGAGATTTGAAGTATGAGAAGAACTTGATGCGCTACTGCTGGTTTGAAGATGGAGGGGGCATTATGAGAAGAAAGGTGGACGGCTCCTAGCTGACAGCCAACAAGGAAATGGGGACCTCAGTCCTACAACTTTCAGGAACTGAAGTTGAGCTTGGGAGATGATCCCAAGTTCCAAATGAGAATGCAGCAAACTGACACCTTGATTTCAACCTTTTGAGACCATAAGCAGAGAGCCCAGAAGAGCTATACGATGCCCAGTCTTCTTACTCACAGAGACTATAATAAACGGGTGTTATTGAAACCACTAAGTTTGTGGTAATTTCTTATGGCAGCAATAGAACACGAACATACTTGGTAGTTTTTGGTCAGATGCCAGACATTGTGAGTTGTACTTTGTTGGGAGATGAGTATGTACTCCTATAAAGTTTTATTGTGAGAGCCAAGTAAGTTACTTGGAAATAATTGGATCCTTTCAAGGCTTTTTATCTTTTTTTTTTTAGGGTGAGTCCATAACACCTTTTATTTTAGGGCTATTTTAGCTTCATTACTAAGGTGACACCCTTCTTGGGACTCTAGGTGATGTCTTCTATGTTACAAGGTTTTCCACTCTGGCTGGAATGAACAAGAACAATTCCTAGCCCTGTTTGAGCTCTGGGAATTGTTCATCCTATTGCTTTCTAGTGGTTCTTTTCCTGATCTTAGATTTTTTTTTTTCACGTATGCTCAGATCAATTCTTAACAAAACACCCAAGGACCTCTTTGCAATACTGTGCAACTCTTTCTTTGCAGCTATCAACTCTCCAGAACTCTGCCCACAAATTCTAGCCACGTTGGTCTACCTGAACTTCAATGTTTCCTCAATTTAGACCAGTTAGTTGACGAAATTGTAGGACTTGCTTCATTTCCTTTCTCTAATAGATCTCACAGTCTTGCCATGACTGTTGTCTAACGTCTGAATGCTAACATACACTGTATTTTGTCCAGATTTCTGGATGAAAGGCTAGATCCAGTTTCTAGTCCTCTCTTATGGCTGGAAACAGAAGTTTCCGGGGAGCATTTTAAATATTAAAGCATGGATTCCATCCCAGAATGTTCTAGGGGGCAGACCTGGATATTGGGTATTTAAAAAGCTCTCTTAGTGATTCCAATGTGTAGCCAGGATTGAGAACTGTGGACCTGAATGATCTATAAAACACTTATAACAAAGGTTATAAGACTATAAGCCCAGCCAAAACCAGAATAATCTTTGCATGATTTCATTGACAAATAAAACTAACTTGAGATTGCTGGTTCAATAAAAACAGAATAATGTAAGTTATTGACAAAATGCCCATGTATTTAAGGTTTTTGCTAGGTTGGCACAAAAGCAATTGCGGTTTTTACCATTACTTTTAGTACTTAGGTGAACACCTGATGATCACAGGCTTTAAAAATGGTTAACAGAGAAATAACTTAAATGATGACTAGTTTTCTCTAATATTTCAGTTTTCAGAAGTAATCTAGATAAACCATTAAAAATGAAAGAATTGAGTACATACAAATGGGATTAATCCTTGTAAGTGAACTTTATGTAATTTAATATCTTAAAATTATTGTGAACTGAATAATAGATGTTCATTGGATGTCTGGGCCATTTCCAATTAAGGGTTATAATATGGGGAGACATGTTGCTAAAAATAGTGAAGTGGTTTCATCTATAAAATGCTAACATCTGATAGATACTTTAGGGTTTCTTTCTTCCTAGGTTTTCACTAAAATTTAAAGTTACTAAGAATTCGAGCTAATATATAATTCTTTGTTATGTTCTTACTGAGAAAAAGGATAATTTAATGTAAGTGGGAGATTATTTAAAAGTTATTTGTGAAAGAAGAAAGGAACCAGTAAGTAGACAAGAAGTATGAAGAAAGTTATGGATAGGAAGATGTATTTTTGGTAAGGAAGTTTATAAACAGAATAATTTTGTATGAGGGAGAATCTTATATGGTAAAATTTTGTCCTAAAATATGATGACTGCTTATTTAGGAAAGACGTAGCATAGGACAAGTCAGAAAGTCCAAGCATGTTGTTAGTGGTCTAAGTTGTGATAAGGTTCAGGAAAGAATTTTGTATATGATTAAGTTGGCTATAATTTGAAGGGAATTATTTATGATAGTCTTTCTAAGATTGATCTTCTATGTTAAAACAAGATTTTCTTAAGGTATTGATTTGCTCTTAATGAAGTTACAAGAATATTTTTATTTTTAATACTATAACCTGTTTATTTTGAAAATTTCTCAGATTCATATCTTAAAGTTTAATACCACATGTTCTCACTTATAAGTGGGAGCTGAGTGATAACACATGGACACATGATGGGGAACAACACACACTGGGGCCTGTTGGAGGGTGGGGGGTGGGAGGAGGGAGAGCATCAGGAAGAATAGCTAATGGATGCTGGGCTTAAAACCTAGGTGATGTGATGATCTGTGCAGCTAATCAACATGGCACATGTTTGCCTATGTAACAAACCTGCACATCCTGTACATGTGCCCCTGAACTTAAAATAAAAGTTGGAAATTTAAAAAAAAACCTTTGTTGTGCCTCACTGCTTTCAGCTTTCTCTCCCCTTGAGAAAGCTTGAGATGATAACTCTCTCCAACTTTTTTGTAAGCTCCTGTAATTTTTTTCCCTCTGGTTCTATCTGCTGTTATGGCCTGATGCCAAAATGTTTTATCTTGAAAGTCTAAAAAAGCAATGTTTTCCTCCAGTATAACCTAATTTTGTACTCTTGGCTTTTCTTGATGTGTCTGAATTGTTTCATGTAACCAGGAAACTTGACATGAGGTTACTGAGTCCTATATTTCCCTGCTATACTCATAACCCTGGACACATACTTCATGTGTATGATTAAATTCAGTACTTTTCTCATCAGGTTTAATTTCCACATAATCTAAATGGGCTTCCTATAAAGGGAAGCAATCATACTGCAGAAGGTTTTTGTCTTTTTGGTAACTTGTCTAAAAAACAAAGATTTTACATTTTGTCAAAATAAAATTTTTATATTTACAGGTTTTTGATTCTTTAGTAAAACAGATTTAAAATAATTAAGGTTTTTACATCCATGTAACTTTCTGTATTGCTTTGAAAGACTTTTGATTATCATTCTTGGTTAAATAACTCTTACACTGTTTTGATCAAATGTTTTGAGATTTGTAACATCTTTGATAAATATCCTCAAAATCTAAATCCTAAACTAAGTCTCTGATCTAGACTTATTACTAGGGACTTATCAAAACTATAAAACTAAATCACCGAAAGGTTGTAGAATCTTTCTTTCTTTTTTTTCTTTTTGAGACGGAGTCCCACTCTGTCGCCCAGGCTGGAGTATAATGGCGCAATCTCAGCTCACTGCAACCTCAGACTCCCGGATTCAAGCGATCCTCGTGCCTCAGCCTCCAGAGTAGCTGGGATTATAGCACCACCATGCCCGGCTAATTTTTGTATTTTTAGTAGAGACAGGGTTTCACCATATTGGCCAGCCTGGGCATTAGGTTTTAATTTTTGCTAATCTGATGACAGATTTGATTTATTTTTCATAATCATGAGAGATTAAGCATATTTTCATGTGCATCAGACTCTTGTATTTAAGAGTCATCATTGCCTTTCTCTTGTAAGAAAACTAAGGCATTTTGTGAAAAATGAAATCCAGTGTATGACATATAGTATAGTCAAAGATCTTGAAATATAATTGGTGTCTTAACTATCACTTCCCACCTTTAAACATTCCTCCTCTTTAGAGGTGAAAAAAATTACTTATATTAAATGTACTGAAAATAAACATTAAATACTGTCTCTCTAACCTCTTTGTGTTCATTTACAATTCAAAATAAAAATAATGGGTTTTGCTATGGCTTTATATTTCCTTAAAATATTAATGAAGATTCATAATTTGGGAAATATAATAATGTCACTTGATTCTTAAAAGAATTGTATCTTAGTCATCAAGCTAAACACAGCAAGAAAACAATGACATTATCACTTGAAGTTTGTCTCAGTGTATTGTTAACCATGTAATCAGCCACCCTTAAGTTAATTTCAGCAGTGTCAAGGAAATTCATGGAGCAACCTTCAAAGCACATTAGGGAAGTGCTAACACACTGGACAGTAAGAACAGTAGCAGTAGAGCATGTTATTTAAACTTGAGATAATAAAATACAGAAGTGAGAACCCTTGTGAAATTTTTGTTTGGGTAACAAGATCATTAATACTGTTAATGGATAAACCAAACTCTAAAATATATATATATATATATATATATATTTTTTTTTTTTTTTTTTTTTTTTTTTTTCTTGAGATGGAGTCTCGCTCTGTCGCCCAGCTGGAGTGCAGTGGCACAATCTCGGCTCACTGCAACCTCCGCCTCCTGGGTTCGAGTGATTCTCCTGCCTCAGCCTCCCAAGTAGCTGGGACTACAGGTGCCCGCCACCACGCCCAGCTAATTTTTTTGTATTTTTAGTAGAGACGGGGTTTTACCATGTTGGCCAGGATAGTCTTGATCTCTTGACCTCATGATCCACCCGCCTCGGCCTCCCAAAGTGCTGGGATTACAGGCATGAGCCATCGTGCCCGGCCAACTCTAAAATATTTTAAAGTTTACTCTGAACCAATGTGATTTCAGCCTGTCTTAAGGAGTCCTAAGAAACTGCACCCAAGGCACTCAGATTATACTTCAGTTTTATATGTTTCAGGGAGGCAAGAGTGACAGGCAAAGATACGAGTCAATACATGGAAGGTATCCTTTCATTCACACTGAAAATGCAGGATATCTGGAAGCAGTATGGGGGTTTAGAGCTTATAGGTAGATTCAGAGATTCTTTAATTTGCAGTTCGTTAAAGGAGTAAGGCTCTATCTAAAACTTGGCATCAACAGAAAAGAATGTTTTAAGATAGGGATGCTATGTAACAAGATTAATGGCCTACATGTGTGACTTAACGCTTGCCTTGCATGACCTTAGGCCTTGTTTAAAATTTGGTATCTTATTGCCACAAAGAGAGTTTTGTCTTAAAATATCTATTTTAACATTAATGCTGGTTAACTGCTGTGCCTAAACTCCTAAAGGGAGGGGGTATAATAATGTATGAATGACCTCTCTTCCCATTATGGCCAGGAACTCAGTTTAAGGTTTCTCTGGCAGGGTCCCCTTGGCCAAGAGGGGGTGTGTACAGTGGGTGAGGGACTTAAGATATTATGTTTAGTTTACAATACTTTATAGATTTTGTACTTGTGGTATACTGTAAAGTTTACAGAATAAAATAAGCAAGAGTTCTATAGTATACTTGAAATAAACACCACATTATAACTTTTACAGGCACAAAGTTTCTAAAGATTCAAGCAAGTTTAGTCAACCTTCATTTATTAGGACTACTTCAAGTATGCCAGCTTACAAACAAGAAGCATCCTACAAATGGTTCTTACTACATAATTCTTAGAATGAGTGTATTTATACTTTGAACAGTCACATGAGTGTTAAGATGTCAATTTTACATCACTACTTGGTGAAACTTTTTGTCTACCTTCATGATTTCTTCAGTTTTTTTTTTAGCAGACAAGACTGTAAAAAGTGTGAATCTAAATATAGCTTATCACCTGGTAAAAGCTGGAGCATTTCATTAGCAGTTAACGTGATCATCAGCCGTCTTTCTACCCCTTCTAATGCAAGATCCAAACAAAATTTGTGCAAGTCAGAGAGAGGCAAAGAATAAGTCTTATTTCATAAAACTATGTGGGTGCCAAATTTCTTCAGGCATAAAACTTTCAGTTGCTGCTGATGGAGATGACCACTGGCAGCCCACCACCTTGGCCAAGTTAGAGTAGATGGCCAGTGGCTCCCGCAGGCAGCAAAGGAAGAAGGCTGTGTCAAAATGTCTGCTGCTGCTGTGCTCCAGTAATGCAGCACCCAGATGTCAGGTATGCAGTTGAGGTGTACACACAGGTGTAGGAACTGATTCAAGTCATAGTTGATATGGGCGCATGAGGTGGCCAGGCCCAGTGGTGGCATAAGGCATGGCCATGGTCCGGTGCAGGCTCCTCTGACCAGGGTCTACCAAAGAGTCCCTGGGCTGCCTATATGTTTTTCCATAAACTGCTTATGCATATCCTTTACTCATTTTTCTTAGGTTGTATCTTATTTTTAAGATCTATTTGTATGATAATTAGTCCTTTCATTTGTGGCAAAGGTTTTTGTAATTAGCTTTTTGGAGAGGTATTTTTCATAGATATTATAAAATGGTTTACATAGCCAAACAATAATTTTGTCTTCTGGACTGCTAGCTGCATTAAACAAGTTTGACTTCTTAGTGTGAATAAAAATTGTCTTTGAAGTTCCTGGAAGAACTAGCAGTTATGTTTGCAGAACCTGAAACAGCAAGCCTCGGAATCCACAAACAAAAGAGGCAAAAGGAGGTCAACAAATGCCCCAGTTTTCTGAAGAGAAAGATTCATGGAAAGTCAGGCTAATTTATGTTAGTTCTGAGCAAAGTTATAGCACTAATCACTAAGCCAGCAGGTTCAGGAACAATGATCAAAGGGCATATGGCCACCAGGAGGAAGTCATGCCAAATCCAGTTAGCCCCTACTTTTGTTAAGATCTCTGGCCACATAAATCAGAAGATTGCCATAGGCTTAGAACTTCTGGGTTTCAGCAATGCATTTGATAAAGTATCTCAAGACTTTCCTGTGGACAAGGTTGTTAGCCATATCCATAGGTGGTTGAACAACTATATCCAAAGAGATTAATTAATGAGTCAATCAAATTGGAGGGCTCCCTAAAGGCCAGGGCTCTCTGAACTTGATCACATCTTAATGTTATCATTGATTTGGGTAAAGGCACAGAAGACCACTTATCAGATTTACAGGATACATGAGGCTGGGAGAGCAAGTTAATACAAGGACACACTGGAATCAAGATATAAAAAGATAATTGACAGCTTGAAACAGGGTTAAGAAGGGTAAATGTAAAATCCCATACTTTTCTAGGGGAAACAACATGGATAAACAGAGCTTGGGAGAGATAATGAGTCAAAAGCAGTCATTTATGTGTAAAGAAACATGCAAATTTAAGTTGTGTCTGGTTGCCAAAGGAGCCCACACCTAGGTTGTGAGCTGCCTGGCTGGCTTCTGGCTCAGATGCAAAGCTGGAGCAGATCTCTCTGCTGTAGCTTTGGATTTCGTGATTTTGAGATTTGTGTTCAAAGTCACCAACATCTCCCAAAGTCTCCAGGAAGAAGAGGCACCTGTCCAGATGAGCCCAGGTGGCTTCTGCCTTTGCTCGCCTTCTGACACCTGCATGGTGGTTATCTGCCAACTGTGCCCTGGGCCTATGCCCTTTCAGTCTAAACTCACACTGGTAGAGCTCCTAGAGGTCATCAAGCATAATTGTCTTCATGTTAAAGCCCGAGAAGTGGAGGCCCAGAGTGGTGTGGCGAGCAGGGGAGAGGACGATGACAAACCTAAGGTCACATGGCAAGTGAGCAGTAAAATGTTCCTATTCTCAGCACAGGGCTACCTCCACTCAGCCTCTTTTCCCTCTGCCTGCTCTCTCTCAGGTAAGGCAAGCCCCCAGGAGTAGGACAGTATGGAAGGAAACACTTGGTCCTACCAGATGGACTCCTTTCCCAAGCCCTGAGTAGGGAGAATCATGAAGGCCTTGCCAAGCTTTAGAGATTTAGAAGCTGCCTCCTTGACCCAAGACTGAAGAGATATGAAAGGCCCTCCAGAGGGTTCCATCTTCTCCAGTCTCCATCAGGTCACCAAGTTCCCCTGAATGAATATACAAATGAAGCTTTAAGATGAGCCCCCAGGGCCAGGTGTGTTGGCTCATGCCTGTAATCCCAGCACTTTGGGAGGCTGAGGCTGGTGGATCACCTGAGGTCAGGAGTTCGAGACCGGCCTGGCCAACATGGTGAAACCCCATCTCTACTAAAAATACAAAAATTAGCCAGGTGTGGTGGTGGGTGCCTGTAATCCCAGCTACTCGGGAGGGTGAGTCAGGCAAATTGCTTGAACCTGGGAGGTGAAGGTTGCAGTGAGTCGAGATCTTACCACTGTACTCCAGCCTGGGTGACAGAGCAAGACTCCGTCTCAAAAAAAAAAAAAAAAAAAAAAAGATGAGCCCCCAATCCCTGTCAGCTTGCTGTCCCTAAGACCCTCCTATGTAGAAATCCTGGAACTGCCCCCCACCATTATACTTCTCAGACATTCTTTCTTCCTTGTTCCCACTCTTGGGAATTCCAAAGATATTTCAGGGCCTGGTTACTGACCCAGTCACAGAGAAGTCCTTGTCTTTTCAGCTTCAAGGGATAAGCAGGATCCAGAACTTCTCTCCAGCACAGCCTGGATTAAGGAGGTATTGCCGAGGCTGGCTGGGAAGGCAACTGCTTCTAAAGGAAGCAGACCTCCTGTCCCTTCAGGCATCCTTTTCTGTGGCTGGAGGCCACTCACATCACACAATACACCCAGGGTCTCAGGGTGTTTTGCAACCTTCGGAATTAGCTTGCCACAGGAACACTCACATCACACACACACACACACACACACACACACACACACACACACACACACACTCAAGCCATCCCTCAGGCCCTAGCACAGCTGCTTCTCAGTCCTCCCTGCCAGTCTTACAGATGTTTGAAGGCATGGTTAGCTGAGGGAAGGTTCCATTTGCTCAGCCAGCTTCTGGCGCTGCTCTTAGTAGCCCTTGACAAACATCATCTCCAGCCACTTCCTGCCACCCTCAGCAGCCCAGAGTGCCTTTTCAGTTCAGGGATAGCCCAGCTGCCTCATCTTCCTCCATTTCCACCCTCTGTGGCATCTACTTCTTGCTTCCTTTCCTCTTTTTGTACCTGTCCCATCAGCTCCACATCTACTCACAGCTCTGAAGTCATTTCCCAATTCCCCATGCTCCATCTGTCTGCTGGGGAAAGGGTGCATAAGGGCTTCTTTCCAAATTCTTCTGACTTATTACCTCAGGCTTTTCAGAGCCTCAGTGTTCTCCATATAAAATGACTTCTGCTTTATCCAGTATCTAATATCCTATCATTTTATTAGCTTCTGCAGTTCCAAAATCTTAAGAAGTTGTTTACATGCATTAGGTGCCTATGACATGCCAGGCTCTGCATCACAGGCAGTATCTCATTTATGCCTCCTGAAACCTTGAGAGGCAGTAATGTTAGCAGCTCTATTTTACCCATAGGGAAACTGAGGCAGCGCTGAGCGGTTACATAACTTGACTAAGATGACTGAGCTGGCCCCTGGAGAATGAGGCTGAAGCCAAGTGGTGGTGTGGCTCAGAGACCACACCCAGCACCCCCATATCACAGTGTGGTTCAGAATCCATGAATATTTCAGAGCTACCTTATTTGTGCTGATCAGGATTGGGAGGCCTAGAAGATTAAAGGAAATTTTTCCTAACAGCCCTGAGGTCAGGGGAGTGATGATCTCCCCTGGTGTCAGAGGACTCCTCAGAACACCAACATTGCCCATCCCAATTTGTTCGAAGGACACAGTAAGAGAATACTTCCAATCCAGTAGGAGGGATTTGGGTCAGGCAAGAGTATTAAGTTATTTTTCACTTTTGAAGTTAAAAAGATCAGAAGTTTCTGACAGGCTTTAATGAGAATAGTCTTCCCTGGGTCCCACTCAGTCCAGCTGCTCAGAGGTAGCCACATTTAATGTTTTTAGGTGCTCCTTCTGGTATTTGCTTTTGTCTTTCTAAATGATGTGCTCTTGCTGCTGTTTCTTTACTTACCAATTTTTAGTTATTTTCTACTGATTTGGACAGAATTTGACAGGATCTGTACAAATATCCTGGGAGTGACAGTGGAAGAATGTCTTCCTAGAGGAGAGAGGTTGAGGGCCCAGGAATAGGGGATGGCTCTTTTGCATGAGGGGAAGAGGGACAGTTCTACTGAAGAGCAGAAGGCAGCCACGGAGTTTCTGGCTCCAACCTCCAAGCACACTGTGTCCCATGGCTTCTTCCAGGACTTTGTGAGACAATCCTTTTCCTCTTAGCATGGATAGCAGGCCATGTCATTGACACCTCCAGGCCTGCCTAAGGTGTGTTTGCTTGCTTCACTCTACCCGGAGTCCCCTATCTGCTTCTTTCTCTTTTGTCTAAAATGCTACCTTCAGCTATAGCTCAGTGTTACTCTCTTACGGGGAGCCTCCTTGGCATGGCTGCCCTTCCCTTTCCTTGAGTTTCTGAAGGCTGGGCCATGGGAACAGCACATCTCATACTTCTTGGTACTCTGGCAATTCAGGGGTCTATATCTGGCCTCTCAGGTTAGCTATTGAGGCCGCAGAATGCAAGAGCCTATCAGATGTCCCAACCAGCACCTCTAGTTCTGAGCTTAGCCCTGGCACATGTAAGGGCTCAAAACCTAGGGCTCTGGTAGTTATGGTTTCTATTAGAGGACCTGCAGCAGGGAGAAGACAAAGTTAACTTGGCCCTACCTGAGACCACAGCCCTGCTATAAGTTTCTGAACAGAATAAAATATTCAGGTAGCCCTTCACAGTTAACAAAACACTTTAATAACAACCTTGTACATTACGCGTTTATCAACATTCCAACTTAAAGATGACTTAAATCAGGTTCTGAGAGGCTTTCCAGAAGTCTTACCACTAGAAGAAGCAGAGTTGGCCAAGAATAGCAAGTTTTTACATTCTTTCCTCTGTCCCTGGGCCCTGCCAAGTCCCAGCCTCACACACAGAAGAGGCAAGTGTTGAGCAGAGGCTGCTCAGTGAGGCTGCCAGATAAAACAGGACAATGAGACAAAGGGCCAGCTGCTTTACTCTCACTCACTTGGAGCTCCATCAGCAGCTTCAGTCATGGTGTGCATCCAGGTATTCACAAAGCTCCTACTGTGTGCTGTGCACATGGTCATCAGTAAAACCAATAATGTTCCTGTGCTCAGAATTTATCATCTCAGGGAGTACACAGTCTCTTTCTCAACTCTTCTCATTAGCAGTCACCCATCATGGTACCCTGTACAGGAGTGAAAGTCAGAAAAGCCCAGATTGTCAGCCCCAGGAGCTGGCTGCTCACCAGAATTGCCTGGTTGGGGACCACTTGACTAGTCTCAACTCCTGTTTTATAGAATGGGAAGATGGAGTACACTGTCACACAGAGGTTGGGGTGGCCAAGCCAGGGAAAGCCTCCTGAGTCTTCCTGGCATGACCTCCAGCAGCAGTCATGTTCTCAGAATTGATTACATGGCTAAGGGTCAGGCCAGCACACTAGGGCAGTGAGGAAACAGCCCATAAGGAAATAAAGATGGGGCAGGGGTGGGTGGCACGGAAGAGCTAGTGGGGGTGGCATGTGGACCAAGGAAGATGAAGGGAGTGGCAGAGCTGGGCATGAAGAAACATACTATGCTGAAAGGCTCACTGCTAGGTACCAACTACAGGGGCTACCAAGAACAGGGTTGCATTGGGAGACAGACACTAGGCTGAGCAGCAGGATGCTTGTATTCATGTTGAGGAGTTAGGGTGGGCTCTGGGCCATCATCATTAACCTGCTAAAACCTCTAGACAGGAGATTAGAGCTCAGTCGTGGCTGACAAGGTAACTGACAGATCTCAACAGAGTAGAATAGCCAACTCAGGCTGACCACCTGCTTCTCCCTCTGCTTGGCCACTTCTGACAAGCAGAATTGCATCTCTGGCCTCGGGTTCCCAGCAAAGCCCGGGAGAGGCCTGAAATCTGTTCTATAAACACACAAACCAGGGATAATTAAGTTTCCCCACTGATTCTCTTTCAACTACTCTCCATGGCCATTAAATGGGTGACAGAGTGACAAATAGTATTAGACTTGTCTCAGGTCTCATACAATACAGAGAGCCCCATCTTCCTGCTGTAGTCTCTAGCTTACCCCCAGGGAGAGCGCAGCTTAGTAGGGACTACTTCTCCACCCACTGGCTGTAGGCCAGGCTCACCTCACCCTTTTTTCATTTTGCAAATTCTTCCTGGGTATCTCCTCTGTGCCAAGGCCAACAGGTAAAGAAGACCATGGTGGGGCTTGGACTGTCCTCCTCTATACTTGACCCAGCCCTTTCTCCACCAAGTCAAGTTTATCCAAGACTGCATCTTCCCAGAAGCCTCAGCCCAAGACCAGCACACATAGCCCTGACAATCCCTGCTACCCAGTCTCCCTGTCACTGGGGGAATACTGATCTTCCCAAAGATGTTCACATACTAATTCCTGAAACCTGTGATTGTGTTACCTCGCCTAGCAAAAGAGACTTTGTAGATGTGATTAAGGGTAGGATCCTGAGAAGGGGAGACCATCCAGGCAAGCCCAATGTAGTCAAGAGGGTCCTTATAACTGAAGGATTGGAGCAATTCAGAAACAATGTGACAAAGGAAGCAGTGTTAGAGTGTTGCAGTGTGACTAAGACTCTACCATCCACCTCTGGCTTTGAAAACAGAAAGGGGTCATGAACCAAGAGATGTGGAAGAGCTCTAGATACTGAAAAAGACAAGGAAACAGGCTTTCCCCTAGTGCTCCATAAGGGACAGAACCCATTTCAGACTTCTCATTCCCAGAACTATAAGGTAATAAGTTTGTGCTGTTTTAAGCCAAGTCTGTGGTAATTACTATTTTCCTATTGCTGCAAATTACTAACACATACCTTATGACCAGTTCTATGCTCCAGTCAAAACCAGGCCACCTACAGCTGTGTAAGCCATCCCATTTCACATCTCCCTGCCTTTGTACATGTTGTGCCCACCACCTGGGATGCTGTTCCTGGCTACTTAATGTCTTTGTTCCAGCACCTTCTCAATAAAGGCTTCCAATTTCCCTTGTGTGGACAGCTTCATGCTTGTGCTTCCACAGTACTTGACTGTTCTTCTCACTGGGTGCTGTTCAATTTTGCACTTGGTGTGAATTGTTAGTAGGGAGTTTCATCTACTTTCATAACCCCAAATTCTTTTGTATATGGCAGCTTAGTGAACATTTGCAAAATGACTATACAATGGCCTACTCTGTTTTGTGCAGCCTCTGCACAGAAGCAGTAGAGCAAGGTGGTTGAAAGTATAAGTTCATGTCATTTTTTTTTTTTTTTTTGGGACACAGTCTCACACTGTTGCCCAGGCTGGAGTGCAATGGCGTGATCTCAGCTCACTGCAAACTTCGCCTCCCAGGTTCAAATGATTCTCCTCCCTTGGCCTCCTGAGTAGCTGGGATTACAGCCACCCGCCACCACGCCCAGCTAATTTTTGTATTTTTAGTAGAGACGGGGTTTCACCATGTTGGCGAGGCTGGTCTTGAACTCCTGACCTTGTGATCCCCCCACCTCAGCCTCCCAAAGTGCTGGGATTACAGGCATGAGTTACCACTCCCGGCCCAAGTTCATGTCATTTTATATCAAAAGACTAAAATCTTGATCTTGTTAGTATTCATGCTGAAGTATACAGGGGAAGTATACAGATGTCTGCAACTTGTTTTGAAATGCACCAAAAGTGAGATTGATAGTTATGGGGATGTGTAGATAAGTGATAAAACAAGCTTCTTTAAGTGTTAATGGTATATGGGTATTCAGTATAAAATTCTGTCAGTTGGGTTATATTTTTTTCACAAGCTATTAGGGAAAAAGTGTACATCCTGGGACTAGACAGTCTGAGAAAGTCCTGGTGCTACCACTTTCCAACCACATGAACTTAGGCAGATTACTTCTCTCTCTCTAGGCCTCAGTTTCCTCATTTATAAGATGAGGGAATAGTACCTTCCATATGGTTGTGAGGACCAGGTGAGTTAATGCATGGGAAGTGTTTAAGAGTGCCCTAAGTACCAAATAAGTGTCAGCAGCCAGTCACCTCTTGACAAGCCCCACCTTTCCTTCCTTTTCACCCTCAGGAGCATCACAGAACTAGGCATGGGGCAGACACTTGGAAGCTTATTGGTGGCCTGGTGAAAGGCTCTCTTGGGACAAGAAGTTGGGGGCAGAGGGAAGAGAGTATCTGCCAGTCGGCCTGTCTTCTTCCTCAGTCTGAAGGAAGAGAGGGTCTTTTGGACTTGACGCCCATAGCACATGCTAAGCACTTCTGCCCCATTTTCTCCTTAGAAGGAAGGTGCCTCAGAATTCCAGGCACAGGGAATAGTCCAAAAAGCCATAAAGGTGTGAGACAGCTGTTTCCAGAAGCAAATTATTGGAGGTAACCAGGGCTCTGCCAAACAGCATCCGAATTATTAGGAGCCAGGGCTGTCAGAGAAAAACATGTTGATGTATGCCTAGAAAAATTACACTTGAAATATTGAGGATGGATGAGAGGGAAACAAAAATGGAAGCCCAGAGACTAATTGGGAAGCTCCTGTGGTAATCTAGGGTAGACATGAGAGGCAGTGGTGTACAGTTGATGTATGACTCTCTACTTCTGGGTCAAGCCTACAAAGAGGGTTCTCACTCAACACCCTATCTTGTAGTACACCAAGTCTGACACTCAGGTTCACACCATGGCTGTTAGGCTCCATCAGGCCCCTTTAGCCCACCTGGTACCGAGGTCAAAGACAGAAGTAATGTCAATCTGTCCCTATCCTACAGACCTCAGTAGGTGCTTAGTGAGTTTGGGAGATTTAGAAAAGCACTGCTGGATTAAGGGCAAGCAGAGCATTTTCTTGGATGTTCCTCATGGGTGAGGAAAAGGATACTGGATTCTTATTATGCAAGCTGGCCATAGCCCCTAGGAGTCCTAGAAGGCTTCAGGAAAGGACATAGGACCAGACTGGACCACTCTGTTCTCTCTGGGAGAACTCAACATCTTGCACTCAGGACTTAAGCCATGTAGGAAAGACACACAAGAATAGGCCTCTGGATCAGAGGTACCCGGTGGCCCAGAATGGTCAGGGGCAAGAGAGGGACCAAATTCATACAGCTCCTGGTGGGCTTTCTTCAGATAAAAAGTAAAAGGCAGAGTGCTGAACCAGGTGGAAGGGGGAAGGGGATTCCTGAGCACTGCCAAGTGTAAGATCAGCAAGACAGGGGAATCTAAAAGAAGATGTCTTTGGAATAAGAAAGCCAAGACCATCTACTCATGTAGGAAGGGCTTATGAGAAGGTCTAGCCATGATCCTGCAGATGCTGCCCATATGTAAGTAGGAAGGCTAACAAACTAAGAGTAGCCAGCTTTTAAGATGAGGGTATAAACTTAAGGGGGCAGACTGGGCCTCCAGTGCATCTGGAGAATGAGACAGCAGCTTAATCAAGGCCAGATAACATGTATCCAAGGGTATCTTAAATGTTTTCACCCAGTGGCTGTGTCCGAAATAGACTTCATGTGATTTGAACAGAAAAGGTGTTTAAGGAGTATATATCCCAGGGAATCACTCAGAACTAGAGAGCAAGGCTCAGCCAGAAACACCCACAAGTCACGATCCAAAACAGCTTGAAGATCCTACTACTGCCCTCCCCTAAGCATGAGCTTTAAGACCAGCCAAAGCAATTTTTAAAATAATTTGTTTCTATGGTAGGAAGACACTGACTCCTACCAAGACTTATATGCTTGCATGGAAAGGAGATACCCAGAGGGAATATTTAAGTCCACAACAAGAAGAAAACTAGATGTTCACTACAGTCCACTCTTCTTTTTACCTAATATCTATTCTTCCTATACTTCAAGAAGTGATGCTACTCAGATACACACCAATCTCCTGCTCCCCCATCACACCACAAATTTGCTGTCTTCCATTCTAATCTAGTATCAGGTGATGCTCATTCTGTTTTTAGGTCTATCCTAATCCTGTCCTGTGACCTGTGGACAAGAATATGCATTCTACCTTTCATAAAGCAGAGGTAAACACTAGTCACAAGAAAGATAAATGCAGATTAAAGACCTTTTATTATAACAATTATGAGGCCACTGTCATTTGTTTCATTTCGCTTAATCAAACTAGCTGATTGGATTATTTAGATGATGGAATGATCCAAACTTGTCACTGATGTAAATATATCCATTGGAGCACTGCCAGTGTAAGGCTGCTATCATCTAATCTATTCCTGAATATCAGGAGGTTTACATGGGAGTTCCCTGGATTTTCTATTCTCACTCCCTCTATTGCGTTAAGATGATCTCATCTTTGACATGGTCGACCCAGCCAACATTGTAATGCTCCCTTTACTTGTCTGTTCAAAGGGTTAGACGCAAATGACCAGGGTCTATCTCTACTCCCACTTCAATGATAAAATTATGTTTCTTGGAAGCATTCCTCCTTAAGTTAGTAAGGCCTCTGAACTAGCAGAACCCAGAAACCCAAGAAAAGAAGTCAAGTTATAAGGACTTTTGCTGTTACAGTGAGAGGAACCATGTTTGTTTTTACTGTTCAGTATCTGAATCCAAGCAGTCTGGGTAGGAGGGAGATAAATCACAGTAGTCATTGGTTCAGAACACATACCACACCCTCTATGACAGTACTCCACCTTCTCAAAGCAGTGAATCCCAGGAGGTACCATAATGAAGTTTCAGAGCACTTTCTACCGTTCTAGAGGCAGTGACTTCTGAGAGATGAGGTACATGGTAACAGATTCCATGGGCTTCAGCTTATTGATTCACTTGTGCTGAGAAGCGGGTTCCTTTGTCAGACAATGCTGTATGGAAAATAATGAACCTGAATGTTACATTTGAATTCACTGACATTTTTAAAACAAATTTGTCAGGGACAGGTATAAATCCAAGTATCTTTTCTGGTAATGCCAAATGGTCAGCACCCTCCCACTCCATGATAGAAGTCCAATGAAGGGAACCCATCATCAGGTAGCTGGCTTGTCTTCCAAGTTTAAAGTGCCTTATCAGTGAGCCCCTGGTCACTGTTGCTGATAAGTTAGTTCAGCCTTTGTGAGAAGTTTGAGTTGTTGATCTCATGCATGGCCTTAATCTTGGAACCATAGCACCTCATCCATGAGTCCTTCAAGTACTGGGGTGGCTACGGAAGAAGCTGATCTAAGGGGAAGGCCACCTTGTTCATCTAAGTTAAGGCCTCCTCCAGAGCTGAGCCTTTGTTAGTGTTCACAAGGGATATCGCCACACTTGGGGTCCATTCTAAGGACCTCATCTATATGCTCCTTCTCCAAACTTTCTGTCACTAATTATATATCTTGCTCCTTCTAAGTCTATGACCAGCCTATGTGAACAGGTAAGAGCCAAACCTGGAGAGGTTAATGTCACACAAATGAAACTAGCCTTGCTGCCTTTGGCCACCTGGTATCAGAGTATCTCTGCCCATGTTTAGGAATTATTTGCCCTGTAAGTCTTAGTGGGAAGCAGCATCCACTTGCCCTGTAGCACATGAAATTTGAATTAATTATTTTCCTAATCTCTCTTGCAGGTAGAAGGTAGACATGTGACCCAGGCTTCGTTGACTAGATGAATATTTCCCACACTTGGAAACCTTGCTCTGTTGATTGCTCTTCCCGAGTAGCCAGGCAATTTGGAATCCTGATTGAAGCAGAGCTGCCTGGTAAGCCTCCCAGGCCAGTTTTAGGCTTTACCTGGCATATACCTGTAAACTATAGATGTTGGCCTTCTCATGATTTAATAACTCCAAGCCATGCCAAGTTGATGATCCATTGTTTAGATTGTACTGTATACAGTCCAGAGCTTTCCTATAGCCACCTGTGACCCGTCACTCATTACACTGAGCGCCTTAAAGACAGGAGCTAAGCTTTCTTTCTACCCCTGGCCATGGTAGAAAGAGTGTCCATTATCTGCATATAGGATTACCATAGTAGGTAGATCCCCTGAGGTCATCATCTTTAGGTTGGAAAAATAATCAGAACCCTAGGTAACATGTTCTAAGGTGATAAACTTAGAAGGACTGTGAGAGAAAATTTAAGGGGACTTCTTTAGTAACTTCGGCTGTTGACTAAGCAGGATAAGGCAGGATAGAACAGTGACTAGAAATAACCATGACTAAACAGCAGTGACCCAGACTATGGACTGATTCAGGCTTTTATTCAAGTAAAGATCAAGTGCTTATCTGCTGTGATCTTCTGGAAGCTCTCTAGTCAAAGCAAACCCTTGGAGTCTCATCTCCTTTGGAAATGATGAAGCAATGGCAATGGTATTAACAGGGTATTGGCCTTCTCATGATTTAGTAACTCCAAGCCATGCCAAATTGTTGATCTATTGTTTAGGTTGTATTGTACACACACACACACACACACACACACACACACACACACACACAGCTGTATGACAAAAATTTTTATGACGTAAAAATTCTGGAGAAATCCCTGGAGTCTGCAAGTTTAGGAAAGAAGATCTGGGAAGAAAGTCAGAAAGAAGAGACTTGGACAAGTAAGTCACAGCCAAGTCCAGCTAAGAGGTAGCCACAAGTTCTAGCCACATTTACTCCTGCAAACCAGAACATGTTACATACACAACTGGGGTGAAGTAGAAAACAGTCTGAACTAAACATACTTGGACCTTAAATGCCTTATCCTCTGGATTGTAAAGAATAGACTGACTGACCTCAGAACTCAGAGGCAAGAGAAGCAAAGCTCTAGAGCTTAGAAAAGAGAGCAGCCTAGCTGTGATCAGAATGGACCAGAGGAAAGGCCAGCTCTGGCATGTGGCCTAGCAAGAAGGCCATGTACAAGCAGGCAGAGTGCACCAACACCAAGGGCCACAGCTACCATTGTCCTCATACCCATGGTTGGCAGGAACGGAGGCTCCAGGTTGATAAGATGGTAAAGGCCCTGAAAACAAGTTTCCACACACAACATTGAGCAGGCCAGGAGCCAGAATGCTCACAGCCAGGGTCCCAAGATGCTACTGCCTAGTTTGCTACCTTTGAAGGGGAAGGGGAGTGAGAAAAGCAACTGGGTAAAGTCCTGAGACCCACAAGTGGAAGCGAGGCCTTGCTTTCCATCTAGATTCAAGAGCACACAAATTTTCTATAACTCAGCTCTTAGGGTGACCACTGCCCACTTGTGAGGTGAGATGAAGGGGGCATTTAAGATGACTCCTGGCATTTCAGGTATGCCTGCCTGAAGCCTTCAGTAGTATTCCCAGATATCTGCCTGGGTCCCCAGCCTCAGATATCTGAGGACAGATCTTAGGAGGCTTCTGTGGATTAAGGTCAACAGCCAGCTTCTAACCAGTCTAGTATCTAGCATTGCCAGTGACAGTAACTGGGCAAGAGAAGAACTAGAAGGCTGATGCAAACCCTTCTTTCAGGGGCCTTACCATATCAAATAACCTTCTCTCCTACCTTCAATTTTTCTACCACTGGGCTCTTTCCTTCCATGGCTATACAGGAGACTCTAGTTAAGTTTAAAAAGACCTTCATCTCTCTACCCTGTGAGCTTTTCTATCTGGCATCTTATTTTTCCACAGCTAAGCAGCCCATATTCTCCATCTCAACACATTACCTATCCCAATCTGATGCTTATCCATATCTCTTGGGGTTCCTTGGGGGAAGTCTCTTGGGGACTAAGAAGAACCCCAAGAGATATGGATAAGCATCAGATTGGGGTAGGTAAAGACTGCTGGCTACTAAGGTTCCTCAGTAGTCTACAAATAGCTAATCCCCAAAGAAACATTCTGTTCTCTTATTAGGCCTCATCCCTCACCCATCCTCCATTTAACACACATGACTTCTGTTTTGGAAACACTAGCCTCCATGACACTTCATCTTGCTGACTGTCATCTTTCTCTACTGCTTAGTCTCCACATGTAAACTCTGGGCAGAGGAGGTAATGGAGGTTTGTAGCCTTTGTTTTTAGGTTCACTTCTCAGTTAATAGCTTTATCTCAGCATCCTGGATCTTCTGTTATCAACACACCAATGGCTGATCTCTAGCTGACAGTCTGCTCTTGGTCTACCAGACTGATCTCTACCTGCCTGCTAGACATCTCCACTTGAGAACTGGGCAACTCAAACCAAGACCGCCCTAAACTGAGGGAATTTTGCCTCTAAGGAATTCTAGAAGTGGATCTTCTCAGATAATGTCATGTTGTCAACCTAAAGTTTACCATGAGGTAATTAAAAACTTCTACTTCTTTTCTCCCTTGACAAACACTATTAAATCCTATCTCCCAAACAACTCTCAAACCCATCCATTTTATCTCAGCTCAAATCCCAATCCCAAGTTCATCCTCTTGCCCAAGCAGCTGCAACAGTTTAACTGCTCACCTTGCAATTCTTTGTTTAGCCTTCCCAGCCAGTCTCTATCCTATAGGCCTAGATCATCTTAAAGATGATCTTTAAAGATGTCAGTCTGATCTGGTCACTAGCCTACCTATTGCCTTTGCTTACATTCCTTCCATGGCTCCTGAGCATTAAAGGCTATAGAACCAAATCTTTGATTTGGCCTAGAAAATCTTATGTGATCTAACCCTGACTTAAGCCTCCAGTGTTAACCTTGGCCGCCTTCTCTACATTTGAGAGAGATCAGTTTTTTATCTATTCTTCACATGCCTAAGTACCTTTAACCATAAGAGGTCACAAATAACTGTCAACCCAATTCCTAGGCAGTCTGACAAGTCACTGAGTTAGGAACATCCTGGAAACTAGGATAATAGAGTTGCCACAAAACATCCTGGTTTCTTCAAAGAGACTCATGAGGAACATAAGGGAATTTACCACTTAAACCTATCTTCTGGTAAGTCCTGTGGGCTGGGGAAAAATAAGACAAGCCCTTTCTCCTCCAATACTGTTTCAGGAGTTTTCCTTAGTTCAGCTAAAAACGGGTTCCTTGTCTGGTCCATGGCCATGAAAATTTAGGCTTGCGGATGGTTTGAAGGGTGAGTAAGACAGCGTTTTATAGGGTGAAAAGGAAGTAAAGGGGAAACGGGGACTCTCACTAGACCAAAGTCCCTGTTAGAGTGCTTCCTGCCTGGCCGTTCAAATCCCAGGTTCCACCCCGGAAGAAGAGGGGCAGACTCCTCTCTGCTGCAAACATTGTGAACTTCCAGAGGCTCCATCTCAGTGGCAGGCCGGTTGGAATTTCTCCAGGGACCCCCTCCCATTTGGCTGTCTCAATACCACCCGTAGTTTTATTCTGCATTTGATAATGCTATGCCTTGACTTAGTATAGAACTTCTGTACTTAGATCAACTAACCCAGCCTTGCAAATGGCTGGACCCACTGGAGATGACCTGGAACAATGGGACCTTAAGGCTCTTTCCACTTTTGGACACTGCAACCCATGATTAATATCATGCTGTTAAACAGCTAGGGTAGCTGTTAAAGTGGGTGATAAGTTGGTTGATTTTCTGATAGGCATCAGAGAAACCTACTCAGTTTTAAATCTTAAATTGATTAAACTTGGAAGAGAATCTATGATAGTTACTGGAGTGCCTGAGAAACCCTCCCCAAAATATTTTCTTTAGCCTCAAAACATATGATAGGGAAGTTCTTTGATCCATGCTTCTCTCTATGGGCCAGAATATCCCCTCTCATTACTAGGTTGGGATCTAAGCTATATGCCCAAGTGACTTTCCAGAATGAATATAGCTGAAGTCCCTCCAGAACATGCACCTTCTTTCCAAGCAGCCTTGATTGTCTGTTTTACTTTCCCTCAGGCTCTGCCCTCTGAAAGTTCAGGAGTTAAATCTGGAAGTATGGGCCACTGGGCATCCTTGATGGGCCTGTGTGGCACTAATCCATGTTGAGACCAGGAATTACAACCCCTGGATTAAACAGTATTTTCTAAAGCTCCAGGCTAGAAGGGGTCTCCAACCCTTAGTCACAACCTTTCGGAAATATGTGTTCTTCTGACCCTGTCATTCAAAGAGACATTGAAAGTACTGGGTATTCCTGACTTATGCAAATCTTCAAGGAGGACAGGGAATTGGAATATTAACTCAAGACCTTAGAACTTTAAAAACATCCTGTGGCCTATGTTTTGAAACAGCTCGACATGATAACTAATGGCTGGCCTATCTGCCTAAGGGCAGTGGCTGCTACCTGTGACATGTTGCAGGAAGCTGAAAACTGACAGTGTATACTATGCATTATACGTTATCTTCGCTTGAGCAGAAAGGAGGCTATTGGTTAATTGTTTGGCCAACTGGGAAAGTACCAAGCCAGGCTTCTAGAAAACCCAAATGTAAGTCTTAAGGCTGTTTCTAGTCTGAATCCTGTCACCCTGCTACCAGGGAATCTCCAGCCTCCTCATCATGACTGCATTAAAATAATTGATCAGGTTTATTCCAGTAGTCCAGACCTCAGATTTGCCATTGACAAAATCCAAAGATTGCTTCACTGATGGGAGCAGTTTCATGGAACAAGGAGTCAGAAGGGCCAGACATGCTATAGTTACTACCCAGCACATAGATGAAGCCCCTGGACGTCCGCCCAAAAGGCTGAGCTCATTGCTTTAACCAGAGCTATACATTTGGTTAAGGGAAGGAAAGTCAACATTTATATTGACTCTAAGTATGTTTTCCTAATATCCCATGCTCACCGGGTAATTTGGAAGGAAAGTTGGCCTTTTTAATTCTAATAATAAAGCATGGTCCTCAAATTCTTGAATTATTGGAGACAGTAAAAATGCCCAAAGTAGCAGCAGTTATTCACCGTCAAAGACACTGGACACCCATGTTGCATAAATAAATATTAAGACTGACCTAGAGGTGAAAAATGTGGTCAGGGGGCTCACCACTCAGACTGGCTCTTGTTCCTACTCTGTTTAGATCCGTATTTCCCAGGATATTCAGAGTCTTATCTTAAAAGAGCTGAGCAAGGAGGATTTTCTAAGCTTGCTGATCATAAATGGCTTACAAATAATGAAGGAAGAAGTTATCCTTCCAGAAACTTTAATTAGACCAATTCATGAACAAATCCAAAGCACCCATTATAGTGGGAAGCTACTCTATGCTGGATACAGCCTTATCTTTCGGCCTAACTTGCAATGAACAATACAAACTGTAGTCCAAAGTTGTCCTATCTGCTTGAAAAAATAACCCAAAGCCCCAGGAAGGCACAAAAGTTCCCTTTAAACAAGGAAATCAATGGAAAGTAACTCATCCTAGGGAATACTGGCAATTAGATTTCACTATAATGCCCTGAGCCCCTGTATATTTGATGCTGGTTTTTGTCAGTACCTTTATAGGTTGGGTTGAGGCTTGCCCCACCAAGACTGAGAAAGCTACTGAAGTTGTAAAGGCTCTAATGAAGCATATTCCTTGATTTAGGACTCTTACACACTCTCCAAAGTGACAATGGAGCTGTTTTTATAGCCCGAGTAGCCCAGAAAGTATTGTGGTCACTGAGTACTGATTGGAAACTGCATTTATTTTGGCGACCTCAAACTTCTGGGATGGCTGAAAGAATAAGTAGGACATTAAGGAAGTCTCTTTCTAAAGCTTCCCAGGAGACAAATCTTACCTGGGAAAAGGTCTTACCCCTTGCCCTGCTGAGAGTATGGGTAGCCCCTAGAGGTGGGTTGGCTCTTAGCCCCTTTGAAATGTTATATAGGCGACCATTTCTCTGACCTGTAGACTCCCCATCTGAGGATTTTTCTTCCCAACAAAAGCTAAATCACATACAAAACAAAAACCAATTAGTCTGAGTTTTTTTCTGACAGATTAGTTCCCTAGTGATATGCCTCTCTACTCTGACACTGAAGGACCAAGCCCTGCTGAAAACCTGGTAATTCCAGGCTGAAGACGAGTTGCAACCACAATGGATTGATCCTTGAGGTGCTGCTGACTACCTACTCATCTGTTAATTTGGCCAGTGTTAAGCTGTATATTTATCATATTTGAGAAAACCAGTCCCTCTGGGTTCCCTCCAGGGGAAACAGTCATGGTCTTATAAACTTCTGACAGCCTTAATATTCAAAGCCCTGTCAAAGACTCTAGATAAGAAATCATGAAGGGAATATGCACTTTTCAGGTTATTGTTCTCTAGATCTTTCCTGCTTCTAGATGGGAAGGTAACCCATTAACCCATATTTCACAAACTCTTGCTCTATCAGTCAATTTATCCCACAGTTGACTTTTGGATAGGCTTAGGATTGTTCTTAAACTCCCTAGGGGATCTTCTCCATGTTCTACATTATTAATCACTCTAGTTCCAAAAAGCCAGAAACTAGCCAGGTACTTGTGAGTATTTCCAGTTACAGGTATGTTTTCATTCTTCATTATCCCACGATGCCCCTTAGAATGAAGCAGCTAGAAAGATCAGTGACTAGATTCCCCATGATTGAAGACTAGATAAATAGAAAGGGAAGGGAAACTGGCCTACTTTTCTCATAGAGCTGATGTTTATAGTTTTTTTGAATGAACATAGAAATTGACCTTCCTGGTCTTAAAATTTGAGCAACTTACTTTTGTATAATCTGAGTTCCTTTCTCAGAAAACCTACTGTTAGAGCTCCCAGGTAGCATCAGAGAGCTAAAACTTTATAGATCACAGTATCCAGACAGTGACGCACCAGACTTCTTATCTGATCACCTGCTGCCCGTTGACCAACTCTTCTTCCATAATCCGCCTCCCTAATTCCTGTACTCCCACCTCTATATGAACCCATAACTTTAGTTGGTAAAGGGAATAGATTTAAGACTTGTCTCCCATCTCTTGGGAGACATCACCAGCAATAAAACTTTTTTTCCCTGGCAATACTCATTGTCTTAGTGAGTGGCTTTTCTGTGCTGTGAGCAACCAGACCTAGGCTGAATTTCTGGTGTTCAGCAACAGATCTTGCCCAGATGGCACCACTAGCATGGCCACATGTAAACTGTTAGAACATGTCTATTATCCTACCTGGTTGACTGAGACATCCATCCTCAGAGACTGACAGGGAATTCTGGCATTCTGTCAACTCAGCTTGTTTTCCCAAGTCACCATTATACCCCAACCTATCCCCATCAGAAGCAAGAGCATGGGGAAGGCAGAACTGTTCAGGGCAGAACAGACTAGATCCCGGGAAAAGGCTGGTTTGACTCCTGGTTAGGGAGTCAAACCCCTAACTTGAACCAAGATTTCTTGAACCAAGATTAATCCTTACCTACTACAGCTATGCAGCCGCCTCTATTGCAGGGAAGGTACAGGGCTTCATACTCTAGCCAAGAGAATGAAGTTCTCAGGATGTTGAATAATTCAAAAAACAAAGAGGGAAGTTAGCATGTAGCCAGGAGTACAAACCATGACAGTAACGTAAGTTCTCACCCACACTTGTCCCACCTAGGACAGATGCTAGACAACATGCTGAAATATTGCTAGATGAGAAGGCAGCCCCACACATTGATAGTCCAATGCTAATTCAGTCCTTAGACTTCCAGAGCCTATTCAAGGATTGTCAAGACCGATTTTTGATAAACACTGACAAGTGAACAGACAGGAGAGGTTAGATGCTAAGTAGAATAAGCATTTTGTCAGTATTAGGGAAAGTAGTAACTAGAAGAAAAGGACCTAGAAAAACATGCAGAGAAGGACACTGGTAAACACCTTCCATGTTGCTGGCTGTAACACTAGTCAAATAACCCAGAATTAAGGGATGTCAAGAAATTTCACCTAAGAAAGGACAGAACAGGTCAGGGGACCAGGACAATAGTCCCCATAAACAGCTCCCCTTGTATACACACAGCAGGACAGCAAGCTAGGGTATAAGGAAGGATGTCCAGATGCTACCTGCTATGTGTCCCTTCCTGCCATCCCCACCTTGGGTAAATAACAGAGACTCAAAGGAAAAGAGTGAGAGAAAAGCTATTTGGGCAGACCACAGGAAAGATGCTACTGGAGCAGGGCTCTGTTTTCAGTATCAGAGGTATGAGGCAAGGACACAGCATGGGGCAATCTTGACCCCCTATATACCACATATTCACACATGAGGCTACTGGGCCCTCCTGATAAGCAAGACCCCCAGGCAACAATCCTAGGAGCCCCACCACAGCTTCTTGTTATCTTAGAAGCTTCTCTGCCCTGGGCCATAGAATGGTCCTGGGTACTGAATGCCTGCCCCTTAGTACCCTCCTAGGCAGTAGGTGGTCTATCTGCCTCATTATCCAGCCTTAGCCACTCAGTGGAGTTCTAGTAATTCTCCATAGAACAGGAAGACCCTCAGCAAGCTCCTAGGCAGGCCATGGGGAGAGAATGATATCCTGAGCAGAAGTGAGCCCAGTGGCAAGTCAGGAGAAACTTACAAGGGTCTTCACCTCTAATAAGGCCAACACACCAACTCAAATGGGCAAAAGATCTGTTTGAGCTTCTAGCGGAATATGCCCCAAAGTTTATGTAACTGCCAAATCCGCATGCTGAATGAAGGCCGGAAGCAGCAACACTGAATGTGTAGTATTGGTTAACAACGTGTTTTTCTATAAAACATTCTGGTGACAGAAGAGTCAAGTGTTTTCCTTTAAAAATTCTAGTCCCGGGTCTACTTTGGCATTAAGCAGATAATCATTATGTTAGATGATAAATGCATAGCTTGCTCACTAGCTTAAGGATCTTTTGGAAAACCAGTGGTGTTGTGTCTTCAGTTCATACCAAAGCAGATGAAGCCCATATTCTCTTCCTAGATGTGGCCTAAAGGAACTTAGAAGGGGCCAGGTGCAGTGGCTCACGCCTGTAATCCCAGCACTTTGGGAGGCTGAGGCAGGCGGATCACGAGGTCAGATAGAGACCATCCTGGCCAACATGGCGAAACCCTGTCTCTACTAAAAATACAAAAATTAGTTGGGCGTGGTGGTGCATGCCTGTCATCCCAGCTACTCGGGAGGCTGAGGCAGGAGAATCGCTTGAACCCAGGAGGCGGAGGTTGCAGTGAGCCAAGATCGCACCACTGCACTCCAGCCTGGGAACAGAGCGAGACTCCGCCATCTTAAAAAAAAAAAAAAAGAACTAGAAGGGAAACCACAGGAGAGTAAAACTATACGGCATTTCACCAGAACTAGAGGTAAAATAGAGAAAAGTAAATATGACAGGTCCTTTGGGGCCCAACAGAGGTAAAGCCAAACAGAGAGAAACCAAGCATCACAGAGCCACCATGGAAGGGAGGGACTCTATTTAGGAAACAGATGCCTCACTAGGACATTCAACCCCTGAGCACAGCCTGGGTCCCAGAGTCATAGCTCTGAGGGACAACTGAGTTTACCATGGAATCAGTAATGATTCTTTGTCACTGCTGAGGCAAAGAGTGGGGTAGCAGTGAGATTGGTAGGGAGAAAATTGCTTAGTCCATGGGGACAAGCATGAGTCCAAGTAACACTAAGTAAAGCTGTTGTGACAAAGACTCAGATCTAGGCAACATAACAAAGGTTTACTTCTTAAGTCTTATGAGGGTAAAGTGATTTGTGTAAGGCTTTCTTACCAGTATAGGCCTAGGAATATTTTATCTTTAGCTATATTATCTAGATTATATAGCCTCTAGGGTCACTTTTGCATAGGAAGAGCATGGGGAAGGCACAGTCACCCTACTTCCTTGAGCCAGAAATGACATTACTTCTATTCACAGCATACTGCGGAGAACTAATCACATGACCCATCAGGCACAGGGGCTGGGAAATAGAGAAAGCATATAGATGAGTATTGAGAGCAAGGTATGCAAATTCTTGTCATAGCCACTATGTTAGACTTATGAGAAACAGTATTACTACCATACTGAAGGATTATTTGAAGGAGGACAGCTCCTAAGAATAGCCCCTTAGGGCCGAACAGTGATGCCAAAGCTGGCCTCATACATGGTGAGTTTTACCTGACACCTCAAGTACTAGAGCTACCAGCACAGAAGGATGCTTTGGGACCAGCAACATTCGGAACAGCCTTGAATGAAAGTGGATCAAGAGACAAGTTTCTTCCTTGAACACAGGGATAAGCTACCATCTGGGCAAAGCCTACCAGGGCCTATCAGACTGTGCAAGGCCTACCTCGACTAACAGCAACTGCTTCTCAGCAACAAATTCGGCAGATGGCATCATGGAATTGCCTTGCTCTTATTAGGTACCTGTGAAATGTGATATACAAAATGGCATTACTCGTTCAGAGCTCTGAAATGGAGTCAGGAAATCATTCTAACAGGCACTACTTACATGATCTGAAACCTTGCAAAATAACAGGAACTTGTCTCAAACCTTCCAACTGTGCCAAACTGCCAAGACCACAACATCCTCGTAAACTGCTGAATTTCACCAGCACTGCAACTGCAACTCCTGCAGCGACAACCAATGAACTATGGACTCATTACTAAGCCAGACACCTCCACCAATGATAGTTCTTTTAAAACAACTTGTGCAATCACCCTTAATTTCCTTCTAAAAATCTTGGTAAGCACAGTGGCTCATGCCTGTAATCCCAGCACTTTGGGAAGCTGAAGCAGGCAGGTTACTTGAGCCCAGGAGTTTAAGACCAGTCTGGGCAACATGGTGAAACCCCATCTCTCCAAAAACAGAAAACAACAACAACAACCAAAAAACAAAAATAAAAACTAGCCAGATGTGGTGGCATGCACCTGTAGTACCAGCTACTCAGGAGGCTGAGGTGGGAGGATCATTTGGGCCCAGAGGTCAAGGCTGCAGTGAGCCATGATCACAGCATGCACTCCAGCCTGGGTGACCGAGTGCGACCTTTTCTCAAAAAAGAAAATAAAAAAACCATACACTCCTTCTCTTCGGAACACAATTCGGCCTTTAGCTGAATCTGTGTCTTCTGAGTTGCAATTCCTAAGACTCCAATGAATGCCTTGTCTTACTGCTTTACAGTTTGGTCTTTTGTGTCTTCTTGGTTAAACCACTTGAGCAATTGTGTAAAAAAGAAAATGGAAGGAGAAGTCAAACTCTTTAATCACCACTTTGTTGTAGAACCCCAAATTCAGGCTCGTGTACCTGATGTGCAGCTGAGGCCAAACACTGAGATACCAGTGCTTGGAGACAGAGAAACGGTTATTGGATTTGGCCAAAGTAAGAAGGCAGGAGAGTAAATCTCTCAAATTCGTCTTAACAAGGAGATGAAACAGGGAGTTTTTAATGCAGCTAGAGAATAAGGGAGGGGGATTCTCAGGGAACCCAGGGAAAAAGTCTGTGTTCCTTCAGTCTCAGATAACACCTTGAGCAACCAGACTTCTGAGTGTCAGCAGCCGCTCACAGTGTCCTTAAAGGCATTCATTTTTTCTGCAAAATTTTTCGTGACCCTGAAGTTCTCTCTTCCTGCTTGAAAAAGAAATAGTATATCAGCAGTTTATAATTATATTGTGGGAAAAAGGGATATCGGGCAAAAAGTAAGCAATTAACGTGAAGCAGGCAAGTGTGTAATAAGAATTTTCATTATTTCATTCGGTCACTAAAAGTGCTGGGGTATTGAAATCTCAAGAGGCCCGGTTACAATTTCATTTCCCTGGTATCTTGGTTAGCACTGCAGTTGTTAAAATAAGGTGACCTGCACTGTATGCTACTACTGCAGATTGTTGGTGTGACATACTGGTTTAAAAAACAGATTTAAAATAGAAAAGGGAAAAGCAAGCTAAGTCGAGGCTGTGGTTCCCAAACTCACAGCAGAATTGAAGATGTAGATATAGTAGATTGAAATGGAGGATAGGAGGGTTGGAAGGGGAGACTGAGGCCTTATAGCCTTACCCTCTGGTGGGGCTGCTGACTCACTCCATGGCTCTATAGTCACCAGTGAGCTCATCCTGGGAACAAGAATCTCACCTAGGGACTGCCAGTCCCCAGAGCTAGGGCTCCAATGGGAACTTGTCCCAAGCCAGGAACCAGAATCAGGCAGGCCAGACACGACCAGCAACCAGGCTGCCCTGAGGCTGAGCACCTGGGGAAGGGCCTTACAGACTGAGGGTGGGGGCAGGCCAGAGGCTCAGGGCCTGAGACTGAGGTGGTGCTGGGAAGCAAGGAAACCACTTTGAAGTATATTTGCTATTTAAATTAATCTTTTATTTTTCACCACTCATTTTAGGCTTATATTATCACTTTTACACCACCAATTTGATCAGAGCAATATTAACGACCCAAGCAAGGATCCAGTTCTAGCCTAATTAGGGGCAGCAGGTGAATTAGTAGATGGAAGCCCAGAGAGATAACACCGTGTGTCCAGGTCACACAGCAAAACTGGGATCTGAATTTGGAAGAGGAAACTCCTCATCATAACCCTCTACTCCAACCTCCCATCCCCCTCCTGCAGTCCTCAGGCAGTTCCCCTTAAACCATGTGTGCAATTGCATCTTTCCAGATAAACCAAGTCTGAGAAGGTTACACAAGGGTCTTGCCTCCCTTCTCCACATTTGTGGTCTGGCCCCTCCTGCAATATTAACCTGGCTCTTATAAATGTTTCATCCATTTTCTATTCCACATCACCCCTGCTACCATCTTCTCACATTTGAGCTTGGGATCATGAAAAGTAAATGTGCTTACTTCACCCACCCTTATGCTTTCGCCCAGATTTGGGACTTAACAGGAAATGATCTTGTTCAAATGTTCTTCCAATCATCTAATTCTCTAGTCCTTCAGCCCTGCCTGCTCAGCTGGGCTCAGTAAGGGATACTGTTATAAATACACCTTGCTTCTGGGTCCAGCTTTCACCTTTTCAAAGCATGCTTCTATAATATTGTCTATGTATTCCTGGGCAGTCAGGAGGAGCCATGTTTGAACACTTGGGTTCAGAGATGCTAACCTACTTGCCCAAGGCCACAAAGGGAATTGTCAATAGTTGTGAAGGTGCAGGATTCAGTTCTGACAGTTGTCTCTCTTCTAATCTCTTAGCTTGGGCACTCCTCCCCTCTTGTCTGTCCGCCAGTATCCACCCTAAAGCTGCATTCTCTGACAGAATGGGTTCCAAAGCTCAAGCCCTTTCCTTTTTGTCATATGATGGAAATAAAATCTAGGAGTTGGAGAAGAGGAAGGAGGAAGCAGAGACTGCTGTGGCTGGTATTCAGCTTTGATCACATCATGTCCCTCCTCAGAGACCTTCAATGGTTCCCCATTAACCATGAAAAACACCTAATGCCAGTTTTTAAGGAAGGCCCTTTGTGAAACTGGCTCAGGCCATCTTCCCACCTTCTTTCTCACTACTCCTCCCTCTTCAGTAGTCACATTGTGGGCTTTACTGTTCCCAGAACCCCGCTAGAGCTGTGCTTCTTCCACTGGGCTTTTGGAAATCTTTTTTTCTGCTAATCTAGATCAATGATTCTCCAACCAACCACAGATTCTATACAGAGAACCTTCTGATGCCTGGGTCTTGCACCAAAGATTCTGCTTAAATTGTTCTGGGATGGAACATCAGCATCTTAGCCTATATGACACTTTGTAAACTATAAGTCGGTATAAACAATAAAAACAGATTGGGCTCTTGTATGCTCACAGTCTGCCTTAGAATGAGGCAGAAAATGGGTGGAGAGAAGTTTAAGAGCTTGATTTCATATCTAATTTAAATATAATCCCTTCCCTCTGAAAGCTAGTGTGCTTGTTTTCCAGAGCTGGGGAGACTATTTGCCCCAAAATGGCGGAGTCAGTCTTCTCCTCTGGCTGCTTTTTCTTCTCTTTTACGTCTAGGGCTGAAAAGAACTGCAGAGAGCAACAGAATAGGCTTCCCGTTGCTTACTAACGCATTCACTTCCCATGTGGATCCTGATAATTAGTTTCCTGTTATTCTACTACCAGGTTGCAAACTCCTCCAGGGCAAAGGCCTGTATCTTTTATCTCTATCTTCCAGCACTAAGCACAGTGCTTGGCACACAAATAACAATAAATGTTGGCTAATCCATGATAAATGTGGTCCAATCTCAGCACTTTGAGCAAGGCAAGATTCAATGAGTGCAAGTGACTTACCAGTGTACCTGAGGGAGTTGGTGGCAGAGATGTGCCGAGAATCTAGCTCCTATTATTTCCAGGATGTACTCTACATATTCACACACCCTCTTCTGCCTTCCTTCTCCCAACCCACCAGGACACTGATTAAGGAAGCAGAAATATCAAGCACTCAGTACTGCATTCCAATTCCCAAGCGATAGCAGTGTCCCCTGAGGTTTACTGAAGCCCTAGGGACCACAGAGACTTCAAAGCCAAGGCAGACTACTCTCCTTATTCAATTCCAAGGAATCAGCCCCGATGTATTAGAGCTATTCTTATAAAACCATCTCTATCTGTGCTTTCATTAAGATGGGGAGGCACTGGCCCTTTACATTTCTGGTGACTTTATAACAGCGGTTCTCAATGCGTAGGCAGCAGACTCAACATTGGAACCATCTGGGAACATCTTTGAAATGCAAATTCTTCAGTTCTAGCTCAGACCTACTGAAACAGGAACTCTGGGGATGGGGCTCAGCAACCTTGTTTTAACAAGCCACCAAGGTGATTCTAATGCATGCTAAAGTCTTTAGAACAGCTAATCTAGAAGAAGGAGGAGGATCAGGGCCCTATAAAACCCTTCATGCAATGCCTTGGCTGGACGGAGGGGTGTAGGAGCCTAGTGCCTGTCATCACAGGCTTCCAGAGAAGGGCTGAAGTGACTTGTGCCTGAGTGAAGCTAGTAAGCCTTTTAGGCTGAGGCTGATGAGCAAGAATGAATTGGCTTGGAAGGTGGCTATTCCTGGCTGAATCTGGAAGAGACTCCTGGTTCCAGGAGAGCCAGAAGGTTCCACCAACATGTGTGCTGACGCCGGATGAGGAACCTTCAACTTGAAGGTTCCATCTACCTGGCCTGGTATTCTGACAGCAGGGACTGGGTTTAGGGGCTCCCTTTCCAGGTGATGGGCTTGCTCTGGGCAGGGAGAAGGCAACTGGCCTGGTGACTGGCAATGCCTTTCTGACTTGGGCTTGAGATAAGGACTACGTGGGAAATATAAGTATCGGCCTGCCCTCAGTGTGGGGTTATCCAGGCCCCAGGGTTAAAGGCTGCTGGCTTGGGCACAGGTCCTGAAAGGGTGTGGGTCATGGCAGCCTCCCCCAAGGGAGGAAGTTCTGAGACATCCCTGCTCAGGGGAGTTGAAGCAGATGTGGTGCTTAGCCAAGCAGCCATTGAGGGAGAAAGGACTGTGGGTATGAGAAGTCCTTAGGGCACAGCTGTGCAGGGCTCCCACCTGATGAAGTGTTAAGTGGGAAGGGGATGGAAAGCTGGCAGTTGGGAAGCATCTGGTCTGAGCTAGAAAGGAACCTGATGCTGGCTGTAGAGTCTGGTTGGAAGAGAACTCCAGAAATGAACAGTCTCTGTTCAGCCCTGGACTCTGGGTGCCTGAGGTTGTCTGACCCTCTAAGGTGGCCTGGGCATGTTTGGGTTCCTGAGCTGGGTACACCTTGGATGGTTAGAAAGTTGGCTTGGGAAAGTGGCAAAGTCTTGGCCTTAGTTGCAATCAGGCCCCCTAGGCCATTCCTTCCAGCTGATCCTGGGATGGCTGACCCATGGCTGCTGCCTCATATCTGGGCAATGTCACAGGCAGGATCCTGAAAGAGGCCAATGCTATGCCTGAGCTCGTGTACTTTGGGTCTGGCTGTTGGAACTAATAGCTTTCTTTAAGCAGGGTGGGTTCTGGAAAGACAATTGGGGTCTTTAAACAGTGGCTTAGCTGATTGGAGAGCCAGTGGCCAGGTGCTACGAAATACCTACGCAGCCTCTGCATCACCTGACCTCCTGGTATCCATCATGAAGACTGAGCTCTGGCATGAGAGCCTGGTGTGGTTTGGTGTCACAGGAAGAAGCTACTGGGCAAAAGTTCAGAGTAGCTGTGTAGCTGTGTGGACAATATGAGCTTGGTACACTCCTAATATCTCATTTTGCCTCGAGCTTGTTTTCCCAGGTGGTGTTGGCTACTGTCCCTGCAATGCCTATGGAGAAAGGCCAGAATTCAGTTCTTAAAAGACTTTGAGTGCAGGGGGTGGGGAGAGGATGAGCCCTAAGGTAGAGTACCCAGGTGTTGGGAATAGCCTAACCATCACTCATCAACCCACACAATGACTTACTGTGGCAGGGCCTCCTAAGACAAGGCCCCACTCTGCCTCAAGACCTTTAGTTTAGCAGGGGCGGAGGGGGCTGCTGTGAAGAGGGGAGAGAACAGCACTAGCTGAATGTTGAGGGGGCAGAAAAGCCTCAGATTAATAAGCAGTGAGGTGGGAGGCAGGAGGAATATAGGCCGCAAGTGAGAAATGTATGTCCTCACTGCAGAAATGAGGAATGTTAGTGCCTTCCCACTTGCAAGCTGTGGCAGAGACTGGACTGAGGGTTGAGGCCAAGGGGGATCCTGTCTGGCACAGGCACTAAGGGGAAAGAAGAGTGGGAGAGCCATGTGTGGAAGAAACCCCACCACTGTGAGGGGCTTGAGTAAAGCTGGCACCAAGCTGAGTGGTAGCAGCTGGCTAAATGGCATCAGTCTTAAAGGTTCCCCACGCACCACCCCTCCACCGCCACCGTCCCCGCCTCCCCCGCCCCCCACCTTCCCTCCACGCCAAACCGCTATGGAGCCGCCTCAATGTGGGCTATCCTGGCCCTCCTTGGCCTCAGTCCCACAGCTGGGACTTCATGGGCCTGACTGTCCTGCTTGAGGCACTGAACCCCTGCTGTCCCTGCAGATGTTGCAGAGGGTCAGTGTTTCTGTCATGGCCTAGGACAAGCCCTTCTGTGATCTCTATGATGGATTCTATCTCTAATCTTCCCTCGGATCCTATTGTCCCTGCTGCTCCCTTGGGAGGCAGGGGCACCTTTCTGTGTGTAATGAGAGAAGTTTCTCCTGGCTCTGGCCTCTCAAATGTTGCTTCCTCCAAAGAGCACTGTCTCACCTATCCAGGGACTGAGCAGCCACAGGGCCCTGCTGATGGCGTCATCGGCAGCTGCCGGAGGGCCCCCGCCCTTGTCTGCTTTTGTTCCTTTGACTGTCTTCCTTCCTCCAACTCTTGAATGTAGGACTGTCAGCGCCCCCCTCACCTGTGGCATGAAGTTTTCCTTACTTATCCTCTTCGTGGGCCATTTTACTCTTTAGTATCGCTAAACCTTCGGATGTTTCCCCCCCTCAGATTTTTTTCTGACTCCTATTGTTTGGATGATAGCATGACCATTCTCCACATCTTAAGTGTTCTTTTCATGTGATCTGCGTTGCCCCTTTCCTTCTAGATGATCTTATCAATCTTGATTTTTAAGTAAGCTAACTTGTTCCTTAGATCAATTCTGCTCTCATAACCATTGTATCCTGTATTTTAATGACTTTCACACCTAATCTAATGTTGCTAATGCCTTTTTAATCTCTGATTTATCTATTTTAACATTTCTCCTCCTGAAATCTGTGATCCAGTTAACTATCCTGAAATAGTTGTACTCTTAAAACCTCATCTTGGCTTGAGCTCACTTTCCCGGGGGATGTTGGCTACTAACAATGCCTCTGGGGGAAGGCCAGGCCTCCAGTGCTCGAAGTAACCCCAACCCCACAGGTTAGGGGTAGGTGTTACGGCGGGTGTTTGTTCTTAGAGCTCCCAAGATGGCAGCAAGCCTTTTGTTCTCTGGCCTGGGGTTCTTGGCCTCACGGATTCCAAGGAATGGAACCATGGGCCATGCAGTGAATGTTATAGCTCTATTAGAAGCCATGGGTCATGGAAGAGAACCGTGGAAGCTAGCGACTAGTGTTCACCTTGATTAGGACAAACCTGGGCACTTAGCCATGCAGGAACAATGGCGAGCCTCTAGCCAGATCGGGAGCGGCAATGGGTGCCGCGCTGAATCAGAAGCACAGCGGACACCCTGCTGGATCCGGAGGGGTGAAAGTCAATGGTGGGTCTGCAACGGCAGCATTCAGCAGTGGTGGACAGCAAGCAAAAGCTCAGCTCGAGACGGAACAAACACCAATCAGAACAGTCTACAGTTGCAAGATTTAATAGAGTGAAAACAGAGCTCCCATACAACGGGAGGGGACCCAAAGGGGGTTGCCACTGCTGGCTCGAATGACCTGGGTTTGTATCCTGATCATTGTCCCTCCTCCTGTGTGCTATCAGGCAATAGATGATTAACTATTTCTTTATCTCCTGCTTCTAGCCTAATTGGTGTTTTAGTGAGCTCTCTTTTACTACCTGATGCGGGGTGTGAGCTGAGTTACAAGCCCAGTGTTTAAAGGTGGGTGCAGTCACCTTCCCCAGCTAGGCTTAGGAATTCTTAGTTGGCCTAGGAAATCCAGCTAGTCTTGTCTCTCATACCGGAGAGATGATGAACCCTAAAATAGAATGCCTGGGTGCCAGGAAGATGGCTAATCACTCTCCTGCCCACAAACTGACTTCAAAGGGCAAGGCCTCTCTGCTTACACGGCAGAGGGTGCAATAGAAAGCGAGTTTTAGGCTGTAATTTAATAGCCCTGGGGAAATTGGCAGAGGTGGGAGGTTTTCTTGACACGAGAGATTACTAAGCAATTCTCCCAGTTTTTACTTAGCTGACTTAGGGCTTTTTGCTTGGACCTGATTTTATTCTTGATGACACCTGGCCCAGAGGTGTAAATACCTGTAGGTATGAGACCAACCCTGTCTCAACATAATAGGGGAGAAGCAGGAGCAGAACTCAACCTACTTTTGTCTTTAACATATCATCCACAGCTGAGCCAGGCTGCCTCCTGCCCCAGAACAGAGCCACCACCCTAACACTAGGTCAAAACAGCCTGGAGCTGCTTGTCTTTCTCCAGTCTGTTGTCTTAATCTCTCTAGGCTTGTTCCTGGTGGATGAAGCTAGCAATTGTGATCAGCATCTTTAGAGCTAGGACTAGATCTAATCAGTTAAGACTTCATAGAAGTGCTAGACTATAATTTTGACTGTGCTGGGTTTGGTGGTCCTAGTGAATAGCAGCTGAGTATGTCAACTTTAAATAGTGAGATTCAGAAAACAGTAAGCATAGAGTTTACACAGCTTGAGGATGGCCACCTCGAAAACAGACCATGTAGGAAAGGGGTCAGTGCTCCAAAGGGAGAAATTAGGTTTTCACTTACACAGGCAAAGACATTTAAGAAGGGTTACAACACTTTCCATGAAAGGTCAGTATATGCATTATAGCCATCTGATTGGTTATAGCTTGCTACATTCCAAGGAAGATTGCTTTAACATTACCTAAGGAAGGTCTGGAGGTTTCTCATTTTTGACATCATTTTATCTTTCCTAATCACTTATACAAAAAAGCAGAAGTTGGCAGCTGTATGCTGTGTGACTCAGGCCATATAGCCACACTCCTCTCAAGGCTGAAAAGTTATAACAGCTTTACGTGTGAATTACTTAATTCTAAAAGTACCCAAGAAAATGAACTAGAAAGTCCACTTTGAAACTCCTAAATCCATGCTTCTCTTTTATACTATCAACCTAAAGGAAGAAACTGGGGCAAAATTAATATAATTCATTGGGCTAAGGTTGAGGACTGCAGTCTAGGAGTCTTGGATTCATGTTGCCCTGAATATATACTCCAATTGGAAGCAATTACAAGTAGCTCTTTAAAGTAAAAGGGAGCAGTTCCTAAGTTGTTTACCAGAAATTTACATTGATTCAGTAAAATAACATCAGTTACCGATTGACTATACATTGTTCTTTGTATTTAAAAAATCCAGGAACATGAGGATAATGGATGAAGGTCAGATTGTACAACTTGCGAGAACACTTCAGATAATTTATCAGCTAGTCTGAAGACAGGGAAGGCTAAAACAGTGCCTTTAAATTACCCCTGGGCATAGGTACAAGGGATGTGTCAAGTCTCATGCCTCTGAGCCTGATAATTTTTTGCACCTTTCACATTCCTAAGACTGCACTAGGCCACTTTACTTTCTCAATGGCTTTTTTTCCCAGCTTATTTTAGGTTCTGGGGTACATGTGTAGGTTTGTTACATGGATAAATTATGTGTTGCTGAGGTTTGGTATATGAATGGTCCCCTCACCCAGGTAGTGAACATAGTACTCCATGGATAGTTTTTCACCATCCCCCATTCTAGTAGTTCCTGGTGTCTACTGTTGCCATCTTTGTCCACGAGTAACCGATGTTGAGCTCCCACTTATGAGTGGAAATATGCAGTATTTAGTTGTTCTGTTCTTGCAATAATTTGCTTAGGATAATGGCCTCCAACTCCATTTGCTGCAAAGGACATGATTTTGCTCTTTTGTGGCTGTGCAGTATTCCATGGTGTATATGTACCACATTTTCCTTAGCCCACAGTTGGTGGGCATCGAGATTGAGTCCTTGTGCTTGATATTGTGAATGGTGCTGCAATGAACATGCATGTTCCGATGTCTTTTTGGTAGGGTCCAATGGCAGCTCTGTTTTTAGCTGAATTTCCAAATTGCTTTCCACAGTGACTGAACTAATTTACATTCCCACCAATGTGTATAAGCATTCCTTTTCTCTACAGTCTCATCAGCATCTGTTTTTTGGCTCTGGGGATAATAGTCATTCTGACTATTGTGAGATGGTATCTCATTGTGGTTGAATTGCATTTCTTTGATTAATGATAAGTATTTTTTATTTGTTGGCTGCGTGTGTGGGTTCTACTAAGAAATGTCCATGTCCTCTGCCCATTTTTATGACAGGATTGTTTCTTCTTGAATTGTTTTAAGTTCTGTATAGATTCTGGATACTAGAGTTTTGTCAGATGAATAGTTTGCAACAATTTTCTCCCATTCTGTAGGTGGTTTGTTTACTCTAGATTCTTCTGTGCAGAAGCCCTCTAGTTTAACTACGTCCCACTTGTCAATTTGTTTTTTGTTTCACTTGTTTTAGGGATACAGTCAAATTCTTTGCCAAGGCCATTTCCTAGAATTTCTTTTAGGATTTTTATAGTTTGAGGTCTTACATCTAAGTATTTAACCCATCTTGACTTAATTTTGGAGTATGCTAAAATGTAGGGGTCCAGTTTCATTCTTCATATGGATAATCAGTTATCTCAGAACCACTTATTGAATAGGGGGCACCTTCCCCCATTGTTTGTTATTGTTGACTTTGTCAAAGATCAAATGGGTATAGGTGTGTAGCTTTATTTCTGGGCTCTCTATTCTGTTCCATTGGCTTATGTGTCTATCTACTAGTACCATGCTACTTTGGTTATTGTAGCCTTACAGTTTGAAGTCAGGTAGTATGGTGCCTCTGGCTTTGTTCCTTTTGCTTAGGATTGCTTTGGCTGTTTGGGCTCTTTTTTTTAGTTCCATATGAACTTAAAATTTTTCCTAAGTCTGTGAAGAATGACAGTAGTTTGATAGGAATTGTATTGTTCTTGTAGATTGCTTTTGGCAATATGGCCATTTTAAAAATGATGTTGGTTCTTCTGATCCATGAGCATGGGATATCTTTCCACTAGTGTCATCTATGATTTCTTTAGGCAATGTTTTGTAGTTCTCCTTGTAGAGCTTTCACCTCCTTGTGTAGGCATATTCCTAGGTACTTTATTTTCTTTTGTGGCTACTGTAAATAGAATTGTGTTTTTGATTTGGCTCTCAGAATGTTATCGATATATGGAAATGCTACTAAATTTTGTACATTGGTCTTTTTTTCTTTTTCTTTTCTTGATCCTGAAACAATTTTATCAGTTCCAGGAGGCTTTTGGTAGAGTCTCTAGGGTTTTCTCAGTATAGAATCATATTCTCAGGGATGATAGACAGTTTGACATTTCCTTTTTGGATGCCTTTATTTCTTTCTCTTGCCTGACTGCTCTGGTGAGGACGTCTAGTACTAGGATGAATAGCAGTGGTGAAAGTGGGCATCCTTGTCTTGTGCCTGTTCTCAAGGGTAATAGTTCTAGCTTTTGCCTGTCCAGTATGATATTGGCTATGGGTTTGTCATAGATCGCTCTTAGAGGTATGTTGCTTTGCCTAGCTTGCTGAGGGTCCTTATCATGAGGGGATGTTGAGTGTCTGCCTGTTGGCTGGGAGGGGATGTTGGGCATCTGATCATCAAGCTTTTCTACGTCTATTTAGATTATGTGGCATATTAGTTCGTTCTCATGCTGCTAATAGAGACATACCTGAGACTGTGTAATTTATAAAGGAAAGAAGTTTAATGGACTCACAGTTCCACATGCCTGGAGAGGCCTCACAATCATGGTGGAAGATGAAGGAAGAGCAAAAGGACATCTTGCATGGAGGCAGGCAAGAGAGCTTATGTAGGGGAACTCCCCTTCATAAAACCATCAGATCTCGTAAGACTTATTCACTACCACAGGAACAGCACAGGAAAGACCCATCCCCATGATTCGATTACCTCTCACCAGGTCCCTCCCATGACACATGGGGATTATGGGAGCTACAATTCAAGATGAGATTTGGGTGGGGACACAGCCAAACCATATCATTCCACCCCTGGTCCCTCCCAAATCTCATGTCCTCACATTTCAAAATCATGCCTTCCCAACAGTCCCCAAAGTCTTATTTCAGCATTAACCCAAAGGTCTACAGTCCAAAGTCTCATCTGAGACAAGGCAAGTCCCTTCCACCTGTGAGTCTGTAAAATCAAAAGCAAATTAGTTACTTCCTAGATACAATGAGGTACAGGCATTGGGTCAATGCACCTGTTCCAAATGGCAGTAATTGGCCAAAACGAAGGGGCTACAGGCCCCATGCAAGTCCAAAAGTCTAACAGGGCAGTCAAATCTTAAAGCACCACAATGATCTCCTTTGACTCCAAGTCTTACATCCAGGTCATGCTGATGCAAGAGGTGGGCTCTCATGGCCTTGGGCAGCTCTGCCCCTGTGGCTTTGCAGGCTACAGCCCCCCATCCTGGCTGCTTTCACAGGCTGGCATTGAGTATCTGCAGCTTTTCCAGGTGCACAATGCAAGCTGTCAGTGGATCTACCATTCTGGGGTCTGGAGGACGATGCCCCTCATCTTGCAGCTCCACTAGGAAGTGCCCCAGTTGGAACTCCCTGTGGGGGCTCTGACCCCACATTTTCCTTCTGCACTGCCCTAGCAGATGTTCTCCATGACCCTGCAGCACACCTCTGCCTGGACATCCAGCCATTTTCATGCATCCTCTGAAATCTTGGCAGAAGTTCACAAACCTCCGTTCTTGACTTGTGTGCACCCACAGGCCCAACACCATGTGTAAGCCGCCAAGGCTTGGGGCTTGCACCCTCTGAAGCCACTGCCTGAGCTGTACCTTGGCCCCTTTTAGCCATGGCTGGAGCTGAAGTGGCTGGGACACAGGGCACAGAGTCCCGAGGCTGCACAGAGCAGCAGGCCATGAAATCATTTTGTTCCTCTTTGGGCTCCTGGCCTGTGATGGGAAGGACTGTCGTGAACATCTCTTACATGCCCTGGAGACATTTCCCCCATTTTCTTGGCGATTAACATTTGACTCCTTGTTACTTATGCAAATTTCTGCAGCAGGCTTGAATTTCTCCTCAGAAAATGGGCTTTTCCTTTCTGCTGTATTGTCAGGCTGCAAATTTTCCCAACTTTTATGCTCTGGTTCCCTTTTAAACATATTCCAATTCCAAACCATCTCTTAGTGAATGCATAAAACTGAATACTTTTAAGAGCAACCGCACCCAAGTCACGTCTTGAAAACTTTGCCATTTAGAGTTTTGGTTTTTTTTTTTCTGCCAGATACCCTAAATAATCTCTCTCAAGTTCAAAGTTCCACAGATCTCTAGGGCAGGTGCAAAATGCTACCAGTCTCTTTGTTAAAGCATAGTAAGAGGCACCTTTGCTCCAGTTCCCAATAAGTTTTGCTTCTTCATCTGAGACCATCTCAGCCTGGACTTCATTGTCCATATCACTATCAGCATTTTGCTCAAAACCATTCAACAAGTCTCTAGGAAGTTCCAAACTTTCCCATATCTTCTTGTCTTCTTCTGAGCCCTCCAAAACTGTTGCAATATCTGCCTGTTACCCAGTTCCAAAGTCACTTCCACATTTCAGGTATTTTTATGGCAGTACCCCACTCCTGGTACCAGTTCATTGTATTAGTTTTCATACTGCTATAAAGAACTGCCCAAGACTGGATGATTTTATAATAAAGGAAAGAGGTTTAATCAACTCACAGTTCAGCTTGGCTAGTGAGGCCTCAGGAAACCTACAATCATGGCAGAAGGTGAAGGGGAAGCAAGGCACCTTCCTCACAAGGTGGCAGGAAGGAGAAGTACCTAGTGAAAGGGCCTTTATAAAAAACCATCAGATCTCATCCTGAGAACTCATGAGAACTTACTATCACGAAAACAGCATGGGGAAAACCACCCCCATGATTCGATTACCTCCACCTTTTCTCTCCCTTGACACATAGGGATTATGGGGATTACAATTCAAAATGAGATTTGGGTGGGGACACAAAGCCTAACCATATCATGGTCTATCAAGTTTGTTTATATTTTCAAAGAACCTGTTTTTTGTTTCATTGATCTTTTGAGTCATTTTTGTTTCAATTTTATTTCTGTTCTCATCCTTATTTCTTCTGCTAACTTTGGATTTAGTTTATTATTGTTTCTCTAGGTCCTTGAGTTGTGATGTTAGGTTGTCAATTTGTGACTTTTTTCAGACTTTTTGATGTAGCTATTTAGTGCTATAAACTTTCTTCTTAGCACTGCTTCTGTATCCCAGAGGTTTTCATAACTTGTGTCACTATTTTCATTCATTTAAAATGATTTTTAAATTTCCATCTTGATTTCATTGTTAACCCCAAAATCATTCAGGAGCAGATTGTTTAATTTCCATGTATTTGTATAGTTTTGAGGATTCCTTTTGTAGTTGATTTCTAGTTTTATTCCACTGTGGTCTGAGAAGATGCTTTATATGATTTTGGTATTTCTCAGTTTGAGACTAGTTTTGTGGCCTATCATATGGTCTATCTTGGAGAATGTTCCATGTGCTGATGAGAAGAATGTATAGTCTGTAGTTCTTGGACAGAATGTTCTATAAACATCTGTTAGGTCCATTTTTTTTTTACAGCGTAGTTTAAGTTTATTTTTTCTTTGACTTTCTGTCTCGATCTGTCTGGTGCTGTCAGTGGAGTGTTGAAGTCTCCCAGTATTGTGCTGCTGTCTATCTCATTTCTTAGGTTTAGTAGTAAATGTTTCATGAATCTGGGATCTCCAGAGTTAGGTGCATGTAAACTTAGGATTATAATATCTTCATATCTTGTTGGATTGATCCATTTGTCATTATATAATGACCTTGTCTTTTTTTTTTAACTGTTGTTGCTTTAAAATCTGTTTTATCCAATATAAGAGTAGCTGCTCTAGCTCACTTTTGGTTTCCATTTAAGTGGAATATCTTTTTCCAGCCTTTACCTCGAATTTGTATTCTTACATATTAGGGAGTCTCTTGAAGACAGCAGATACTTGGTTTGTGGATTTTCTTTTTATCCATTCTGCCAATCTGTGTCTCTTAAGTGGAGCATTAATCCTGAAATAAGAGGTTGCTATGCACCAGAATAGAACATTTTGAAAGCATAAAGCTTACAGGAAATACTATGAAGAAAATAAAGTATCAAGGTAACAATTAGCATGATGACTGGAACAGCAATTTACATTCACTGTTAATATTAAGATGTAAAGTGCCGTTCCAGTCATCATGCTAATTGTTACCTTGATACTTTATTTTCTTCATAGTATTTCCTGTAAGCATTATGCTTTCAAAATGTTCTATTCTGGTGCATAGCAACCTCTTGTTTCAGGATTTAGAATTCCTTTAGTATTTCTTGTAGGGCTGGTCTGGTAGTGGCAAATTCCCTCAGCATTTCTTTGTCTGAAAATGACTTTATTTCTCCTTCATTTATAAAACTTAGTTTTACTGGATATAGAATTCTTGGCTGACAGTTAATTTGTTTAAGGAGGCTAAAGATAGGACCTCAGTCCCTTCTGGCTTGTAAGGTTTCTGGTAAGAAGTCTGCTGTTAGTCTGATAGGTTTTCCTGTATAGGTTACCTGGTGCTTTAGTCTCACTGCACTCAGAATTCTTTCCTTCACATTGACTTTAGATAGCTTGATGACAATATGCCTTAAGTAAAGTCATTTTTGTGATGAATCTCCCAGGAGTTCTCTGAGCTTCTTGTATTTGGACATCTAAATCTCTAGCAAGACCAGAGAAGTTTTTCTCAGTTATTCCCTCAAATAAATTTTCCAAACTTTTAAATGCATTTTCCCTCTCAGGAAAACCAATTATTTTTAGGTTTGGCCATTTTACATGATCCCACATTTCTTAGAAATTTTGTTCATTTCTTTTAATTATTTTTTCTTTTTTGTCCGATTGAGTTAATTCAAAATCCTTACATCTGAGCTTTGAAATTCTTTCTCCTACTTGTCCTAGTCTATTGCTAAAACTTTCCACTGCATTTTGTAATTACCTAAATGTGTTTTCTATTTCCAGAAGTTCTGAATGGTTTTTCTTTAAAATATCTCTTTAGAAAATTTTTCATGCATATCCTGAATTGTTTTTAAAATTGTTTGTTGGTTTTCACCTTTCTCTGGTATCTCCTTGAGTAGCTTAATACTCAACCTTTTTAATTCTTTATCTGGTATTTCAAAGATTTCATCTTGGTTTGGATCCATTACTGGAGAGCTCTCGGCATGGTGTCTGTGTCACTGTAGTTGCTGTTTATACATTAGTTAGCATTGTTATTTTTTAAGATGGTGACCACTTCTATAGGCATCAGTCAGTCCTGTGTTCACAGCTGCATGCTGGGAAGTTCACAGTGACTTCTAACTCACCACATCCAAACTCAGATCTACCAACTTCTCCCCAACCCATCCCTTCTCATTTCACCATTTCTCCCATTGCAACCCCTGCCTTCTCCCACCGCAACCCCTGCCTTCTCCAACCCAGTTCCCCAACTTTCTTTCTCTCCATGACTCCCAGGTCCCCACACTCTGAGGCAGAAAAACTGGAGACCTCTTTCTCCCTCTTAAGAGTCCCCAGGCTCTGCCCGCTGAACCCCTAGGACAGGGTCTCATGGTCCCAGGACCATCCAGTGGCCACCTCACTGACTTGCCTCCTCAATCTGCCCTGACATCCAACTCAAAAGGTACTTCCACATCACAGCTCCAATGAGGCCTAGCTCCAGCTCAATCAGCACCCATGACTCCCCATTTCCTATAGAATCAAGTATTATCTCTAAAATAGCAGGCACAGGCCTTGCTGGGAGGGTTTCCTTTATGCCTTCTTGGCCACCTCTTCCTTTGGCATCTGGATATGCTGTTTAAGTAGAAGGGCTATGACCTGGCAGCCTCCTGACCACATCATCACATTCCTGACTTGGGGCCTTTGCTTACACTGTTCCCTCTGCCTGGAATCCTCCCTGAGTCCTCTTCCATGTTTATGGTTTCCTCTTGCCCCTGGGTATAGCTCCCAGCACCCCCGCTTCGGAGCAGTGAGGTCCTGCAGGCAGTACCAAGGCATACTGGCCAGAGCCTGCTGCAAGTGCTAGTCCAAGCTCAGCTTGCCTTTCCTCTGCCCCATGAAGCAAAAGCAAGACCAGCTACATAATTTTCAGGGTCCAGTATAAAATTAAAGTGCAGGGCCCCTTGTTCAAAATTAAGGATTTTGAGACAATAGATTATTATAAGCAATATTTACACTACTGATCTATCAAACACTAGATCTTTTTCTTCTATTGAACTTTGTATTTGTACCCATTGATGACGATAGTTTACAATAATGGATTATATATTTAAAATAGCTAGAATAATTTGTTTCTGGCATAAAGAAAAGACAAATATTTAAGGTGATATTTCAAGTACACTGATTTGATCTTTACAAATTACATAAGTATATTCAATTATCGCATGTAAACATTTTTTAAAAATTTGAGATGGACAAATCCCAGTTGAGGGACATTCTATAAAATAGCCAACCAATAATCCTTGAAACTGTCAAGGTCATTGAAAATAGGAAAAGGCTGAGAAACTCACAACCAAGAAGAGCCTAAGGAGTCATAATTACTGTATGCAATGTGAGATCCTGGATTGGGATCTCAGAAGAAAAGTATTAGATAAAAACTAAGGAAATCTGGAGGTTGAGGCAGGAGGATTGCTTGAGCCCAAGAGGTTGAGGCTTCAGTGAGTCATGATCACACAGCTGTACTCCAGCCTGGGTGACAGAATGAGATCCTGTCTCAAACTGAAGGAAGTCTGAATTTAGTACATAATATACGAAAATTTTCACTAATTGTAGTAAATGTACCCTGCTAATATATCAATAATAAAGGAAACTGGATGAGGGGTATATGAGAACTTCCTGTACTGTATTTGATATTTTTCTGTAACGCTAAAACTGTCCTAGAATTAAAAGTTTACTTTTTAAAAATTAACATTAAATAGACTGGGCATGGTGGCTCACACCTGTAATCCCAGCACTTTGGGAGGCCGAGGTGGGCAGATCACGAGGTCAGGAGTTCGAGACCAGTCTGACCAACATGGAGAAACCCCGTCTCTACTAAAAATACAAAATAAGCTGGGTGTGGTGGCACATACCAGTAATCCCAGCTGCTCGGGAGGCTGAGGCAGGAGAATCACTTGAACCTGGGAGGCGGAGGTTGCGGTGAGCCGAGATGGTGCCATTGCACTCCAGCTTAGGCAACAAGAGTGAAACTCCGTCTCAAAAAAGAAAAAAAATTAAAATATTTTGAGATGGCAACAGCAGAGATGACGAAGTAAATTGTCCACGACAGTCAGGATTTGAACATAGATCTGCCTGACCCTAAGGCTTTTGTGACTAACTGCTTACACTGCCTGAATACCAGTGAGAACACCATCCCCTGGGGAAAAGAGAAGGATGGAAGAAGGTTATCACCATATTTAGTATAGGTTAAGAATCCAAGTTTAATCACCCAGGCCACATAAAATATGACTGCATTTACATGAAATTTCCAAAATAAGCAAATCCATAGAGATGGAAAGCAGATTAATGGTTACTAAGAGTTGAGGGAGGGGAGAATGGGGAGTGACTACTTAATGGGTAAAAGATAGTGGTGATGATTATACAACATTGTGAATATATTAAAAACCACTGTGTGGGTGGCTTTTCAGAGTCTGTACACTGCTAAAAGGTGCAGCTCAGGGCAGAGTTCACATAGCTATATGCACTGGTGAGGAATGTGAGATAAAATTCACATAATAAAATTTATCATTTTAACCATGTTATTCTGATATTTCCTATTATTTATACTATGTGATTATGTCACATCCACAGAATTAAATTCTAGAAAGTAACAAAAAGTTTTAATGAAGACAATAAGAGGTGGTTTGTTGCCTATCAGATTTGCAATGATTCACATTATTTCTAATAAGTGGTAAACAGACATTTCCACACAGTATTGTCAGGAATATACATTAGTAATATGTTCTGAATATATTGTGTTAACATAAAATTTTATAGCTTTACATAGATTTGAAAGAATAATTTCAAGAACCTCTTATAGAGAAATGCTTACAAAGTTATTTTCATATATATGGGCAAGGTTAAGTACACCAAAATTTGAAATAGAGATAAACTAAGTTTTCATTACTAAGATATGGATGCCCCAAATATACTTCAATAAGATGAAGCATCTAGTTGATATAAAAAGAAAACTAAAATTTTGCTGTAATTTAAAGTGTTATGATAGAAAACTAGTTCCACGGAAAGATGGTCGTAATTAGGGCAAAGGCAGGTTATAAAGCTCATAAGTGGGCTGGATGCATTTTGGCTTGTATAGATCTATAGCTATTTATCTATAGGCCTTAAAGCATAAAAATAAAGGTGATTTTTTTTTTTTTTTTGAGACAGAGTCTCGCTCTGTCGCCCAGGCTGGAGTGCTGTGGCACGATCTGGGCTCACTGCAAGCTCCGCCTCCTGGGTTCACGCCATTCTCCTGCCTCAGCCTCCCGAGTAGCTGGGACTACAGGCGCCCGCCACCATGCCCGGCTAACTTTTTGTATTTTTAGTAGAGATGGGGTTTCACCATGTTAGCCAGGATGGTCTCGATCTCCTGACCTCGTGATCCGCCTGCCTTGGCCTCCCAAAGTGCTGGGATTACAGGCGTGAGCCACTGCACCTGGCCAGGTGATCTTTTAATCTTGTTACATAGAATTTTCCCTTCAACATAGGAAGAAGTTGTACTTTCTGTTTGGAAGCCATTAATATCCCTATACACTGGGAATACCCTTTTTTGTCACTCAGATTTTCAGAAATCGGTCTGGTGGGCTTGGGTTAAAGCCCGTCCCTCCCACCTTCCTGCTCAGTGACGTTCAAACTGAAGTTTGGACTTCTGTCATGAGGGGCACCAATATACCACCATTGTCAAATTCTCTACAAAGAAATGCATGCAAGGAGCAAAACAAAAATACCTCCCTTCAGACTTATGAGCCTATGTACAGAATGATTTTAATTCTTCCAAAAATAAAAAAAACTAGTAAGAGTAAGACAGTAAAAACAAACTGGGGCACCCACATGAAACACCAGGCAGCTTTAGTGTGCTTTAGCAGTCCCCAGCAAGCAAAGCACAGTATAGGACAGGCAAGAGTTGTCTGAGAGAGGATCAGGTGCCATTGACAGATCTGGGCAGCTGTGTCCACAGTGTCCTGGAGCCTGTGAGGGAGTGGGAGGAGATCTGGGAAGCCAGTACAGGGGTTGGGTAATGAAGTGTGATCACTCTGTCGTCTAGGAGGGACCCCTCTATAGTGTGGATACCTCAACCTACACTGAGGAGATAAGAGTTAAATCAGTGAGATGTAGATTTAAGGTCAACAGCAAATTGAGCTGTTTTAATGCACATGTGAATTTTCCAAACAGAATTGGCATCACAGCATAAAAACTATTACAAGATATTTTTTATTCTTTGCAAAATATACTCATTTTTATTAAAGCAGTAAAAGCAGAATAGAGTTGGATGTCACCTAGCGGCCAGAGACAGGATGGAAGCTCTGAGAGTTTCAGAACAGGGGGCTCAGCAAGGGGGCGAGAGGAATGGAGGCTGGAGGTTAACTCCAAGGTATCAGGCAGTTTTCTGCAATTATTCACCTGATTGTAGCAATCTCTCTGCATCAACTATTTTCTAGGATATCTAAAACTGAAATTGGAGTCAAGCCCATCTCTGAATTCAAGGTGAAACTTCACTTGTGAGTGTGTATTTGGAGTGATGATAGAGCCAGAGGACACACACACATACATACTCAGTTATTTCAAAGTTTAATCAACTTTATTTCACCATAAATTTAACACAGTGAATGCTTTTTCAAATTAATAAATATGTGTGCACATGACATTTGTCAATCTGTTCACAAGTAATTTTTTGTTTAAATTTGTATGAATATTTTTAAAAGACAAAATTTCAAACAATATATAAAAGTATATTCCTAAATAGAAATTAATCTGCATCCTTCACTTGCTCTTCCCCTACCCCTTAACACAAAAAGGTTTGCTGTCAATAGAACAAAGCTTTTATCCCAGACATGTTTCACATCATGCCTCTGAGCAGACCCAAATTCTGTTCTCCAGGTTGGGAAGAATGTAATTGACCTCAGCTGGTGAGCTCAGTGATAGGTCACATGAAGGAAGCAAGGAGTGGTGTTTGCCTAATGGCTGCTCCTGGACTGCTCAGTATATTAATACATTTACAGAAAAATTGTGAACGTGTACAGGAGTAACCAGTACAGGGTCCTCAGATCATGCATTATTCAGCCATATCACACCAGGATTTCAGCCACCTGCTGCCTTCTTGGAGAGGCAAAAATTTAGCATTTATTTGACTCACAATTGCCCATTGTCCATTTTCTCACTAATAACTAAATACATATTTAGCTCAAAACTCATACTAGTCGATTAGAGGCCTCTCATGAGCTCTAAAGTGAAAATAAGAGCGTAAGAAAGAAAATGTGCTGGGTGAAGTGGCTCACACCTATAATCCCAGCACATTAAGAGGTCGAGGTGGGAGGATCACTTGGGCCCAGGAGTCCGAGACCAGCCTGGGCAACCTAAAGAGACTCCCGTCTCTACAAAAATAAACAAACAAAAAAAATTAACTGGGTGTGTTGATATGCACCTGTGGTCCCAGCTACTCGGGAAGCTGAGCTGGGAGGATCACAGGAGCCCCAGGAGGTTGAAGCTGCAGTGAGCCATGATCGCAACACTGTACTCCAGCCAAAAAAAAAAAATGAGCAATTTCTAGTGTTAAATCTGAGATAAGATAGCTTCATCACGTTAACTTTTAAAAATACATTTATTGTCTATATTTAAGATATGCAATATGATGTTCTAAGATACATACAGAAAGTAAAGTATTAGTTACTATATAGTGAAGAAAATAAATATATTCATAATACCACATAGTTACCCATTTTTTTGTGCATGGCAAGAACAGCTAAAATCTTCTCATTTAGCAAAACCCCTAAGTATCTTCATTTTAAAACCTTCTCAAGTTTCAAGAAATTGATTATTTTTTAAAATCTCCCCATTCAGCCAGAATCTCCATCTCTTTCCCTTCAAAGTTAAACTACCAAAGAGAGTTTTCTACATTTCCTGTTAAAATTCTTCACTTCCCCCTGCACTGTGGCTTCTGTCGCCAGGATTGCAATGAACATGATCTTACCAAGGTTGCAATCCACCTATTTGTCACCAGGTCCAGTTTTTTGTGTAAATGTATTAACCTGTGAAGTATTACTTTTAATGAGCTCCTAAAATATGCATGCTTGTGTAGTTGCTTCTTTCACCTAACAACAGAGCCTTGACAGTTTCCCAGGCTCTGGAGCATGATGTACTGAACATAAATCCAAGCTGTCGCACTCCCTAACTGTGCAGTCTCAGGTAAAATTTTTATTCTATCTGCTCCTTAGTTTTCCATCTACAAAATGGAGATCAGCAACAGTTTCAACCTTGTAAGGGTGCCGTGAGAATTGAACGACTCAGTAGCTAAAAAGCACTTGGCACATAACATATTGTAGCCATATTTGTTTCTCTGTCTTTATTGGCCATTAGTATTTACTATCTCTGTGGTAAAGACTCATATTTACTCACAACCAATGACCTTTGAGGTATGGTTTTAGTGAGACAAGCAGGTTATAAAACTAAATGTAGAATGAGATCTTATATTTTGTAGATAAGTATATAAATGTATTCATTTCTGCATAAATTTATAAGTACCTGCATAAGAAAATTTGTGAAAGAATATTATACAGATATAAGCATTAGCAGGTATTCTCTTTGAAATACTCAAGATATTTTGAGAGCAGGTATTCTCTTTTGTTTTAGAGTAATGCTGTTTATTTCATTTCTTATGTATTTATAACTGTAATAAATATCAAATGCTCCTGCAATTATACAAAAACATTGTCAGGAACATTCAAGCATTCCTTACCCCACCCACAGGAAAGAGATACACATTTAGAATGAAGAATATCCCTGAAGCTCAAGAATAAAAGATACTGAGGGAGCCACTTCCAAGTATACGAGGATATATTTTCCCCTAATTCAAAACCAAAGCAATAATTATCAATATTTTATACACCATGACATTCTAGGATTTAAAACCTAGTAGTTTTACACGTTTGTAGTATTGTGCCTTCATGGATACACATTCAACAACTCCTCCCACTTTGAATTACCCACTGGTGCAGATGAAATTCTGGTTCAGAGTCCTGTAGGTGGTAATGGTATGAGGGTCAAGGGCATGTGACTTCTCTCTCCTCTTTATCTGCACTCTTTCTTTATTTGACACTCCATAGGAAACTATTTTTCCAATATCAGTATAGAAGCTCAAATAATGGGGCAAAAATGACACAGAATTAAAGAAATGGTTTGATGATCTTTTCCCTCTTCCCACATTCCTTGGCAAAGCCATCCTGCATCACAGAAATAGCCCCAAAGCTTCATTTATAAACTAAATGTAAGTATATGCTACTTCTTCCTGCTCCATTACCAGCTGGTCTCTGTGGTAGTTATGCTGTTTGGTTTAGATGACAGTCATCACTTCTCTGGGAAGGAGAAGAAAAGTGGGCCAGGATGAATATTTGTTGAAGACTAGGTGCCATCTTCTCTGTATAGGATTTCTCTAGGTGCCATCTTCTCTGTATAGGATTTCTCATTTACCCCACAGGACAGTTCTGTAAGTAACACATCATGAGCTCTCAGTGGTTCCCTTTTCCGGATGACCATGGGCAAGCTGACAGAGGTTAAGGAAGTTTTCCAGTGTCACACATCAAGTAAAAGGCAGGAATGAGGTTCCAGCTTTTGTCCTCTTTAAAATGTTCCATGCATTTTCAACAGAGGATATATTGCCCCCAAGGGGCTGAGAATTGGTTTTTAAGGGTAGGGAGATAGTAGACATTAAAATGGTTTGTGGCACTACATAGGACCAAAATACATAAACAGTTAACACTATATCTGTGGTATTAAAATTTCACATTTCAGGCAAGAAGGGACTAATAAGGAGGAAAAACATGTCTAATAAGGCTCCTTTGGATAACGAAAGAAGATTGGGAAACATTTAATGTGCCCAGTGATATCTTCTGTAGATAATGGGCCACCAAGGCTTAGGGGCTGGTCATTTCACACCACCCCATGGATGCCTACTCAATAACCCCTTTAGATGATGATGCTGATGATGATAATGGGCATTTAATTATAAGTTACTTGAGTAGTATTTTCATTAATCTTAACCTTTACTCAAGTAATTTATAATTAAATGTCCATTTTATATCAGGTTATAGAAAGTTAGGAGAAGTTAAATAAATCAGGGAAACTTTGTTGTTAATGTCTGAAATTTCACTAAAGCTTCTGCTACAGATCTTCACAACCCTGTGCTCAGAAGATCCCCTTGACTCCCTGAGCAGAGCCTGCAGACTGACATGGAGAGCTACATGGAGTCTAGGCAGAGCCACTGCTCAGGCACACATGGAGCTCCAGGGCCCTTGGACTGCTGGGCACCCCAGCACCAGTGGCTGTAGCTCTGGCAACAAGAGAGGCCAGGCTCCCTGGAATGCCTCCAGTATAGGGGCTAAATCCACGGGGCTGAGGAGCAGATGGACTGCAGGCCTCACCTCCATTGCACCTTGCTGGATAATGCCCACTTGGCTGGGTCCCTAGCATGGCCACTCCAGCCTCACTTGAGCTCTAGAGCCAATAGCAGCCCTGTATTTCCCTGGAATGGAGCTCTCAGTGGTAGCAGACGGGTCCCCCAGTCTTGGCAGGGTGATTAAGGACTAATGCAGGCCCCCAGCACAGCACAGCTGCCTTACAGAAAAGTGGCCAGACTTTTTTCCACATAGATCTCTGTCCCCACTACTTCTTACTGGGCAGGGCCTCCAGACTTGGGACTCCAGCCACCCCACCCATGTCTGGGCTCTTGGGCCAGTAGCAGATCCCCCTGGGGGATCTGTACTTCCCTGGGACAGAGCTCTCAATTGTAGCAGGCAGGTCTGCCATTTTTGCTGCTCTGCAGCTCCTGCTCCTGTTTCCCTCAGGCTCAGGAGGGAGCCAAAAGACTTAGGACTAATGCAATCCTCCAGCACAGTGCAGCTGCTTTTTAGATAAGAAGGCAGACTCTCTTCCACATGGGCCCTGGCCCTGTTACTCCTCAGTGGGCAGGGTCTCTCTACCCAGGCCCCCAGAACAACCACCTTGTCCCCGCCCAAACATTTAAGTCAGTGGCAGCTCTGTCATTCTCTAGGGAGGAAATCACAGAGACAACCCACAGCCCCTCTCATTGCAGCTGCAGTGGTACTGCCCTTACTGCCTTTGGGCTGGGGAAGGAACAAAGGTCCAGGTCGCATTGCTGGCACCACCAGCACACCACAGCCACCATATGGGGAGGAGCCCAGTCTGTCTTCCCTGTGAGGCCTCGCTCCCTACTCTTCAACAGGCAAGGCCCCTGGCTTGGGACTACAGGGCAGCTACGCCACCCCCAACTAAGCATTCCCACTGGCAGTGGTTCTGTGTTTCCCTGGGGTGGAGTTCCCAGTGGCAACAGACAGCCCCTTTACCACTGCCACTGCAGTGGTTTTGACCTTGTTGTCTTTGGACTGGGGAAGGAACAAAGAGCCTGAGGGCATTACTCATGTCTCTAGCATGCCATAGTCACCATATGGAGAGGAACTCAGTCTCCCTTTCGTGTGAGTCCCTGACCCTTTACTCTTCACCAAGAAGGGCTCCCAGCTCAGGCCCATGGCACAGCCACCTCACCCTCTGGCTGAACACTTGCATTAGCAGACGCTCTGCATTTCTGTGAGGTGGGGCTCCCAGAGACAACTGAAAGTCCCTCTGACACTGCCACTGCAAAGGTACTGTGCTCGATGTCCTTGGACTGTGGAAGAAACAGAGACCCCTGAGTGCCTTACTCACACCTCCAGCATGCTGCAGTTGCTGTAAGAAGAGGCCAGTCTGTGTTCCCCATGGGCCCCCAGGCTTGAGCCCACAATGCAACCACCCCACACAAGGCCAATCACTCTGATTGACAGCAGTTCTGCATGTCTCTGGGATAGAGCCCCAAGAGACAAATTAAAGGCCCTCTGCCATTGCCACTGTCAAGGTTCGTGTTTGCCCCCATGCTGTGGAGGGAACATAAAGGCTGAGCTTACCCCGGGGCTGTAGTATGACGTCCAGGAGTGCCAAACCCAGATCTGCAGCCAGCACTTGAGTGGGAAAGGAGCCTACACTCTCAGAGCACTGAGAGAGAGAGAGCACAGCTGCAAATGCGGGCAAATACAGAGTAGTCATGTGACTGAACAACAGTCTACCTATCAGCCAGCATGCTTAAGCACCATCTACTGGATCACAGCCCAAACTTCAACACAAAAAAATACTTTAATATATCCTCTGTGAAACCAAGGACAATAATTCAGCTACAAATAAATACCCTGCACAAAGCATTAGCCCTCTGAAAACATCGAGAAATGAAGGTAACTGACTACACTCAAATTACACCACAGTTAAGGGTACACAAACCCACACACATGAGAAACAATCAGTGCAAGAACTCTGGCAACTCAAAAGCCAGAGGGTCTACTTACCTCCAAATCACTGCACTAGTTCCCCAGCAATGTTTCCTAACCAGGCTGAAAAGGCTGAAATGACAAAAATAGAATTCAGAATATGGATAGGAATGATCATCGACATTCAAGAGAAAGTCAAAACCCAATCCAAGGAATATAAGGAATACAATAGAACTATATAGGAGATAAAAGATGAAATGCTGTTGTAACAAAGAACCAGGCTGGGCATGGTGGCTCACGCCTGTAATCTCAGCACTTTGAGAGGCTGAGGTGGCCAGATCACTTGAGGTCAGGAGTTCGAGACCAGAGTGGCCAACATGGCAAAACTCTGTCTCTACTAAAAGTACAAAAATTAGCCAGGCATGGTGGCACGTTCCTGTAATCCCAGCTCCTTGGGAGGCTGACGCAGGAGAATCACTTGAACCCGGGAGGCGAAGCTTCCAGTGAGCCGAGATTTCACCACTGCACTCCAGCCTGGGTGACACAGCAAGACTCTGTCTCAAAACAAAAACAAAAACAAAAACAAAACAAAAAACAAAAACACAACTGATATGACAGAGCTGAAAAACTCACTTCAAGAATTTCATTAAAAAAATCACAAGTATTAACAGCAGAACCCACTAAGCTGAGGAAAATATCTCAGAGCTCAAAGACCAGTTCTCGAAAATAACTAAGACAAAAACAAAAAACAATAACGAAGAATGAACAAAACCTCTAAGAAATATGGGATTATATAAACAGACAAAACCCATGACTCATTGGCATCCCTGAAAGAGAGGGAGAGAAAGAAAGCAACTTGGAAAACATATTTGACAATATCAGCCACAAAAATTTCTCCAAGCTCACTAGAGAGCCCAACATTCAAATTCAGGAAATGCAAAGAACCCTGCAACATACTATACAAGACAATTATCTCCAAGGCACATAGATTCTTCAAGGTCAAAATGAAAAAATATTAAAGGTAGCTATAGAGAAGGGGCAGGTCACCTACAAATGGAAACCCATCAGGCTAACAGTGAAGTCTCAGCAGAAACCCTACAAACCAGAAGAGATTAGGGGCCTATATTCAACATTTTTAAGAAATTCCAACCAGGAATTTCATATTCCATCAAAGTAAGCTTCGTAAGCAGAGAAATAAATCCTTTTCAGTCAAACAAATGCTAAGGCAATTCATTAGCACCCGACCTACCTTACAAAAGGTCCTTAAGGAAGTGCTAAATATGGAAAGGAAAGACCGTTACCAGCCACCACAAAAACAGACTTAAGTACACAGACCATTGACACTATAAAGCTACCACAAAATCAAGTCTGCAATAATAACCAGCTAACAACATAATGACAGGATCAAACTTGCACATATTAATATTACCCTTAAATATAACCAGGTTAAATGCCCCAATCAAAAGGCATAGAATGCCAAATTGGATAAAGCAGCTAGACCCAACTGTATGCTGTCTTCAAGAGACCCCATTTCACATCCAATGACACCCAAAGGCTCAAAATAAAGGGATGGAGAAAAATCTACCAAGCAAATGGAAAACAGAAAAAAGCAGGGGTTCTTTTTCTAATTTCAGACAAAACAGACTTTAAAGCAACAATGATCATAAAAGACAAAGAAGGGCATTACACAATGGTAAAGGGTTCAACAAGAAAACCCAATTAGCCTAAATATATATGCACCAACATAGGAGTACCCAGATTAATAAAGCAAGTTCTTAGAGACCTATGAAGAGATTTAGATAACCACACAATAAAAGTTGGAGACTTCAACATCTCATTGATAGTATTAGACCATCGAGGCAGAAAACTAACAGATATTCAGCACCTGAACTCAACAGCTGACCAGATGGACCTAACAGACATCTACAGAACTCTCCACCCAAAAACAAGTATATACATTCTTCTCATATGCACATGGCACGTACTCCAAAATTAACAACATAATCGGCTGTAAAAGAATCCTTATCAGCTGGGCGTGGTGGCTCATGCCTGTAATCCCAGCACTTTGAGATGCCAAGGCAGGTGGATTCCCTAAGGAGTTCAAGACCAGCCTGACCAACATGGTGAAACCCCGTCTCTACTAAAAATACAAAAATTAGCTGGGCATGATGGCAGACGCCTGTAATCCCAGCTACTCACGAGGCTGAGGCAGGAGAATCACTTCAGCCCGGGAGGTGGAGGTTGCAGTGAGCTGAGACAGCACCATTACACTCCAGCCTAGGTGACAGAGTGAGACTCCATCTCAAAAAAAACAAAACAAAACAAAACAAAACAAAAACAAAAACAAAAAAAACAGAAAAAAACAAAAAACAAAAACAAAAAGCCTTATCAAATTCAAACAAACCAAAATCATACCAAACACACTCTCAGACCTCTCAGACTACATTACAGTAGAATAAAAATAGAAAACAGTATTCAGAAAATTGCTCAAAACTATAAAATTACATGGAAATTATACAAAGTGGTTTTTTTGTTGGTGGTGGTTTTCTTTTTTTTTTTTTAGACGGAGTCTCTGTCGCCCAGGCTGGAGTGCAGTGGTGTGATCTCGGCTCACTGCAACCTCTGCCTCCCAGGTTCAAGTGATTCTTCTGCCGCTGCCTCCCAAGTAGCTGGGACTACAGGTACGTGCCACCATGCCCAGCTAATTTTTTTGTATTTTTAGTACAGACAGGGTTTCACCATATTGGCCAGGCTGGTCTTGAACTCCTGACACAAAGTGTTCTTTAATAACTCTTGGGTAAACAATGAAATTAAGGCAGAAATCAAGAAGTTATTTGAAACTAATGAGAACAAAGATAAAACATATCAGATAATGGAATCTTTGGGACACAGCTAAACCAGTTTTAATGGTGAAGTGCTAAATGTCCACAACAAAAAGTTAGAATGACCTCAAATGAACAACCAAACATTACACCTAGAGTAACTAGAGGAACGAAAGCAAACCAACCCCAGAGCTAGCAGAAGACACAAAATAACCAAATCAGAGCTGAACTGACTAAAACTTATTTGCACAAAAACATACAAAAGGTCAATTAGTCCAGGTTGGTTCTTCAAAACAATAAATAAGATTGATAGACTGCTAGCTACATTAATAAAGAGATAAGATAAAAATAAACACAATCAGAAATGACAAAAGGGACATTACTACTGACTCCACAGAAATACAAAAAAAAAAACAACCCTTACAGACTACTTTGAACACCTATATGCATAAAAACTAGAAAACCTCGAATAAATGAATAAATTCCTGGAAACATACAACTCCCCAAGATTGAACCAGGAAGAAATTGAATCCCTGAACAGGCAAATAATGAGCTCTGAAATTGAATGAGCAATAAAAAGCATACAAACAAGAAAAAGCCCAAGACCAGATTGATTCACTGCCGAATTCTACCAGATGTATAAAGAAGAACTGAGACCATTCCTACTGAAACTATTCCCCAAAATTGAGGAGGAGATACTTTTCCCTAACTCATTCTATGAGACCAGCATCATCCTGATCCAAAACCTAGCAGAGACAACAACAACAACAATAACTTCAGGCCAATTTCTTTGATGAACATAGATGCAAAAATCCTCAACAAAATACTAGCAAACTGAATCCAGCAGAACATCAAAAAGCTAATCCATCATGATCAAGTAGGCTTTATCTCTAGGATACAAGGTTGGTTGAACATATGTTTCATATGTTCATAACAGAACTAAAACATAACATAAACAGAACTAAAAACAAGACATGATCATCTCTATGTATGCAGAAAGGCTTTCAATAAAATTCAACATCCCTTCATGATAAAACCCTCAATGAACTAGTCGTTGAAGGAACATACCTCAAAATAAGAGGCATATATGACAACCCCACAGCCAATATCATATTGAACAGCCACAAGCTGGAAGCATTACCCTTGAGGACTGGATGCCCACTCTTGCCACTCCTATTCAACATAATTCTGTAAGTCCTAGCCAGAGCAATCAGGCAAGAGAAAGAAATAAAAGGCATCTAAACAGGAAGAGGGGAAGTCAAACTATCTGTTTGCAGATGATATTACTCTGTACCTAGAAAACCCCATAATCTGCCCTAAAGCTCCTCGAACTTCAACTTTAGCAAACAAAATCAGTGTACAAAATCATTAGCATTTCTATACACCAACAATGTCCAACTCTGAGAGCCAAGTCAAGTATGCAATCCCATTTACAATTACAAAAACAGAAACAAAAACCTAGGAATACAGTTAACCAGGGAGGTGAAAGATCTCTACAAAGAGAATTACAAAACACTGCTCAAATAATTTAGAGATGACCCAAACAAATGGAAAAACATTCCATGCTCATGGATAGGAAGAATTGCTATTGTTAAAATGGCCATACTACCAAAGCAATTTATAGATTCAATGCTATTCCAATCAATCAATGACATTCTTCACAGCATTAGAAAAAACTGTTTTAAAATTCATATGTAACCAAAATAGAGCCCAAATAGCCAAGGCAATTCTGAGGAAAAGTAACAAAGCCAGAGACATCATGTTACCTGGCTTCAAACTATGCTACATAGCATACCTGACTTTGAGCGGCTACAGTAACCAAAACAGCATCGTACTGGTACAAAATCAGACACAGAGACCAATATAACATAACAAAGAGCCCAGAAATAAAGCCACACACCTACCACCATCTGATCCTTAACAAAGTCATCAGAAATAAGCAATGGGAAAATAACCCCCTATTCAATAAATGGTGCTGGTATAACTGGCTAGCCATATGCAGAAGATTGAAACTAGACCCCTTCCTTACATCATATACTAAGCTCAAGATGGATTAAAGACTTAAATGTAAAACCTAAAACTATAAAAAGTCTTGAAAGCCAGGTGCGGTGGCTCACGCTTGTAATCCCAACACTTTGGGAGGCCGAGGCGGGCGGATCAAGAGGTCAGGAGATCGAGACCATCTTGGCTAACATGGTGAAACCCCATCTCTACTAAAAATATAAAAAATTAGCCGGCTGTGGTGGCGGGCGCCTGTAGTCCTAGCTACTCAGGAGGCTGAGGCAGGAGAATGGCGTGAACCCGGGAGGCGGAGGTTGCAATGAGCCGAGATCATGCCACTGTACTCCAGCCTGGGCGACAGAGCGTGACTCCGTCTCAAAAAAAAAAAAAAAAAAAAAAAGGAAAAAAAAAGTCTTGAAAAAAGCCTGGGAAATAGTATGCTAGACATTGGCCCTGGCAAATATTTTATGATGAAGAAACCAAAAGCAATTGCAACAATACCAAAAATTAACTAATGGAACCTAACTAAATTAATAGCTTCTGCACAGCAAAAGAAACTATCAACAGAGTAAACATACAGCCTACAGAATGGGAGAAAATACTTGCAAACTATGCATCCAACAATGATCTAATATCCAGAATCTATAAGGAACTTCAACAAACGTATAAGCAAAAAACAGCCCTATTAAAAAGTGGGCAAAGAACATGAACAGATACTTTTCAAAAGAAAACATATGCGTGGCCAACAAGCATATGAAAAAGTGCTCAACATCACTAATCATTAGATAAATGCAAAACTACAATGAGATACCATGTCACACCAGTCAGAAGGGCTAATATTAAAAAGTCAAAAATTACAGATGCTAGCGAGGTTGTGGAGGAAAGGAAATGCTTATACACTTCTGGTGGGAATGTAAATTACTTCAGACATCGTGGAAAGCAGTGTGGTGATTTCTCAAAGGACTTAAAATGGAATTTCCATTCAACCCAGCCATCCCATTATTGGGTATATACTCAAAGGAATATAAATTATTCTACTATAAAGTGACATGCACACATTCCACAGCACTATTCACAATAGCAAACGCATGGAATCATCCTAAATGCTCATCAATGGTAGACTGGATAAACAAAACGTAGTACATACACACCACGGAATACTACACAACCATAAAAAGAATGAGAGCATGTTCTTTGCAGCAGCATAGATGGAGCTGGAGGCCACTATCTTAAGTGAACTAATACAGGAACAGAAAACCAAATACAACATGTTCTCACCTGTAAGTGGGAGATAAACATGAGTACACGTGGACACGTGTACTTGAGAATAGAGGGTGGGAGAGGACTGAAAAACTACCTATCATGTACTATGCTTGTTACCTGGATGATGAGATAATCTGTACACCCAACCCCTGTGACAAGCAATTTACCTATATAACAAACCAGCAAATATACCCCTGAGCCCCTAGCCTAAAGTAAAAGTTTAAAAAGTATTAAGTGAATAAAGAAATGAATTATACTTGAATATAAAAATAAAAGAAATAGCAACTCTCATACTGGGATATTAGGAGTATATCTGATAAATATTATTCTGATTTCATTATATTAATATAAAATTTTAGAGTATCTGAGATTTTAAAAGGATGCTTTCAAAATCTTATTAAGAAATTCTTGCCAAGACATTTGTGTATATGAGCAAGTGTTACAAATATCATCTGTTATAGAAACTATGGTAAGGGAGCTTACTTTTTACCACTAGGATACTGGGGAAATAAAGTTTACAGCATCCTACGATGAAACACCAGTTAATATAAAAATATTGAACGTATATTGTAACGTAATTTCGAATGTTATAGAAATTTATTTCCATGAAAAAATGCTAATAAAGATTTAAAGAGGGGTACAAAGACTTGAACAAGTAGTCTGGATCCATTTTTCCCTCATTTAGGTCTCTGATTTTCCAGTGGTCAAAGAATAAAAATTAAAATGACCTTTTTCTTCTGATATAGAACTCTCTTTTCAGCACAGTAAGAGATAACGATTTCTGTCTTGAGCCCATCAATGTCCCTGGGAATACTGAGAATGTCCGCTTTGCCACCCAGAGTTCCAGAAAGCTCTGTAAGGTGGGCTTGGGCCACAGCCTCTCCCTCCCACCTTCCTGCTCGCGATGTTCTAGCTGTAGTTCAGCCTTCTGTCACGAGAGGGCACCACGGTACCACCATTATCGAACTCTATCAAGAAGGGTCTGCAAGGAGCAAAAAATAAAATACCTCCCTTAAAACTTAGCTTATGAATCTAGATTACAGAGTAATTCTAATTCTGTCAGAAAAAAACCTGATGATAGGTGTAAAATAAGTCTGTATATATGTATGGCATCAACAATGAAACACCAGACAGCTCTAGCACACGTTGGCAATCATTAGCATTAATAGTGCAAGGCAGGCAGAAGGTGACTGAGAGAGTATGGGCGTGCCTAAGTGGGTCCTGGGCAGCTGCGTCCATAATGTCCTGGAGAGGGGATGAGTGAGAGGGAGTGAGAGGTTTGAGAAGCCTGTACAACGGTAGGGTAACGGAGGGTGAACACCCAGCTCTCTGGAAGGCACCCCTCTACAGTGTGGACACCTCAATCTACACCGAGGAGGGAAGAGATAAATCAATGAATTCGATGTAGATTTGGGGTGAACAGCAAATAGGACTGTTTTTAATATGCATGTGAATTTTCCAAACAGAATTGTTATTATAATAAATATTTTCATAACATTCATTACTCTGTAGAATACACTTCTGTTCATTAAAAAAGAACGACAAAGATGAAGATAGCTGTGATGCCTCCTGGTGGCCAGAGAAATTATTGCACATCTGGGAGTAGAGTTGGGGCAGGAGAGGGGAGGGAGGAAGGGAGGGTGGGATCTAATTAATGGCATCGGGCACAGTATTCTGGAATTTTTCACATACTTGTCACAATTTGTGTGCATCCATTTATCTAGGTTATTTTTTAAAAGTATATTTTCTGGGATATATAAACCTTTTTCTTTCATTTAGAATTTTTCAACATCAGTAATATTGTTACTTAAAAACTATATGGGTCATAATTTAAAAAAAAAGTTTAGCGGATCACGAGGTCAGGAGTTCAAGACCAACCTGGCCAACATGGTGAAACCCCATCTTTACTAAAAAATACAAAAATTAGCCAGGCGTGGTGGAGGGCGCCCGTAATCCAAGCTAGTTGGGAGGCTGAGGCAGGAGAATCGCTTGAAACCAGAAGACAGAGGTTGCAGTGAGCCAAGATTGCACCACTGTACTCCAGCCTGGGCAACAAGAGTGAAACTCTATCTCAAAAAAAAAAAGTTTAATACTCTGGGATCATGTAATGGCAGACCCCAAGGAGATGAGATCATTCACAGCCCCAAAAGCATGAAGACAAAATGAGAAAAACTTTAAAATAATCAAAATTAACTGTTGATAGGGAGATAACAAGGGTATTTTACTGGTTTACTTAGTCACACCTAAAATCAGTAACCTTATATGAATAATGGTGGTGATATTGGGTAATTTGACTGATACTTAGGATTATAGAAGATTAAATATATTTAAAAACGTCTTGAGGCGTGTGTACTATCCCTTGAGGAAGATTAAAGCATTAACAGGCCTGGAGCCATCAAGTCAAAATAGAAAAATACCTTAAGTATTCCAAAGTTAGCTGCTGATCTGGAAAGAACAAGTTGTCTCTCTTATTTGCATAAAATTTCCTAAAGGCAGCACCCTGATGTGAATAATGGTCATAGTCATGGGTACCTTGGACGGCAGTTAAGATTAAAGGAGATGAGATGTAAAGGGCATTTGCTTACAGTAGTTCAGTGCATGTTACTTTCCCTCTCTCCAGCTCACTTGTCTCAAGGCCAACACCTGAGCTTCTGCCTGAGCCCATTCACCACTTCAAGGATCAGCCAACTCGTGTGGCCCTACACCCATGTCTCTTGGTACAAAGCATGAGATTTCACCTCCTCTGCCTTCATCATTACCCAGAGGGGTTGTGGAGTGGGGACCTGTGGGGAACAACAGCCAGGGAGTGGAATCTGACCATTTATCAAGGCCTGGAAGCCCATCTTCTAAAAGGGAGGCTGCCCAGAGCCATCTAGGGAGGGTGAGGGATGGAACCTCATTCCAATCCTGCCACTTTCCTGGGGAGGTGACTTAGGTTCTGTGAGGCTGAGCTTGGTCATCTGTGAAATGGGATTGACCATACCATCTCTACAGAGCTGTCCTGGGGGGTAAATGAGAAAACCTCTTGAGAATATACGGCATGGAGTTGGACTTCAATTATCTTTAAATGTTGGGACACAGCAGTAGGGACTGGCTGGGCCTCAGGGTTAAGGCAGGCATTGTGAAAAATCATTTCTCATTATTTCCCTTTATAAGAAAACAGTTGAAGAAAGCAAATGTTCCTTTGATATGCCTTGAGTTCAAAGTTTTGTAGACAGTAGTTTCTCTACTTCTTGGGTGTTATCAGAAGCTTATAAGAGCTGTTCAACATCATTCCCCTGAGCTGACCCAAATCCAGTTTCCCTTGCCTGGAATACAGGCATGTCTTTGAACTCACCTGGTGATCTCAGTGATAGATAGCAAAGTAAGCAAAGTGTGATGTCTGCTAATGGCTCCTTCTGGACTGCTTAGTATTTTAATTTATGTATAGGAAAATTCTGGACCCATCCTGCAGTCATCAATGCAGGAGTCCTCAGGCCATGTATTATCCAGCCACATCACACCAGGATTTCAGCCACCTGCTGCCTTCTGGAGAGGCACAAATCCAATAGTTAGCAGAATTTTTTACACATAATTGTCTATTCTTTTGTTAGGTAATAACTAAATGTTTATTGAGCTCAGATTTCATGCTGTCCCGGTGGAGGCATCTCATTAGCTCTAAAGTGGAAATGAGAGGGTAAGAAAAGATATGAATATATGGGCAACTTCAAATGTTAAATTGAGATGAGATGGCTCCTTCCCATTATTTTTTCTTTTGAATTTTTCTACTGCCCAATAATTTTAAACTTGATCAAGTTTCAAGTAATTTAAGATTTTCAAATGTCATTCGTTGGACTTACCAGCATCCATTGCAGCCACATGATGGAGATATCTCTTCTGTCTCTCTTTATTGCTCTCTTTCTTTCTCTCTTTGTCTCCTCCTCTTTCTTGGTTTCTTTTTCTTTACATTCAAAGTTCCATAAAGAGTTTTCTACATTCCCTGTTAATATTCTCCACTTTCCACTGACTATCCCACTGCACTATGGCCTCTGTCCACAACATCAAGTAACACATGTGAACTCAAACACCTCTGAAGTGTGTTTCTTGTGCAATTAAAAAATAATAAATGAAATGGAAAAGTGTACTCATGTCATAACAACCGTCAAACAAAATTAGATCAGGTTCTAAATGAGATGCATCCTTAAACCAATCAAGGGATTTCGATAGTAGTTTGGACATATGAAAACTAACTGCAGGGAATCACTGTCTTCTTTCATCAGCTTGGCCCAGATTAGGTTCCAGATGTACAGGGTAACCCCACATGAGTTACAGTTTGAGTTAAGTACAAGTAGTCTGGACAAATAGAAGGTGTTTCATGAAAGAATACACTAAGTCATTGTTTTAGGCTAGTTCACTCCAGGGAAACTCTAGGTGTTTGAATACATCAGGAAAAAAAGTGGGCTTGAAAATAATATCTGCAGATTTTATTAATGCTCCCTAAGCATATAAACTGGGTAAATGAGCCTGTCTGTTTTGGCAAGTTGGAAAGAGAGTATACATGACATGTAGGCATATATGGCAAATCCCACTGTTGAAATCTGAACATGTATTTGTTCTCCTTATGTTTCTTCCTTCCTCTTATTCCATGAGGTATTCATGCATTTAGAGATAAAAATGTAAATTAAAAGTAAAACCTTAAGCCCCCCAACCGACTGAACAAACCTCATGGCCAAGAGGACCCCCCAAAATCCTTAAAACTGAGTTCCTGGGCATGACAGGAAGTGGGGTCAGATAGAACTTGTTATGCTCCCTCCCTTTTGTGGTTTAGATACGACAATTGACCAGCATTAATGTTAAAATAGAGATCATAAGACTGGCAGAACAGACTCTTTGTGGCAATAAGATATCAAATTATAAATAAGACCTAAGGCCATGCCAGGCAAGGGTTAAGTCACACACTCTACACTTAAAGAATAAACTGTGTTCTAATTGACACAAGCTTTCCTTTGCATTTTTCTCCAGCAGCTAAACAAGTACTGGCCTCAAGATAAGCAATATTAAAACAACTTGCAGCTCATCCACCACTAGATGCTGATCCCCAGCCCCTGTTCCACCAGCAATAGCTACAGTTTTGATTGGACAAGAGACTGATTTTGGTAACTTTATTCTGATTAGAAGATCACCAACCATGGACCGGTTCTGGCCAGTTTAAAGAGGGCAGGACTTGAGTGCCTTTGTGTTCTGAAAAGTTCTTTTAACGTATAGGGCCTAATTGTAATACATTTAAATGTGAAGTCTCCACCCCAAGGTGAACCTGGTCCATATGTATAACATACATGTTTGTTCAGTACCCATGTGCCAGGACCCCCTTCATTAATATTCATAGCTCCTCCTATAACGTGTTGAGTATGTATCTTTGTCCAACCCCTTCAGCTTAAATTCCTGTCTTACCTCTCACTCCCTCAAAGTGCCTGCTTCTGGGCTTCTTCCAACGGCTACATTCTCAGCCCATCAGAATGGCCACTCTGCAGGCTGTAACCTTTTATAAGAAATAAAGCTATCCTTTTTAAAATCTATAAATTGGTGATATTTCAGTTAACAAAATCATACCATTAAAAATACCATATTTCATGTGTAGATCTATACAAATGTAATAAAAATATAGAGAAATGTCTTAAAAATGTAAACCCCAAATTTTGCATAGTGGTTACCTGTGAGGAAGAAGGAAACTAATTAGTTAGAGAACACTTCAAAGTGAATTTTAATTGCATATGTTTTATGTTAACATAGAAGTTTCTTATATTCTATAATTTTGTGTATTTCTGAAATATTTAATAAAAACTACTGTTTCTATATTTGATTCTGAATTCAAAAGAGATCCCTACTAATGTGAAATTTTAGGAAACATAATGAGCTCCAGGATAAATTAATCAATAACCCCACGGCTGATTTTTTAAAATGTATCATTTTTGTGAATTACCTCCCATTTGATTCTCTATGCAGACATATTTAATGTATATGCATTACACATGGATTTCATTTATCTGCAGACCTAACATTTGCTAAAGATCATTAAACTAGTTATTAATTGTGCCCAAATATTCTACCCACTCTATCTGACTCCAAAGCCACACCTCCCCACTATTGGGAAATAAAATCTTTTCCTGTGAAAGGGTTGAGGCCAGGAGAGAAGTGACTCCCCATGGTTCTGTACATAAGGACAGATCTGGTATTTGGGACCCAGCTCTCCTGATATCATCTGTTTCCCAGCAGACCCATCTTCATGGTCTGTCATTCTGTGCTGTCTCCTTTCTGAGGCTCAATGAGAGGTTGCTATTCCAATGTCCAAATAGAAGGTAAATGAAGATGTTAGAAAAGGACATCAAATAAAAAATAATGAAATTATTTTCTTTCTCCTCCACTCCATGCATCAGGTAACTTCTACAAAGAAAAGACAGAAAAGCTTTTCTCTCATAGAAATATGTAAACATTTTATTTCCTGCTGCTTCAACTCTAATTGACCTCTAGGAGATGTTCATGTAAACTACGTCTTTTGTGGAAGAGAAAACACAGGGAAAGCCAATACATATATTTGTTGTAGCATTACATGTTAGACACTTCACATAGGTTTAAGCATTATACATTTTCTTCCCACAACAGTTCAGCCAGGTATGTATCAATATGCCCATGTTGCAGATGCCCCAGTTAAGGTTCACAAGGGGTAACTCACTATTATCGGGTCACATATTTAAGTAGAAGCAGGAATAAGATCTACCAAATATATATATTTATATATATATGATAAATACACTCATTTATATATATATATATATATATATATATATATATATAATATAATACACAAACAGGCCCAATTACATGTATTATTTAGCAAATTGAGATGAATATTTTTAAAGTTCTGTTTTCATCCAGTATAATAGGCTAGGACATAAATCTGCATTACTTTAGTTCTTCAGTTATTATAATTTCACTTTTTTTTTTTTTTTTTTTTTAGACGGAGTCTTGCTCTGTCGCCCAGGCTAGAGTGCAGTGGCGTGATATCAGCTCACTGCAACCTCTGCCTCCCGGGTTCCAGCGATTCTCCTGCCTCAGCCTCCCGAGTAGCTGGGATTACAGGCGCATGCCACTGTGCCCAGCTAATTTTTGTATTTTTAGTAGAGATGGGGTTTCACCATCTGGGCCAGGCTGGTCTCAAACTCCTGACCTCGTAATCCACCTGCCTTGGCCTCCCAAAATGCTGGGATTACAGGCGTGAGCCAACTCGCCCAGCCAACTTCCAATGTCTTTAAAAGTTTAAAATCCCTTTTATCAAAATAATTAATAATCGAAACAGTCCAGAAACATCTATAAGGAATAAAGAACAACAGAAGAAACACTATTACAGTTAAATAGAATAGATTTCCATATTCCTCTTGAGATAGCCAAATTCTGTTTGATGGTTGAAGCAGGAAGTACAAGATCTGATTGGTCCTCAATATATGTAGAGTAAATATTGAAGACTATACTATAAACGGCAGATATTAACAGGACTTTATTGACCATGCCATTGAAAGAGCTGGGCACTCAGGCACTTACCACTGTTCAGGGCACATTATCATCCATGAATGTATGAATTAATAAATTTGTGAGATATCCTAGGATGGGGTACATATTTTCCTTATATTCTAAATAGACAGGATCTGAATATCACCACATTGGGCAGTAGGTTACTTTGGCCTCAAATGACATTTTCTCTTCTCTTAAAAAATATCTCCCTTTGAATGCAGTGTTTTCCAGATGTTATAAACTGTGCTAACACCACCAATCGAATTTTGTCAGATCCACTTCCTGGGTATTAAATGCATCCTCCCAGGTCAGAGGACTCAGGGCAGCCCAGGAATCATCTCCTGCATCTTCTTTACTCCCTACCTTGAGTAAGTTGGCAGAGAGATGCATTTAGAGAGAAATGAAAGGGACATTGTGGGCCCACCTAGTAAATCACTGAAGGCATCCAACAAGGATGCAGAGTGATAGGGTCAATTTTGCACGTGGGAACATGTGAAGATACCATGACTAAAATCCAGAAATAAACCATCACATCCCAGGAGGAAATCCTGCACAGAGATTCTACAGAACACAGTTGAAAAGGTCATGTAATGTGGACAACAGGAAAGCTGCCCATTTGAGTAAATTATGGTGAGCCATGAGTCTACAGCAGCACAGAGTTGCCTAAGCAGAAAGGGGCATTTGGTCAACACATGCAGCTCTGTTGGGGTAGGACCACAAATTTAACTCTAAATAAATAACTGCAAAGATGCAACATGTAAATGATAGTAAAGGTGAGTGTTAAATTGTGCCTAAATTTGTCAGAGCAGTGTTGAATTGTGATACAACTCACTGAGCTGATGAAAGGAGCTGAGGCAACAGAGGAGAAAAGCCTCATGAAACATCTCAGGGAGGATACAAGGAGAAAACAAATGAAAGCATGGAAAGTGTGACCTCCTGGAGAGAGTGTTCTGGCTAAGAATGTGCCTCCAGGAGGAAGGCATAAATATGCTGGCAGATGGGAGACCATCAGACCTGGGGTCAGAGAGAAACTATAGTAGGTGTATGATTTCCAGACAGCCTGAGGACCCAATTAGTGGTAAATCCTTCCTCTTAACATTTGCTTCTCACTTTAATGAAGGCTTAGGGCACTGATATCAACCACTTCACTATTTTCAGTGCTCCTGTCTCCTTCCTGCGCCCATGGACCTGTGAGAGGTCTTCAGGACACTTCTGTTCTCACCAAATTTGTGTAATTTCAGGGTGTAAAGGTGACATGCAGCATATCACCGAAGCAAATGTGTTCTTCCACAATCAGTCCCAAATCTGGATGGCCTCAGACCTGGAGTGCCCAGTTATCTCAGAGCCCTGTCTGCTCCCCTGGGAGGCCCCCACTCTTCACTCCAGTCAGGCTGGACTCCCTGTTCCCTCTCTATTTTATGAGGCACAGGTGTCTTCTCCAGGAACCAGCAATCTCTATTCTAAGAATCTATCCCAAACATACATTTCAAAAAGACAAAAAGGCAGAAGAACAAGATCATTCCTAGAAGAACAATTTGTAACAGGACAAGACTATAAATAAGACAAATGTCCACTAAAAGGGGATTGATTGAATAAGGTGCATCTACATCTTAGAGTACAATGCACATATACCAAGCAAGGAGGACTCTCTTTCTCTACTGCCATGTAATGATTTTCAGGATATACTATTAAGTGAAAGAAGCAAGGCACAGAAAAATGTGTGGAGCTGTTGCTGTTCAATATGGTAGGCACTGACCACGTGTAGTTATTTAAACAAGGTATTTTAGATATATTTTATTTTAGATAAAACTAAAAATTTAGGTCCTCAGTTACATTCACCACGTTTCACATATTCAATACCACAGGTAGCTAGTGGCTACTGTGTTTGACAGTGTAGACACAGAATATGTTCACCTCTACAGAAATTCTATTGGACTCCACTAATGTAGAATATGCCACCTATGAAATAGGAGAAGTCTAATACAAATATTACATTTGGTTATAATATTATAAATTTGAATCTTAAAACAAAAATTGATCAATAGTCTGGGCAACATAGCAAGACGGCCTCTCTACTAAAAATTAAAAAGAAAAACATAGCTGGGTGTGGTGATGCATGCCTGTGGTCCCAGTTACTGCAGAGGCTGAAATGGAAGAATTACTTGAGCCTGGGGAGTGGAGAGGCTGCAGTGAGCTGTGATTGTGCCACTGCATTCTGGACTGGGTGACAGAATGAGACCCTGTCTCAAAAAAAATTGATCAAAATGACTGCATGTAAGGGATGGAGGAACAGCCCAGGATGGAAGACAATCATGTGTATTCCCTTAAAAGCATAATACATATTTGCTGGATCCATGCACAGAAAAGGACAAGAAACAAGGACCAATCTAATAGCAATGAGCAACGCTAGTCTCCAGATTGAATTTACTAAAAACATTTCCCATTAAAAGGAATCAGGTTATTTGGAGAAGTGCTTTATTCCAGGTGTGGGTAGGAATTGTAGCTGACGATGCTGGGCCCAACTAACATACCAGAAGACATGTCAAAAAGACCAGAAGCCAAACTAGAGGGGCTCCCACTTCACGAAGATAAAACTATTTGAAGGTCAAATAAAATAATGCAATAGAGTCAATCAAGACAAACATAGAAGTATCTAGATCTAATGAAAATACTCTAAAATAAAAACAAACAAATTATATTTAATGCTCACATTTGTAGGATCCTAGGGAAACATCTCATTATTTCTTCTCATGGGAACACAAACATCTGGTTGAAGGAAGCAAGTATCTCTGTAATATGCCTTAAGTTCAAAGTTTCAGAGAAAGAAAGTATTCTGCATTTTGAAGTATTTCATTGTCTCATACAAGCTACTCAACATCACGCTTCTGAGCACACCCAAATCCAGCTTCCCAGGTTGTGGGTGGGGGCAGTGTGCAAGATAGGCATGACTGGGAAATCACCTGGCGAGCTCAGAGATAGATAGCACCAGGGATGCAAGGTTTGGTGTTTGCCCAGAGGCTGCTTCTGGGCTACTTGCTATGTTAATATATTTATAGAAAAATTCTGGACCTGTCCTGTAGTCACCTGTGCACAGGTCCTCAGGTCATGCATTAGCCAGCCACAGCAACCAGCATTTCAGCCACCTGCTGCCTCCCTGAGGGACAAAAATCTTAGCATTACTGGCATACCTTTGACACACAATTATCCATTCTTTCATTTGCCAATTACTAAATGTGTATATGATATATATATATAACCTTTAAATTCAAATTTTGGAAAAGGGTTTTCTACATTCCTCATTTCCCTTTGATTGCTTATCCCACTGTACTATATCTTCTGCCCATATGATTGCAATGAATGTCCTCTCACCAAGGTCATAATCATCTACCTTTTCTCATTATATCTAGCTTTTCATATAAATATATTAATATACAAAATATTCATTTTAGTAACCTCCCAAAGTACGCATGCTTGCGCAGACTGCTTCTTTCACCTAACAACAGAGCTTTGACAGTCTCCCAGGCTTTGGAGCATGATGTACTGGACACACATCTAAGCTCTCCCTCTCCCTAACTGTGTGGTCTCAGGCAAAGTCTTTATTCACTCTGTACTTCAGATTTTCATCTACGAAATGGGAATTAGTAACAGTTTCTACCTTGTAAGGGTGCTCTGAAAATTGAATGACTCAATGCCTAAAAAGGACTTGGCAAATAATATGTTTTAGCTATTTTAATTTCTTTTCTTCTGTCTTTACTGGCCATTAGTATCTCTACTATCCCTATGGTATAGACTCATGTTTATTCATAATCAATAAACTTTGAGGTATGTTCTCAGTGAAACAAGCAAGTTATGATATTAAATGTAGGATGAACCTTATCTTTTGAAGATAAGTATATAAATGCATACATTTCTGAATAAATTTATAAGTACCTGCATAAGAAAACTTCTGAAATATTACACAGATGAAAACATTAGGATGTTTATTTCAACATTCTTGATCTATAAATGTGAAAAAGAAGTGGCTGTAGACCTTGGTGGGTTTCATTTCAGTGGTGGGGTGGGGGAACAAAGCGCCATTAGATGAGCAATGAGGACTGAGGTGGAGGAATGTGAGTTGAGTATTGAGAATTCTTCATAGAACTTTGGTTACAATGGAGAGAATATATGTAAAGAGAACCGTAACTGTGGATGTAGAGAGGGGTCCAGGGTATTAAATTATGTTTTAAAATTATCAATGATAAGAGACCCTTTCAGGTTGAATATTAAGAGGAAGGGGCCATCTCTTTTTAGATCTACAAACTGAATTCACCACGCCCCTATTTCCACACTTTACTTCCTTGTTTCTATTCTGGGGAAGCCTAAAACTTCACAAAAGGGATCGTGTAGAGTTTGGCCTTAATGTCTATTAACTGCAAGGATGGATGGATGGATGGATGGATGGATGGATGGATGGATGGATGGATGCAAGATGTGTCAAACAGCTGCTGGTAATTTATGGTATTTTATCTCTCAGGACAGAGTTCTCACACAAGTGACTGAATCTGTGGCATTGGTGGCTGAGAGCAGGCAATTTTTCAGGTCTCTGCAAGATGGGAGCACCCAGCTTCAGTGTTCAGAAGCAGATTTAGGCCGACTTCCGTACCTTACATCCTGGAGGGATCCACCCTGACTTGAGCAGGTGAGGTCACAGACAGGCTTGCTTTCCACAATGGGGAAAAGATTACAGCCTGCTCAGAAGCGTGTTGTGGTCCAGCTCCTGTGTCATTCAAAAAGACTCCATAAAGTGCAGATCCAGATCCTCTCCAAACTTGAACTCAACCAATGTCATGGAGAGACATTCTTAATCCCCTTCTATGAAAACAGTGTCATTAGAAGCACCCAGAGGCCACACACACACCCTGGAAATGTAATGCCAGCAGTAGCTCTAGAACCTGCAGACTCAAGTGCCTGTTGCTCATTGTTTTTAGGCTACATGTGAAAATGGACCATTTTGCAATAAAAACATAATGCAATGATGATTATTAGAGCATTTTGTATACTAGGGATTTTTTTAAGTTATCTGAACATCAAATTAAATATAATGACAATGAAAGAATTTCCACCTGTCATATCATCAAAGTATAAAAAGAAACCATTCAGGATTCCAGTAAGGTGGGCACATGCAGGGAAGTCTACCCTGTTTCATATTGGTGGTGGGGATGTCATTTAGTACAACCTCTTTCCAGGTTGATTTGGTAATTTCTATTAAAGACTCTATGCATCCCCGATCTGCATGTGTTTAGGGCCTGCTCCTTCAAGTATTCATCCTCAGCATGACCCCTGTCCCTCTGAGAGTGCATATTCTTCCTGATACAGGAACTGTCTGCGGACTCCAGTTTCTAAAGCAATGGCCCAGACACACTCCCTTGTCTACAGAGTAGGAAATTTAGGTCTGACAAGGCTGTCTTTCAGAAGAGAGACAGAACTGGGAGCTTGGCTTCAGAGCTGAAGATACAGATTTCAGTAGTGGCCTGGGTCAGCAGGAAAGCAAGATTTGCTTGGTTATGGTGTGATGTGCAGCTCAGCGTCACAGTCTGCATGGGGGCATATAGGGTGCCGGTCCCTGCTTTTCCACTTAGTGGTAGGATGCTCCCCAGCCAGGTTGCTTAACCTGCAAACATCACTGTTTCTTAAGCTACAGGATGGTACAGAGATTATATCCTCTACCTCCCAGGAATGTTGTGGGAAATTCATGAGATAGAAAAGTACCAGAGTTCAGGAAGGGTGAGTCCCCAAGGCTCCCTGAGGCCAGAGGTACTGCCCTTCTGCGGGACTTTATGTTACAATCAACCTATGACAATGCACAAATAAATGGTCATTCAATTACAAAAGAGTACAAGGACTTATATTTACTCAGTTCATCCAATATCAATTATAATAACCCACAGTGTAAACTGGAAAGTAACTACATGGAAATCACTTCTCCTTCCTTCCCATCTAAGGTCTCAGAAGTGCTTTCCCAGATGTGATCTCATTAACCTCTATATCGATCTGAGAGGTGTTAACCAAAACTGGCCAGCACAGGGGAAATTACTCACCTAAGGCCTTATAATGGGCCTGGCCCCCCGTGTTCTATTGCATTGTTTTTCTGCAAAGCCTAATCTTGCAGGGTTACATTATACATATTTTTCTTTCTTTTTCTTTTCGTTTTACCAAAAGATAAAAATATATACTTTTTTATTGTTAAGAAACATTTTCATAAATAAGTACTTATTTCATTCCTTACTGAAATGGCTTTTTTCTTACTGACCCATTGAAACCATGTTGGCTATGTTCAACATAACTAGAGATATCTTTGGCGTTTTCCTCCCTTAGCTTCATATCTTGTAGAACATCTTGTACAAAAAAGTAGATTTACAGAAAAACATACATATAAATCACTTATTAATCTCCAAATGTAGTAAAATAACATAGCAAAAACTTTATCAAATCCATTTCGTGCACAAACTGGACAGATCTGTTACGTATAATCTCTATATGCATCTGCAGTGTTTTATAAATTGGTGCTTTGACATCAAAAAGGAGGTTTACAAAAAGTCCCCTCTAGTAATATCAATGACTCGGAATGATCTCACTATCATTGCATCTCAAATTCCCTTGAATTTATACTCATCACTGTCATATCACCATTCTTACAAAAGCGGTTATTTTAAGGAAAAAGATGCAGTGTGATTATGATATAAGTAACATTCAAAATTTCATGTTATCAAGAGTTAAGCAGAGTACTAATTTCCCCTTTATAAACACATGCACATCCACGTAGAAATTCAAAGTCAAACTGCGTAAAGTGCTTTTATTGACAGAAGGCATCACACACATTCCCAAGCAGCATTGTTCCCATGAGAAACTGAAAACGTATTTCTTTGAATCTAGAATGCATCTTCCCTCTTCCAGGTGTAACCATTCAGAGTTTTTCCTGGAGCGATTCCAGCTTGTTTCCTTTTGGTGCCTTCCTTAAGAAATTTTGCAGCTGTTTCTGGTGCAGTTTTTGGGTGGGCTCTGGGGTGGGCAGACGATCTTCACTTTGCAGAGGCTGCTCCTTTTGTGAGTGGAGCTGGTGGTGAGGGAGTAGGAGAGGCCTCGCATCATCCTGGCATTCAGGCCCTTAGCCATGGAGAAGGACTTGAGGTGGCTTCTTAAGGCAATGGGGAGCGGGAGCTTGTCCACCAGATGCACAGGTGTGCAGGACACGATGGTGCGGCAGCAGAGGTCTTGCAAGCTCAGTACCTTGCTCGGCCTCCCGAGCCAGTTCAACCTGTGCCGCAGCAGCACTATCCTGGCCAGCTCCGTGAAAGACTCTATGATGTTGAAATTGCACAGAGGGCTGACCTCAAAGAAGGTCACGCCCAGGCGCTCGGCGTAGGCCTGGGCCTGCTCCCTGGGCACCTGCCTCTTGAATGCCAGATGTAGGCGATTCCCCACCAGGATTTTAGGGACACCAGGGGCATGTTCCTCAATCTTCTTAATCCATCGATCCATACCCTCGAAAGACCAGCGGTTTGCAATGTCGTAGACCAGGATCACTCCTTGTGCACCACGAGAGTAGGAGCGGAATATGGTACAAAATCTTCCCTGCCCCGACGTATCCCAGAGCTTCAGCTTCACCCGCTGGCCGTCCAGCAGGATGGTGGTCGTCTTGTAGTCGATTCCCCCCAGGTGACTGTACGGGGACTCGGCCGTGCCGTCCTGCAGGCTCTCCAGGATCTCACTCTTGCCTACGTCCCTGTCGCCCACCAGCAGGAACTTGAGCAGGAAGTCGTAGGCCTGGTCGGGGCTGCCCGGGGCGCTCATCGTGCTGGCCCCGCCCCCCGCCTGGGCCAGACCAGCAAGGTTGTGCGCAGAGGCGGTGCCGGGCCTATTTTTCTTGAGAAATTAGCATAGAACATAAAAAATGGGATGGGGAAGTCTACGAAATAAAGTGAAATGAGGTGGTGGCTTTGATGGTTTTCTTTTACAAACCCTGGGAAACCGGTTCAGCGATTGTTTTCCTTTTTCTTACCCAGCACAGAGTAGTGACACAGCAGTTAATTCATCATGGAAACCTATACATTTCCCTTAAAACTTTCATGTGATCGTTATGGAACCATGCCTTTTGGATTATGTCAAAGGAATCTCCTTTAAAGGAAGGACGGGTATGAGATAGGAAGCAGACTAAGATGTGTTGAGTACCGTATGTACCCTACGCTGTGTATGACGCTTAAAATAATTTGTTCTTTTACTTCTCAGAACAATTGTCTTTGGTAGCTATGATTGTTTTCATTTTACAAATGAGAAAAGGCAAACTCAGAAATGTTACGTAATTTTTAAAAATCTTGCCGTTAGTATAGAGATCACAGAAATCACAATCCTGAGCCAGTGCTCTCCTTATATAATGCCCCACACATCCTTTCTACTCTGTGGCCATGCCGGGTTTAGGAGTAAGTGTGAACTGTCTGTGCATGTGATCCTTGACAAGCCACGCATGTTTGCATGGGCACTAACACATTTTTTGCTGCAGGGGGACATCTCCCATAAATATAAGAGCCAAGATCTCAGAAGAAACATCTAGGATATGGATTTTTCTAGAGTGTCTCATAAATAATATTCAGCCAAGAAAGATGTGTTGAAATAACGCATGCATAGATCAATGAAGGGTTTTAGATTTAACACACGTACAGATCCTATAACAAAACAGCAAAACTGACAAAATATATAAATGGTTCATGGATGATGAAATGCAAATGGCCAATAATCATAAGAAAATGCATTCTAGCTCACTAATATATAAGGAATGCAAATGCAACTATCTAAATATACTTTTATCACCTATCGTTTGACAAAATTTCAATGTAGAAAAAACTGAATAAGAATTTTTTTTTAATTTGCAAAAGAAAAAGGTAAAAGTGGCTCTGTGTGTGTCTGTGTATGGGGGCAGGATGAGGGACCAAATACATCAAGGAAATGGAAACACACTTCTCAGTTATAAATGCATTTAAATATTGTAACTACAACAGGTATAAAGATGGTTAAAGGAATGAGAATGCTCAGACACATATAAGGGAGTTTAAATTATTGAAATCAAGCCCCAAGGGATAGATGTGTAAGCATGTAATGGATGAAACATTTTTCACATGTACAAAATAGCCAGGTAAGAGGTTATTTGCTACAGTATTGCTGAAATCTTTTTAAAAAGGAAAAAATGAGAAGCATTCTAAATACTCATCAATACAGAACAAACAATAACAAAGTTGTCTCCCTAATTTACACAAACTCCCCTAAAGACATCGCCATGATCTGAATGGTGGAATCTGACCATTTCTTAAGCCTTGGAAGTGCATCTTCTAAAAGGGAGGTGCTCTCAGGGTCCTCTAGGGAGGGTGAGGGATAGAACCTCATTCCAATCCTGCCACTTACCTCAAGAGGCGACTTAGGTTCTGTGAGCCTGAGCTTGGTCATCTGTGAAATGGGACTGACTATACCATCCTCACGGAGTTATTCCCAGGCATAAATGGGAAAACCTGTCCAGGGTATATGGCATGGAATGGGAGGCTTCAATGGCCCTTTAAATATTGAGACATAGCAGTAGGGGTTAGCTGAACCTCAAGGCCAAGGCAGGCATCGTGAAAAATCATTACTCATTGTTTCTCCTAATGAAAACACAGACATCCATATAAAGAAGGCAAATCTCCCTGATACACCTTGATTTCAGAGTTTTAGAGATGGAGTTCTCTACATTCTTGTGTGTTTCATAATCTCACGAAAACTGTTCAACATCATGCCTCCGAGAAGACACAAAACCAGTTCCCCATGCTGGTAAGAAAAAAACTGATCGGTGTAAATGTAAAAACATATGCTCCAGGGCATCCACAAAATGAAACACCAGGTAGCAGTGACGGGGCTGTAGAAAGGTGACGGAGAGAGGTCGGAGGCACTGGAGCAGCATCTGGGGAACTGTGTCTATAGTGTCCTGGAGAGGGGAAGACTGAAAGAGAGTGTGAGAAGGTCTGAGAAGCCTGTACAGGGATAGAGTTATGGAGAGTGAATGCCTTGCTCTCTGGAGGGACCCCTCCTCCCCCGCCCCCGCCCCCGCCCCCTCCGACAGTGTGGACACTTCAACCTACACTGAGAAGGGAAGAGATGATAAATCAGTGAATGCGATGTAGATTTAGGGGTCAACAGCAAATGGACCTGCTTTAATATACATGTGAATTTTCCAAACAGAACTGGAATCAAAGTAAACAAGTCATTTTGAAACATGTTACTCTGCAAAATGTACAAAAACAGAGATAGCTCTGATGCCTCCTAGTGGCCAGAGACAGAAACGCAGCTCTGATAATCTCAAACCAGGGACTCAGGAAGAGGGAGGCATGGAGGTTGGAGGTTAGCTCCAATGTATCAGCCACAGTTTTCTGGAATTATTCACCTAATGGTAGCAATTTCCATGTATCCATCATGTTCCAGAATATATGAAACTGATATTGGTTCCAATCCCCGCTGGAACTAAAGTTGCATCCATGATTTTGTATTTGGGGTGGTAGAGCTAGAGGACACACCCACACAAACACCCACACACACACACAAAACCTCTGTCAATTGGACTTGTTATTTACTTCTTTCACAATAAAATAGAATATAAGGAATGCTTTTTCAAATTAATGGACATTATGTACACCTTAACTTTGACAATTTGTTCCAAAGTATTTTGTGTGTTCAAATTTTCATCAGAATACTTTTATTCCCAAATACCAGTTTTTGAACAGTACACAAGAGCATATTGATAAATCAAAATTAACCTGAGCTCTCACTGGTCAACTCCCACTCCTTAACCCCAAGGGGTCTGCTGTTCCTAGGATGGTGCATACTCTCCAGACATGTCCCTGAAGGTGAGGTACACATCAACACGTTCACCTACACACACACATTGTCTTCTCCAAAAGTGCAATCATGGTACTTATCTTTTGCATCTTGTCATTATAAATTCTCAAGATTTTAAAATATTTGCATTTTATTAGTTCTTGTGGGGTTGGCGTATTTTAGTATGTTTATTGTTCATGTACATTTCATTTAAATTCTCTGTTGAAATAGTTGCCATTTTGTTACTATGTTTCACAAATCATGGATACTAACCCAATTAAACTTCAAAATTTGACTTTAAAATTACACAGATCTTAAATTTCAAAGAAAAAACATTGAAAAACACCTGGGGAGCAGGTACTGCCAGCCTGGAGGGAGATTAGAGCATTCAGGGCCCTGGAGGAATGAAGAGAAATGATAAAAGTCTAGAGTATTACAGAGTTTGTGCTTATCAGGAAACAACAAAGTTGTCTCCCTGATTTACGTAAACTCCTCTAAAGGCAGCAGCCTAATTTGAATAATGGTGATAATGACCTTGGGTAGCAGTTAAGATTAAAGGAGATGAGGTGTAAAGTGCATTTGCTTACAGTAATTCAGTGCATGTTTCTTTCCTTCTCTGCAGCTCACCTGTCCCAAGGCCAACACCTGAGCTTCTGCCTGAGCCCACTTGCCACTTTAAGGATCAGCCCTCTCATGTGGCCCTACAACCAGATCTCATGGCACAAAGCACAGGATTTCACTTCCCCTGTCATCTTCAGAGGAGTTGTTGAGTGGGAACCCATGGGACTACAATAGCAGGGGAGTGGAATCTGACCATTTCTCAAACCCTGGAAAGCCATCTTCTAAAAGGGGGTGCTCAGGGTCCTCTAGGGAAGGTGAGGGATGGAACCTCATTCCAATCCTGCCACTTACTTGGAAAAGTGATTTAGGCTCTGTGAGCCTGAGCTTGGTTAGCTGTGAAATGGGATTGACTATACCAACCTTACAGAGCAGTCCTGAGGGGTAAATGAGAAAATCTGTTGAGAATATACAGCAGGGAGTGGCCTTTAAGTATTGGTACACAGCATGAGGGGCTGGCTGAGCCTCAAGGCTAAGGTAGTCATCATGAAAAAATCACTTCTCATTGTTTCGCCTAATGACAACACAAACATCGTGAAGAAAGAAGCAATCTCTCTCTGAAATGCCTTAAGTTCAAAGTTTTAGAGACCAAAGGTCTCTGCATTCTTAGGTGCTTGAAAGTTCCTAAGAGCTATTCAACATCATGCCTCTGAGCAGACCCAAATCCACTTCCCCATAGTGGTAGGACAGGAGCGTTTGTGAACTCACCTGGTGAGCTCCACGACAGATCACATCAGGGACACAAGGAGTGGCAATTATCTAATGAGTGCTCCAGCACTGCTCAGTATTTTAATATGTTTATAGGAATCCTGTAGACCGGTTCTGCAGTAAACAGTGCAAGGTTCCCAGATCACACATTATCCAGCTACATTACAAGAGGATTTCAGCTATCCGCTGCCTCCTTGAGAGGCAAAAATCTAGGAATTACAAGAATTTCTATAACAGACAATTTTCTATTCTTTCATTAGGTAATAACTGAAAGTGTATTGAGCTTTAAAAGCATACTAGTCTACTGGAGGTGTCTCATTAACTAAAGTGGAAAGAGGGTAAGAATTCAAATGAATATATGGGTAACTTCATGGTTCACATTTGAGAGGAGATGGTTTCTTCAAATTAACTTTAAACTTTCTCAAACTCCAAAGAATTGAAAATTCTTTTTTGTTTTAAAAATCCTTTTTTGTTCCTCATCACCTGATACAGTTCGAATATATGTCCCTGCCAAATTTCATGTTGAATTATAATCCCCAGTGTTGGAGGTTGGGCCTGGTGTGAGGTGTTTGGGTCATGGGGGCAGATCTCTCAAGGCTTGGTACTGTCCTCATGATAGTGAGTCTCCTGAGATCTGGTTAAGTGTGTGGCACCCCCCCGCCCCCCCACCGCTCCCACCGCCACTTTCTCTCTCCTGCTTTCACCATGTGACATACATACTTCAGCTTCACGTTCCATCATGAGTAAAAGCTCCCTGAGGCCTTCTCAGAAGCTAAACAGATGTTGGTGCCATGTTTGTAAGCCTGCAGAACCATGAGCCAATTAAACATCTATTCTTTATAAATTACCCAGTCTTAGGCATTTCTTTATAGCAATGCAAGAATGGCCTAATACATCATCAATTCAATTCAGCCACAGGATATCTTTCTTTTCTCCTCTCCCCTCTTCTCTCTCCCCTCCTCTCCCTTTCCTTTCCCCTCCCCCTCCCCTCCCTCTCTCCCTCTTTGACTCTGTCTTTTCCTTCTCCTTCAAAAAATTTTCTAATTTTCTACATTCTCTATTAACATTATTTCCCATTTACTCTTTATCCCACTGCGCTGTGGCTTCTGTCCCCAGGATTGCAATGAACATGATCTCGCCAAGGTTACAATCCCCTTTTTGGTCACTAGGTTCAGTTTTTTGTTTACATATATAACCATACTGAGTATTGCTTTCAATGAACTCATAAAATATGCATGCTTGTCCAGTCGTTTCTTTAAATTTAACACAAATCTGTGACAGGCTCTGGAGCATGAGGTACTGGACACAAATCCAAGCTGTCCCACTCCCTAACTATGCAGTATCAAGCAAAGTCTTTATTCTCTCTGTCATTCAGTTTTTCATCTATAAAATAAGGATTAGTCACAGTATCTACCTTGTAAAACAGCTGTGAGCACTGACTGACTCAATACATTAAAAGCATACAGTTCATAAGAAATGTTAGTCATTTTAAATTCTTTTTACATATCTTACTGGCATTAGTATCACTGTAGACATGAAAAGTAGGATATCAGCCAATGAATAGTTTCCTAGGGCCACCATAACAAATTATCACGAACTTTGCACATTTAAACAACAGAATTTCATTATCTCATGGTTCAGAAGTATAAAACCAAAGCCCAAAGTACAAAACCAAGGTGTAGGCAGGACCACACTGCCTCCAAAAGCTTTAGGGGAGAATCCTTTCTTAGCTCTTCCAGCTCCTCCTTTATTTGGCTTGAGGCAGCATAACTCCAATCTCTACTTCAATCTTCACATGGCCTTCTTCCTTGCATGTGTCAAATCTCCCTCTGCTTTCTTTTATATAGACACCAGTCATTGGAGTTAGGCATCAACCTACATTCAGGATATTTACTTCTGGAGATCTTTCACTTAATTATATCTACATAGACCCTATTTCCAAATAAAGTTTGGGTGGGTTAGGTTTGGGACATGTTTTGAGGGGGACATAATTCTACCCACTACAGTTAAACACGCAAGTTACACTACAAATGTTAGATAAGGTAGCTTTTATATGTTAATATATAAATGCTGTATGCATATTTAATCTAGGTTTTTATCCTCTGTGTATGAAGTACTCTTAAACAACAGAGATAGGTCAATTATATCAAGAGACAATGCAATAAAAACCAATATTAATCTCCCCAAAACACTTGTAGACACACACACACAAAATGAAAAAGAATCAGATTTGGACAATCAACAAAGTCATAAATTATAATGTAGTATATGGTTCCATTGTGAAAAAATATATATATCTATCTCTCTCTACATGGGTTTATATGTATGTGTGTGTGGCTAAAAATAAGTTAGTGTACTACATGGAGAGAAAAAAGATCTGGAGAATAGATACGAATAAATTAATACAGGCCATCTTTGTATTATGGAGATGGAGAAGATTTAGACAGAATATTTTTAATTTCTAATATACATTTCAATTATGTTTCATATGGCTTAAACAATAAAAAAAGTTAATAATGTGACAAAGTCATTAAGATAATGTTTTGTAAATCAGGAAAATCTGTGACCCTAGTCACAAAATGATAGTGTAGAAATACATTTATTGACTAAGAATCACATTCATATGCTGTGGTATAAAAATAGTATATTAAAAAGATTTATTTAATAAATCAGTATATTTGCCTTGGAGGGAGATAGAGGATATTTGTTTTATAAATTTGCAATTCCCTAGTGTTTTAAATGTGGAAATTTCATTGTTCAAAATGTTAAAAACAAAAAACACTGTAATTGTGACCTGATTATATTTATGATGCCCACATATTCATTGCTCTGGAAACATGCATATAGAAAATTCCAGAAAGCTTTGTTCTCTACAATTCTATACAATAGAATACATGTGCCTCCCTTACTCCACTCAAATCTCCTACCCCTTTCCAAGCTCTTGGTTGACTTTAATTTCTGCAATTCTGACTCTGGGCACCAGGTGAGAGCATTCTGTATTTCTTCCAATGAAAAGGCATAATTTGTATAAACAGAAACAAAATTTTCCTCAAAGTAGATAATGAAACAATAAGTACAGCATGACCACAACTCTCTTTGAAAAATTCATGTTTACAAAAAGATGGACAGGTCATATACATAGTTTTGTTTCCTTGCATACTCCTATGTCTACATCTAATTAGTTTATTAAATAGGTTTTGGGTGTCTACTTCAGAGGTTCAAACATCTTATGATGAAATGCTACTGGAAATTTTATAATGGATGGATCAGGGTGACAACACTGAAATACAGTGATCAATTTCAAGCTTACAGGAGGAGAGACAACCAGACCCAATGAACCTACTAATTTGACACTTTAGTAATAAAGGACACCACTTCTGAGGTACTCTTGCTGAATAAGCTGAATTTGATCAAACTTCTAAATCTAATTACCAATTTAAAAGAAATAAGAGAGGCTAGAGGAAATTAATAAACAACACAATAAGAATCCAATCAGCAAAATCCATAATGCACCCTCCAAAGGATGAAAGATCCAGTTTTCTAAGCAAATAAATAGAAAGGTTTTTTTTTTTAAACAACAGATAGCTTTTAAGAGACAACACTTCAAGGAGAGTTAAAGAGAAAGTAAAATTAAAATCACAAGGAGATACTATCACATGTCTACCAGAAAGAGAAAAATGAAAAAGATAGAAAATACCAAGTGTTGGTGAGGATGTGGAGCAGTAGAAGTCTCAACATTGCTAGTGGGAATATAGATTGGAACAACCACTTTGAACAACTGTTTGACAGTATCCACTGAGCTGAAGATACACATGTCATATGACTCAGAAATGCCACTCTTTGGTGCATCCCTAGGAGAAATGGCCTCACCCATCAAAGGAAATCAGACCAGCCCTGCCTTTCAACCAGTTGAAGGATAGAAACCAGAATAAATGTGATTTCCATGTGTAAAAGCACTCGGAGTTCCTGAAAGGGAATAGAATTAACTGTAGAAGTCCAAGGAATTATTTCAACAGCCAGGTTGTCTAAGGAAAACTTAACTGTGATGATTATTACCTTTTTAAAAATAATTATACTTTTGTTTTTACATTATCTTGTTTGTTTTTCTTAAATAAATATCATCTGGTACATGGAAGAAAGGCTACTGAAGGATAGTTATCACTCAAAGACATATGGTCCTGTCTACCATCAACCACCATTGGCTGACATGGTTTGGCAAATGTCTTTTCCTCTTTTCTAAGTATACTGGTTAGGAGTGTTGGCTGTGGAGACAGACTAGGGCCCAACCCTGCTTCTTAAATTTGTGGGACTTTGAATACATTTGCTTCAGCTTGCAGTAGCTCAAATGCTTCATCTGTAAAACAAGGATAATAGAGTACTGACCTAAGAAGACAAAATATTTTTAAACAAATATTGCCTTGCCATTTTGGTCAGGAATCCCATAATTTTAAAAATTCTACTGCGGAGATATCAGCATAACTGGCTCTCTGTGACCTTGTGAGAGTAACAGAATTACTCTATACTTCAGTTGTCTTTAAGGTACAATGGGGAAAACAATTATCCCCACCTCATGGGTTGTTGTTTTGAGAATTACTTGAGTTGAGGCACAAAAGCCCTTAGAACAGTGGTTGGCACATAGTAAACTGCTCATTAAATGTGAGTTTGCATGTTGAGATTTTTCAAGTTCTAAAAGTTTGACAGTTTGCACGTGTCTTCAATAAAGTTTAATACAACAGAATCTTAATCATCAACTGATGCATTTTAAAATAACTTCTTTTCACTACAACCACGTTTGGATGACCTAATTACCTTGAGAATATCTCAAGAGCAAATGGAAGGACTGCTCTCAGAAAACGGTGTCATTTCTCCACATGGCTATACAAAAAACTGAGGGGTCATCCTTGACTGTGCCTTATCCCCATGCACCCTACACGCACAGCCACTTCAAGTTCTGCCTGCTGTACCTCCAAACACGCCCTGTCCAGGTTCACTCCTCCCTACCTGCACACAGCTGCAGCCCTGGTCCCATCCACCTGTGCCTCTTCCCTGGACTTCTGCAATATTTTCCTAATGGTTATCCCCACTCCCTATCTTGTCCCTTTCCAGTCCATTCCCCACACAGCAGTCAGAGTCGCCTTCTGACAACAGGAATCGCAATCAACGGCACATTTACAAATTGTAATTCACCTGAATCTCTCACTAGCCCTACTCCAACCTCTGACCCAAGGGATCTGTTGTCCTAAGGATGTTGCATACTCTTCAGATGTGTCCCTGTAGGTGAGGTGCACATGAATACATTCACCCGATTCACATAGTCTTCTCCAAAAGTACAATCACAGTCCTCATCTTCTGTTGCAATTTTTTTCCACTTTATATAAATTCTCAGGATTTTTAAGTATTTGCATTTTATTAGTACTTTTGGTTTTGGCATATTTAACAAGATTATTGTTCATGTTTATTTTATGTAAATTTTCTGTTGAAATGAATTACCAATATCTTTGTCATTAGTGTGTGTTACAAATTACGGATACTAATCCTATATATGGTACAGTTTGCAAATACTTTCTCCAATGTTTTAAGATAATTCTTAATTTTATTACTATCGAAATTGATTTTCAATTTCAAAAATATTATGACTTAAAAACTTTACAGATCATTTTTTTTTTTAAGAAAAATTTGAATGCTCCCATTGGAATGGCAGCCCCCAGGGAAATTAGATCATTCAGGGACCAGGAGGCATGAAGACAAAATGAGGAAAACTTTAGAATAACTAAAAACTAGTTGCTGATAGGGATTTTATCTCCTCTATCATCTTCATCACCTTGAGAGGTTGAAGAGTGAGCACCTCACCTCTGGGGCCACAATAGCAAGAGAGTGGAATATGACCATTTCTCAAGTCCTGGAAGCCCAACTTCTAAAAGAAAGGTGCTCAGGATCCTCTAGGGAGGGTGAGGGATGGAACCTCATTCCAATCCTGCCACTTACCTAGGGAGGTGACTTAGACTCTGTGAGCCTGAGCTTAGTCATCTGTGAAATGGAACTGATTATACAATTGTTACAGAGCTGTCCCCAGGCATAAATGAGAAACGTTGTCCAAAGTATATGGAATGGAGTGGGACTTCAATGGCCTTTAAATGTTGAGACATAGCAGTAAGGGCTGGCTGAGCCTCAGGGCTCAGGAGACATTGTGAAAAATCATTTCTCATTGTTTCTCCTAATAAGAACACAAACATCTAGAAGAAAGAAGCAAATATCTCTCTGATATGCCTTGAGTTCAAAGTTTTTGAGATAGAAGGTTTTCTATATTCTTAGGTATTATCAGAAGGTCACAGGAGTCATTCAATATCATGCCTCTTAGCAGACTCAGATCAAGTTCCCCCACACTGGAATGACAAACATATTTGTGAACTCACCTGAAGAGCTCTGTGATAGATTGCATGAGGAAAGCAAAGTATGGTGTTTGCTTAATAGCTGCTTCTGGACAGTTTGGTATGTTAATATGTTTATAGGAAAAATCTGAACCTGTCCACCAGTCACCAGGGCAAGGGTCCTCAGATCATGCATGATCCAGTCACATCACACCAGGATTTCAGCCATCCTCTACCTCCCTGAGAGGCAAAAATCCAGAAATTACTAGCATTTCTGTGACACACAGTTGTCCGTTCTTTCCTCATCTAGTAACTATATTTGTATTGAGCTCAAAACATATACTAGTCCATTGGAGACATCTCATGAGCTCTAAAGTGGAAATAGGAGAGTAAGAAACAAAATAATATATAGGAAAATTCAAGGGTTAAATACGAGATGAAATGGGTTCTTCACATTAGCTTTTAAACTTACTGAAATTTCAAGAAATTGAAGATTTTTAAAAATTCTTCCTTTAACCCCTCACCGCCTATTCAGCCACAGGATTGGATATCTTTCCTCCCCCAACTTTTTTTTCTCTCTTTCCTTTTTTCCAACCAAAGTTAAAGCTCTAAAACGAGTTTTCTGCACTTCCTACAAAACTACAATGAGATATCATCTCACTCCAGTTAAAATGGCTTTCTGCAAAAGACAGGCAATAACACATGCTGGCAAAGATGTGGAGAAAAGGGAACCCTCATACACTGTTGATGGGAATGTAAATTAGTACAACCACTGTGGAGAACAGTACGGAGGGTCCTCAAAATCTAAAAATAGAGCTGCCATATGACCCAGCAATCCCACTGCTGGTTATACATCCAAAAGAAAGAAAATCAGTATATCGAAGAGTATCTTCACTCCCATGTTTGTTGCAACATTATTCATAATGGCCAAGATTTGGAAGCAACCTAAGTGTCCATCAACAGATTAATGGAAAAAGAAAATGTGGTACATATACAGAATGGAGTACTATTCAGCCATAAAAATAAAGAGATTCTGTCATTTGCAACAACATGGATGGAACAGGTGGTCATTACATTAAGTGAAGTAAGCCAGGCACAGAAAGACAAATATCACATGTTCTCACTTATCTGTGGGACCAAAACTCAAAAAATAATTGAACCCATGGAGATAGAGGGTAGAAGGATGGTTACCAGAGTCTGGGTAGAGGCGGGGAGGTGAGGGAGAGGTGGGGATGGTTAATGAGTACAAAAAATAGAATGAATGAATAAGGCCTAGTATTTGATAGCACTACAGGGTGACTACAATCAATAATAATTTAATTGTACATTTTAAAATAACTAAAATAATATAATTGGATTGTTTGTAACACAAAGGAAAAATGCTTGAGGGGATGGATACCCCATTTTCCATGATGTGACTATTATGCATTGCATGCATGTATCAAAATATCTCATGTACCCCATAAATATATACACCTATCACCCACAAAAATTAAAAATTAAAAAAAAGCTTAAAGGATATTGAGTGTTGATTTTTCTCTCCTTCCCCAAACACTATTGGAAGGTTAAAAAAAAAATTTCCTGAAATCATAAAACACGTGTTTTCCTGTGTCTGGCTGTGTTCAACCAACATAATATATATGTGATTTACATTTTGTTGTCTGTAGTTGTAGATAGTCATTTTCATTGATGGATGGTATACATGGTATGGATATTTCTTTTCTTTTGAGATGGAGTCCAGCTCTGTTCCCCAGGCTGGAGTGCAGTGGTGTGATCTTGGCTCACTGCAACCTCCATCTCCCGGGTTCAAGCTATTCTCCTGCCTCAGCCTCCCGAGTAGCTGGGATTACAGGTGCCCACCACCATGCCCAGCTACGTTTTGTATTTTTAGTAGAGATGGGGTTTCATTGTGTTGGCCAGGTTGGTCTCAAACTCCTGACCTCAGGTGATCTGCCCGCCTCAGCCTCCCAAAGTGCTGAGATTACAAGCGTGAGCCACCGCACCCGGCCTGTATGGATATTTCACGACATATGTATCTGGTATGAAGGTTTGCAAATTTTGACCTACTATGAATAATGGTGCTTTGAACATTCTTGTACATATCTTTTAGATGGACGTTTATTTTTACTTTACTTCGACATATATGATTGAGTGGCATTTCTGAGTTAGGGTATATGTATGTTCAGCTCACTAGACACTGCCAGTTTTTCAAAGTGTTCCAATCCGTATTCCCACCAGCAGTGTTGAGAGTTCCACTGCTCCACATCCTCACCAACACTTCACTTGGCATTTTCAATCTTTTTTATTTCTTGTGGGTCTATGGTGGTATCTAATTATGGTTTTAAATGTAATTTCTTTGATTTAATTTCTCTTTAATTTAACTCTGAAATGTTTCGTCTCATTTAATCTAAAGTGGGTTCCACCGCATTTTTTTTTAACCTTCTAATTTATTTGCTTAAAATCTGGATCTTTAGTCTTGTGGAATGCTGATGCTGTTAAATACCTTTCTGCATATGGAGGTGATCATATAATTATTTCCTTGGCTGTATCAATATACTAGATTATAGTAATAGTTTTATTGATATTGAAACATGTTTATATATATAAAAGCCCCATAAGGTCATGACCTGTATTTTATGTCCTCTTTTGTTTACTAATATTTTATTTAAGAACATTAGTTCATATTCTGTGATGAGATTATTCTGGAATTTCATTTCTCCTGCAGTTTTTGGCATGTTTCAGAATCAACTTTATGTACTTGCTTCATTGTTTCATATATTCCCTATGCCCTTCGACTATTTTAAATAGTATTGGTATTATCATACCTTGAAAGTTTTGCTAGAATTCTCTTTGGGAAAGCTCTGGGTCTGGTGCTTTTTGAAGGCAGATAATTTAACCAAATTCACTATGTCTTGTATGCAATTGGTCTGTTAAGACTTTTTGTGTTTCTTGAGGCCAGTCTGGGTAAGTTGTGTTTTTCTAGAAAATTACTGATTTTATCTGTTTCCAAATGTATTTGAATAGAATTATGCAAATTTTTCAGTTAAGAGACTTGAAATTTCCTTCGTTTTGAAGACCTTGTCACCGTTTCTGTTTCAAAATTGTGTATTTGTGTTTTCTTCAATTTTCTTGAATACTTTACCCAGTGACTTTTCATGTTTTTGGTATCTCCTCAAATAAATCTTCCTTACTTTTACATATAAATTATACTGTAGTTTGCCTTTTTAACCCATTTATTTCTGTTTTAACCTTTAACTATTCAACTGCATTCTTTTAGTTTATGTTGTGGTTCTTTATCTGGCTTTTTGAATTGATTGTTCAATTCCTTTTTATTGATATAGCTATGTAATGCATAAAAATATTATCTGACCACTGCTCTAGCTGTAAATTCTGAATATGTTCTGTTTTTATTTTCATTACTCTCATTGCATTCTACAATTTTAATCTGTATTTGCATTTGGGCCCAAGCTTAACAGCCTCAGATATTAGTATGATTTTTCATATATCTCATTGCTGCTTCTGCAGTTTTCCTCTATAAAACTACATTTTTGGCTGGGTGTGGTGGCTCACACCTGCAATCCCAACACTTTTGGAGGCCGAGGCGGGTGGAGCACCTGAGGTCAGGAGTTCAAGACCAGCCTGGCCAAGATGGTGAAACCCCATCTCTACTAAATTAGCTGGGCATGGTGGCAGGCGCCTGTAATCCCAGCTACTCAGGAGACTGAGGCAGAGAATTGCTTGAAACCGGGAGGGAGAGGTTGCAGTGAGCCAAGATTGCGCCACTGCACTCCAGCCTGGGCGACAGAGTGAGACTCCACCTAAACAAACAAACAAAAAAACCCAAACAAACAAATAAACAAAAAAACTACATTTGTGTTGTGTGACTAGGTACACAAGTATTAATACATAATGTATTCCTAGTGAATTTTAACCTTTACTATTATTAGGTGTGCTTTTTTATCTTTTAAAATCCATTTTGTTCTCAATTCTGCCCTCTTAAAAATTAAGATTGTGAAAAATATTCCATGCTCATGGATAGGAAGAATCAATATTGTTAAAATGGTCATACTGCCCAAAGCAATTTACAGATTCAATGCTATTCTATTAAACTACTAGCAATGTTTTTCACAGAACTAGAATAAAAATTCTAAAATTCACTTGGAACCAAAAGAGAGCCTGAATAACCAAAGCAATCCTAAATGAAAAGTGCAAAGATGGAGGCATCACACTACCTGACTTCAAACTATAATACAAGGCTATAGTAATTAAAACAGCATGGTACTGGTACAAAACAGACACGCAGACAAATGGAACATAATAAAGAACACAGAAATAAAGCCACACACCTACAACCATCTGATCTTCAACAAAGTTAACAATAACAAGCAATGGGGAAAGGACTTCCTATTCAATAAATGGTGCTAGAATAACTGGCTAGACATATGCAGAAGATTGAAACTTCACCTTTACCCTTCAAAAATCAACTCAAAATGCATTAAAGACTTAAATGTAAAACATAAAACTATAAATACCCTAGAAGAAAACTTAGGAAATACCATTCTAGACATCAGCCCTGGCAAAGACTTCATGATGAAGACACCAAAAGCAACTGTAGTAAAAACAAATATTGACAAGCAGGACCTAATGAAACTAAAGAGCTTCTGCACAGCAAAAGAAACTATCAACAGAGCAGACAGACAACCTACAGAATGGGAGAAAACATCTGTAAACTATGCATCTTCCAAAGGTCTAATATCCAGGATCTATAAGGAACTAAATCAACAAGCAGAAAAACAACCCCATTAAAAAATGGGCAAAGGACATGAACAGACACTACTCAAAAGAAGATATACACATGACCAACAAGCATATGAAAAAATGTTCAATATCACTAATCATTAGGGAAATGCAAATCGAAACCACAATAAGATACCATCTCACAACAGTCAAAATGTCTATTATGCAAAAGTTAAAAAGTAACAGATGTTGGTGAGCTTACAGTGAAAAGGGGATGCTTATACACTGCTGGTAGGAATGTATATTAGTTCAGCCACTGTGGAAAGCAGTCTAGAGATTTCCCAAGTAACTTAAAATAGAACTACAATTCAACCCAGAAATCCCATTACTGGGTATATTCCCAAATGAATATAAATCGTTCTACCATAAAGACACATGCATGTGTATGTTTATCACAGCACTATTCACAATAGCAAAGACATGGAATCAACCTAGATGCCCATCAACAGTGGACTGGATAAAGAAAATGTGGTACACATACACCATGGAATACTACAGATTCATAAAAAAGAATGAGATCATGTCCTTTGCAGCAACATGGATAGAGCTTGAGGCCATTATCCTAAGCAAATTACTTTTACTTTGATGTTCTTTTGTGCCATCTTCTTTCACCTTCTATTTGGACACCGAAATAGCAGCCTCTCCTTGAGGACCAGAAAGCAGACAGCATAGAGTAACAGAACATGAAGATGAATCTGCTGTACAACAGACTGAAATCAGGAGACCTGGGTCCTCAATAGCAGATTTAGCTTTGTGTAAAAAAGACCATGAGAAGTCAGCTGGCCTGATCTGGCCTCATCCCTTTCACAGGAAAAGACTGACATTCTCAGGGGTTAAGGACACGAGCCTCGGAGTCAGAGTGAGTACAATATTTCGGCATACTTAATTACTGGTTTTATGATATTTAGGAAATGTTGAGTCTCCAGACAAATGAAACCCATATGTAATGGATATATATTAAGTATGCCTGCATAGAGAACAAAGTGGGAGGAACTATACAAAAAGGACAATTTATCAAAAATTAATAAGTGGGAGGGGTCAGGGATTATTTATTTATTTCTGAGCTTGACTATGCTTTCCACAATTTATAAATTAGCATGGAGCTTTTTAAAAGTCAGAATTTTTGCTCATAGAAACAGTATTTGTTATAAAATAGTTCAGACATACAAAAATTATAGAATGTGAGAACTTTCTATGTAACCATGCTAACATATAAAATAGTATATAGGCAATCGATAGTCACATTGAAGTCTGATTGTATTAGCCTCCTACTTCCTCAGAGATAATCACTATACAGAATTTGGATTTTTCATTTTTAAGACATTACCTTATAATTACACATGTACATACCTGTATGTAAAATATGATATTGTTTTGTAGCATGGTTTTCTCTCTAAATACCTGGCTACCTCATTGAAGAAGAAGAAGTAAGAAACCTGAGGAGAACAAACATGCATTCATATCTCAACAGTGGGACCTGCTATATATATATGTCTCCAAGTCGTGTGTATTATCTTTTAGACTACTAAAACAGACACATCCAGGTCTCAGTTTATATGCTATAGAGAGCGGTAAAACATTCTACAGTTACTATTTTCAAACTCTTCTTTTATCTGATATGTTCAATGTCTCAGTTTTCCTGTGGCTAACTTGCCTAAAACAATCTCAGTGTATCTTGAATGCAAGACATTTTCTCATTTGTCTGGGGCTAATTTTCTACCTTTCTTTCAAACTGTTACTAATTTAGGCCTGTCCTTTATAACCAGAACCTAATCTAGACCATCCTGCTGAAAGAAGACAGTATTTTCTGGGAGTTAGTTTTCATGTGTTCAGACTACTGCCCAAATCCCTTAGATGGTATAGGGATGCATTCCATTTAGAACTTGATTTGACATCTATTACAAGTGCTGGGCATGTGTATATTTTCCTTTTATAACTTTTAATTACATAAGGAAGGTACTTGTGTAATTATACATCATAGTCAAGATGTAGAATTGACCTAAAAGTTCATCAGTGGATACACAGGTAATGAAAACATGGTGTATTAATTCACATTTGTTGATTGCTCCTGGGACCCTGGGCTGAATGAGACTATGACTATACTTCTACCCCGAATCCCGCTGTGTCAGGGTTCCCCTCTCCTTATCCTCCCCATTCCCCCACTGAAGCTGTAATGCTGAACTCTGAGTGATTTCATGAAGACCATCCCGCTTTCCCGTCTCTGTGGCAGTCACTGCTTGGCTAACTAGGTGGGATAAGCAGGCAGTAGGAAGTGAAGAATGTTAACAAGGACTGGAGAAAGGTCTTTTAGGTAGTTTAAATTTGAAGGAGAAGAGAGAGACCCAGAGATAGGACATAGAGGTGGAGGGGGCAGGAGACAGAGAGAGAGAGAGAGAGAGGAGGGGAGGGGAGGGGACGGGAGGGAGAGGGGAGGGGAGGAGAGGGGAGGGGAGGAGAGGGGAGGGGAGGAGACAGGAGGGGAGAGGAAAGGAGAGGTATCAATCCTGTGGCTAAATGTGTATTGAGGGGTCCAAGAGGAATTTTTGAAAATCTTTCATTTCTTAAAAGTTGATCAAGTTTAAAAATTAATGTGAAGGAGCATACCATCTTAAAACTAATCTTTGAAGTTAGTGATATATTATTTTCATTCTTACTCTATTATTTCCATTTTAGAGATCATGAGATGCCTTTAGTTATACAGGTATTGAGCTTAATATATATTTAGTTATTAATGAATGAAGGAATGGACAATTGTGTGTATAGAAATGGTAGTAACTCTTGGATTTTTGTGTTTCAAGAGGTAGAAGATGGTTAAAATACTGCTGTGATGTGGCTGGATAATGCATAATCTGAGGGTCACCGCCCTGGTGGCTGTGAAACAGTCTAGAATTTTCCTGTTTTACATATATGTGTGTGTGTGTGTGTGTGTGTGTGTGTGTGTGTGTGTGTGTGTGTATAAAACTTTTTCTTTTTTTGAGACAGTGTTTCACTCTGTCGCCCAGACTGGAATGCAGTGGCCCGATCTCAGCTCACTGCAACCTCCGCCTCCCGGGTTCAAGCGATTCTCCTGCCTCAGCATCCTGAGTAGCTGGGATTACAGGCGCGCATCACCATGCCCGGCTACTTTTTGTATTTTTAGTAGAGACGGAGTTTTGCCATGTTGGCCAGGCTGGTCTCGAACTCCTGACCTCAAGTGATCCGCCCACCTCAGCCTCCCACGGTGCTGGGATTACAGGCATGAGCCACTGCACCCTGCTTTCCTATAATATATTAATATACCAAACAGTCCAGGAACAACCATTAGGCAAACTCCACACTTTGCTTACCTGGTGTTATCTATCACTGAGATCACCAGGTGAGTTCAAAGACATGCCTATCTTCCCAGCATGAGGAACTGAATTTGGGTCAGCTCAGGGACTTGATGCTGAACAGCTCTTATGAGCTTCTGATAACACCCAAGAACTAGAGAAACAGCTGTCCATAAATCTTTCAACTCAAGGTATATCACAGGGACATTTGCTTTCTTCAACTAGATGTGTATTTTTCTCAAAAGGGGAAACAGTAAGAAATGATTTTTCACACTGCCTCCTTAGCCCTGAGGTCTGCCAACCCCTACTTCTGTGTCCCAACATTTAAAGACCACTAAAGTTTCACTCTATGCCATATAGTCTGGGCAGGTTTTCTCATTTACCCCTCAGGAAAGCTCTGGTATTGTCAGTTACATTTCACAGATGACTAAGTTCAGGCTCACAGAGCCTAAGTCACTTCCCCAGATAAATGGCAGGATTGGAATGAGGCTGATCCCATTAATCAAGCTCCCAACTCCATCCCTCCCTTCCCTATGCTGAACCCTGCCTCCCCTGCAACCTGGTCTACTCTCAGAGCTGCAACCTTGGCTCTGGCTACCAGAAGGCACATCATAGCTATCTCAATTTTTGTTTTTAAATTAAAAGCAGCTTATTTTGCATAGAGTAACAAATATTACAAGTTTTCTGTGGTTGTTTGGAAAATTCACATGTATATGAAAACAGTTCCATTATCTGTTGACCCCAAATCTACATTGCATTCATTGATTTTTCACTTCCCTCCTTGGTGCAGGTTGCAGTGTCCACATTGCAGGAGGGTGGGTAGGGGGTCCTTTTCAGACAGCAGGGCATTCAGCCTCCTCCATTACCCCACCCCTATACAGGCTTCCCAGATTTCCTCCCACCTTCTCTCTGTCATTCCCTTTTCAGGACACTATGGGCACAGCTGCCCAGACCCTGCTCCTGTGCCCTCATCCTCTCTCTGTCACCGCCCACTGCCCCACACTGCCCTATGGCTGCCCGCCTAGGATAGCCAAGGATGTCCTGCAGTTTATTTTTTTTTCCGTCTTCTTTTAAACACATCAGTATCTTTCTGACAGAATCATTCTGTACCTGGGTTCATAAGGTGGGTCGTAAGGAGGTATTGTAGTTTTTGCTCCTTGCGGACACTTCTTTGCTGAAAAGTTTGATAATGGTGGTACCGTGGTGCCCTTTCCCGACACAAATCTGCATTGCAGCTAGAACAGGAAGGTGGGAAGGAGAGATTGTGGCCCAAGCCCACCCTATAAAGCTTTCTGGAAATCTTGGTGGAAAAGTGAGCATTCCCAGTGTATAGGGGTACTGAAGGACTCCAGACAAAAATTGCTGCCTTTTACTATGCCGAGAAGAGAGCTCTATGTGAGAGGAAGACAAAATATTTTAATTTTTATTCTTTGACCCCTGGATAAATAGAGACCTATATAAGAAAAAAGGGATCCAGGCTACTTGTTATCTTTGTAACCCTCTTTACATCTTTATTACTATCTTTTCATGGAAATACATTTCTATGATAACATTTGAAATTACAACATAATATCAATATTTTTTATGGACCCAGTGTTTCATTTATATGATATCCTAAAGTTTATTTCCACAGTAACCTAGTGGTGAAAATTTAGTTCCCTTACCATAGTTTCTATTACAGACAATGGTATATATAACACTCTTGCTCATATGTACAAATATTTCAGTAATAATTTCTTTATAAGTTTTTGAAAGAGTATCTTTAAGCCCCAGACACTTAAAAATTTTATATCAAGATGATGAAATCAAAATACTTTTACTTTTTTTAATTTTTTTTTATCTAAATAGGTTTTTGGGGAACAGGTGGTGTTTGTTTACATCAATAAGTTATTCAGCGGTGATTTCTGAGATTTCGGCACACCCTTCACCCAAGCAGTGTACACTGTACCCAATGTATAGTCTTTTATCCCTCAACACTCCCCACTGTTTCCCCTGAGTCCCCAAAGACCAATGTATCATTCTTATGCCTTTGCGTCCTCATAGCTTAGCTCCCACATGAGTGAGAACATACACTGTTTGGTTTTCCATTCCTGAGTTACTTCACTTAGAATAATAATCTCCAATTCCATCCAGGTTGCTGCGAATGCCATTATTTCTTTTTTTTATGGCTTAGTAGTATTCATATATATATATATAATATATATATATATATCTCACATTTTCTTTATCCACTCATTGATTGATGGGCATTTGGGTTGGTTCCATATTTTTGCAATTGCAAATTGTGCTGCTATAAACGTGTGTGCAAGTATCTTTTTTGTATAATGACTTATTTTCTTCTGGGTAGATACCCAGTAGTGGGATTGCTGGATCAAACGGGAGATCTACTTTTAGTTCTTTAACGAATCGCCACACTGTTTTCCACAGTGGTTGTATTAGTTTACACTCCCACCAGCAGTGTAAAAGTGTTCCCTTTTCACCCCACCTTACTCAAACATCTATTATTTTTTTATTTTTTTATTATGGCCATTCTTGCAGTTATAAGATGGTGTTGCATTGTGGTTTTGATATGCATTTCCCTGATCACTAGTGATGTTGAGCATTTTTCCATATGCTTGCTGGCCATTTGTATATCTTCTTTTGAGAATTGTCTATTCATGTCCTTAGCCCACTTTTTGATATTTTTATTTTGTTTTGTTTTGTTTTTTCTTGTTGATTTGAGTTATTTGTAGATTCTGGATAATAGTCCTTTGTCAGATGTATAGATTGTGAAGATTTTCTCCCACTCTGTAGGTTGTCTGTTAACTCTGCTGATTATTTCTTTTGCTGTGCAGAAGCTTTGTAGTTTAATTAAGTCCCATCTATTTATTCTTGTTTTTGTTGCATTTGCTTTTGGGTTCTTGGTCATGAAGTCTTTGCCTAAGCCAATGTCTAGAAGGGTTTTTCTAATATTATCTTCTAGAATCTTTATGGGTGTTAGATTTAAGTCTTTGATCCATCTTGAGTTGATTTTTGTATAAGGTGAGAGATGAGGATCCAGTTTCATTCTTCTACATGTGGCTTGCCAATTATCCCAGCACCATTTGTTGAATAGGGTGTCCTTTCTCCACTTCATGTTTTTGTTTGCTTTGTTAAAGATCAGTTGGCTGTATTTGGCTTTATTTTTGGGTTCTCTATTCTGTTCCATTGGTCTATGCGCCTATTTTTTTTTTTTTTTTGTCTTGCTTTGGCTATTTGGGCTCTTTTTTGGTTCCATATGTACCCATCCATGAGCATGGGATGCGTTTCCCTTTGTTTGTGTTGTAGATGGCTTTTATTACTCTAAGGTATGTCCCCTTTATGCCGATTTTGCTGAGGGTTTTAATCATAAAGGGATGCTGGATTTTGTCAAATGCTTTTTTCTGCATCTATTGAGATGATCATGTGATTTTTGTTTTAAATCTGTGTATGTGCTCTATCACATTTATTACTTGTGTATATTAAATCATCCCTGCATTAATGGCATGAAACCCACTTGATCATGGTGGATTTTCTTTTTGATATGTTGTTGAATTTGGTTCATTAGTATTTTCTTGAGGATTTTTGCATCTATGTTCATCAGGGATATTGGTCTGTAGCTTTCTTTTTTGTTATGTCCTTCCCTGGTTTTGATATTATGGTGAAACTGGCTTCATAGAATGATTTGGGGGAGGATTCTCTCTTTTTCTATCTTTTGGAATAGTGTCAATAGGATTGGTACCAATTCTTTGAATGTCTGATAGAATTCAGCTGTGAATCTGTCTGGTTCTGAACTTATTTTTTAGTTATTGGCAATCTTTGTATTACTATTTCAATCTCTTCCTGGTTTAATCTAGGAGGGTTGTATATTTCCAGGAATTTATCCATCTCTTGTAAGTTTTCTAGTTTATGCACATAAACGTGTTCATAGTAGCCTTGAATAATCTTTTGTATTTCTGTGATATCAGTTGTAATATCTCCCATTTCATTTCTAATTGAGCTTATTTGAAACTTCTCTCTTCTTGGTTAATCTTGCTAATGGTCTATCAGTTTTATTTATCTTTTCAAAGAACCAGCTTTTTGTTTCATTTATCTTTTGTATTGTTTTTGTTTGTTTCAATTTCATTTAGTTCTGCTCTGATCTTCGTTATTTCTTTTCTTCTCCTGGGTTTGGGTTTAGATTGTTCTTGTTTCTCTAGTTCCATGAGGTATGATCTTAGATTGTCTATTTGTGCTCTTTCAGACTTTTTGATGTAGGCATTCAATGCTATGAACTATCCTGTTAGCACTGCTTTTGCTGTATCTCAGAGGTTTTGATAGGTTGTGTCACTATTATCTTTCAATTCAAAGAATTTTTAAATTTCCATCTTGATTTCATTGTTGACACAACGATCACTCAGGAGCAAGTTATTTAATTTCCATGTATTTGCATGGTTTTTAAGGTTCCTTTTGGAGTTGATTTCCAATTTTATTCCATTGTGGTCTGAGAGAGTACTCGATATAATTTCGATTTTCTTAAATTTACTGAGACTTGTTTTGTGGCCTTTCATGTGGTCTATCTCGGAGAATGTTCCATGTACTGATGAATAGAATATATATTCTGTAGTTGTTGGGTAGACTGTTCTGTAAATATCTGTTAAGTCCATTTGTTATAAGGTATAGTTTAAGTACATTGTTTCTTTGTTGACTTTCTGTCTTGATGACCTGTCTAGTGCTGTCAGTGAAGTATTAAAGTCTCCCACTTTTATTGTGTTGCCGTTTATTTCATTTCTTAGGTCTAGTAGTAACTGTTTTATAAATCAAAAGGTCCAGTGTTAGGTGCATATATATTCAGAATTGTGATATTTTCCTGTTGGACTAGTCCTTTTATCATTATATAATGTCCCTCTGTCTTTTTTAACTGCTGTTGCCTTAAAGTTTGTTTTGTCTGATGTGAGAATAGCTACTCTTGCTCACTTTTGGTGTCCATTTGCATGGAATATATTTTTCTATCCCTTTACCTTAAGTTTATGTGAGTCCTTATGTGTTACGTGAATCTCCTGAAGACAGCAGAAACTAGGTTGGTGAATTCTTATCCATTCTGCCATTCTGTATCTTTTAAGTGGAGCATTTAGGCTATTTACATTCAATGTTAGTACTGAGATGAAGTACTATTTTATTCATTGTGCTATTTGTTGCCTGCATATATATATACATACATACATATATTTTGGACTGTGTTATTGTCATATAGGTCCTGTGAGATTTATGCTTTAGGGAGATTCTATTTTGGTATATTTTAAGGATTTATTTTAATATTTAGAGCTCTTTTTAGCAGTTCTTGTACTGCTGGCTTAGTAGTAGTGAATTCTCTCAGCATTTGTTTGTCTGGGAAAGACTGTATCTTTCCTTCATTTATGAAGCTTAGTTTCTCTCTGGATACAAAATTCGTGGCTGATAATTGTTTTGCTTAAGGAGGCTAAAAATAGGACCCAAATTCATTCTAGCTTGTAGGGTTTCTGCTGAAAAATCTGCTGTTAATCTGATAGGTTTTCCTTTATAGATTACCTGATGCTTTTGCCTCATAGCTCTTAGGATTCTTTCCTTTGTCTTGACTTTAGATAACTTGATGACTATGTGCCTAGGCAATGATCTTTTTTGCAATGAATTTCCCAGGTGTTCTTTGAACTTCTTGTATTTCTCCAGATCTCTAGCAAGGCCAGGGAAGTTTTCTTTGATTATTCCCTCAAATACGTTTTCCAAACTTTTAGATTTCTCTTCTTCCTTAGGAACACTAATTATTCTTAGGTTTCGACATTTAACATAGTCTCAAACTTCTTGGATGCTTTAGTCATTTTTTTTACAATTCTTTTTTTTTTTTTTTTTTTTTGAGACGGAGTTTTGCTCTGTCGCCCAGGCTAGAGTGCAGTAGCGCGATCTTGGCTCACTGCAAGCTCCACCTCCCGGGTTCACGCCATTCTCCTGCCTCAGCCTCCTGAGTAGCTGGGACTACAGGCACCTGCCACTATGACGGCTAATTTTTTTTTTTTTTGTATTTTTAGTAGAGACAGGGTTTCACCGTGTTTGCCAGGATGGTCTCGATCTCCTGACCTCGTGATCCACCTGCCTCGGCCTCCCAAAGTGCTGGGATTACAGGCGTGAGCCACCACACCCAGCCTAAAATTCTTTTTTCTTTGTCTTTGATGGATTGGGTTAATTTGAAAGCCTGTCTTTGAGCTCTGAAGTTCTTTCTTCTGCTTGTTCGATTGATTGCTGAGACTTTCCAGTGCGTTTTGCATTTCTCTATATGTTCCCCGATTTCTCGAAATTGTAATTGTTTTTTTTTTAATTTATGCTGTTTCACTGAATAATTTTCCTTTCATATCCTGCATCACGTTTTTGATTTATTTAAGTTGGACTTCATCTTTCTCTGCTGCCTCTTTTATTAGCTTAATAATCAACCTTCTGAATTCTTTTTCTGGCTATTCCAAGATTTCATCTTAGTTTGGATCCATTGCTGGTGAGCTAGTGCAATGTTTCGGGGGTGTTAAAGAAACTTGTTTTGTCGTATTAGCAGAAATTTTTTTCTCGCTCTTTCTCATTTGGGTAGACTATGTCAGAGGGAAGATCTGGAATTCAAGAGCTGCTGTTCAGATTCTTTTGTCCCATGGGGTGCTCCCTTGATGTGGTGTTCTCCCCCTTCCCCTATAAATGCGGCTTCCTGAGGGCCAAAGTGTCATGATTGTTTTTGCTCTTCTGGGTCTAGCCACCCAGTGGAGCTACTGGGCTCCGGGCTGGTACTGGGGAGTGTCTGCAAAGAGTCCTGTGATGTGATCCATCTTCAGGTTTTGCAGCCAGTGGAGGTAGCAGGGGAGTGAAGTGGACTCTGTAAGGGTCCTTGGTTGTATTTTGGTTTAGTGTGCTAGTTTTGTGTTGGTTGGCCTCCAGCTAGGAGGTGGTGATTTCAAGAGTGCATCAGTTGTGGTCCTGCAGAGAGGATGCCAACTTTCCCTAGGGACAGCTGGTTAAGTATTCAGATTTCTCAGGCGGTGGGCAGGGCCATAGAACTCCCAAGAGATTATGACCTTGGTCTTTGTCTACCAGGGTGTGTAGAGAAAGACCACCCGGTAGGGGCAGGGATAGGCATGGCTGAGCTCAGCCTCTCCTTGGGTGTGGCTTGCTGTGACTGCTGTGGGGGATGGGGGTGTGGTGTCTGGTCCAATGGAGTTATATTCCCAGGGGGATTATGGCTGCTTCTGCTGAACCATACAGTTTGCCAGCAAGTGGGGGAAAGTCAGCGGTCATGGGCCTCACCCTGCTCCCATGCAGCCTGCAGCCCTAAAGGCTGGTGTCATTCCCACTGTGCCCTACAACAGCACCGAGTCTATTTCAGGGCAACCAGTGACCAGGGCTGAGAACTTGTCCCAGACCACCAGCTTCCCCACTGACAAAGCAAGCAGACTCACAGTTTTTCGGCATCTCAGGGGGCCTGCAACAGTGATCCAGTTTCTTCAAAGGGTCTGTGGATTCTCTCAGCTTTCCTGGTATGTTCCTGCAGTACTTCTTGGAGCAAAGGTTTACAGTACGAGTCTCCACATGCTGCTCTGTCCATCTCAGCAGGAGCTGCAAGCTGGTCCTGCCTCCTATCTGCCATCTTGCCCCCATGCATTTATCTGAAATCAAAATACTTTTAATAAAAGCATTATACTACTAATATTCCAGTGTGAAAGTTCCTTTCTGCTCATATTAGAAATAATGTGAATCTTTACTAATCTGATAGGCAAAAAAAATCATCTCTCATCATTGTTTCAATATAACTCATTTTTGCTCTCTTCTGAAATTTCATACTGTGGATGTGACATAATCAATTTTCACAACCCCATATTATTCAGAGTGTTCCAATATTCCCTATTATCTACACGACATGGATAGCATCTTTTCAGAGTCTGTGCACTGGTAGTGGTTGTAATCCAGGGCAGAGTTCCCATGGCTATTTGCTCTGGTGAGCTGAATGGGTCCCCTTGGAGCCCAACAACTATGTTGAGAGAATTGTAGTATTGTGATAACAGAACCTGGTTGATGTAGGAGTGAGTGTGTGTGTGTGAGAGAGAGAGTGTGAGTGTATGTGTGTGCTGACAACCACATTTCCCTTTACTTCCTTCTGGCTTGTGTCTTTGCATCTCATTTCGTCTCCCTTTCTAAATTCAAGCCCAAAAGTGAAAAAAGGGAAATATCAGGATGGCAGTACTTGTAACCAGATTTTAATCAACATTCTTCACTAAGTCCTGAAGATAAACATATAAAAGGAAATGCTAGCACAAAGCGTGTGTGCCTATGTAGGCCTTGATAAGTATTGCTCTACAGACACTCATAAAGTAGTGCCATTTAGACTCCCCAAGTATAGGGAGGTGAGAAAGGCTACAGAGGAATGAAGAAAGTACTGACGCTGACAAGGTGTTGCAGAGGAAAGGCCCTGGACTCTGTGGTGGACACACATATTGGTCATTTGTCTATTTTCGGTTTTGTTGTCTGTGCTTTTAAGGTCTTAGCCATAAAATATTTGCCTAGACCAATGTACTAAAGTGTTTCCCCCAGGTTTTTGTCTAGTACTTTTATAGTTTCAGATCTTACATTTAAGTCTTTAATTGATCTTGAGTTGATGTCTGTATATGATGAGAGACAGAGATGCAGTTTCATTCTTCTGCATATGCATATCCAATTTTCCCAATACCATTTATTGAGGAGGATGTCCTTTCTCCAACGTACGTTCTTGGTGCCTTTGTTGAAAATCAGTTTTGTCTGTAAACATGTGGATTTATTTCTGCGTTCTCTATTCTGTTCCATTGGTCTTTGTGTCTGTTTTCATACCAATACCATGCTGTTTTGATTACCATAGCCTTGTAATATATTTTGAAGTCAAGTAGTGTGATGCCTCCAGCTTTGTTCTTTTTGGTCTGGATTGGTTTGGTTATCCGGGTTCCTTTGTGGTTGCATATCAATTTTAGGATTGTTTTTTCTATTTCTGCAAAAAATGTCATTGGTACTTTGATAAGGATTGCATTGAATCTGCAGATTACCTTTGACAGTATGGTCATTTTAACTATATTAATTCTTCCAGGCCATGAGCATAGGATATCTTTCCATTTGCTTGTGTCCTCTTCAATTTCTTTCATCAGTGTTGTGTAGTTTTCCTTGTAGAGGTCTTTCACCTACTTGGTTAAATTTATTCCTAGGTTTTTTTTTTGGTAGCTATTTCAAGTAGGCATGCCTTTTTAATTTCTTTCTCCACTATTTCATCATCAGCTATTTCGTCATTGGTGCATACAAACACTACTGATTTTTGTATATTGATGTTCTATCCTAAAACTATATTGTATTTATCAAATTTGGGAGGGTTTTGATGGAGTCATTAGGTTTTTCTAGATATAAAATTATATCATTTGCAAAGAGGAACAAATGTAAAGATATCCAACTTGGATATCTGTTATTTCTCTTGTCTGATTGCTCTGGCTAGGTCTTCCAGTACTATGTTGAATAGTAGTGATGAAGGTGAAAAAACAAGACCCTTGTCTTGTTCCAGTTCTTAGATGAAATGGTTTCAGCTTTTCCCCATTCATTATGATGTTAGCCCTGAGTTTATCATATATGGTTTTTATTATTTTGAGTTACGTTCTTTTGATGCCTAGTTTCTTGAGAGTTTTTATCATGAAGGGATGATGAATTTTATCAAATGCTTTTTATGGATTGGTTGAGATAATCATATGGTTTTTGTCCTTCATTCTGTTGATGTAATGTATTATGTTTGTTGATTTGCATATGTTGAACCATCTTTGCATCCCTGGTATAAATCCCACTTGATCACGGCATATTATCTTTTTGATGTGCTGTTGGATTCAGGTTGCTAGTATTTTGTTGAGAACTTTTGCATCTATTTTCATCAGGGTTATTGGCCTGTAGTTTTTTGTTGTTGTTGAGTCCTTGTCTGGTTTTTAATATCATAATAATGCTGCCCTCATAAAATGAGTTAGGGAGAATTCTCTCCTCTTCAATTTTTTTTCAGTAGTTTGAATATAACTTTTGTTAGTTCTCCTTTGAAGGTTTGGTAGAATTCATCAGAGAAACCATCCAGGTCTGGGCTTTTCTCTGTTGGAAAATTTTTATTACTGATTCAATCTCATTACTTACTATTGGTCTGTTCAGGTTTTCTATTTCTTCCTGATTCAATCTTGGTAGGTGGTATACGTCCAGGAATTTATCTATTTCCTCTAGGCTTTCCAATTTGGTGGTATATAATTGTTTATAATAGTCTCTGATGATTATTTGTATTTCCATGTTATCAGTTGTAGTGTCTCCTTTTTCATTTCTGATGTTGTTTATTTGTGTCTTCTCTCTTTTTTTTCTTGGTTAGTCTAGCTGATGGTTTATCAATTTTTTATCTTTTCAGAAATCTAACTTTTTGTTTCATTAAAATTTTGTATATTTTTAGTTTCTATTTTGTTTAGTTTGGCTCTGACCTTTACTGTTTCCTTCCTTCTACTCATTTGGGATTTGGTTTTTCCTTTTTTAGTTCCTTGAGGTGAACAGTTAGATTGGTTATTTGGAATCTTTTTACTTTTTTGATGTAGGCATCTATTGCTACAAATTTTTCTCTAAGCACTGCTTTTGCTGTATCCCATAGATTTTGGTATGTTGTGTTTCCATTTTCATTTGTTTCAAATAACTTTTTGATATCCTCCATATTTTTTTTCTTGACTCAGTGGTCATTCTGGAGCATGCTGTTTGTTTATTTTCCACATATTTGTACAGTTTCCCAGGTTCCTCTTGTTATTGATTTCTACTTTTATTACATTTTTGTCTGAGAACATACTTGATATGATTTTGATTTTTTAAATTTGTTGAGACTTGTTTTGTGTCCTTCTACTTAACTACTTCCTTCACCATTAAATAGAATACAGTAATAGCTATTTCAAATTAATGAACATAATACACATTACTTTTGTCAATCTGTGCAAATGTATGTTATGTTGTGTCTAAATATTCATCAAAATATTTTTATTCCTGAATACCAAATTTCAGACAATATACAAAAGCACATATATGAATTGTAATTAATCTTCACCTCTCAGTAGCTCAACTCCTACCTCCTGACCCAAAAGGTCTGTTGTCCATAGAATGGTGCACACTTTCCAGACATGTTTCTGTGGATGAGGTGCACATGACCATGTTCACCTACATATGCACGTAATCTTTGCCAAAAAGTGCAACCACATTAATCATCTCCTTTTGCAAGCTGTCTTTTCCACTTAATATTCTTCTGAGGATTTATATTAGCATCTTATTAGTTCTTATAGTTTTAGCATAATCAACAAGTTCCTTGTTCATGTCTATATCTATTGGAATTCTATGTCAAAATTAGTTGCCAACTGTTTTGTTACTGAGTTTGCCCTATAAATTATGGATACTAATCCAACATCTGAGATGTAGTTTGAAAATGTTTCCCCGTTATTTTACAGACATTCTTAGTGTTATTTTCATTTAGAATGTGTTTTCAACTTCAATAATATGAATAAGATATATATAGATTGTAATTTAAAAAGAAATACTAGTGAAGAACACCTTAGGGCGTGTGTACTGTCGGCCTTGAGAAAAATTCAAGCATTGAGAGTCCTGGAGATATCAAGAAAAAAATGGAAAAATACTTAAAAATACTTAAAAGTAATTCTAGAGTTAGCTGCTGAACTGGAGAGAAAAGAGTTTATTCCCTGCTTTACATAAACTTTCCTAAAGTACCCTGATTTGAATAATTGTCAAAGTGATAGGTACCTTGAATAGCAGTTAAGATTAAAGGAGATGAAATATAAAGTGCATTTTCTTACAGTAGTTTAGTGTATGTTACTTTCCTTCTCTCCAGCTCACCTGTCCCAAGGCCAACACTTGAGCTTCTGCCTGAGCCCACTCACCACTTCGAGAAGCAACCAACTCATGTGGCCCTACACCCAGGTCTCTTGGCATAAATGGTGGGATTTAATCTTCTCTATCTTCTTCATCACCCAGAGGGGTTGTGGAGTGAGGACGCATTGGTCCACAATAGCAGGGGGGTGGAATCTGACCATTTCTCAAGCCCTGGAAGCCCATCTTCTAAAAGGGAGGCTACTCAGGGCTGTCTATGGATGATGAGGGATGGAACCTCATTTCAATCCTACCACCTATCTGGAGAAGTGACTTAGGCTCTGAAAGCCTGAGTTTGGTCATCTATGAAATGGGACTGACCACACCATCCTTACAGTGCTGTCCTGAGGGGTAAATGAGAAAACCTGTACAGAGTATATGGCATAGAGTGGGACTTCAACGGCCTTTAAATGTTGGGACACAGCACTAGGGGATGGCTGAGCCTCAGGGCTAACGAGGCATTGTGAAAAACCATTTCTCATTGTTTCTCTTTATGAGAAAACAGATATCTAGTTGAAGAAAGCAAATGTCCCTGTGATATGCCTTGAGTTCAAAGATTTGTAGACAGTTGTTTCTGTACTTCCTGGGCACTATCAGAAGCTCATAAGAGCTGTTCAACATCATGCGCCTGAGCTGACCCAAATCCAGCTCCCCATGCTGGAAAGACAGGCATATCTTTGAATTCACCTGTTGAGTTCAGAAATCGGTAACACCAGGGTAGCAAAAAGTTGTTTGCCTAATGGCTATTCCTGGACTAGTCAGTATGGTTTTGGGCTCTTTTTTTGTTTTTGTTAAGGAAAAATTTGGACCCATACCGCAGCCACCAGTGCAGTCTTCAGATCATGCGGTATTCAGCCACATCACTCCAGGTTTTCGGTCATCTGCTGCCTCCCTTAGAGACAAAAATCCAATAGTTACTAGCAAGTCTTTGACACACGATAGAGTTTGGCTGTGTCCCCACCCAAATCTCACCTTGAATTGTAATAATCACCACATGTCAAGCACAGGGCGAGGTGGAGATAATTGAATCATGAGGGCAGTTTACACCATACTGTTCTCATAGTAGTGAATAAGTCTCACAAGATCTGATAGTTTTATAAATGGGAGTTTCCCTGCACAAGCTCTCTTGCCTGCCACCATGTAAGATGTGTTTTTGCCTTCTGCTATGATTGTGGGGCCTCCCCAGCCATGTGGAACTGTAAGTCAATTAAACCTCTTTCCTTTATAAATTACCTAGTCTCAGTTATGTCTTTATTAGCAGCATGAGAACAGACTAATACAACACACAATTATCCAGTTTTTAATTAGCTAACAACTAAATATTTACAGAGCCCAGAATTCATGCTATTCCATTGGAGGTACCTCATGAACTCTAAAGTCGAATTAACTGGGCAAGAAAGGAAATTAATATATGGGTGACTTCATTGCTTAAATCTGAGATGAGATGGTTCTTCTCATTAATTTTTAAACTTGATCAGGTTTCAAAAAATTGATGATTTTCAAAAATCCCTCCTTGGACCTCTCATCACCTATTCAACCACATGATAGAGATACCACTCCTCTCCCTCTCTCCCTCTCTCTCTCTGGCGCTCTCCCTCCAGCGCTCTCTCTCCCTCTCTCTCTCTCTCTGTGTGTATGTGTGTGTGTGTATGTGTGTATATGTATGTGTGTATGTGTATGTGTCCTCCCCCACTGGATTCTCTCTTCTTCAAATTCAAAGTTCCACAAAGAGTTTTACACATTCCTTGTTAATACTCTCCACTTTTCACTGACTCTTTATCCCATTACACTATGGATTCTGTCCCCAGGATCATCAATTAACACATACAAATTAAAACTCTTTTGAAATACCTTCCTTGTGCAATCAAAAATAACAAATGGAAAGCAAAATATACTCATGCTGAGCAATTGTGATACAAAATCAGATCAAGCTCTAAATGACATGCATCCCTGAACTAATCAATGGATTTGGGTAGTAGCCTGGACATATGAAAATCAACTCAGGGAATCACTGTCTTCTTTCACCAGCATGACCCAGTTTAGATTCTAGATAGACAGGGTAAGCCTACATGAATTACAGTTTGGATGAAAGATAGAAAATTAGGTCTGGACAAATGGAAGGTATTTCATGTCAGGATACACTGAGATATTATTTTAGGATAGTTAGCTTCAGGGAAACTCTAAGATTTTGAATTCATCAGGGAATAAAGACGCTTGGAAAATGGTATCTGCAGATTTTGTTGGAGCTCCCCACAGCATATAAACTGAGAAAATGGGTGTGTCTGCTTCAGTGAGTCTGAAAGAGAGTATAAATGACAAATAGGCATATATGGTAGGTCCCTCTATTAAGATGCGAATGTGTGTTTGTTCTCCTCATGTTTCTTCCTTTCTCCTATTTCATGAGGTAGCCAGGTATTTAGAGATGAAACCATGTCAGAAAACAATACCATATTTCACTTACAGGTATATGCATATGTAATAAAAGTATAGAAAAATGTCTTGAAAACGTAAAACCTAAATTCTGCATCATGGTCACCTGTGGGAAAGAAGGCAGCTGAGGTAATAAGAGAAGACTTTAAAGTGTGTTTGACTCACCTATGAAAGTTTTATATGTTGACATGAATATGTAGAAGTCTGTTGTATTCTATAATTTTTTGTGTTACTTTAATATTTCATAACAACCACTATTTCTCTGAGACTTAATTCTGATTTTAAAAAGATCCATACCAATTAAGAAATTCAGGGAAATATAATCAAGTCCAGATATATAATTAATCAATAACCCCATCACTAGTTAATTTTAAACGTAGAATTATTTTTGTATTAATGCTCATTTCATTCTCTATGCACGCATATTTAATGTATGTATACTAAATATGGGTTTCATTAATTTGAAGACTCAATATTTGCTAAAGATCATGAAAGCAGCTATTAAATGTACACACATTTTCTACCTGATCTATCTGACTCCAAAGCCCACATCCCTAACCACTGCGTATACAAGGACAGATCTAGTACTTGGGACCCAGGACTTCTGGTTTCAGTCTGTTTTATAGCAGACTCATCTTCATGCTCTGTCATTCGGTGCTATCTCCTTTCCAGAGCTTAATGAAAGGCTGCTATTCCAATGTCCAAATGGAAGGTAAAAGAAGGTAGCAAGAAAGGACATCAAACAAAATGTAATGAGGGGATGATTTTCCTTCTCCTCCACTGCATGATCAGGTTACCTGTGCTACAAAGAAGAGACAGCAAAGCCCGCCCGCCCTCCCTCCCTTTCTCTCTCTCCCTCCCTCCCTCCCTTCCTCTCTTTCTTTCTTTTTACAGGGTCTTGCTCTGTTGCCCAGGCTAAGTGCAGAGAGAAAACAAATGAAAGGGTGGAGAGAGTGCAACCCCATGAAAAGAGTGTTCTGGTTAAGAATGTGACTTCAGGAGGAAGGCATAAACCCACTGCCAGATGGGAGCCTATGGGACCTGGGGTTAGAGAAAAACTAAAGTAGGTATAATATTAACCTGGGTTAATTTTATGGCTATGATTTTTTCGGAAATATTTCTTAAGTAACATATTTTAGGAGTTACATTTTTATCATAAATGTATTCCACACTTGTCTTTGCAAAAGTTTAATATTGAGTCAAGTGCAGAAATTAAAAAATATTAATATCCAGTGTTAAAGCAAACTAAATGTGACCTGAGAAGGACTTCGTACTTCTATATTTGAGTCCTTGTGGATGAACTGTAACCTAGCTTAATAGACAAAATTGAAAACATAACTTAGGAGTATGTGCCTGTAACAATAGCTAAGTCTTGGCCAATCCCAGAGGCCATACTTCAACCATTTGTGTACTGCTGAGTGTTCAAACTGGGTTTAAATAAGGCAAATGCCAAGCTATAATCAATCCAGCCATTCTGTACCTCACTTCCAATTTCTGTACATCATTTCCCTTTTTTGGTCTATAAATCTTTTTCCACCATATGGCTGTGCTAGAGTCTCTGTGAATCTGCTGTGATTCTGGGGGCTGCCCAATTCATGAATTGTTCATTGCTCAAAGTCCTTTAAATTTAATTTGGCTGAAGTTTTTCTTTTATCATCAGTATTCCTATCCTTACTGAAATTTACATCATGCTATTTTAATTGTTTTTTTATACATGTATATAAGCAAATGTAATGGATATACATACATTACATTTTATATAACTGTTATACTATATATGGAGCTTGGTATTCTGGGTTTTTATTCTCATTTCTACTTTTATCTGAACTTTTATACAAGGTAGTAATATGTGGATGAGTCATTCTGATTAAATTACAAGATATATAATCTAACTTTACCTTTTAATGAACCAGCTGACCCAACCCCAATTTTCAAACAATGCATCTGATTGGAAATGCCATATCTATATTGCATATTAAATGTAATATATATATGGGTCTGTTCATGAGCTTTCTATAGACATCCTTTAATCTGTATGTCAGACTCCATCAGTTATAAAAGCAAAGTTTCACGGAACATTGCAATACCCGACAGTGTAATCCTGACTCCTATCATTCACCCTTTGGATGAATGGTGTAATAATAATAAAATAAAATAAACAATAATAAAAATGCCAACAATTATAGGATACATAATAAATTATTTGCTCCAGATTATGCAACCATCAAGTGAATAGTTCCCAGACTCAAATCCAAGTCCTTCTCACCCCAAAGCCCACACAGCTAACCACTGTTCCTATATTAAATGTCCTTCTGTGGTAGACTAGAGGCCAAAAAAAGAACAGGACTCACCCCAGGTCCCATGGTCAGTTTACTGGTCTGGCAACTAGGATATAGGTTCAATGACCCCCATCTTCTGTCCAGCTATTATTCTTTGCTCTTCTTTAATTTTCCTTCTTCCTGGGGCTCAATAAATTCATTCATCATGTCACACTAGAATGAAAATAGGAGACCAGAAAGTACATGGAATCAAAAGAATAATGAGATAGAACCAACATTCACTGCTTGTCGCCATGTTTCCAGATCCTCTCGTTTCAAATCTTTTATTTTATGCAGCACAGATATTTTCTTCCGGGGCCAGCAATCTCTCTTCTAAGAATGTACCCCCAAAGATAAAATTTAAAAAGACAAAAGGCATAAACACAAGGCAATTCATGGTAGAACAATTTGTAACAGGACAAGACTAGAAATGAGACAGATGTCCACCAATAAGGAATTGATTGAATAATCTAAGGTACATCTACATCCCAGAGTTCTATGGAGGTAAAATAAGCAATGAGAATTCCCCCTTCTACTCCTTTGTAATGATTTCCAGCATAAATTGTTAAGTGAAGAAAGAAAGGTACAGAAAAATGTGTTGAGCCACTGCTGTCCAATATAGTAGGCATTGTCCACATATAGCCATTTAAATTTAAGTTGATTAAACTTACATGAAACTAAAAGTTCAGTTCCTCAGTCACATTCATCACGTTTCGGGTGTTCAACTGCCACAGTTGCCATTAGCTATTGTGTTGAACAACGTAGACAGTATATTTTCATCTCTACAGAAATTAAAATGATTTTTCTGTTATTCTCACATACAGCTCTCTATTCAGCATATAAAGAGGCTGGAATATCTATTGGCCTTCTATATCCCTTTAACCTGGAATGTCTCCTTTTCAACCCAGAGTTTCAGAACGCTCTATAGGGTGTGCATGGGCCAGAGCCCCTCCCTCCCACCTTCCTGCTCACCGATGTTCAAGCTGTAGTTCAAGCTTCTGTCACGAGGGGGCACCATTGTACCACCATTATAGAACTCTTCTGCAAAGACGTGTCTGCAAGGAGCAAAAAATACTTCTCTTAAACCACAGCTTATAAGCCTAAGTGCAGAATGATTCATTCTAATTCTGTCAAAGGAAAAAAAAACTGGTAAGTGTAAAAGAAGACTGCAAATACATATACTGTGGGGCATCCATAGGATGAAACACCAGGTAGGTCTAACACTCCTTGGCTGTTGCTGGAAGACAGAATCTTAAGTGAGCATCAGGGCAGGTGAGAGGTGACTGAGAGAGGATGACGGCACAAGGGGCAGGTCTGGGCAGCTGTGCCCCTGGAGAGGGGATGAGTGGGAGGCAGTGGTAGAAGGACCAGGAAGCCTATACAGGGGTGGGGTAATGGAGAGTGAACGAACGCCCTGCTCTCTGGAAGGGACCCTCCTACAATGTGGAAACCTCTACCAACAGAGAAGGGAAGAGATGAATCAATGAATGCGATGTAGATTTGGGGACGACAGCAAATGGAACTGCTTTAATATACACGCGAATACTCCAAACAACTGGTATTTCAGTGAACAAACCATGTTATAACATCTGTTACTGTTTGTTAGATGTACTCCTTTTCCTTAAAAAAGAACAAATGTGAAGATGGCTGCGATGTCTCCTAGTGGCCAGAGCCAGGATTGCAACTCTGAGAGCTGACTGGTGAGTTCAGCAGGGGAAAGGGAGGGATGGAGGTTGGGAGGTTGATTAATGTGATCAGCCAGTTTTCTGGAATTTTTTACGTACCTACAGGAATCCCTCTGTATCCATCATTTTTCTGGGTTATAAAAAAGTACGTTTTCGGGGATATCTAAATCTGATATTGGAAGTACAGCATCAGTCTGAACTGGGGATAATGCTGCAATTGTGAACTGTATTTGAGGTGGTAGAGCTAGAGGAGCTAGAACACACACACACACACACTTGCGTGTGAGTCAATTCATTTTTTAAAAATCTACTTTATTTCCCCAGGAAATTGAATAAATGAATGCCTGAAGTAAGGAATATATGTGTACCATACTCTTGTCAATATGTTCACAGCATATTGTTTTTAATATTTCATCAAAATACTTTTTCCTGAATATAAAATGTAAAACAATATATAAAAACACATATATGAATTGAAATTAACCTGTATCTCTCACTGGAGCAGCTCCTAATCCCTGACCCCTAGTTGTCTGCTGTCCACAGAATGGTGCATACTGTGAAATGTGTCTCCACAAGTGAGATGCACACAAATATGTTCACCTACACACACACAGTCTGTTCCAAAGGTCGAATCACATCCTTATCTTCTTTTGCAACCTATTTTTTCCACTTTTCTTCTCAGGATTTATATTTACATCTTATTAGTTTTTGTGGTTTTGGCATAGTTAATGTGTTTATTGTTCATGTATCTAACTATTTGACTTCTCCACTGAAATTATTTGCCAAGCTCTTTGTTAGTGTGCTTCACAAAGCATGAATTCTAATCCAGTATCTCAGCTCTAGTTTGTACGGATTTTTCCAGAGTTTTTACGCTATTCTTAGTTTTTTTTAATTTAGAATTTTTCAATTTAAATTATCTTCTGACTTAAAACCACATGGATCACAATTTTTAAAAAAATGTTAAACTGCCTTGGAACATGTAATGGCAGTGCCCAAGGAGATTAGATCATTCCCGAGACCAGGAGGCACAGAGACAAACTGGAGAAAACTTTAGAATAATTCAGAATTACCTGCTAATCGAGACACAACAAAGGTATTTCCCTGATGTACAGAAACTTGCCTAAAGTACCCTGATCTGAATAATGGTCATAATTCAGTGGGTATTCTTGTGGGTAACTTGAATAGCTGTTGACATTAAAGAAGATGAAATACAGAGTGCATTTGCCTAAAGGAGTTGCGATGGTTAACACTGAGTGTAAACTTGATTGGATTGAAGGATACAAAGTATTAATCCCGGTTGTGTCTGTGTGGGTGTTGCCAAAAGAGATTAACATTTGAGTCAGTGGGCTGGGAAAGGCAGATCCACCCTTAATCTGGTGGGCACAATCTAATCAGCTTCCAGCAAATATAAAGCAGGCAGAAAAATGTGAAAAAGAGAGACGGGCCTAGCCTCCCAGCCTACATCTTTCTCCCGTGCTGGATGCTTCCTGCCCTCAAACATTGGACTCAAAGTTCTTCAGTTTTGGGACTCGGACTGACTCTCCTTGTTCCTCAGCTTGCAGACAGCCTATTGTGGGACCCTGTGACTGTGTAAGTTAATACTTAATAAACTCATATATATATACACACACATATATATGCTCACCTGTCTCAAGTACAACACTTGAGTTTCTGCCTGAGCCCACTCACCACTTCAGGCATCAGCCAACTCATGTGTCCCTACACACAGGTCTCTTGGCACAAAGAATGGGATCTCACCTCTGTCATCTTCACCCAGAAAAGTTGTTGAGTAAAGACTCATGGGGTTACAATAGCAGGTGGGTGAAATCTCACCATTTCTCAAGCCCAGAAACCCATCTTCTAAAAGGGAGGCTGCTCAGGGTACTCTAGGGAGGGTGAGGGATGGAATTTCATTCAAACCCTGCCACTTACCTGAAGAGGTGACTTAGGCTCTGTGAGCCTGAGGTTAGTCATCTGTGAAATGGGACTGACCATACCATCCTTACATAGCTGTCTGATGGGTATATGAGGAAACCTCTTGAGAGTATATGGCATGGGGTGGGACTTAAATGGCCTTTAAATGGGACACAGCACTAGGGGCTGGCTGAGCCTCAGTGCTAAGGCAGGCATTGTGAAAAATCATTTCTCATTGCTCCCCCTTATGAGAACACAGACATCTATTTGAAGAAAGCAAATGTCCCTGTGACATGCCTTGAGTTCAAAGTTTTGTAGACAGTAGTTTCTCTGCTTCGTGGGTGTTATCAGAAGCTCGTAAGAGCTGCCCAACATCATGCTTCTGAGATGACCCAAATTTAGTTCCCCACACTGGGAAGACAGGCATGTCTTTGAACTTACCTGCTGAGCTCAGAGACAGCAGCAGGGATGCAAGGTTTGGTGTTCGCCCAGTGGCTGCTCCTAGACTACTTGGTATGTTAATATATTTATTGGTATATTCTAGATCTGTCCCAAAATCACCAGTGCAGGGGTTTTCAGATCATGCATTAACCAGCCACATCGGATCAGAATTTCAGCCATCTGCTGCCTCCCTGAGAGACAAAAATCCAAGAGTTACTAGCATTTCTTCACACACAATGTCTATTCTTTCATTAGGTAATAACTAAATACCTATTGAGCTCAAACCCATTCTATTCCATCAGAGGTATCTCATGAGCTCCAATGTGATATAAAAGCATAAGGGAAATAAACATGTGGTCAACTTCAAGGGTTAATTCTGAGATAGCTTTTTTTTCACATTAGCTTTTAACTTGGTCAAGTTTCAAGAAATTGAAGATTTAAAAAAAAAATCTCTCCTTGGACCCCCTTATCACCCATTCAGCTACAGGATACAGTTCTCCCTGTCTCTGTCTCTCCCTCCCTTATCCTTCTTCTCCTTCATATTCGAAGTACCAAAAAGAGTTTTCTACATGCTCTGTTAACATTTTTCACTTCCCACTCATCATCCCACTGCCCTATGGCTTCTGTCTCTGGGATTGCCATGAACATTCTCTCCAAAGTCATAATCCACCCATTTCTTACTAGGTCCAGGTTTTGTATAAATACACTAACATAGGGCATATTACTTTTAATGAGCTCCTAAAGTATGTATGCTTGCAGACTGCTTCTTTCACCTAACAACAGAGCTTTCACAGTTTCCCAGGCTCTAGAGCATGATGCACTGGACATAAGTCCAAGCTGTCCCACTCCTTAACTGTTCAGTCTTAGGCAAAGTCATTATCCTCTCTGTCCCTCAGTTTTCCATTTGTAAAATTGAATTCTGCAATAGTATTTAACTCATAAGTGTGTTCTGGGCACTGAATGATCCAATACATTAAAAGCATATAGTACCTACGAAATGTTGGCACTTTTAAATACTTTTCACATGTCTTACTGGCATTCGTATCCCTGTAGCCATGAAAAAAAATTAGGGTATTGACCAATGTTTATTCATAATCAATGACATTTGGGGTATGATGTTTGTACATGTAATAGTTTCCTAGGGCCACCATAACAAATTATCATAAACTTTGCATATTTAAACAACAGCAATTTATTATGCCATGATTCCGATGTACAAAACCAAAGCCTGAAGTACAAAATCAAGGTGTAGGCAGGACTGCACTGCCTCCAAAGCCTTTAGGGGAGAATCCTTTCTTAGCTCTTCCAGCTTCTTGTGGCTCCTGCTTTATTTGATTTGAGGTGGCATAACTCAATCTCTGCCTCAATATTCACATGGCCTTCTTCCCTGGATGTGTCAAATCTCCCTCTGCTTTCTTTTATATAGATACCAGTCATTGGAGTTAGGCATCAACCTACATTCAGGATATTCCCTTCTGGAGATCTTTCACTTCATTATGTCTACATAGAACCTATTTCCAAATAAAGTTTGTGTGGGTTAGGATTGGGACATGTTTTGAGGGGGACACAATTCTACCCACTACAGTTAAATAAGCAAGTTACACTACTAAATGGAAGATAAAGTATCTTCTGTATGTACATGGACTGGCTGATCTCTGAGATGTTGAACTAGACCAAGCTGTGGCCCTTTGGAAAGGGAACCTGGATGGTAGTCTATTAACAGGTACACAACTACTATATAAAGGGTATTTTATATTTCATCTCATTTTGATTTCAACAATTCTATCCAGTACCAATAATTATGCCCATTAGTTGGATCAGGGAACACAAATTAAAAGACTGGTAACTTGATCTAGGGAAACTACCTTATAAACTATTGTTCCAGGATTCTAAACCTAGAATTATTCAAAACATTTTTTCCCTTCTGTCCTGTCAGCTAACATTTGATATAACTTCAAGCATATATATATATATATATATATTTTTTTTTTTTTTTTTTTGAGATGGAGTCTTGCTCTGTCACCCAGGCTGGAGTGCAGTGGCATGATCTTGGCTTATTGCAGCCTCTTCCTCCCAGGTTCAAGCGATTCTCCTGCCTCAGCCTCCTGAGTAGCTGGGACTACAGGTGTGCATCACCAAGCCCAGATAATTTTTTGTATTTTTAATAGAGATGGGGTTTCCTGATGTTGGCCAGGCTAGTCTCAAACTCCTGACCTCAAGTGATCTGCCCATGTCGGCCCCCCAAAGTGCTGGGATTACAGGTGTGAGCCACTGCACCCAGCCTTAAAGCATTATTATTGTTGAGTTGTTCTTTCGAAAACAATGTGCTGAAGTGCTTTTTAAATAGTAAAAAATTATAAAGTATAGAATTGTATCTGTATAGCCAAAATAGAAAATAAAAAGAAATATAAAAATTTGGGAGAAATTATTTCTAACCCATATTCAATCATGCTTTATATCCTCCAAATATGAAATATTCATGAACAAGAGAAGTAAGCCAATCATATCAAGAGACAATATATAAATCTCAGAAAAATGATATAAATTCCAACACTTGGGAATACACCAAAACAAAAAATATGAAACAGAATCATATTTAGTCAACCAGTTAAGTCATAAATTATAATGTAGTGCATGGATTTATGTAAAATAATTTATATAGATAGATTAACATGGATTTAGAGGTGTGTGTGTCAATAAAAGTAAGTTAGTATACTACATGCAGAGAAAAACATCCGAAGAGTACATACCAATAAATTAAGAGAAACTATCTTTGTATTATGGAGAAGGAGAAGGTGTGACAGATAGAAAATATTTTTAATATGTAATATACATTTCGATTATATTTGATAAAGCTTAAACAATGAAAATAATTAACTGATAATGTGATAAAGTTATTGAGATTCTGTTCTGTAAATCAGAAAACTCTGTGACCCTAGTCACAAAATTATAGTGTAGAAATGCATTTATTAAGAATCATGTTCATATGCTGCTGTGTGAAAATAGTACATTAAAAAATTCTATTTCATAAATCAGTGTGTGCACATTGTAGGGAGACAGGATTCTTTTATTTTATAAATGTGCAATTCTCTAGTGTTTTAAATTTAGAAACCTTATTGTACAAAATGTGGAAAACAAAAAGTTGTGAAATTACAAATATGATGCTCTTATATTCATTGCTTTGGAAACATGTTCACATTATACTGTTTTATGCGTAAGACAAGTAGGTCAAAACTATTTATTTGACAGTGTGTTTGTATGTTTCAGTGTGGGTATCTGCATGTTGTTTGTATCTCAGTCTTCTTCACAACAATTATACACACACAAACTCTTGCAGCTTTCTATTCAGTTCGCAGATAGAGAGTAAGGATAAGGTCACCCTTGTGTTGGTTTCATCCTTGGTTCTCCTCATGAGTAAGGGACTACATGCTTACTTTCTCTTTTAGCCCTTCACTATATCAGAGTTGTGGATTTCTGGTTTTGTGCTTGTCTTTTCCCTAGGAGAGAAGTCCCTCCCATTTGGTCTTCTAGCTGACATGGAGTTTCTGCTTTATGCAAGACTGCCTCTCCCATTTGAGGGATGTGGACCCAGATCCACAAAAGACTGAAAAGAGTAGAGACTGAATTGTCAAAGACAAGCACAGGAGTAGGACTCCTATCCAAATATCTAATTCTCCTGATTTAGTGAGATGGCTTTCATGAACTTCTCACATGATGTTCTCCTCCCCTCAGCATTCCTCTTACTCTGTGGGGAAATAGGAATTCTCATACATTGCTAGAAGTAATGTTAAATGGTACAATCCCTGTTGGGGGGGGGTTGATGCTATCTATAAAAATACATTGGTATTTACTCTTGGAAACAGCAATCCCTCTTCTAAAAATCCATCCCAAAGAAACACTGCAAAAAAGATAAAAGGCATATACACAAGGCCATTTATGGTAGAAAATTCCTAACAGAATAGTAGTAATATGACAGATGCCCAGTATAGGGCCAACTAAATAATCTAAGGTACAACTACACCCTAGAGTACTATGCAAGTATAAAAAGCAAGGAGGACTCCCTCTCTATACTGCTATGACTAATGTCCACGGCACATTGTGAAATAAAAAGCAAGAAGAAGAAGAAGAAGAAAAAAAGTATAGAGCAGCAGTGTCCAATACAGTAGCCACTACTGACACGTGGCAACTTAAATTAAATTACAAACTCAGTTTCTCAGTCTCACTCATCACGTTTCACATGCTCAATAACCACAGCTAGCTAGTGGCTACTGTGTTATACAGTTTAGATACAGAACATTTTCAGTTCTGGATAAATTTTTACTGAGGAGGTAATATAATAAATAATATACATATTGTATTTGCTTATATTTTTTAGAACGAGGGTAATAACAAAAACTAATAAAATGATTACCTACCATAAGACAGAGAAGCAGCCCAGGATAAAAGCAGATGACATTTATCTCTTACAAAGGATACACATTTTCCTGGTTAAACACACTGGAGAGGACAAAAAACAATGACCAACCCAGTAGCAATGAGCAACCAAAAGTACTCAGACTGAATCCAAAAAACGAAACACAAACAGAACAAGCTCACTGCTTACCTTTGGAAACTCCTAAGGAAACAAGTCACTGTTTTGAAAAGTGGAAATACTGCAAAAGAACTAAACATTCATCCTACCTTCCCTGTGTATACCATATCTCAGTATAATCTAATAGGTCAGAGGAAGTTTTCTTTATACATGAATTCCAGCTGGTGAAGGCAGAAGAAATCAGAATTACAATGTCACCCTTTTTGTAACATTTAATGAAATGCAGATACAGGTAAGAATATTCAGAGACTGCAAAAAAACATGAAGTAAAGGTGAATAGGGAAATTTTATAAAGAATAGATCAGGCTGACAACACCTGAACCCAGTGATTAATTTCAACATCACAGGAGAGACAACCAGATCCAATGAGCCTCCTAGTATAACATTGTAAGAATAAACACCACCTCACCTGAGATATTCAAGCCAAAAAACTTGAATCTGAACAAGCATCTAAATCTAATTACCAATTTAAAGGACATAAGAGTGGCCAGATGAACTTAATAAACAACAAAATAAGGACACAATCAGCAATATCCAGAATGCAAACTCCACAGGATAACAATCCAATTTCTTAAGCAAATAAATAAGGTTTTTAAAAAGAGTACAGACCTTCTTTGACTAAAAGAGACTTAAAACTTCAGAGAGAACTAAATTAAGGAGAAACTGATATTAAAACCACAATGAGATACTGCTACACACCCACCAAAAGAAAAAAACAAAAAAGATGGAAAACACTAAGTGCTGGCAAGGATGTGGAGCAGTGGAACTCTTACACACTGTTGATGGGGATACAGATTGGAAAAACCACTTTGAAAAATGGGCAGTATCCACTGAGCTGAACATACATATACCCTGTGACTCAGAAATGTCAGTCCTTGGCACATGCCCAAGAGAAATGAAAATAAATGTCTATCCAAACATATGTATAAGATCATTCATAACACCATTATTCATAAGTCAAACACTGAAAAATATGTATCTCCAAAAGGGATACATATATTGTGAAATATCCGAACAATGCAATGCCATCCATCAATGAGAATGAACAATCTACAACTATAGACAACAATAATGGAAATCACACAGACATTATGCTGATTGAAAGAAGCCAGACACAAAAGACTGTATGCTGTATGATTCCAGGCATTTTTCTTCTAATGTCCCAATGGATTTTGGGAAAGGAAAGGAAAATCATTATCCCATTTCCATTTATTTGAAGGTATTCTATGTCTTCCTATATTACCTGCAAGTTAACCTCAGAGAAGCATGTATCCTCTGAACCCTTGAAAAGTGATTCACTATACATAAGAAAAATGCTAATGCCAGGTCTGAGAACAGATAACTGTGTGAGACAGGAGATGTACCTGTGCCCAGTGCCAGCCCTAATCCATAAACTCTAGGTGACCTTGAGTAAATTACCACACCTTATCTGCGTCACCAATCAATGGTGGTCTGATCAGGCCTGTCTCCAAACCAAAGAAACTTAAAACACTGGACAAAGTGACTTCCACCTGGAAAAGCACTACGAATTCCTAAAAAGGAAGATAATTCATCTTTGAATTCCAAGGAATTATTTGAATAGCCAAGTTGTCTAATGCATATTATGATGATTAATGTATTTTTGAAATAATTTCTTTTGGTTTTACAGTTATTACCTTTTTACATTTTCTTAAATAGATATCATCTTGGTACATGGCACAAAAGCTACTGAAAGATACTTTCCAACCAAAGACATACATGAACCACCATGGGCTGACATGGCTTTTTCTTCTCCATAATTGTACTGGTTAGGAGTGTGGGATCTGGAGACGGACTAGGGACAAGCCCTACTTTCTGTAACCTATGTGACTTCGAATACTTTTGCTTCACCTTACAGTCACTCAAATGCCTCATCAGTAGACTGGGATTATGCAATACTTACCAAAGAAGACAAATCATTTTTTAAACGAATACTGCTTTGTGTTTTGGTTTTACAAGGATAAACAGCCAAGAATTCGATTATTTAAAAAATTATACTACAGAGAAATTGGGATACCTGGCTCTCTGTGACGTTGGGAGAGTGAAAGAACCACTCTGTACTTCAATTTCGTTTTTCTGTAAACTGGGGCAAGCAACTGTCCCTACCTCATGAGTTGTTGCTTTGAGAATTACTTGAGTTAATACATGCAAACTCTTAGACCAGTAGTAGGAACACAGTAACTGCTCATTAAATGTGAATTTGCATATTGAGATTTTTCAAGTTTTAAAAGTTTAATAGTTTTCATGTTACTTAAATAAAGCATTATAGTCTTACAATTGAATCTTAATTATCAACTGATACATTTTTTAAATTACTAACTTTCACGACTAACCCACATCTGGATGACCTAACTAATTAACTTGAGACTATCTCAAAAGCACTTGGAAGGATTGATCTCAGAAAACAGCACCATCATTTCTCCATCTGGCTGAACAAAAAGACCTGGGGTCCTCCTCCACTCTGCCTTATCCCCCACACCCTACCTGCACAGGTACTGCAAGTCCTACCTGCCCTACCTCCAAATACCCTCTGTTGAGGTCCACCCACCCCACCCCCACCTCTGCACACAGCTGCAGCCCTGATCCCATCTACCTCCACCTCTTCCCTGGACTTCTACAATATTCTCCCAATGGTTATCCTCCCTCCATACCTTGTCCCTTTCCAGTCCATTCTCCACAAAGCAGCCAGAGTCACCTTCTGACAACAAGAATCAGACCATGTCACTCCCATACTCTAATCTTGACACTCACAATACAATTATCCAAACTCCTTACAGGGCCCAAACCATGTGGCTCCTGTCTACCCTTCAACTTCATCTCCCACCAGATTGCACACTGTCTGCTAGGCTCCAGCCACTCTAGCTTGTCCTCTGTTCCTGGATCAATGGTGTCCACACACAACATAGGGACACTGACAAAACGGCCTCTCCATGCCTGGCTTCTTCCTATCATTCAAGACTCAGGTCAAGTATCACTTCCTGAGAAAGAGTACACCGACAACCCCATCTATAATAATCCTTATGTTGATCCTTCTCTACTTTATTTAGTTATGCTTATTTTCTTCAAAGAGCATATCCTCATATGAAATCACATGCTTGCTGATTTATTTACCTGCTTATTGTCAGTTTTTCCAGACTAGAATGATAGCTCCTGGGAACCCCTGCCTGTCTTGTTTTCTGTGATGTTTCCCCGGTGCCTAGACCAGAGCTTCACACATAAATCATTGAGTATTACTGAATTGAAGGAATTGTTACATATTGGACACACCAGAGATCACACGGATATTTAAAACTGAGTAGCATGAGCAACTAACAATGAAATTAGACATCAAAGGATTCAAATTTTCATGGGCCTTGTTGCCAATCCACAGCAGTGCTTTTCAAACACTGATGAATACCAGAAACAACTAAAGAAATTACTCAAAATGGGCCGGGCACGGTGGCTCACGCCTGTAATCCCAGCACTTTGGGGGGCTAAGGCAGGCGGATCATGAGGTCAGGAGATCGAGACCATCCTGGCTAACACAGTGAAACCCCGTCTCTACTAAAAATACAAAAAATAGCCGGGTGTGGTGGTGGGCGCCTGTAGTCCCAGCTACTCGGGAGGCTGAGGCAGGAGAATGGCATGAACCCGGGAGGCAGAGCATGCAGTGAGCCGAGATCGCGCCATTGCACTCCAGCCTGGGTGACAGAGCGAGACTCCGTCTCAAAAAAAAAAAAAAAAAAAAAAAATTACTGAAAACGTAGACACTTCTCACCCCACCTCCCTGGTTTTGATTCTGTAGATCTAGGATGGGCCCAAGTATCTGCAATTTTAACAAGCAACCCTTGATGAATTTGATAAAGTGGTCCATGGAGCACACTTGGAAAAATTCTAGACCTAAACAGTTCATATTTAAGTATAATTAATGCCTCCATGCAGAGTTCTGGAACATCTGAAGTGTCTCTGTAAATGTAATTACTTGAAAGTTTACTGGCTCTTCCATTCCACCTGACCACTGATGGCTTTTTCACATGGGATCACACTTAAACTCCAGAGTATTCCAGGTAGTCTGGAGGATTGGGAATTGTTATCCTGCCATATGGGCGAGGCTGGTGGAAGGGTAGTGACTCACCTAAAGTGTCCCAGTGATGAGACCCTGATCTTTTCACTCTTGCTCCAGTAACCTGTCTAGCAGACTCCACAACAAACTTGGTTCTTCTCTATCAGCTCCTGGTTCTGAGATGCAGAGTCCACACCCTTCTCTGATGTTGCATTAGAAGGGAGATTAAGAAGATAAGAAAGCACATGGAATAGAGAGGAAAGTAAGAGGATGGGAAAGCACATGAAACACAGGGGATGGGATGATGATGTCTGGCCTGTCCCCACTCAGTTAACTGGAAGCTGTGCAATGACACTTTTCCTCTTCCCCAGCTCCATCCTACCACCCCCTGCTACACACAACAGTGACACTGAAGCTCACACATAATAGAAATGTGGGCTTATCTGTGCTTGCTGTTACATTTCCAAGTATTCACCCTAGTAGTCATGCTATTACATTAATGTCAGAGACATCACATTGGCATAGTGAAGGAGGCAATGTTAGAATGAAGAACATTTGCTGATGGCCTACAAGACACCACAAGCTTTAGGTTGTTATTTTCAGACACTTTCTATTCAAAGCCTCAAAGCTATGCTCTGAGGTGAGTATCATTACTTCCTTTCCACAGATGGGAATACAGTCAGGCTCAGAGAGCAAAATACATGCTCAAAGAATTCTAGGGAGGTGTCAAGCAAACACTGAGACCAACTTCAAGATCCTTCCACTGGCCAATTCTGGAAAAATGTGAGCATCAAAGCACAGAATGATAGTAATAGAGTGTAACCCTTTGAAAAAAAAATAGGAATCTCACAGTCACATTGATATAAATAAAAACATGAATAAGTACATTAATAAATAATGAGGCCAGGCACAGTGGCTCATACCTGTAATCCCAGGACTTTGGGAGGCCAAGGCAGGTGGATTTCTTGAGCCCAGGAGTTCAAGACTAGCCTGAGCAACATAGTGAAACCCCCATCTCTACTAAAAATACAAAAAATTAGCTGGGTGTGGTGGGATGTACCTGTAGTTCCAGCTACTTGGGAGGCTGAGGTGAGAGGATCGTTTGAGCCTGGGAAGTCGAGACTGCAGTGAGCCAAGATCAAGCCACTGCACTCCAGCCTGGGCAACAGAGAGAGACACGAAGGAAGCAGGGAAGGGAAGGGAAAGGGAAAGGGAAAGGGGAAGGGGAAGTAAAAGGGAAAGAGGAAGGGGAAGGGAAAGGGGAAGGGAAAGGGAAGGGAGGAAGGTGGGAAGGGAAGAAGGTGGGAAGGAAGGAGGGAAGGAGGGAGGGAGGGAGGGAAGGAAAGAGGGAAGGAGGGAGGGAGGGAAAGAGAAATCTCTACACTCAAGTGCTTAGTAATAATTCATGAAGGAATAACAGAATTAGAAAAGCAACATTTGACAACTCTCATAGTTGTAAGTGATTCAGGTAAAAATCATAAATGCTCAGTTTGTACCAGCAAATCCCACAGTGGTCACTGAGTCATCATGGTAACCATGCTTGCCCAAAAAAGCTGGGAAAAAAATGAATGACCACCCTGATCTTATTCCTAATATATGCTTGGAACTGAATAGGACTCACATGATGCACGGTAATTAACCTCAACTATCCCTTACAATAAACATTCCTGGCAGCTTCAGTGATATATACATTCATAATACATACATACCCACATACATACATACTTGATCTCTCTCACCATCCCAGATCCCAGGAATTCATTGATGTAGATTTACTGAGTGGGTGGGTGGGCAGATAAAAAATTAAAACCTGGCCAGGCGTGGTGGCTTATGCCTGTAATCTCGACATTTTGGGAGGCTGAGGTGGGAGGGTCACTTGAGCCCAGGAGTTTGACATCAGCCTGGGAAACATGAGACTCTGTCTCTACAAAAAAAAAGTAAACAATAAGTTAGTCAGGTGTGGTGGTGTGCACCTGGAGTCCCAGCTTCTCGAGAGGCTGAGGCGGGAGGATTGCTTGAACTCAGGAGGTTAAGGCTGCTGTGAGCTATGATTGTACTACTTTACTCTAGCCTGGGCAACAAAGCAAGATGCTGTCAAAACAAAAAACAAAAAACAAAAAAACCCAAAAAAAACACCACCACCACAACCACCACCATCACCAACAAAAAACAGCAAACCTCGCATTTCAACAGATTTATTTTAAGCACACATATAAAATTGAAATCTACTGAACTATGCTCTTTTAATGATTAATTTTTCTGGAGAATATCTCTGAGACATCTTTCAAATACTTTTTCCATCAAAAAGTGGCCCGTGCTTTCAATCAAAAAAAAAAAAAACTTGAGCTATTATTATTTGGCTGCTGAGAAAATATAATAATTCAGAGAAAATATAGTAATTAGGCATTGTATTTAAAAATAATGCCATTTACAGTAGCTTCAAAAAGTATGAAATATTTATGGATAATCTGTCCACAATTGTATAACACCTGCATACTGAACATTACAAAACATTGCTGAGAGGATTAAAGGAGACTTAAATAAATGGGGAATATACTGTGTTCATGGATGAGAAGACTCAGTATTGTTAAGATATTAATTCTCCCCGATCTCATCTATAAATTTAATGCAAACTGAATAAAAAATTTTACCAAAGTTTTAAAAAGGGAATTGATAGGCTGATTCTAAAATTCATGTGAAAATTTAATGGATCTAGCTGATAAAAACAACTTTGAATAAAAGGTCAAAGTCAGAGAACAAACACTACCTGACTTCAAGACTCTTTACAAATCTACAGTAATCAAGACTGTGCTGTTGGCATCAAGGTAGAAAAGCAGATCAAAGGAATAGAATAAGGAATCCAAAACCGACCAAACCTACATGGATAACTGTTTTTTTGACAAAGATGCAAAGGCAATTCAGTGGAGCAAAGATACTCTTTTCAACAAATTGTGCTGGGAGAAGTGGTTATCTATATTCACAAATACAAACAGTGATCCAAATATCATACTATATACAAAAGTCAACTCAAAGTGGATCATAGATATACATATAAAACCTAAAACTATAAGACTTCTACCAGAAAATACAGGAGAAAATCCTTGTGACTTTGGGTTAGGTAAAGACTTCATTAGTGAGACAAAACTACAATCTGTAGGTGAAGAAATCAATAAATTAGACTTCCCAAAAGTTAAAAACTTTGTTCTTCCAAAGATACTGTTGACAAGCCCTTGTCTGGAAGAAAATGTTTGGAAACCATTTATCTGGTAAAAGGCTTATATCCAGAATACAGAAAATCTCACAAAGCTCCTTAAGGAAAAAACAGACACTCCAATAAATAAATGGACAGAAGAGTTGAAAAGACACTCCACTATAGAAAATATACAGATGTCAAATAAGCATATGAAAAGATATTCAACATCATTAATAATTAGGGAAAGAAAATGAAAAGTACAGTGAGATACTATTACATTCCAGAAGAATGATCAAAATTTAAAAGACTGACCATACCAATCACTGGCAATTTTCTGGAAGCTGAAACCCTCATACGCTGCTCATTGGAATGAAAAATGGTACAACCACTTTGAAAACAGTTTGGCCATTTCTTACAATGTTAATCTTACCTCTACCACATGATCCAGAGATTGAACTCCTAAGTATTGACCCTTGAATGAGAATGCATATTTTCACAAAAAGACTTATTCACAAATGTTCATAGCAGCTTTATTTACAAGAGCCCCAAATGAGAAACAACCAAAATGTCCATCGACAAATGGATGGATAATAAAATGTTTAGTGTGGTTGTATACCGCAATAGTATTTAGCAATCAAAAAGAATGAAGTATATCAATAGATAAATGCAATAAAATGGATAAATATAAAAATAAGTGGAGTGAATGAAAAAAGCCAGGTGTTGATAAAAAAAAAAAAAAGAAACCACCTCTATGATTCCATTTAAATATATTTCCAGGCATGTAAAATAATGTATAGTGACAGGCATGCTGTGTTTACCTGGGGCAAGGCAGTGGGAAGGGTAGGTAGGCCAGGTACTACAGAACTGAAATTGTGATGTTTGTATTATTGGGAAATAATAACGGTATTCAGAACAATCTAGTTATGTTACTGGACATAGCTGGGTATCATTATAATAGGGCAAACTTACATTGTAATTACTAATTTTGAAAATGCCAAATTCTTGTACCTGACATTTTGATATTTTTAGGTAGCACTTAATTAATTTCTGGCTTCTTAGAAAATTTCATTATAGAATAGACAAAAACGTAGAAACCATGGAAGAATGCATACCGTAATCACAGATTGCTAGGAAGATCTTCTAACCTTCTAACTGTATACTTCAACATCCATCTGAGAAATTCATGGGCATCACTGACAACTATTCATACAGGCAGAAAATGTATGTAAATTTGTTGCAAATACATGTTAAACATGAAGTTCCCTCCTCAAGTGAACAACTCATTGCTTTACGATAAAGTAAGGCATCTCTTAGATGGGAATCCAGGTTACTAAAAAAAGTAGTTTCTCATCTTCCGGACTATGTTGTGAACCTCACAGGAGCTATTCCACAACGTACTTTTGTTCAGCTCTATGAACTCACTGGAATCAGGCATCACATCCCACCATGGAGGGAAGTGCCAGGGGTCTCCTGAGGACAGCTGCCCTTCAAATCTTGAGTAGAAGCTTCAGCACCCATCATGTCCCAGATCCTCAGAACGAACCTCCTTCAGACACTTAATATAAGTTCAGTCACATGCATGAAGAGTTGCACAGGGAGAAAGAGAATCCAGCCATTATTGTACATTCTTGGAGTAACTCTGTGCCTGGCACCATACGAGGCACTGGGTTAGTGATCAATGACACTGATAAAATTGGGTAGTGATCATATCCAGAAGGTACAATGGGTTTCTCACCAGAGCCTTTTTCTTCTTTCCTTATCTATCCCCAACAACAAATCTGAAAAGGAATAAAAAGATGCCTGAATTCACATACACATTCCTGATCCCACAATAACCACAGGGCTATGGTCGTGTACCTACTTTATCATAGTAAATTCCAGAAATTCTATGGGTGAGCATAATTATCCCCATTATACAGAAGGGGACACTAAGCTCAGTCTTTGCCTGTATCATCCTCTCACGCTCCTCCTTTACATGGGAAGTAGCTCTGAGACACTTTGGAGCAGGACATCACACTTCCCGGGGCCAGGAGGGGAAGTGTGGTGTCCTGTCACCAGACAGCAAGGGCACCGAGTCCCAAAGCAAGAACAAGGAGACTTGGCTGGGATCCTTTGTCTTCCCACACCCCGGGGCAGTTCAGCCCTACATCTTCAGTTGAGTCTCAAACACCTGAAGGCAACCCTGCTTTTTTCACCAGGCCATGTAAGTCTCTATTGAAAAGTCGTCACAGTCACCCTTATTATGTCTGGTTTCTATGGCAACCGAGATGTACAGGCTTGTCCTCCACTTCGGAAATGCTGCCTCCACACCACCCTCTGTCCTCTTGCCTTTCTCGGAAAGCAAAAAACCTTCACTCTTCAGACTACCGCCTGAGAAAGCTTACCAATAAAAGAAACTAGACTGGGACCCAGGCAGTTGGTGGAACTCTGCCTTATTTGATAAAGGACAGAAGTCCGTGTTGTTGGGAATTTTGTTTGCTTTAAAAGTGACCTTGAGGGAGTATTATCACTACATAGAGACCCAGGGCGGTATCCTAAGGCTCTAGACGATGAGCTAGCCCTGAGGGAGGGAACATGTACAACTCACACACCATGCTAGGCAGTTAGGTATCTGTGGCAGAAAACTGAGAGACTGTTTATAATCATATGACTAAACAACCTAGGGACACCAAAATATGTCATTTAAGATATCTCTAAGTTATTTCAGGGAATCAGGCTTAGAATAATATAGTCATTTAGTAGGCAAAAACCTAATCAATTCAATCATACAATGGTTTGTCTTGACAAAGTCTTTATCCCCCATCCCAATATTTTATTCCATGTGAATGGCCATTTGCAACCAAAACATTTCTAGTCTCTCTGCACACTCCTTTGGGAGGAGAAACATGCTGCTCAGCTGGAGTCCTTCCTTCAAAACTTTTGGTAGTAAGCTGCCTTTCAGAGGCACTCACTCTGCTCTGCCAACAGGAGGGGATCTTACAAGAGGCCCACAGGTCTATTCTTCTTTCTGTGTCTCACTGGCTCCCCAGTTATTCCTATGGTCTTGCTTTACAATGCTTGAATCTCTTTTTTTTTTTTTTCTTGAGACAGAATCTCACTCTTTCACCAGGCTGGTGTGCATTGGCGCGATCTCGGCTCACTGCAACTTCCGCCTCCTGGGTTCAAGCAATTCTCCTGTCTCAGCTTCCCAAGTAGTTGGGACTACAGGCGCGCACCACCATGCCCAGCTAATTTTTGTATTTTTAGTAGAGACAGGGTTTCACTATGTTGGCCAGGATGGTCTCGATCTCTTGACCTCGTGATCCACCTGCCTCAGCCTCCCAAAGTGCTGGGATTACAGGCATGAGCCACTGCGCCCAGCCTACAATGCTTGAATCTCTAACCTCCCCCACCCCCAGCCCCCACCAAGTACTCCACTGCTCCAAGTCTTAGCACTAAACCAAGATATATAATTTTAAAATTACATGGGCTTTATTTCTTATTAAGGTGATATTGGAGAATGTGACTTAGATTTGCTGTCACATGGGCTACGAATGAGCCCCAGAATTGACAGTATCCACAAAGCAGTGCTGCATTGGGACAGTCACAAATGCCAAGGATTGCAATGCATAATGGCCTGCTGTCTCCTGAAGGAGCCCTGTCTAGGTGTGTTCAAGAAAAGTGACTTTCTTGCCAAGGGTATTCCCTGTAGCAGGAGAAATGTGAAGAAATATCCCTTGTTTGGAATCGTTACTCACTAAGCCAACCTCTGAGGTTTTTTTATTTTTTATTTTTTTATTATTATACTTTAAGTTTTAGGGTACATGTGCACAGCATGCGGGTTTGTTACATATGTATACATGTGCCATGTTGGTGTGCTGCACCCATTAACTCGTCATTTAGCATTAGGTATATCACCTAATGCTATCCCTCCCCCCTCCCCCCACCCCACAACAGTCCCCGGTGTGTGATGTTCCCCTTCCTGTGTCCATGTGTTTTCATTGTTCAATTCCCACGTATAAGTGAGAACATGCGGTGTTTGGTTTTTTGTCCTTGCGATAGTTTGCTGAGAATGATGGTTTCCAGCTTCATCCATGTCCCTACAAAGGACATGAACTCATTTTTTATGGCTGCATAGTATGAAGTGGTTTGTAGCAACACACTCTCAACACCTTAATTTACGTGACTGTAGTAGAGGCTCATCTTACGGTATTAGGCTCCAAATTCCAATAGTAGTGGAAAATTTATACATTGTGAAAATTTCCATTGGAAATCTCTTCAAGTAGGAATCAATGATATGTCCACAAATCTCTATCCACATATAAACCAACACTCAGATTATAGTCAAAATTATAACTAAGTTCCACCAAGCCTTCAAGGATAAGAGAATCTCTTTCTTATTCAGTAACAGATCACAGAAAAAGAGGGAAAGCTCACCAAAACCCTAATGTTTTGCATATATATTTCTCCTTAACCATTGTCCCCCAAAATAGCCATCTATTATCGCTCAGGATTCTGTGTGTTGACTGGGCTGAGCTGGGCGTTTTCTGCTTCATGGGGTATCTGTCACCTGGGGATGCAGTCATATGGATGCTCCACACATCTGGGACATCCAAGAGGCTCACTCACATGGATGATGACTGGTACTGGTATCTCCAGCAAAGCTGGGGTTTTGCCTGGAACACTTTGGTTTGACACAGAGTCCTCCATGGGTAGGGTAGCCAGATAAAATAGAAGACACTCAGTTAAATTTAATTCCAGATAAATAATGAATAATATTTTAGTGTGTGATGGTTATATTTATATGTCAACTTGGCTGGGCTAAAGTACACAGATAGCTCATCAAACATTATTCTGGATGTTTCTTTGGTGTTTTTGAATGAGATTAAAATTTAAATTTCTGGATATTGTGTAAAGCAGATTACCATCTATACTGTGGGTAGGCCTCATCTAATCAACTGGAAGTCTGCATAGAAAAAAAAAGACTGACATCCCCTGAAGCAAAAGGAAGTGTGCTGGTAGATGGCCTTTGGAATTAAACTGCAACATTGGCTCTTCACTGGTCTGCAGTCTGCAAACACACCCTGCAAATTTGGGGACTTCCAACTACCATAATCATGCTAGCCAATTTCTGAAAATAAATCAGTCTCTCCCCAAACCCTCTATTTAGATAGATAGGTAGATAGATACATACATACATACACACACACATACTGTATTGGATATGTGACTCTGGATGTGGCATGCAATATTATTTTATTTGAATTCAACTGGGCATCTCATATTTTTATCTGCAAAATCTGGCAACCCTACGGTGTAGCCTTTGGATATGTAAGTTTTATTGACCTTCTGACATAATATTTCCAATGAGGCAAGTCTAAGGAAAATGAGCAGGTAAGACTGAAAAAAAGGACAAAAACCAGTAATACCTAGTGCTGGTGAAATAAAGGGGAGACAGACTTTCATATACACTATTGGTGCAACATTGATGTATACATTTTCTGAGGCCCATATTATTACAGCTTAATGACTTGAATGGCCTTTGTGCAGCAGTCCTATTTCTACCAACAAAGGAGTTTCAGCTGAGGGTTTAGAAAAGGCTCATCAAGGTGACTCTGATATGCATCCTGGTTAAGAAGCCCTGGACATGGAGGCAGGTCAAATTAATAGATGAGTTCCCTGCTCCAGGGAGGAAAGATAGCTTCCACTTACGGAGCAGAGCGTTTAGAGGAGCCTAGCTCCAGGTCCTTCTAGTGTCTGGATTTGATCTCATGACAGCCCTGCTACTGAGGTACCAGTATCCTCTCTTCTTCATGGATGTCTGCGACTACAAAGCACATGCTCCTAACCACAGAGCTGGATGGCAAAAATGTTGCTCAGCACGCCCATTGCCAGAGCCAGGCCCACTGCCAGAACCTGCCAGCTTGGGTACCTTGAGTTGCTGGTGGCAGATCTTTAGCATGAGGACATATACTGTTAAGGAGTTTAATCTCTGTTCTCCTTGTGTTTACCCTTCCTGCATTTCCAGCAGAAAACCAGGCTTGGGCCTCTTTCCCTCTGTCTCAGGAAGGGTTTATAGCAGGGCTGGATGCAGAAGCTGTCTGAAGCCAGTGTTTGCTTCATCCTGCATGAAAATTTAAACTTAAGGAAAGGATTGGGCTGCTTGTATCTGGCAGGGAGGGGAAGGGTTCTGAGGACACAGAGAAGGGAGAAGAAGAGAGGTTTCTCCTGGACAGGGATGAGGTCAGAGGTCTACAGGTCCCTCTGGGAGTAGGGACCTAAGCATTGCTTCATATCCATGTTTGGAGAAGCTCTGTATATGGTTCATCGAGGCTGGGCATCCATCCATGAGACAGATTCTCCTGTTTGGTTGGAAGGATGGATAGCTCAGGGTCAGGAAGGCGGGTGGGGCTGAAGGTAGCAAACCAGCTAGGGAAATGGTCAGCTCAGCCCTCAGCAGTGGGGACACACGCGTGATAATGATCTGCCATGCTGTACCTGGAGGATACATTTCCACAAATGGTTATTCTTTGTCAAAGAGCATGACTATTTTTAATATATACTGCCTAGTTGAAAGTTAAAATCTCTTTACTAATGAATATCCCAACCAACTACAAGATGAGAGCACCTGTTTCTCTAGATTTGTGCAATAATGGGTTTCCCAATATTATTAATATTTGCTAATGTAATATCCTATCACTGTAATGTTAGAATACTTTTCATTTTTCTCCACCTATTTCCACATAAATGGCATATTTCACACGTGCATTTCTAAATGCAAACATAATAGTCCCACTTTATGCCTCAGAATATGTCCTTGAATAGTCCTAGGGTTTGATGAGAAAACCTGATGAGTGAGTTTGTGTTTATGCTGTGTCCTGTTTAAATGGAAATTGTGGAGTCATAAGAATGACATACACTGCAGCAGGAGAACAAAATGGTGGACTGCCTTTGCAGAGACAATGGGGAACATATATGAGAGAAGCAAGCATGGCCCCGTCAACTCTGCCCTCTCAAGTCTGCACTGCAGAGAGTCCCTGGCATGTGTGCAAGAACAGTCATGGCAGCGTGGCCAAAATATCAAAATAGCCCCAAAGTCACCTTATTTAACGACATCTCAGAAACATCATTTTCAGAAGAAATAATTTCAATAAGTGTTTGCTACAATTTGGATGTTTGACTCCTCCAAATCTCATGTTGAAATTTGATCCCCAATGTTGGAGGTGGGACCTAACAGGAGGTGTTTGGGTCATGGGGGTGGATCCCTCATGAAAGTCTTGGTGCCATCCTTGCTGTGATGAGTGAGTGCTTGCTCCATTAGTTGCCACAAGAGCTGGTTGTTGAAAAAAGCCTAGTACCTCCCATCTCTCTTCTCCCTCTCTCGCCATGTGATCTCTGCACAAGTTGGCTCCCCATGGCCTTCCATCATGAGTGGAAGCTTCCTGAGGCCCTCATCATAAGCAGATGCCCAATCTTAAACTTTCCAACCATCAGAATTATTAGCCACATAAACTTTTTTCTTTATAAGTTATGCAGCCTCAGATATTCCTTTATAGCAACACTAAATGGACTAAGATAATGGTATAAAAATATATGGTTTATTCCATTTACCCATCAGGACAGCAGTGTGAAGAAAGTGTGGTGAGTTCCATCTCACAGATGATCAAGCTCTGGCTCACAGATACTAAGACCCTCTCCAGATAACTGGCAGAATGGCAATGAGGTTCTATCTCCTACCCTCCCACACAATGGAACCAGCAGCTTCTTATTTGGAGGATGATAATTTTATACTTCCCCAGTATTGTTCCCTAAGGGTACTCACTCAACAGCCCTTCACATTGAGGAAGAGGATGGTAGAGATGAAATCCTGCCCTTTGGGCATGAGGCATAGCTGTGGGGTCATATGGATTACCAGGTCTCTGAGGTTAACTGTGGGGTGAAATAAAGAAATATAACCTCATGTGGAACAAGAAAGAGCAGTGAAGAGAATAGAAAACAGCAGGCCCTCCAGGGATCACCTCTACCTCTCTCTGTCTTTGCTCCCTTCCCCACCTCATTTGTCTCCTGCTCTTTGTGATAGTATGGGATGTACACAGGTATCCCAGGTACCCTGAGAGAGGATAGAACGATGGGAAGATCTAGACCATGAGAAAGGTGGATCAGGCAGCACAAGTCCTGGAGCCTGTGCCCTGGGTGTTGGTTCACCCACCAGGCGCTCCATCTCTACCTGCTTCTGTGTGCCTCACCATTACTCTACCACATAGCAATGAAGCTCCCACATAACAGAAATATGCACTCTCCAAGAGAGGCTAGCAGGGGAAGTTACTTACCCCTGAGCCCAGAACATCTCACAGTTACTGGTTTGGGTCTGGCACCAATATGCAGAGAGATCTCTGGTCTCTCTTGCTCCAGTGTCCCGAACAGCAGACAGTATGAGGCTTTCATCAAGCCCCTTTGGACTGCAAAGGAAACACACATCTCTCATGCAGACTGGCGGTAATACAAGGGGACAGGAAAACCCGGGAAACAGGAAGAAGTGGGGTGTATGGTGATTTCATTCCCTTACCCCAAACTCCATTCATGGGGTCCATGATTCAGTTGAATAGAAATGGTGGAATCGGAAGCCAAGATGGCTGAATAGGAACAGCTCCGGTCTACAGCTCCCAGCCTGAGCGACGCAGAAGATGGGTGATTTCTGCATTTCCATCTGAGGTACTGGGTTCACCTCATCAGGGAGTGCCAGACAGTGGGTGCAGGACAGTGGGTGCAGTGCAGTGTGCGTGAGCTGAAGCAGGGCGAGGCATTGCCTCACTCAGGAAGCGCAAGGGGTCGGGGAGTTCCCTTTCCTAGTCAAAGAAAGGGGTGACAGATGGCACCTGGAAAATCGGGTCACTCCCACCCTAATACTGCACTTTTCCAACAGGCTTAAAAAACGGCACACCAGGAGATTATATCACGCACCTGGCTCGGAGGGTCCTACGCCCACGGAGTCTCGCTGATTGCTAGCACAGCAGTCTGAGATCAAACTGCAAGGCGGCAGCGAGGCTGGGGGAGGGGCGCCTGCCATTGCCCAGGCTTGATTAGGTAAACAAAGTAGCCAGGAAGCTCGAACTGGGTGGAGCCCACCACAGATCAAGGAGGCCTGCCTGCCTCTGTAGGCTCCACCTCCGGGGGCAGGGCACAGACAAACAAAAAGACAGCAGTAACCTCTGCAGACTTAAATGTCCCTGTCTGACAGCTTTGAAGAGAGTAGTGGTGGTTCTCCCAGCATGCAGCTGGAGATCTGAGAATGGGCAGATTGCCTCCTCAAGTGGGTCCTTGACCCCCGAGCAGCCTAACTGGGAGGCACCCCCAAGTAGGGGCAGACTGACACCTCACACGGCCGGGTACTCCTTTGAGACAAAACTTCCAGAGGAACGATCAGGCAGCAGCATTTCGGGTTCACCAAGATCCGCTGTTCTACAGCCACCACTGCTGATACCCAGGCAACCAGGGTCTGGAGTGGACCTCTAGCAAACTCCAACAGACCTGCAGCTGAGGGTCCTGTCTGTTAGAAGGAAAACTAACAAACAGAAAGGACATCCACACCAAAAACCCTTCTGTACGTCACCATCATCAAAGACCAAAAGTACATAAAACCACAAAGATGGGGAAAAAACAGAGTAGAAAAACTGGAAACTCTAAAAAGCACAGTGCCTCTCCTCCTCCAAAGGAACACAGCTCCTCACCAGCAACAGAACAAAGCTGGATGGAAAATGACTTTGAAGAGCTGAGAGAAGGCTTCAGACGATCACACTATTCTGAGTTACGGGAGGAAATTCAAAACGAATGGCAAAGAAGTTAAAAACTGAAAAAAAATTAGACGAATGGATAACTAGAATAACCAATGCAGAGAAGTCCTTAAAGGAGCTGATGGAGCTGAAAGCCAAGGCTCGAGAACTACGTGAAGAATGCAGAAGCCTCAGGAGCTGATGTGATCAACTGGAAGAAACGGTATCAGTGATGGAAGACGAAATGAATGAAATGAAGCGAGAAGGGAAGTTTAGAGAAAAAAGAATAAAAAGAAATGAACAAAGCCACCAAGAAATATGGGACTATGTGAAAACACCAAATCTACGTCTGATTGGTGTACCTGAAACTGACGGGGAGAATGGAACCAAGTTGGAAAACACTCTGCAGGATATTATCCAGGAGAACTTCCCCAATCTAGCAAGGCAGGCCAACATTCAGATTCAGGAAATACAGAGAACACCACAAAGATACTCCTCGAGAAGAGCAACTCCAAGACACATAATCATCAGATTCACCAAAGTTGAAATGAAGGAAAAAATGTTAAGGGCAGCCAGAGAGAAAGGTCAAGTTACCCACAAAGGGAAGCCCATCAGACTAAAAGCGGATCTCTCGGCAGAAACTCTACAAGCCAGAAGACAGTGGGGACCAATATTCAACATTCTTAAAGAAAAGAATTTTCAACCCAGAATTTCATATTCAGCCAAACTAAGCTTCATAAGTTAAAGAGAAATAAAATACTTTACAGACAAGCAAATGCTGAGAGATTTTGTCAGCACCAGGCCTGCCCTACAAGAGCTCCTGAAGGAAGCACTAAACATGGAAAGGAACAACCAGTACCAGCAAATGTAAAAACATGCCAAAATGTAAAGACCATCGAGGCTAGGAAGAAACTGCATCAACTAACGAGCAAAATAACCAGCTAACATCATAATGACAGGACCAAATACACACATAACAATATTAACTTTAAATGTAAATGGGCTAAATGCTCCAATTAAAAGACACAGACGGGCAAATTGGATAAAGAGTCAAGACCCATCAGTGTGCTGTATTCAGGAAACCCATCTCAAGTGCAGAGGCACGCATAGGCTCAAAATAAAGGGATGGAGGAAGATCTACCAAGCAAATGGAAAACAAAAAAAGTCAGGGGTTGCAATCCTAGTCTCTGATAAAACAGACTGTAAACCAACAAAGATCAAAAGAGACAAAGAAGGTCATTACATAATGGTAAAGGGATCAATTCAACAAGAAGAATTAACTATCCTAAATATATATGCACCCAATACAGGAGGACCCAGATTCATAAAGCAAGTCCTTAGTGACCTACAAAGAGACTTAGACTCCCACACAATAATAATGGGAGACTTTAACAGCCTACTGTCAACATTAGACAGATCGAGACAGAAAGTCAACAAGGATACCCAGGAATTGAACTCAGCTCTGCACCAAGTGGACCTAATAGACATCTATAGAACTCTCCACCCCAAATCAACAGAATATACATTTTTTTCAGCACCACACCACACCTATTCCAAAATTGACCACATAGTTGGAAGTAAAGCACTCCTCAGCAAATGTAAAAGATCAGAAATTATAACAAACTGTCTCTCAGACCACAGTGCAATCAAACTAGAATTCAGAAATAAGAAACTCACTCAAAACCACTCAACTACATGGAAACTGAACAACCTGCTCCTGAATGACTACTTGGGTACATAACAAAATGAAGGCAGAAATAAAGATGTTCTTTGAAACCAACGAGAACAAAGACACAACATACCAGAATCTCTGGGACACATTCAAAGCAGTGTGTAGAGGGAAATTTAAAGCACTAAATGCCCACAAGAGAAAGCAGGAAAGATCCAAAATTGACAACCTAATGTCACAATTAAAAGAACTAGAAAAGCAAGAGCAAACACATTCAAAAGCTAGCAGAAGGCAAGAAATAACTAAAATCAGAGCAGAACTGAAGGAAATAGAGACACAAAAAACCCTTCAAAAAATTAATGAATGCAGGAGCTGGTTTTTTGAAAAGATCAACAAAATCGATAGACCACAAGCAAGACTAATAAAGAAGAAAAGAGAGAAGAATCAAATAGACACAATAAAAAATGATAAAGGGGATATCACCACCGATCCCACAGAAATACAAATTACCATCAGAGAATACTACAAACACCTCTATGCAAATAAACTAGAAAATCTAGAAGAGATGGATAAATTCCTCGACACATACACCCTCCCAAGACTAAACCAGGAAGAAGTTGAATCTGTGAATAGACCAATAACAGGCTCTGAAATTGAGGCAATAACCAATAGCTTACCAACCAAAAAAAGTCCAGGACCAGATGGATTCACAGCCGAATTCTACCAGAGGTACAAGGAGGAGCTGGTACCATTCCTTCTGAAACTATTCCAACCAATAGAAAAAGAGGGAATCCTCCCTAACTCATTTTATGAGGCCAGCATCATCCTGATACCAAAACCTGGCAGAGACACAACCAAAAAAGGGAATTTTAGACCAATATCCTTGATGAACATTGATGCAAAAATCCTCAATAAAATACTGGCAAACCAAATCCAGCAGCACATCAAAAAGCTTATCCACCATGATCAAGTGGGCTTCATCCCTGGGATGCAAGGCTGGTTCAATATACGCAAATCAATAAACGTAATCCAGCATATAAACAGAACCAAAGACAAAAGCCACATGATTATCTCAATAGATGCAGAAAAGGCCTTTGACAAAATTCAACAACCCTTCATGCTAAAAACTCTCAATAAATTAGGTATTGATGGGACATATCTCAAAATAATAAGAGCTATCTATGACAGACCCACAGCCAATATCATACTGAATGGGCAAAAACTGGAAGCATTCCCTTTGAAAACTGGCACAAGACAGGGATGCCCTCTCTCACCACTCCTATTCAACATAGTGTTGGAAGTTCTGGCCAGGGCAATAGGCAGGAGAAGGAAATAAAGGGTATTCAATTAGGAAAAGAGGAAGTCAAATTGTCCCTGTTTGCAGATGACATGATTGTATATCTAGAAAACCCCACTGTCTCAGCCCAAAATCTCCTTAAGCTGATAAGCAACTTCAGCAAAGTCTCAGGATACAAAATCAATGTACAAAAATCACAAGCATTCTTATACACCAACAACAGACAAACGGAGAGCCAAATCATGAGTGAACTCCCATTCACAATTGCTTCAAAGAGAATAAAATACCTAGGAATCCAACTTACAAGGGATGTGAAGGACCTCTTCAAGGAGAACTACAAACCACTGCTCAATGAAATAAAAGAGGATACAAACAAGTGGAAGAACATTCCATGCTCATGGATAGGAAGAATCAATATCGTGAAAATGGCCATACTGCCCAAGGTAATTTATACATTCAATGCCATCCCCATCAAGCTACCAATGACTTTCTTCACAGAATTGGAAAAAACTACTTTAAAGTTCATATGGAAACAAAAAAGATCCCACATCGCCAAGTCAATCCTAAGCCAAAAGAACAAAGCTGGAGACATCACACTACCTGACTTCAAACTACACTACAAGGCTACAGTAACCAAAACAGCATGGTACTGGTACCAAAACAGAGATATAGATCAATGGAACACAACAGAGCCCTCAGAAATAATGCTGCATATCTACAACCATCTGATCTTTGACAAACCTGACAAAAACAAGCAATGGGGAAATGATTCCCTATTTAATAAATGGTGCTGGGAAAACTGGCTAGCCATATGTAGAAAGCTGAAACTGGATCCCTTCCTTACATCTTATACAAAAATCAATTCAAGATGGATTAAAGACTTAAATGTTAGACCTAAAACCATAAAAACCCTAGAAGAAAACCTAGGCAATACCATTCAGGACATAGGCATGGGCAAGGACTTCATGTCTAAAACACCAAAAGCAGTGGCAACAAAAGCCAAAATTGACAAATGGGATGTAATTAAACTAAAGAGCTTCTGCACAGCAAAGGAAACTACCATCAGAGTGAACAGGCAACCTACAGAATGGGAGAAAATTTTCGCAACCTACTCATCGGACAAAGGGCTAATATCCAGAATCTACAATGAACTCAAACAAATTTACAAGAAAAAAACAAACAACCCCATCAAAAAGTGGGCAAAGGATATGAACAGACACTTCTCAAAAGAAGACATTTATGCAGCCAAAAGACACATGAAAAAATGCTCATCATCACTGGCCATCAGAGAAATGCAAATCAAAACCACAATGAGATACCATCTCACACCAATTAGAATGGTGATCATTAAAAAGTCAGGAAACAACAGGTGCTGGAGAGGATGTGGAGAAATAGGAACACTTTTACACTGTTGGTGGGACTGTAAACTAGTTCAACCATTGTGGAAGTCAGTGTGGCGATTCCTCAGGGATCTAGAACTAGAAATACCATTTCACCCAGCCATCCCATTACTGGGTATATACCCAAAGGATTATAAATCATGCTGCTATAAAGACACATGCACACGTATGTTTATTGCGGCACTATTCACAATAGCAAAGACTTGGAACCAACCCAAATGTCCAACAATGATAGACTGGATTAAGAAAATGTGGCACATATACACCATGGAATACTATGTAGCCATAAAAAATGAATAGTTCATGTTCTTTGTAGGGATGTGTATGAAACTGGAAACCATCATTCTCAGCAAACTATCGCAAGGACAAAAAACCAAACACCACATGTTCTCACTCATAGGTGGGAACTGAACAATGAGAACACATGGACACAGGAAGGGGAACATCACACTCCAGGGACTGTTGTGGGGTGGGGGGAGGGGGAAGGGATAGCATTAGGAGATATACCTAATGCTAAATGACGAGTTATTGGGTGCAGCACACCAACATGGCACATGTATACATATATAACAAACCTGCACATTGTGCCCATGTACCCTAAAACTTAAAGTATAAAAAAAAAAAAAAAAAGAAATGGTGGAATCCCCTTCTTCCCTTCCCCAGCACCATCCGGGCACTCATTCCACCACACAGAAATGACACTGACTCACAGTGAAATTAGAAACGTTGGAGTGTTTTCCTTCTCCCATATGCTCTCTAGTCACATGGAAAATAGTTACTATACACTAGAGAAACTTGACAAACCCCAGCTTAATTAAATGATGAAGTTTAACATCACCAGTGACATTAAGTAGGCATCCTGACTACCAGATATAATGTTACAAGAAGGGCACTTCAAATCAATGGTATTCTTTCTCAAAACACATAATCCTGGTCTAATCACAATAAGAACAACTGGCTAAGCCTGTACTCCTCATGACTGTCAGGGTCATGAAAGTCATCTGGCAGTTCCTCAAATGGATAAGCAGGGAGTTACCAGCAATTCCACTCTTAGGTACATACTCAAGAGAAATGAAAACATAAGTCTACCTGAAAACTTGTACACAAATGTATGTCGAATTGTCATTCATATTAGCCAACAACTAGAAATAATCCAAATGACTATCAATAGATAAATGATAAAAAATGTAGTCTATTCATACAAGATTTTTCAGCCATTAGAAAGAATGACATTATGACACATGCTACACCATGGATGAACCTTGACTATATATCATAACCAGGCGAAGGAAGCCAAACAATAAAGAACAAATATTGTACGATTCCATTTATATAAAGCATCTAAACAGGTAAATACATAGACACAGAAAACATTTGTGATTGCCAAGGCTGAAGCAGGAATTAACTGTATTCAAGCACGACAGGACTTTTTGAGGTAATGGAAATGTTAAAAGCTTAATTATGGTGATGGTAGCACAACTCTACACATTTACTGAAATTCATCAAATTTTACCCTTAAAATGGGTAAATTTCATTGTCTGTAAAGTATATTGCAAGAAAGCTGTTTAAAAATATGGTACTACATATTTTTATGCACTATGCCAGTGAGACAGAGCTGTTCACTCCCCTGGAAAGGGGCTGAAGCCAGGGAGCCAAGTGGTCTAGCTCAGTGGATCCCACTCCCACGGAGCCCAGCAAGCTAAGATCCACTGGCTTGAAATTATTGCTGCCAGCATAGCAGTCTGAAGTCCACCTGGGACGCTCCAGCTTCGTGGGGGGAAGGGTGTCCATCATTACTGAGGCTTGAGTAGGCGGTTTTCCCCTCATAGCATAAACAAAGACACAGGAAAGTTCGAACTGGGTGGAGCCCACTTGCAGCTTGGCAAAGCGCTGTAGCCAGACCGCCTCTCTGGATTCCTCCTCTCTGGGCAGGGCATCTCTGAAAAAAAGGCAGCAGCCCAGTTAGGGGCTTATAGATAAAACTCCCATCTCCCTGGGGCAGAGCACCTGGGGGAAGGGGTGGCTGTGGGTGCAGCTTTGGCAGACTTAAACGTTCCTGCGTGCCAGCTCTGAAAAGAGTAGCAGATCTCCCAGCACAACGCTCGAGCTCTGCTAAGGGAGAGACTGCCTCCTCAAGTGGGTCCCTGAACCCCGTGCCCCCTGACTGGGAGAAACCTCCCAGCAGGGGTCGACAGACACCTCATACTGGAGAACTCCGGCTAGCATCTGACGGGTGCCTCTCTGGGATGAAGCTTCCAGAGGAAGGAATAGGCAGCAGTCTTTGCTGTTCTGCAGCCTCTGCTGGTGATACCCAGGCAAATGGGGTCCGGAGTGGACTGCCAGCAAACTCCAGCAGACCTGCAGCAGAGGGGCCTGTTAGAAGGAAAACTAACAGACAGAAAGGAATAGTATCAACTTCAACAAAAAGGACGTCCACACCAAAACCCCATCCAAAGGTCACCAACAATAAAGACCAAAGGTAGATAAATCCACGAAGATGGGGAGAAACCAGCGCAAAAAGACTGAAAATTGCAAAAACAAGAATGCCTCTTCTCCTCCAAAGGATCACAACTCCTCGCCAGCAATGGAACAAAACTGGATGGAGAATGCGTTTGACGAATTGACAGAAGTAGGCTTCAGAAGGTGGGTAATAACAAACTTCTCCAAGCTAAAGGAGCATGTTCTAACTCAATGCAAGGAAGCTAAGAAGCTTGAAAAAAGGTTAGAGGAATTGCTAACTAGAATAACCAGTTTAGAGAAGAACATAAATGACCTGATGGAGCTGAAAAACACATCACAAGAACTTCGTGAAGCATACACAAGTATCAACAGCTGAATCAATCAAGCGGAAGAAAGGATATCAGAGATTGAAGATCAACTTAATGAAATAAAGCATGAAGACAGGATTAGAGAAAAAAATGAAAAGGAACGAACAAAGCCTCCAAGAAATATGGGACTACGTGAAAAGACCAAACCTACATTTGACTGTGTACCTGAAAGTGATGGGGAGAATGGAACCAAGTTGGAAAACACTCTGCAGGATATTATCCAGGAGAACTTCCCCAACCTAGCAAGGCAGGCCAACATTCAAATTCAGGAAATACAGAGAACACCACAAAGATACTCCTCGAGAAGAGCAACCCCAAGACACATAATCATCAGATTCACCAAAGTTGAAATGAAGGAAAAAATGTTAAGGGCAGCCAGAGAGAAAGGTCAGGTTACCCACAAAGGGAAGCCCATCAGACTAACAGCTGACCCCTTGGCAGAAACTCTACAAGCCAGAAGAGAGTGGGGGCCAATATTCAACATTCTTAAAGAAAAGAATTTTCAACACAGAATGTCATATCCAGCCAAACTAAGCTTCATAAGTGTGGGAGAAATAAAATACTTTACAGACAAGCAAATGCTGAGAGATTTTGTCACCACCAGGCCTGCCCTACAAGAGCTCCTGAAGGACGCGCTAAACATGGAAAGGAACAACCAGAACCAGTCACTGCAAAAACATGCCAAATTGTAAAGACCATCGATGCTAGGAAGAAACTGCATCAACTAATGGGCAAAATAACCAGCTAACATCATAATGACAGGATCAAATTCACACATAACAATATTAACCTTAAATGTAAACAGGCTAAATGCCTCAATGAAAAGACACAGACTGGAAAATTGGATAAAGAGTCAAGACCCATTGGTGTGCTGTATTCAGGAGACCCATCTCACGTGCAAAGGCACACATAGGCTTGACATAAAGGGAAGGAGGAATATTTACCAAGCAAATGGAAGCAAAAAAAAAGCAGGTGTCAGTTTATTTTTGATGAGTTTAATCTAATTGGCTGCATATTTTGTGACTTATTTATTTATATTTAGTACTATCTTTTCGAGATTTTTTTTTTCAGTCAATAAATTTAGACTTTGCACTTCTAACTAGCTTGATACAGCTCCAGACAAAGCTAAGAGTCTAGGTAAGCAGTCAATCTGGTTGTGGATTGTATCAGAAAAATGACTTTAGCAACTTATTTAGAGAGGCTATGCTCAGGTTCCCGCATCCATAAAAATTGGTATAATAACACTCATTCCCCTTTTATTTTGCAGACATCATAAAAATACATAAGATAATTAAAGGAACCCAAATATATGGGAATAAACATATAAACCTGAGGTAGGACTGTTATTATAATGATGATAAACAATGAGCATATTCAAATTCTGAGTAATTAATACAAACTGTCCAAGACCATTTTTAAATATTGCATGCATATGGCAACTTGGAAAGCAAGAAGGAATCACAAGCTGGGCTATTGGGAAAGTTTGAGAGTCCTAATCCTGCCAGAGGCACTGCAAGGTGTAGTCACTTGCAACATTCCTGTCTGACAGCTCCCAGGTGACTAGATAGATTTGTGTCTTTCCCACCAGCCTGTGCTGAAAAAGTCTTCCCTGTTATTTAAAAACAGGCATGGTTCCTCTCACTTCTGGTAGGAGCAAAGGCCAGTGGCCTGATGGGACAAATAACCTTTCCTTCTCTGACCCCAGAAAATATCCATATTAATTGGAATTGAATATTGAAATGTACCACCTTTGCATACGTCTAAAACTTGCAGCCTCTGGCTTCATTATGAGTCAGATGCCAAATGGGAAAGATAGTGGGTGGGTCCTGAAACAAGGCTTTGAGTGTTTTCTGCATCTCTGTGAGCAGCCAGGCTTTCTACTGCTTGTACCATTAAAGTTGAATATAAAACTGTCATTTAAAAGAAAGAGTGCCAGAGCATCTCTTTCCTTCCCCACTGTATTGTGGGTCCATTGACACTTCCATAGAGCTTCGAAGTCCCCTTTCTGACAAGGTTTCTCTTCCAATTATTTTCTTCTTCTTCAGCTTTGAATTTATTCTTGTTCATACTTATCTCAGTTGCAATTTTTCATTTATCTGCAGGTTTATTTGATTAGTGCCTTCCTTGCCAACCAAAGAGTAAATTAGAATAAATCAGGGGCTATATTTATTTTTACTAGGGCTGCCATATTTATCACAGACAAACAAGTAAACAAATAAAATAAAAAGTTACAGGACACTCAGCTAAATTTGAATTTCAGATAAACATGGAATAATTTTTAGTATAAGAATGTTGTTTATCTAAAATTCAAATTTAACTAGGAATCCTGTATTTTATCCTGCAACATTTTTAGTCACAGTTTACCTTCAGGGCTTATCATAGTATTAAGAACATTGTAAGAGTTCAATTAAAATGTCTTGAATGGATGAATGCCAGATTGCAGGGAGGAAAGTATCATAACATCTTAGACAGTTGCAAATACATAAGATTGCATACTTGTATACTTATAATCCATTTCCAAAAACACTTCCTTAAAGTAAATTTTCAAAAGCCAGGAACAACCCATAGAGCTCATAGATAAAACTTTTGCAGAGTAGTAGTCAGTAAAAATGTCATACCACAATTCCACCATCAACATATTTTCGATTCTCCTGATATCTATACAGAAAAGGTAACAAAAAATCATATACACATCACATAATTAACTAAAAACCAAATTTGAACCAAAAAGACTCTCTTCATTTTTTACAGTGTTGATTGAAATACAGTAGGCAAAACTTACAAAATATGTAGTTGTAAGTAGAAACATTCACTAGAGATCAAAGGGTGTAGAAATAGCCAGGAAAACTGGCAAATAACCCTCATAAGGTTTTGAGTGTACCTCAGATATTGTTCTTTGTCATCATTGCTATAATTGTTTGACCTAATTGCTGTCTATAAATTAAAAAGCAGATTATTGTCTTCTCAGACCGTTTTCATGTTTCTCTTTTCTTTCATTAATTTCAACAAATACTGAATGTCTATTGTGTGTAAGACAATGTCTAAAACAAAATAAAAATCCGTGTACATATGAAAAAAAAATATGGTACTGACCTGGTCTTCTGTTGTACCACAGTAATGACCAAACGTTTTCATACAAAAGAATTGATGCATATGTTTTACATAAAAATGAATGCATATAGGGCCGGGTGTGGTGGCTGACGCCTGTAATCCCAGCACTGTAGAAGGCCGAGGCAGGCGGATTACGAGCTCAAGAGATGGAGACCATCCTGGCCAACATGGTGAAACCTCGACTATACTAAAAATACAAAAAATTAGCTGGGCGTGGTGGTGCGTGCCTACAGTCCTAGCTACTCAGGAGGCTGAGGCAGGAGAATCGCTTGAACCCAGGAGGCGGAGGTTGCAGTGAGCTGAGATCACACCATTGCATTCCAGCCTGGCAACAGGCGATACTCCGTCTCAAAAAAAAAAAAAAAAAAAGAATGCGTATAAAGAGTGCCTGTGTCCTAGCCCTTCTGCCTCTGTCCTGTAAGTCCAAGCAATGATCATTCCTCTTCCCCCTTTCCCTCATCGCTACATCAGGATGTGCTTGTGTACAAAATTTGATTGCATCTGATCACTTCCACGTCTTCCAATTGTGGCAATGGCATGACAGCAGGTCCATGACGGAGTCCAGGACCCACCCTATGTGATAGGATGTCAGCATTAACTAATTTCTTCAGTCCTCTGTGGCCGACCTCACATGCCTCCCCTTGGGGAGTTTAAATGGCACAACTCTATGTGTGCCACTATGTCAATACATATCAAAGGGTACACACCACTTACATAAACAATTTCCCTTGTAGAAATTCATCTTCAGAATGTAGTGAAGAATGTTGATAAGCATCTGGTTATAAGGACTGCCATCCTGATAATTCTCTTTTGTCACTTCTGAGCCTGAATTTGGGAAGAGAAACCAAATGAGACACAAACCCACAAAAGGGCAGAGGGAAATGTGGTTGTCAGCATACACACACACACACACACACACACACACTCACTCACACAAACTGAGACATTTATCATGTTGTGTTATATTTCTCCTAAGACAGCTTGCTGGACTCAAGGAAGACACATTCAACTCACTAGCGCAAATAGCCACAGGAATTGTGCCTGTAACTGTGCCCTTCAGCAGTGCACAGACTCTGAAAAGATGCCATCCACACAGTGTAGATAATAGGAAATATCAGGACAGTCTGAATAACAAGAAGTTGTGAAAATTGATTATGTTACATCCATAGGATGGAATTCCAGAAGGCAACAAAAACGAGTTATAATGAAAGTAATGATGAGAGATGACTTCTTGTGTACCAAATTAATGATTCTCATTATTTCTAATGTGTGGAGAACTAGGTACTTTCATACTGTGATATAGGCAATATAAATTAGTAATAGTATTTTGAATTGATTATTAATATAAAATGTTATAGTTCAAAGGGTTTTAAAATGAAACTTTTAGGAACTTACTATAAATAAATGCTTACAAACATATTTGCATATACACGAGCATGGCGTTAAGTACATTATTTTCGGTCATAGAAATGGTAAGGGAACTAAATTTTCATTGCTATAATACTAGTGAAATAAATTTGAGGGTATCCACACAATGAAATACATAGTCCAAAAAAAAAAAGTGAGATTTTGTGTTTAAGTATTTTAAGATGTTATCACAGACGTATATTTCCATGAAAAGATGGTTATAATAAGGGCAAACTTGGGTTACAAAGATAATAAAAGATCTGCATCCATTTTAGCTTACCCAGGTCTCCAGCTATTTATCCATATGTCTCAAAGCATTTAAAATATATATTTATTATTCTGACATAGTTTTCTCTTCCACATAGTAAAAGGCTCCATTTTTTTAATGGAGGCTGTCAGTATTCCTACACACTGGGAATGCCCAATTTTCCACTCAGACTTCTAGAAAACTCTGTAGGGCGGGGCTTGGGCCACAACTCCTCCCTCCCACTTTCCTACTGTGATGTTCAAGCTGCATGCAGTTCAGGCTTCAGTCACGAGGGGGCACCACCGTACCACCATTGTCAAACTTCTCCACAGACGTGTTTGCATGGAGCAAAAAAAAAATACCTCACTTAAAACCCAGGGTATGAATTTACATATAGAATGACTCTAATTCTGTCAGAATAAAATTGATAAGTGTAAAAGAAGACAGTAAAATCCTCTACTCTGGGGCATCCATAAGATGAAACATGAGATACCTCTGGTGCACACTGGCAGCCCGTGGCAGGCAGAATTATTGTAATTTGGTATATTTTTGAAAGTTTAGTGACTATGTATATTGCATTTTATGTGAATTATCTGTTCATATCTTTTGATGATTTCTCTACTCATTATTAAGACTTCTTCCATATCAAGGATATTATGTATTAACCATTCGAAATACTAAATATAGATAGCAAATAAACATATGAACTAGTGAAAGACTATACAATTTCTGTGTTTAAAAGCAATACAACAGAATTGAACACAAATGAGCAAAGACATCAATCATATCAATAACAATAAATTGGCTTAACTCATCTATTAAAAGTATTTCAGATTGCCTATTGAAGAAAAATCCAAAGCTGTGCTTTTCCAAGTGATACACGTAAAACAAACGTATTCATATAGGTTAAAAATGTAAGGATAAATATATACTAGGCAGTTGACAATATAAAGAAAGTAAGGGTTACAATCTTGATAATTAAAAGAAAAAAACTGAGACCAAAATGGATTTAAAGAGACAAAAAAACACAGTTGATAAAGTCAAAGGCTACAATTCACAAGGAAGATGGGAGCTACTCATATATGCAGTCATGTGGTAAAAATATTGATAGAGCAAAAACTACAGTAGTGCAAAGAGAAGTAGGAAGAAGCACACCATTTAATAATAGAAATTCTACCACATTTCCTATAATCCAAAAACGTTCAGGTGGAGAAAAATTTAACAACTGTAGAGAAGACTTAAGCAACATAATTCCAAGGGTAGATCTTACAGATACACTTATTCTAAATTGTGAAGCCTAATATTAGGCAACACACCTACTTTTCATATAAACATGGATCATTCATGAAAATTGACTCTATCTGAGGCTATTAAACAAAACTTGCACCCAAATGGAAATAGATTAAAGTTGCAGAATTTGGTGCATATAATCATAATGAAAACAGAGGATGTACGAATTTAGCTAGAGTTGCTATCAGAGGCTATTTTAAAGCATTAAATACCTATATCAATAAAAATGAAAATGAGTTAAACATTCAATTCAGAAAGCCTGATAAAGAACCACAATGTAAACTAAAAGAATGCAGACAAAAAGAATACTTAATGGTAAAATTAGAAGTGAATATGTAAAGAAATAACATCTCAGCACAGTTGGGATGAGAAGGAAGCAAACATTGGTGCTGTGAATAATGTGTCAAAAACTGTGCTGGGATCTGGAGGAGGGTTTCCTCTTGAACTCCTCACAATGCTCTCTTGAGTATAAGAATCAAGTTTGTGTGTGTGTGTGTACATATAGACATATAATGTTAAATTAGCTAGTTGGAGGACAAGAACACCTATAGTATTAATGTGTGTGTGTGGTTGTATGAAGACAAATATGCAAAAGAATACTATATTTTGTCTAGGGACGCTCTCATATGTAGTAAAGTAATAAAAAAAAAAGTGGAATAAATACCGCATTCTGGATATTGATTATTTCTAGGAGTGAAGAAAGGGTCATGGAGGAGTAAAGTTTTTCTTAACTTGGATTAATTTTATAGTTCTCTATACTTTTTATCTGAAATATTTCATAAGTAGCAGGGGTTTTAAGGGATATAGTGTTTTTTTCATAAGTATAATCCATACTCAGCAAAGGCTTAATATTGGGCCAAGTAGTGAAGTTAAAAATACCAGTCCCATCATAAACTGGGCGCAGTGGCTCACGCCTGTAATCCCAGCACTTAGGGAGGCCAAGGCAGGTGGATCACTTGAAGCCAGGAGTTCGAGACCACCAGCCTGGCCAATACAGCAAAACCCGTCTGTACTAAAAATACAAAAAAAAAAAAAAAATTAGCTGAGTGGTCAATATGTTACATGTATGCCATTTCCAATCAGATGCATTGTTTAAGAACTGAGGCTGATCAACTGGTAAAGGGTTCAGTGGGAAGCAAATCTGGGGCAAGGCACGGTGGCTCCTGCCTGTGATCACAGAATTTTGGGAGGCCGAGGAGGGAGGATTCCTTGAGCCCAGGAGTTCAAGATGAGCCTGAACAACATAGTGAGGTTCCATCTCTACCAAAAAAAAAATTAAAAATTAGGCAGAAGTGGTGGCACACGGCTGTAGTCCCAGCTACTCAGGATGTCAGGTGTCTCACACCTGTAATCCCATCTACTCGGGAGGCTGAGGCAGGAGAATCAACTGAACCCGGGAGGCAGAAGCTGCTGTGATCCGAGATCACGCCACTGCACTCCAGCCTGCGTAACACAGCAAGACTCTGTGTCAAAAAAAAAAAAATTAATCCTATCATGGTTGAAATTAACATTGGGCTATGTTCTTTGGGATTTATTTTGTGTATACGTGTATGCACATGCACACTGTACATGCATTACATATACAACTCATATAATAATTAAAATACCATATGTATAGTTTAGTACCCTGTATTTTTTGTTATTTTAGTTTTCCTTTTACCTTAAGTACTAACATGTGGATGAGGCATTCTGGTTAAATTACAAGGTAAAAGATATGATACAACTTTGCTTTTTTTTTTTTTTTAAGGTTCTTGCTCTATCACCCAGGCTGTAGTACAGTGGTGTGATCACAGCTTACTGCAGACTTGACTTCCTGGGCTCAAGCAGTCCTCCCACCTCAGCATCCTCAGTAGCTGGGACTACAGCCATGTGCCATCACTCCTGCCTAATTTTTAAAAATTTTTTGTAGAGATGGGATCTCACTATGTTGTTCAGGCTCATCTTGAACTCCCAGGCTCAAGGAATCCTCCCACCTCGGCCTCCCAAAGTTCTGTGATCACAGGGAGGAGCCACCGTGCCTTGCCCCAAATTTGCTTCCCAATTAACCCTTTACCAGTTGATCCAGCCTCAATTCTTAAACAATGCATCTGATTGGAAATGGCATACAGGTAACATATTGAATAATATGATATGTTTGGGTCTGCTCATGAGATTTCTATAGACTTCCTTTAATCTATATATCAAACACTGTCCAACAGTTAATTCATTATAGGTTCATGAAACATAATACCTGGCCATGTATTCCTACTCCTATTATTCACCCTTTTGATAGTTAAAATGAATAATAATAAAATATGCTAACAATTATAGGGTATATAGTATTAATAGATAAATTGCTTACTATAGATCATACAACCAAAAAGTGATGGTTCCCAGGGTCAAATTCAGAAACTTCTTGCCCCAAAGCCCATACCTCTAATCACTGTTTCTGTACTGTTTCTACACTGAGTGCTCCTCTGTGTTTGGGCTGAGGCCAACAAAGGGAAGGGGCTTTCTCAAAGACCTGTGGTCAGTTGATGGGTTTTGCAGCTGGGCTACAAGGTTAATGATTCTCATCTTCAGTCCAGCCGGCCCATTAATATTCCTGGCTCTTCTGTACTATTTCTTCTTGGGGCTCAATAAGAAATTCCAGAGGGATCATAGTGGATGGGAGGCAAGACTAGATTGTAGCTCCCATGTGGACAGACAGAGCAGTGTGTGGAGACTCACATCGTGTACTTTTGCTCCAGAACTACTGCAGAAATAAACAAGGAAAGCTGAGAGAACCCAAAGACCTTCTGAAAGAAGGAGATTGTTCCTGCAGGACCCAGGAGACACTCCAAATACTGTAAGTGCCCAAGCTATGGAAGTGGGAAAGGGGGGATCATCCACCCCCGAACACACACCCTCACTGGGGAACCTGAAAGACTAGACCATGGAAGAAGATTCTGACCTCACCTGGAGCTGAGTCAATTCAGAAAGCCGAGCGAAATACAGGGGTAGAGGAAGCAAGAGGAAAAACCCTGTGGGCTCCCTGGGTCCCCTAGGAAGCCATTTCTGCCTTGTCTCACAGAAGTCTTTGGGGAGGGCTACCAGAGCTACTGGGAAAAGACCACAGGGAGAAGGAAACCTCCAGTTGAACTCCAGTTGAACTTTGTAACAATTCCAACCAAATGTGAAGTCTCCTGGCCAGAACTCAGGGGAAGGCATGAATCTGGTGTACAGATGCCACAGGAAAGGAGGCATGAAAGCCCAGCTTGCTTTCACACCTCGGAGGCTGGTAGCCTGGGGCAAGTTCTCAGCCCTGCTCACCCACTGCCTGGAAACACACTTGGTGCTGTTGGGGGACCATGGTGGGGGTGAGACCAGCCTTTTGGGTTGCATGGGAGCTGGGTGACGCCTGTGACTGTCAGCTTTCTCCTACTTCCCTGACAACCTGCAAGACACAGCAGAGGCAGCCATAATCCTCCTGGGAATTTAACTCCATTGACCTAGGAACCACATTCCCATCCCCCACAGCAGCTGCAGCAAGAACCGCCTAAGGGAAGTCTGAGCTCAGACACGCCTAGCCCTGCCCCCACCTGATGGTCCTTCCCTACCCACACTGGTAGCTGAAGACAAAGGGCATATACTCTTGGGAGTTCTAGGGCCCTACCCACCTGATCCTCCCTATACTACCACAGCTGATGCTGTCTTCAAAGCGCCACCTCCTGGCAGGAGGCCAACCAGCAAAAAATAGCGCATTAAACAACCAAAACCAAGGACCCTCACAGAATCCATTTTAGCCCCCTGCCACCTCCACTGGAGCAGGCGCTGGTATCCACAGCTGAGAGACCTGCAGATGGTTCACATCACAGGACTCTGTGCAGACAACCCCCAGTTCCAGACTGAGCCTGCTAGGTGGCTAGATGCCTAGATGCCAAAGAGAGATAACAATCACTACAGCTCAGCTCTCAGGAAGCCATATCCCTAGGAAAAGGGGGAGAGTACTACATCAAGAGAACACCCCACGGGACGAAAGAATCTGAACAACAGCCTTGAGCCCTAGACCTTCCCTCTGACAGAGCCTACCTAAATGAGAAGGAACCAGAAAAACAATTCTAGTAACATGACAAAAGAAGGTTCTTTAACAATCCCCAAAAATCACACTAGCTCACCAGCAATGGATCCATACCAAGAAGAAATCCCTGATTTACCTAAAAAAGAATTCAGGTCAGTTATTAAGCTAATCAAAGATTCACCAGAGAAAGGTGAAGTCCAATTTAAAGAAATCAAAAAAGTGATACAAGAAACGAGGGAAGAAATCTTCAGTGAAATAGATAGCATAAATAAAAAACGATCAAAAGGAAATTATTTCAGGAAATAATGGACGCACTTAGAGAAATGCAAAATGCTCTGAAAATTCTCAGTAATAGAATTGAACAAGCAGAAGAAAGAACTTCAGAATGCAAAGACAAGGTTTTCGAATTAACCCAATCCAACAAAAACAAAGAAAAAATAATTTAAAAAATGAACAAAGTCTCCAAGAAGTCTGGGATTATGTTAAATGACTAAACCTAAGAATAATCCATGTTCCTGAGGAAGAAGAGAAATCTAAAAGTTTGGAAAACAGATTTGGGGGAATAATTGAGGAAAACTTCCCAAGCCTTACTAGAAACTTAGACATCCAAATACAAGAAGCTCAAAGAACACCTGGGAAATTCATCGCAAAAAGATCATCGCCTAGGCACATTGACCTCATGTTATCTAAAATTAAGATGAAGGAAAGAATCTTAAGAGCTGTGAGGCAAAAGCATCAGGTAACCTATAAAGGAAAACCTATCAGATTAACAGCAGATTTCTCAGCAGAAACCCTACAAGCTAGAAGGGATTAGGGTCCTATCTTCAGCCTCCTTAAACAAAACAATTATCAGCCAAGAATTTTGTATCCAGTGAAACTAAGCTTCATAAATGAAAGAAAGATACAGTCTTTTTCAGATGAACAAATGCTGAGAGAATTTGACACTACCAAGCCAGCACTACAAGAACTGCTAAACGGCGCTCTCAATCTTGAAACAAATCCTGGAAACACATCAAAACAGAACCTCTTTAAAGCAAAAATTTCACAGGACCTATAAAACAAAAATACAATTTAAAAAAAAACACAAGGTATACAGGAAAAAAAATAGCATGATGAATGGAATAGTACCTCACATCTCAATGCTAATCTTGAATATAAATGGCCTAAATGCTTCACTTAAAAGATACAGAATTGCAGAATGGATAAGAATTCACCAACCAACTATCTGCTGCCTTCAAGAGACCAACCTAACACGTAAGGACTCATATAAACTTAAGGTAAAGGGGTAGAAAAAGACATTCCATGCAAATAGACACCAAAAGTGAGCAGGAGTAGCTATTCTTATATCAGACAAAAAAACTTTAAAGTAACAGCAGTTACAAAAGACAAAGAGGGACAATATGTAACTATAAAAGGCCTTGTCTAACAGGAAACTACCGCAATCCTAAGTATATATGCACGTAACACTGGAGCTCCCAAATTTATAAAACAATTACTACTACGCCTAAGAAATGAGATAGACAGCAACACAATAATAGTGGGGGACTTCAATACTCCACTGATAGCACTAGACAGGTCATCAAGACAGAAAGTCAACAAACAGTGGATTGAAACTATACCCTAGAACAAATGGACTTAACACATATTTACAGAACATTCCATTTAAAAACCACAGAATATACATTCTATTTAATAGAGAATCTGACACTACCAAGCCAGCACTACAAGAACTGCTAAAAGGAGCTCTAAATCTTGAAACAAATTCTGGAAACACATCAAAACAGAAACTCTTTAAAGCATAAATCTCACAGGACCTATAAAACAAACATACAATTTAAAAAAACACAAGGTAGACCAAGATAAACTCCAAGATAGACCATACGATACACCACAAAATGAGCCTCAATAAATTTAAGAAAATTGAAATTATATCAAGCACTCTTTCAGACCACAGTGGAATAAAACTGAAAATCAACTCCAAAATGAGTTGAAGGTTCAAAACCATGCAAATACATGGAAATTAAATAACCTGCTCCTGAATGATCACTGGGTCAAAAACAAAATCAAGATGGAAATTTAAAAATTATTCAAAGTGAACGACAGTAGTGACATAGCCTATCAAAACCTCTGGGATACAGCAGAGGTGGTGCTAAGAGGAAAGTTCATAGCCCTAAACACCTACGTCAAAAAGTCTGAAAGAGCACAAACAGACAATCTAAGGTCACACCTCCAGGAATTAGAGAAACAAGAATAAACCAACCCCAAACCCATCAGAAGAAAGGAAATAACCAAGATTAGTGCAGAACTAAATAAAATTAAAACTAAGAAAAACAATACAAAAGATAAATGAAACAAAAAGCTGGTTCTTTGAAAAGATAAATAAAATTGATAGACCATTAGCAAGATTAACCAAGAAAAGAAGAGAGAAAATCCAAATAAGCTCAATTAGAAACAAAACAGGAGATACTACAACTGACACCACAGAAATATAAAAGATCATTGAAGGCTACTATGAACACCTTTATGCAAATAAACTAGATAACCAAGGGGAGATGGATAAATTCCTGGAAATATACAACCCTCCTAGATTAAACCAGGAAGATATAGAATCTCTGAACAGACCAATAACAAGCAGTGAGATTGAAATGGTAATTTTAAAATTGTCAACAAATAAAGTCCAGGACCAGATGGATTCACAGCTGAATTCTATCAGACATTCAAAGAAGAATTGGTACCAATCCTATTGACACTATTCTAAAAAACAGAGAAAGAGGGAATCCTCCCTAAATCATTCTGTGAAGCCAGTATCACCTTAATACCAAAACCAGGGAAGGACATAACAAAAAAGAAAACTACAGACCAATATCCCTGATGAACACAGATGTAAAAATCCTTGGCCAGGCATGATAGCTCATGCCTGTAATCCCAGCACTTTGGGAGGCCAAGGCAGGTGGATCACTTGAGGTCAGGTGTTCGAGACCAGCCTGGCCTACATGGTGAAACCCTGTCTCTACTAAAAATACAAAAATTAGCCAGGTGTGGTGGCACGCACTTGTAATCCCAGCTACTTGGGAGGCTGAGGTGGGACTGCTTGAACCTGGGAGGTGGATGCTGGAGCAAGCTGAGATCACACCACTGCACTCCAGCCTGGGCAACAGAGTGAGACTCCATTTCAAAAAACAAACAAAAAAAAAACCTCAACAAAATACTAGCGAACTGAATCCAACAACTTATCAAAAAGAAAATCCACCATGATCAAAAATCACATGACCATCTCAACGGACACAGAAAAAACATTTGACAAAATCCAGCATCCCTTTAGGATTAAAACTCTCAGAAAAACTGGCATACAAGGGACATAACTCAATGTAATAAAAACAATCTATGACAAACCCACAGCCAACATAATACTGAATGGGGAAAAGTTGAAAGCATTCCCTCTGAGAACTGGAACAAGACAAGGATGTCCACTCTTACCACTCCCATTCAACATAGTAGTAGAAGTCCTAACCAGAGAAATCATACAAGAGAAAGAAATAAAGGGGATCCACATTGGTAAAGAGGAAGTCAAACTGTCACTGTTTGCTGATATGATTGTATACCTAAAAAACCCTAAAGACTACTCCAAAAAGCTCCTAGAACTGATAAACTAATTCAGCAAAGTTTCCAGATGCAAAATTAATGTACAGAAATCAGTAGCTCTCCTATACACCAACAGCAACCAAGCTGAGAATCAAATTAAGAACTCCTTTTATAATAGCTGCAAAAAAATAAAATAGAATACTTAGGAATACACCTAACCAAGGAGGTGAAAGACCTCTACAAGGAAAACTACAGAACACTGCTGAAAGAAATTATAGACGACACAAACAAATGGATACACATCCTATGCTCATGGATGAGTACAATCAATATTGTGAAAATGACCATACTGTCAAAAGCAATCTACAAATTCAATGCAATTCCCATCAAAATACTACCATCATTCTTCACGGAACTAGAAAAAAACAATCCTAAAATTCACATGGAACCAAAAAAGAGCCTGTATAGCCAAAGCAAGACTAGGCAAAAAGAACAAATATGGAGGCATCACATTACCTTACTTCAAACTATACTATAAGGCCAGAGTCACCAAAACAGCATGGTACTGGTATAAAAATAGGCACATAGACTATATATGAAACATTTATATACATATATATATATATATATATATATATATATACACACACACACACACACACATATATATACACATATATATACACACACACACAAACACACACACACACACACACACATATATATATATATATATATAAAACAGAATAGAGAACCCAGAAACAAAGCCAAATACTTAGAGCCAACTGATCTTCGACAAAGCAAACAAAAACTTCAAGTAGGGAAAGGACACCCTATTCAACAAATGGTGCTGGGATAATTGGCAAGCCACATGCAGAACGATGAAACTGGATCCTCATCTGTCATCTTATAAAAAATCAACTAGAGATGGATCAAAAACTTAAATCTAAGACCTGAAACTACAAAAATTCTAGAAGGTAACATCAGAAAAACCATTCCAGGCATTGGCTTGGGCAAGGATTTCATGATAAGAAACCGAAAGCAAATGCAATAAAAACAAAGATGAACTGCTGGGACTTAATTAAACTAAAGAGTTTTGCATGGCAAAAGGAACAGTCAGCAGAGTAAACAGACAACTCACAGAGTGGGACAAAACCTTCACAATCTATACATCTGATAAAGGACTAATATCCACAACCTACAACAAACTCAAACAAATTAACAAGAAAAAAAAACAAACAATCCCATCAAAAAGTGGGCCTAGGACATGAATAGACAATTCTCAAAAGAAGATATACAAATGGCCAACAAACATGAAGAAAAGCTCAACATCACTAATGATCAGGGAAATACAAATAAAAACCAAAATGCAATATGATCACCATACTCCTGCAAGAATGGCCATAATAAAAAAATTTAAAAAAAAATAGATGTTGGTATAGATGCAGTGAAAAGGGAACCCTTCTACACTGCTGGTAGGAATGTAAACTAGTACAACCACTATGGAAAACAGTGTGAGATTCTTTAAAGAACTAAAAGTACAACCACCATTTGATCCAGCAATCCCACTACTGGGTATCTACCCAGAGAAAAATAAGTCATTATACAAAAAAGATACTTGAACCCACACATTTATAGCAGTACAATTTGCAATTGCAAAAATGTGGAACCAACCCAAATGCCCATCAATCAATGAGTGGATAAGGAAACTGTGGTATATATCGATATATATGATGGAATACTACTCAGCCATAAAAAGGAATGAATTAATGGCATTTCCAGCAACCTGTATGGGATTGGAGACTATTATTGTTAGTGAAGTAACTCAGGAATATAAAACCAAACATCATATGTTCTCACTCATAAATGGCAGCTAAGCTAGGATGCAAAGAATGACACAATGGAATTTGGGGACTCGGGGAAAGGGTAGGAAGGAGGAGAGGGATAAAAGTCTACAAGTCAGGTTCAGTGTATACTGCTCAGGTGATGGGTGCACCAAAATCTCACAAAATACCACTAAAGAACTTACTCATGTAACCAAATACCACCTGTTCCCCAAAAACCTGTGGAAATAAAAAAAAAAAAGTAAACAAATAGTATTGTACAAATACAAAATAAATGAAAAGGAAAATAAAATAAAAAAAAGAAAGAAATTCCTTTACCCATGTCACCCTAGAAAGAAAGAAACCAAAAATCATGTGGAACAAAAGGAATGAAAAGACCTCAGGTCACTTTCTGCTGCTACATTTCCAGATACACTCTGTTTTAAATCTTCTATTTTATTACACGTAGGTATTTTATCTTGGTACCAGCAATCTTTCTTCTAAGAATCTATCCCAAAAACACAATGAAAAAAGACCAAATGGCATAAACACAAGGCCATTACTGGCAGAACAAATCATAACAACAGGAGACTAGAAATAAAACAAATGTCCACCAATAAGTGGTTTATTGAATAATCTAAGGTATATCTATATCCTAGAATACTATGCAGCAATAAAAAGCAAGGACTCCTTCTCTATACTGCTATGTATTGATCTCTAGAATATATTCTTAAGCGGAAAAAAATGAGGTGCAGAAATATGTCTGAGCTGTTGCTGTTTATTATGGTAGACACTAGCCACATATGGCTATTTAAATTTAGGTTGATTAAATTTAGATGAAATAAATAATTCAGTTCTTCAATTACAATCACCACATTTTGGGTGTTCAAGAACCACAGGGACCTAGTGGCTACTGTGGTGAACAGTGTAGACAGAGACTCTTTATCTCTGCAGAAATCATATTGGACTCCACTGAAGTAGAGTAGCCTACTTTTAAACCATAAAATAGGAGAAAATAATGTATTTGCTTATAATTTTAAAATTAGAAGGTCAAAACAAACATTGATAAAAATGATTATGCATAAAGGGATAGAACAGCAGCCCAGGATTAAAGACAATCATGTGTATTATCTCAAAATATAATACATATTTAATGGTTTTAAGCACTGAAAAGGATAAGTAATAATGACCAACCCAATAGTAATGGGCAACTCTAGTACCAAGAATGAGACCTCTAAAACATTTCCCACTAAAAAGAACCAGACTCCTTTGGAAAAAATGTCTGACTCCAGGTCTGGGGTAGGAATGGTACCAGAGGAGTCTAGACCAAACTAACATACTCAAAACCATGTCAAGAATAAGTTGAGCTAAAGAAGCTTCCATTCACAAAGACAGAAAAATCTGAACATCAATAAAAATATTGCAATAGGTTAAAACACATCAGATATAGAAACATCTAGAGCTTATGAAAACACTTTAAAATAATAATAGAATAGAACAAAAGAAAACAAAACAAAATCAACTCACTGCTCCCCTCTGAAGAATCCTAGAACAACCCATTATTTTGAAAAGTAGAAATATAACAAAAGAATTAAGCATTCATCTTATTTTCCTATGCATACTATACTAACCTATAGTTGATGAGGGGATGTTTCTTTTATAGAATAATTCAAGCTAATAAATGCCAAAAATAGAATTAGAACATCACCTTGCTACAACTTTTAATGAAATGTGGACTTATACACATTTAGAGGCTGCAAAATACTTGAGGTATAATGCAGATGGGAATTTTTATAATCAATAAATCTAACAACTTTTGAACCTAGTGATCAATCTTAACATCGTAAGAGGAGAGACAACTAGATACAATTAACCTCCTCATGGTATAATGCTTTAGGAATAAACAACACCACAGATTTTTCTGCCAAAAAATCTGAATTGGATCAAGACTCTAAATCTAATACAAATTTAAAGGAAAAGAAGTTGCCAGTGGAATATAATAAACAACACAATAAGGATATAAGTCAGCAAAATCCACAAAGCAAACTCCATAGGGCAAAATATCTTAAGCAAATAAATTGGAATGTGTGATGGTTAATTTTATGTGTCAACTTGACTGAGCAACAAAGGTCCCAGATATTTGGTCAGACATTATTCTGGGCTGGACATGGTGGCTCATGCCTGTAATCCCAGCACTTTGAAAGGCCGAGGTAGGCAGGTCACTTGAGGCCAGGAGTTCAAGACCAGCCGGGCCAACAGCCAAACCCTGTCTCTACTAAAAATACAAAAATTATCCAGGTGTGGTGGCACACGCCTGTAATCCCAGCTACTCAGGTGGCTGAGGCAGGAGAATTGCTTGAACCTGGGAGGTGGAGGTTGCAGTGAGCCGAGATGGTGCCACCGCACTCTAGCCTGGGCAACAGAGAGAGATCCTGTCTAAAAAAAACCAAACAAACAAACAAAAAAAAACCGTTATTCTTGGTGTGTCTTTGATGGTGTCTCTGGATGAGATTAACATTCAAATGGGTGAACTGAGTAAAGAAATTTGCCTTCTCTAATGTGCATGGGCCTCGTCCAATCAATTGAAGATGTAAACAGAACAAAAAGGCTGACCAGGAGGAATTTCTCTGCCTCATTTTCTGAACTGAAACATTGGTCTTTTCCTGCCTTTGGACATGAATTCAAATCACCTTTTCTTGTGTTTCTAGCCAGCAAGCTTTTGGCCTGGAATTTACAACATTAACTCTCCAGATTCTCAGACCTTCAGTTTTGAATAGGAACTATACCACAGGCTCTCTTGGAAATCAAGTTTGCCTACTGCAGATGTTGACAAATCTCAGCCTTCATAATTACATGAGCCAACTACTTATAATAAATCTTTATCAGTATGGTTCAACTTATAATTTTTCAACATTATGGTGGTACAAAAGTGATATCCATTCAGTAGAAACTGTACTTTGAGTACTCATACACCTGTTTTTCACTTTCTGTACAGTATTCAATAAATTACAGAAGATATTCAATACTTTATTATAAAATAGACTTTGTATGGAATGATTTTGCCCAGGTGTAGGCTAATGTAAGGGTTCTGAGTGTGTTTAAGGCAAATTAGGTTAAGCTATGATGTTCAGTAGGTTAGGTGTATTAAGTGCATTTTTGACTTATGATATTTTCAACTTAGGATAGGTTTATTGGGATGTAACTCCATAATAAGTCAAGGACCCTCTGTGTGTTTGTGTGTGTGTGTGTACATATATGTGTGTGTTTGTGTGTGTATATACATACAAGCATATCTCTGTTTTATTGCATTTCACAGATATTGCATGTTTTACAAACAGAAGTTTTATGGCAACCTTGCATCAAGCATGTCTATTAGCACCATTTTTCCAATAGCATGTGCTCATTTTGTGTGTCTGTCATATTTTGGTAATTCTCACAATATTTCAAATTTTTTCATTATTATTGTAATAGCTATTGTGGTGATCTGTGAACAGTGGTCTTTGATTTTACTGTTGTAATTGTTTCGGGGCAGGCACCACAAACTACACCCATCTAAGATGACTAACTTAATTGATAAATGTATGTGCTCTAACTGCTTCACTGACTGGCTGTTTCTCGGTCTCTCTCCCTGTCCTCAGGCCTCCCTATTCCCTGGGACACAACAATATTGAAATTAGGCTATTATATTAACCCTATAATGGCTTTGAATGTTCAGGTGAAAGGACGAGTCCCATGTCTCTCACTTTAAATCAAAAGCTAGAAATGATTACACTGAGTAAGCAAGGCATGTCAAAAGTTGAGACAGGCCAAAAGCTAGGCCTCTTGCACCAAACAGCCAGGTTGTGAACACAAAGTAAATGTTTTTCAAGGAGATTAAAAGTTCTCCTCTAGTGAACACATGAATGAAAAGAATGCAAAACAGCCTTATTGCTGGTAAAGAGAAAGTTTTAGTGACCTGGATAGAAGATCAAATCAGCCACAACATTCCCTTAAGCCAAAGCATAATCCAGAGCAAGGCTCTAACTCTATTCAATTCTATGAAGGCTAAGAAAATGTGAGGAAGCAGCAGAAGAAAAGTGTAGCCAGAAGAAAAGCTGGAGCTAGCAAAGGTTGGTTCGTGAGGTTTAAGGAAAGAACCCATCTCCACAACATGAAAGTGCAAGGTGAAGTAGCATGTGCTCATGTAGAAGCTACAGCAAATTATCCAGAGACATAGGTAAAATAATTGACGAGGGTTGCTATACTAAACAAAATATTTTCAATGTAGAGAAAACAGTTTTATAGTGGAAGAAGATGCCATGTAGAACTTTCATAGCTAGAAAGTAGAAAACAATGCCTGGCTTCAAAGCTTCGAAGGACAGACTAACTCTTTTTTTTAGGGGTTAATAAAGCTGGTGACTTAAAATTGAAGCCAATGTTCAATTACCATTCTGAATATCCAAGGGCCCTTAAAAATTATGCTAAATATACTCTGTCTGCATTCTAGAAATAAAACAACAAGCCTAAATGACAGCACCTCTGTTTACAGCATGGTTTACTGAATACTTTAAGCCCGCTATTGAGGCCTACTGCTCAGTGATTCCTCTGGTGGACCCAGGCAAAGTAAATGGAAAAATCTTCTAGAAAGAATTCATTTTAAATGCCATTGTGAACATTGTGATTCATAGGAAGAGGTCAAAATATCAACATTAAAAGGAATTTGGAAGAAGTTGATTCCAACCCTCATGGATGACTTTGAGGGGTTCGAGACCTCAGTGGAAGAATAACTGCAGATGTGATGGAAACAGCAAGAGATCTAGAATTAAAGTAGAGCTTGAAGATGTGATGGAATTGCTGCAATCTCAAGATCAAACTTGAACAGATAAGGAGTTTTTTCTTCTGGATGAGTAAAGAAAGTGGTTGGTTGAGATGGAATCTACTTCTGTTGAAGATGCAGTGAGCATCATTGAAATGACAACAAAAGGTTTAGAATATTACATAAACTTGATAAAGCAGTGGCAGGGTTTGAAAGATTGACCTTAATTTTGAAATAACTTGAACTCTGGGTAAAACGCTATCAAATAGTATCACATGCTTATGGAAAAATCTTTTGTGAAAGGAAGAGTCAATGGATGCAGCAAACTTCATTGTTGTCTTATCTTAAGAAATTATTAGAACTGTGCCAACTTTCAGCAACCACCACCCCGATCTGTTAGCCATCAACAGCATCAAGGCCCTCTACCAACAAAAAGATAATAATTCACTGAAGGCTCAGATGATTGTTAGCAGTTTTTAGCAATAAAGTCTTTTTAAATTAAGGTAAGTACACTATTTTTATAGACATAATGCTATTTGCATATTTAATAGACTACAGTAGTGTAAACATAACTTTTATATGCAGTGGGAAACCATAAAATTCATGTGACTTGCTTAATATGGTATTTGCTTTATTGCAGTGGTCTGCAACTAAACCTGTAATATCTCTGCAATGTCTCTGTGTGTGTGTGTGTATATATATATATACACAGATATACATACATACATATATGAGTGTATGTGTATATATGTGTGTATATATATACACATATATCACACACATATACATATATATGTACACATATATATATGAGTCGTTCTGTTTTGTTGGAGAACTCTAAGTAGAAGGTTGAAAAAAAGGATGGACCTTCTTTGAATTAAAAGGGACTTGACACTTTGGAGAAATTACAATTAAAACCAGTAGGAGATAGTACCACATGCTCACCAGAACAACAAAAATGGAAAAGATGGAAAATACCAAGTGCTGGTGAGGATATGGATTAAGTGAAACTCTCACACACTGCTGGTGGGAATATAGATTGAAAAAAAAAAACACTGTAAAAACTGCTTGGTGGTATCTATGGAGCCACACACAGACATACCCTATGACTCAGGAATGCTATTCTTTGGTATATGCCCAAGAGAGATGAAAATATATGTCCATCTATTTGATACAAACAAAAATGTTCGTATGATCATTACTCATGATAAGTCAAAAACTGGAAAATACCCAAGTTTTTATAACAGATAACTATATTGTGAAGTATCCAAACAATATAATACTTTACAACAACGAGAATGAATAATCTACAACTACAAACAACAATACATGTTAATCTCACACACATTATGTTGATTGAAGGGAGCCAGACACAAGAGAGTGCATGCTGTATGATTCCAGTAATATTTCTTCTAACCTCCTGATAAAGCTTGAGGAAGGAGAATATCAACAACCTATTTCTTTTTCTTTTAAGTTACTTAGTGTCCTCTTATGTTATGTAGCTTAACCTCAGAGAAGCAAAGCAAGTTTCTTCTGAGCCCTTTAGAAGTGAACAACTGCATATAAGATCAAAAGCTAATACTATGTCTGGTGGACAGACAACTGGGTGTGAGTGATTCAGACGAGAATCATACATGGATGCGCAGTCTGCACAAAATCCCACAGTAGTCAATGAGTCACCATGGTAACCATGCTGGCCAAGGAGAAAGGTGGAAAAAAAGCAAAGAATAATCACTCTGATTTGGTTCATAAAATGTGCGAAGAATTGAAAGAGACTGACATGACCACATTAACACTCCTTAAGTGTTCCTAACAATAGATACTCATCACAACTTCAGTGATATAAACATATATATATATATATATATATATATGTGCATGTACATACACTGATATATCCACATGCTCTCTCGCTCTCTCTCACCACCAAAGAACTCATGATTCATCAGGTAAGGAAGAAAAACACAATTCAACTGATTCAATTCTAACCACAAATATAAAATTGGAAGTACTATAACTATTCTTTTATAGATTGATCTTTCTAGAGTTGACCTGTAGATTGTCTTTAGGCCTTTTCTTCTCTTCTTGAGTTGGATGACTCAGTTTTGTTATGATGTCTGTTCTCCCCAAAATGATCTATGCTTTCAATGGAATCCCAGTCAAAATACTAGCATAAATTTTTTTCTAGAAATTAACAAGTTGATATTAAAATTCATGTGGAATTCCCTCAATTTTTGTTTTTCTGATTTAAAGTCTTTTAAAAAATGTAAAACGAGGCTAAAACTGATAGACTGCAAGGAGAAATATTAATACATGAATCAAATTGCTAGGGACATCTTCTAACTAACTGCATAGTTCAACCCCCATCTGGGAGATAAATGGGAATGACTTATACAGTCAGAAAAAATATGTATTTATTACAAGTGCATATTAAGATCAAGTTCTTTCTTCAGTGTGGGTAATTCATTGCTTTCAAAGCAGGCATCACTTAGATGGGTGTCAAGGGCTACTTCAAAGCATACAGTTGCTGATGAAAGGAAATTCCACCCGCTAAACCTCTTCCCCAGTGATGAGATGAAAGTAGCTTCTTTATTTTTAAGCTATTTTGTGAACCTCACAGGAGCTATTCCACCACATGCTTTTGTTCAGGTCCATGAACTCACCATAAGCAGGTGTCATGTCCTACCAGGGATGTAAGTGCTGGTGGTCTCCTAGGATTGTTGCCCTTTAAGTCAGGAGTAGAAGCTTTGGCAGCCATCATGACCCAAATCCTCAGAATCTGCCTCTTTCAGACACCTGATATGAGCTCAGACATCCACATGAAGAGCTGTACAAGGAGAAAGAGAATCCAGCAATCACTGTGCTTTCTTAGAGTAACTATGTGCCTGGCACCATGCTAGGCACTGGGTTAGTGAACAATGACACTGATACAATTGGGTAGTGATCATAACAATTAGAAGGGTCGTCAGTGGGTTTCTCACTAGGACCTTTTTCTTCTCCTTTCCTCATCTATCTTCTAACAACAAAATTGAAAAGGAATGAGAAGTGACCTCAACTCACACAGGTATTCCTGATTCTGCAATAACCACAGGGCTATGGGCTTGCATTTGTGTTATTACAATCCCGGTTGCAGCAATCCTGTATGTGAGCATTCTTATCCCCATTTTACAGAAGGGGAAGCTGAGGTCAAAGAGAGTCATTACCAGTCTCATCCTCCCATGCCTGGCCTTTATGTGGAAAGTAGCTACAGGACACCCTGGAGCAATACATGACACTCACTGGGGTGAGAAGAGTCCTATGTCTCTCTCATTCATCCCAGGGCAGTTCAGCCCCCACCATGGGGCACCCACAACCTCAACTGAGTCCCAAACACCTGAAGGCAGGACCTTGCTCTCATAGCCATATTATTCTAGGTCTTCTGCTCTATTAAAAGATGCAGAAGCCCCATAATGACTTCAGGTTTCCATGGCAACTGTGATGCATTGACTTGTCCTCTATGTCTCACACACCTTTGCATAGTTCCTTTGCCTATAGCTGAAAGCATATAGACCACTTTAGACCACCACCTGCAAAAGCATACTCACTAGAGGAACTAGGCTGGGACCCAGGCAATTGGGGAAACTCTGCCCAGTTTGGTAGAAGAAAGCAGGTCCCTGTGGTCAAAAATTTTATTTGTTTAAAAGTGACAGTAGAGGAGTATCACCAGTATCCAGAGACCCAGGACGTACCCCAGGGCTCTTGGTGATGAGCTAGCCCTCTGAAAGTGAACGTGCAAAACTCATACATTATGCTAAGTGGTTAGTCATCTGTGGCGGAAAACTAGAGAATGTCTATAATCATATTTATGATTAAAATGATCTAAAATACCATAAAATGTCATTTAAGGAATCTCAAATTTATTTCATGGAAGCAGGCCTATAATAATATCATCATTTAGTAGGCAGACATCTAGTCAATTCAATAACACATTGGGTTATCCTGGAAAATTTTTATCCTACATTTTTGATACTTTTTCCATGTGGAGAGACATCCATGAAAAAAAAAAAAAGAAAAAAACAAAAACACATGTAGCCTCTCTACACACTCACTCCTTCTCTATCGCAGGAATGACTTAACCGACTGGTAAGTTTGAAAGGAGAAATGGGTTGTTCACCCCAGGTCCTCTCCCTTCAAAACTCTAAATAGTAAGCCGCCCTTCAGGAGCAATCATCCTGCTCTGTCCTCAGGGATGGGTCTTACAACAGGCCTACAGCTCTACTCCCCTTTCTGTGCCTCACTGGCTCCTCAACTCTTTCTATGGTCTTGCTTTACAATGCTTTTGTGTTTAAGAAGCCCCCAAAATACCTTCCTGCTCTTAGTCTGAACTCTAAACCAACTAAAAAAATCACAAAAAAGTAATAAGCATAATACATTGATTTTATTCCTCATAAAAGTGATATTGGAGAATATGACTTAGATTTACTGTCACATGGGCTTTCTATGAATGAACCCCAGAACTGGACAGATTAGTCCATCCAGCAGTGCTGCATTGGGACAGTCACAAAGGCCAAGGACTGCAATGAACAGTTAACTACCTGCTGTCTCCTGAAGGAGCCCTGACTATGTGTACCCAAGGAAAGTAATCTCCTTGCCAAGGGCTATCCCTGTAGCAGGAGAAAGTATCTCAGGACACCTTCTTTGAAAAACAGTTCACAAGTGATAGATAACCCTTGTCCCAATAGCATATTCATCAAGCAACCTGCTGAAGATATGATTTTCCATATGGCTTGGGAGGAGCGTGTAGTAGCAGCCTCTGAATTCCTTAAAATGAGTGATTGCAGTGGAAGCTCCTTTTATGGAGGGGGATTTGAATTAGGTTCTAAATTCCAAGAGTGGGTTGAAAATCATATATTGTGAAATTTTCCCTTGAAAAATCCCTTCAAGAAGGAATTGAGGAAATGTTCAGAATTCAATACCCACACATAAACTCATATGCAGATTATGGCAAAATATATAACAAAGTCCTACCAAGGCTTTAAGGCTAAGAGAATCTCTACAAATTCCAGTATAATAGATTAGAGAAAAAGAGGGAAAGTTCACCAAATCCACATGTTTTGGATATTCATTTCTACTTAACAAAACGTCCCAAACAATAGCCATTTATTATCTCTCAGGATTTTGTGAGTTCACTAGGCTTCGCTGGATGATTTCTGCTCAATGTGGTATCTGTCATCAGGGACTGCAATCATCTAAATACAGAAAAATGCATCCTGGGACTTCCAAAAAAGCTCACTTACATGGATGACTGATGCTGGCATCTGCTGGGAGCTTAGTAGGGGCTACTGTGTAGAGCACCTTGGTTCAATACAGAGTCTTCTATGGGAAGGGTAGAAAGATAAAATAGAGTACATCTAGGTAAATCTGAATGTTTTAGTGTATATAATTTTGTTTATCTGAAGTTCAAATTCAACTGGTCATACTGTTTTGTTTTGTTTTAAATCTGGAAAGTCTAAGGGGTGACCCTGTGAATCTGTAAGTTTAATGACCATCTGATATGATTCTTCCAATGGGAAAGGTCTGGCGAAAACAAGCAGATCAGATTGTCAAAAAAAAAAAAACAAAACAAAACAAAACAAAAAAGACAAAAGCTGGTAACACCTGGTGTCTGTGGAACAAAGGGGCAATGAACACTTGGATACACTGCTGGTGCCAAATTGGTGTATATATTTTTTGAGGTCCACATTATTACAACTTCATAACTTGAATGGCCTTCAATACAGAAGTCCTATTTCACCAACAAAAGAGTTTCAAATGAGGGTTTAGAAAGGGATCCCAAAGTGATTTTGACCTGCAATTTGGTTAAGGAAGCTTGGGTGAGGGGGCAGGTTAGGAGTCATATGAACTTTTGGCCACAAAGAGGAAAGATAGCTAATATTTATGAAGCCGATTTTTAGCCAAGCCTAGTGCTACATTCTTCGCGTTAGTAGTTGGAATTAACCCACATAACAGCCCTGCTAGTGAGGTGTTGCTATTCTCTCTCCACAGACGGATGTGACTACAAAGCACATATTCCTTACCAGAGAAGGATGGCAAAGACATTGCTCACCAGGCCTACTGCTAGAGCCAGGAATAGAATCTGTCAATGTGGGCACCCTGAGGTGCTGGTGGCATTTCCAGCAAGGATCCAAGTTTGGTGCCCCTTCCCCTTGCTTCAGGAATGGTTTGTGGCAGAGCTAGAAGCAGAAGCTTCAGACATGAAGCCAGTATTTCTTCCATCTTTTATGAAAACTTAAGGAAAGGATTGGGCTGCTTATTATCTTGTAGGAAAGGGAGGACCTCTGAGGACACAGAGAAGGGAGAGGAAGAGAGATTTCTCCCAGACAGGAATGATGTCAGAGGTCTACAGGTCCCTCTAGGAGTAGGAACCTGAGAACTGCTCCATATCAAAGCTTGGAGTGGCTCCTGGATGGTCCACCTAGAGTGGGTATTCAACGTGAGACAGATTTTTCTGTTTGGATCAAAGGATAGATAACAGTGGTAGCATTTTTTTCTTATTTCTTGTATGTTTGATGCTCTGGCATCTGAGGCCTTGCTAACTGGGGAGGGACTACTCTGTCCAGGGTCAGCTAATTCCTAGTCCTAACAAAGAACTCACCTAAGGAGCACACCTTTTATATTCAAACTAACTAATACAGAGCACCTACACATACACACTCACACCTCCTCTACTGGGCTCTTATACTCCAGGCCAATAGTACCCTCCCCTAATCATACCAGAACCTGATTCTGTCAGAGGCATTTGAACCAGAGAAACTCTATTTTGAATAGGGGCTAAGTAAAATAAGGTTGAGACCTACTGGGCTGTATTCCCAGAAGGTCAAGGCATTCTTAGTCACAGGATGAGATAGGAGGTCATAAAGACTTTGCTGATAAAACGGGTTGCAGTAAAGAAGCCAGCTAAAACCCAACGAAACCAAAATGGCTATGAAAGTGACCTCTGGTTGTCCACACTGCTATTATAATGCATTAGCATGCTAAAAGACACTCCCACAAGCATCAAGACAGTTTACAAATGCCATGACAACATCAGGAAGTTACCCTATATGGTATAAAATGAGGAGAAACCTTCAGTTCTGGGAACTGCCCACACCTTTCCCGGAAAACTCATGAATAATCCACCCCCATGTTTAGCATATAATCAAGAAATATCCATAAAAATGGGCAACCAGCAGCCCTCGGGGCTGCTCTACCTATGGAGTAGCCATTTTTTTATTCTTTTACTTTCTAAATAAACTTGCTTTCACTTTACTCTATGGACCTGCCCCAAATTCTTTCCTGAGTGAGATCCAACAACCTTCTCTTGGGGTCTGGATCAGAACCTCTTTCCAGTAACAATTCCAGACAACTTAGGACAGCCCCTGCACCACAGAACCTACTGAAATTATTCCGAGTAGTCAGTCCTAAGCCTAATTATCCTGCCTTGTCTGTCATTTACCACGGAAAACCACAATAAAGGCTTTTGCCACGTTTACCTCCTGCCTAAATTGGTGGACTCTGAGTGGACTTATGTGGAATGGAGAGCGCCCCCTCTTGGGAACTTTGAGTAATAAACTATCTCCTTAATGGCAGTTGTCTCCTGATCCCTTGGCCTCACTATCCTAAATAATAAAACCTACATTGTAAAACAGTGCCTCAGGAAGAGGGGACTTGAAGGCTCTGAGTCAGCAAAGAAAATGGGCAGCTTCCTGAGTCATGTGGACAGATGAGTGATGACTGCCAGAGCTCTTCCTGCTATATCAGGAGGCTAAATTCCCACAAGTGTAACTGTTTCCTCAAAAAGCATGAAAATTTAACATTGCTGTACTGTCTAATTGAACTGTACAATCCTTTTATTAATATGTATCCCAACCAACTATGAGAAGAGAGCACCTGCTTTTACAGATTTGAACAAATAAGTTTCATAAGACTTTTTAAATATTTGCTGCTGATCTGATATCCTGGCGTTATAATGTTAGATTCCTTTTCATTTTTTTATCACATTTTTAAATAAATGACATAGTTTACATTTATGCCTCAGAATATATCATAGAATAATTATTGAGTTTAGAAATAAACCCTGATGACTGATAGTGTGTGTTTACACTACATCCCATTTAAATGGAAAATGTAGGTGAAAAGAACTTCATACACTAATGGGGAAGAACAAATTGGTACAATGTCTTTGCAGAGACATTTGTCAACATCTATGAGAAAACAAAATGAGGCCCCCATCAGATGCTACTCTCTTAATCACGGACTATAGAGAGAAACACACATGTTGCACCAGAAAAGGTATACAAGCATGGTCACAACAACATGTCTAGTCATATCAAAACAATCCCAAAGTCATCTTATTAGAGAAATCTCAGAAACATTATCTTCAGAGGATGAAAAGCTGGATAACAGCACTAACTTAGCTAAAAGTATGGAAACAATTGTATGCCTTGTGTAATTCTCTCACAAGAAGTCTGTGAGGAAGGCATCATTATTTCCAGTTTACAGATTACCAACTCAGACTCACTGATGGAAAATCAATTTTGCAGAGGCATCTAGTAATGATCAGGAGTGGGGATGTAACTCTTACTCTCCTCAAAGGACAACATATGATCTCCTTTTAGAGATGATGACCATCTAGGACTTAAACACTTGTCGTTTTTTTATGTTGCTAGGATTATGCCCTTATGCGTACTCACTCAACAACCTCTCTCTCTGAAGAAGCTGATGGTGCAGATGAAATCCCACTGCAAGGTCCTGTGGGTGGTAATGGGTCTAGCATGAGGGTCAAGGGCTTGTGACTCCTACCTCCTCTTCATCTGCACTCTCTTCATTTGAGACTCAATGGGAAACTGCTTTTCCAATATCAATCTAGAAGATCAAACAAGGGAGGAGAAAATGACAAGGAATTAAAGAAAATGGTTCAATGAGCTTCTTCAGTCTCCCTCAATCCTTCAGCAAAGTTCTCCTGCAACACAGAAATGGCCCCAGTGCTTCATTCACAATGTTCTACTTCCTGCTCCATTTCCTGGTGGTCTTTGTGGCAGTTATGCTGGTTGGATTAGGTGACAGTCATCATTTCTCTGAGAGGGAAGGAAAAGGTGGGCCAGGACAAACATTTGTTGAAGTCCTACTAGGTGCCATCTACTCTGTACAGGATTTCCAATTTACCCCACAGAACAGTTCTGTGAGGAAGGCATTGTGAGTTCCTTTTACAGATGACCAAGAACAGGCTGACAGAGGCTAAGAAAGGATTCCAGTGTCATACATCAAGTAAGGGACAGGAATGAAGTTACAGCTTTTGCCATCATCACAATGTCCATGCATTCTCAATAAAGGAGATATTGTCCCCAAGGGGCTGAAAATTGATTCTGGAGGGTGGGGAGATGGTAGACGTTACAATGGTTTGTGGCACTACAATGAACCACACAGCACACAAACAGTTAACACTATATCTGTGCTATTAAAATTTCATGTTCCAGGCAGGAAGGAGCTAACGAGAAAAAAAATGAATGTCTAAAAAGCCTCCTTTGGATCATAAATAATGAAAGAAAGTTAAGAAACATTGCATGTACTCGGGGACTTCTGCGGATGATGAGCCACCAAGGCTTAGGGACTAGTCACTTTACAATCCCTCATGGATGCTCACTCAACAACCCCTCTTGGTGATGATGAGGATAATGATGAAATCCTGCCCCTAGGGCCAAGAGACCTGTGTATGGGAACCATGTGAACTGACTGTCTTTTAAGATGGCAGACAGGGGCTCAGTCAGACAACAGGTATTTCTTCTGGGAGAGATGATATTAATGTTTTTAAAATTGTAATCATATCATACTCTAAGTTGTATATCCTTTAACCTTCACCTTCATCCAGGTAACCTATTGTGAAATCCATAGTTTAGGTCAGGTTATAGGAAGTTAGGAGAGGTTAAGTAAATCAGGGGAACTATGTTGTTAATGCCTGCTCGGTAATAGAACCTGGAGTTTCATTAAAGCTTTGTGCCCTGAGGCTGCCAGGAATCTGAGTGCTCCAATCTCCCTGGCACTCATGTTCCAGTCTGCACCACAGATACCAAGATGTTGGAGTTTCTATTGTGATGCATTTGTTCAATAAAATATCCCAGCATTTAACATAGGTATACATGAATCCATACCAATATAAACAAAAGTTTGAATTAATAAAGAAATAGGTGAGAGAAGGAAAATTGTCTTTTTCAAATAATTCTAAGTGAAATATGTAGCTATCTGCTCTCCCTGAGGTCAAGCTTAATTTTGCACCCCACTTGCTGAGGGTAGGGCTGATTTTGTGACTTTCTCCTAAAGAACAGAGTAGGGAATGAAAAATGGTTATTAGAAACTTGACAGACACCACTTTCACCAAGTGATGAAACATTATCACCAGTGACTTCATGTGGGCATTATGTAAACCCAGATATGATGTGACAAGAAGGGCACTTCAACTCTGTGGCATTCTTTCTCAAAACCTTTAACACTAGTCTAATCACAAGAAAAACTAAGTCTGTATTTCTCAAGACAATCAGTCATGAAAATCATCTGGCAGTTCCTCACATGGATAGAGTTATCATATGACCCAGCAATTCCATTCCTAGGTACACACCCAAGATCAACACATTTATCTACATAAAAACTTGTACACAAATGTACATAGCAACCTTATTTGCAATAGCCCAAAACTGGCAGCAACCCAAATGTCCACTAATTGATTAATGTGTTTAAAATGTGATATATTACGATTATTCTTTGCCAATAAAAGGAATGAAGTATGGATATGCCATAATATAGATGAACCTTCAAAACATATGTGAAGTGAAAGTAGATATATGCAAAAGACCAAATATTATATAATTGCATTTACATGAAATTTCTGGAGTAAAGAAATCCACAGAGACACCAAGCATATCTGTGGTTTGAGGCTTGGGGTGGGAGCAAGGATTAATTGCATTCAAGCATGATGAGACTTTTTGGAGTGATGGAAATGTCTAAAACTTAGTTATGGGATGGTTGAACAATGCTATACATTTAATAAAATTCATCAAATTATGCCCTTTAAATGCGTAAATTATATTGTCTGTAGGTTTAGCTGCAAGAAAGCTGTTAAAAAATATGATATTGATCTGGTCTTCTGACATTGATTTGACGTACCTGCTTCATATAAACGTGAATGTATACAACTGTTGCTATATCCCAATCTGCTAACTCTTTCCTGTGTTCCTCCAAGCAATGACTGTGCCCTTTCCCCTCATGCTACCTTGGGTTTTGCTTGTGTGCAAAATTGGTAACTTCTGATCACTTCCACATCCTCCAATTATGGTAGTGGCTTGAGAGTTGATCCATGACAAAGTCCAGTGCCTGCCTTGTGTGACTAGATGTCAACATTACTAGTTTCTTCATTCCTCTGCAGCCACATGACTCCACTTGGGAAGCCTAAACGGAACTACCTTTATGGGTGTCAGTATGGCAATACCTAGCAAAGGGTTACGTAGGTATACACCTTTTGCACCAACAATTCTCTTTTAGAAGTTTATCTTCGGGACATAGTGGAAGATGTTGATGGGGATCCAGTGTTAAGGCCTGTCATCCTGATAATTCCCTTCCTTCACTGCAGAGCCTGAATTTAGAGACCAAATGAAACCTAAGGCCATAAAGGGGCAGAAGGAAGAGAGAAACGTAGTTGTCAGCACACACGAACTCTCTCTTATACAATAATCATGTTCTGTTATCACAATACCAGAATTCTCCTAGGAGGAACACATTCTGCTCACCAGTACAAACAGCTATGGGAACTGTGCCCTTTTGTAGTGCACAGACTTTGAAAAGATTTCATCCACAGAATGTGAGTAATAGGAACTATCAGAATACTCTGAATAACATAGAGTTGTAAAACTGATAATATCACATCCATAGGATGGAATTCTAGAAGGTAGCAAAAACAAATTATAATAAAAATAATCATGAAAAAATGATTTCTTGCAGACAAGATTAATGATTCACATTATTTTTAATGTGTGGAAAAACAGGCATTTTCATACTGTGATATAAGGAATATAAATTAGTAATAGTATTTTGAAGAATATTATAGTTCAAAGGATTTTGAAATGACATTTTCAGGAACTTATAAATAAATGCTCACAAAGACATTTGCATCTATATGAGCATAGTGTTAAGTATACTATTGTTTGTAATAGAAAAAAATAGTAAGGGAACTAAATTTTTGTAATTAGGATACCAATTAAATAAATTTTAGGGCATCCACATGATGAGATGATACCCAGGCCACTAAAAAAATGACACTAAAATTTTGTTGTAGTTATTTCAAATGTTATCATAAAAATATATTTACACAGAAAGGTAATCACAATAACAGTGAAAGTGGATTACAAAAATCATAAATGGTCTGATCCCATTTTTGCTTATATAGGCTTCTAGCTATTTAACCACAAGTCTCAACACATAAACATTAAAATGATCTTTTAGTTCCTCTCACATACCTCTTTCTCTTTAACATACTAAAAACCTGTACTTCCTGCTTAGAGGCCTTCAGTATCTTTTTTTGCCTGTGTATGCCACCTTTTACGCCCAGACTTCCAGAAAGTTCTATCTTGTAAGTTTGGACCACAGTCCCTCCCTTTCACCTTCCAGCTTACACTAGTTCAGGCTGCAGTTCAGGCTGCAGTTCAGGCTTCTGTTACAAGGTGGCACCAATGCACCTCCACTATCAAACTTTTTTGCAAAGAAGTGTATACAAAAACCAAAAAATACAATACCTTCCTAAAAACCTAGCTTATTAACCTTTATGGAACCATTCGAATGATTCAAATTCTGCCTGAAAAAAACTTAAAAGTGCAAGAGGACTGTAAAACAACAACAACAACAACAACATACTCTGGGGCATCCATATGATGGAACACCAGGTAGCTCTACTGCCCCTTGATAGTCACTGGCTGGAAGGCATAACGTGGGGCAGGGCCAGCAGGAGGTGACTGACAGAGGAGAGGGGCAGCGGAATGGGGTCTGGGCTGCTATGTTCACAGTATCCTGGAGACTAAGAGGGGTAGGCGAAGGTCTGAAAAGCCTGTACAGGTTGGGGTAATGAAGGATAACCACTCTGCTCTCTGGGAGGGACTCCTCTACACTGTGAACACCCCAACCTAAACTTTACTGATGAGGTAAGAGATAAATCTATAAATGCGAGGTAGATTTGGGGTCAAGAGCAAATGGAAATGCTTTAATATACACATTTCCAATCAGAGGGGACACAATTTAACCCACTGTTTTATTGTGTTGTGCCGTGATGAAAAAGTAAGATTTTTCTTCTTCTTTTTTTTTAGATGGAGTATTGCTCTGTTGCCCAGGCTGGAGTGCAGTGGTGCAATCTTGGCTCACTGCAACCTCCGCCTCCCAGGTTCAAGCAATTCTCCTGCCTCAGCACCTGAGAAGCAGCTGGGATTACAGGCGTGCGTCACCATGCCTGGCTACTTTTTATATTTTCAGTAGAGACAGGGTTTTGCCATGTTGGCAGGCTGGTCTCAAACTCCTGACCTCAAGTGTTCCGCCCGCCTAGGCCTCCCAATGTGCTGGGATTACAGGCGTGAGCCACTGTGCCCAGCTTTCCTGTAATATATTAATATACCAAACAGTCCAGGAGCCATTAGGCAAACTCCACACTTTGCTTACCTGGTGTTATCTATCACTGAGATCACGAGGTGATCCCTGTAACTGGGATTACAGGCGTGAGCCACTGTGCCCGGCCTGAAAAAGCAAGATTTTTCTCATCATTTGAGAGGCAGCAGCACACACTGGATAGATGAATTTACTCAGGAGCCACACAGCCTGTGTTCACATCTAAGCCTTGGCACTTGCTAACTCTGTCTTCACTGTACCTCAGTTTCCTTTTTTCTAAAGTCAGGCAACAATAGATCCTTCTCATAGGTTGTGGTGAGAATTAAATAAATAAGTACAGTTGACCTTTTGTATCTGTGGATTCTGCATACATGAATGCAACCAATCTTGGACTGAAAATATTCTGAAAAGAAAATAAAAACAATACAACAATAAAATACAAATTTTAAAACCAATTTGTATAACAACATTTATATAGCACTTACATTGTATTAGGTATCATAAGTAATCTAGAGATGATTTAAAGTATATGGGAGGACGTGCATAGGTTATATAGAAATACCACCCCATTTTATATCAAGGACTTTATATATACAATGGAATATTGTATTATAAATATATATGTATATGTATGTACGTATATGTGTGTGATTATATATATACATATATGTATATATATTCATATATATATACATGTACGTATATATACGTGTGTGTGATTATATATAATATATATTACATTGTATAATTATTTATGTATATATGTGTGTGTGTATATATATAATCACACATACACACAATGGAATATTATTTTGGCCTTTAAAAAGGAGACCCCTACTATTTGTGATAGCGTGAATGAACCTGGGGGACATTATGCTAAGTAAAATAAGCTAGACATAGAAAGAAGAATTATGCATGATTTCACTTACATGTAGAATCTAAAATAGTCAAGCTCATAGAAGCATAGAGCTGTCATTACCAGGAGTGGAGATGGGGGGAAGAGGGGAGATGTTGTTCAAAGGTATAAAATTGAAGCTATGAAGGATAAATAAGCCTAGAGATCTAATATACAGCATGATGACTACAGTTAATAGTAATATAATGTACACTGTAAATTTGGTAAGAGAGTAGGTTTCAAGTGCGTTCACAAAAAAATGATAGCTATGTGAATAGATGGATATGTTAATGCGCTTCACTGTAGTAATCATTTCTATCACTTTCTCTTTCCTCTCTCCATATATATATATATTTCATTTTATAAATACATATCTTTACTTTTTGAAATGTTATAATCGAGAAAACCACTGAGGTAATAATTTTAAGATTAAATTGTACATGGTTTGACAAAAACACGTACACATACACCTACTGTTTTTGGAATATGTACAAAACATATTGCTCATGGGAGAAGCAGCAGTTTGAAATAATTGCCTAGACATAGTAGGTGTGGGTGTATTTGTGTGTGTGTGTGTGTCTATGGCTAAAACACAACAACATTGTATGTGTTTGTGTATTTAGGGCTCAAACTCTATCACGCCAAACACACACTCCCAGGTACAGCTTTCTCTCCATCTCAGAAAAGGACTGGGCTTCCTATCTTGGGGCTTAGAGATCCCAGATAGTGATGAATACACAAGATTGCTGATAATGTGTGGAAAATTCCAGAAGCTCTGGCTGACAACCATCAAGTCTAGGTCCCTACTCCCTCCTACCACTCTTGCTGAGTCACCATCTGAGAATTCTAGAGCTGTAATTACGGGCAAAGGGGATCTATCACCATTTTGGTTTTCCTTTCTTAAAAATTAAAGCTCCTAATTTTTTAGATGACCAAACAGATGTTATTCTTTAGAGTCATTCGTGAAACAGTTTGGAGAATGTGTTGCCAATTCTTTTTGGAAAATTCCTATGTATATTAAAAGGCTAAGCATAAGCTTCATTTTATGTCCACTCCATATATTTTGTTCACTGATCCATCTCCTTTGCTCGCTCTGTCTCTCATCAGTGTTGGCTGACATGTCTTCGCTCTAGAGATGGCCCCTCCCAGACAGCAGGCCATTCAAGACCCCAAGACTCCACTCCTGTACAGACTTCCTAGACCGTTTCCCACTCCCTCTCTGTCATCTCATCTCCAGGACTCTTGATGCAGCAGCTCTGACCAGTATCGCTGAATCATGCTCTGAGCTCAGAGGAGGCTGTTGCATAGCAACAGAGGCTCAGAGACAAATACAGTCTCTGGAAGGAAGAGCACTCCCAGGTAATGCTGGCACCATTAAGAAAGTGGATAAAGATAATCATACCTTCAAAACATCCTCAAAAGCAACCCACCTTCTCTCCCTGCCAGAGACACCTCACACCATGGACGCAGCCTACATTTTCTAGCCCTGTGTGCCAAGTACTCTGTGCTCTGAGCAAACGGCACCATTGGCTGAGCCTTCCATTTTCCAATGACCCCAGGGTCTGTCTCATTAACAGGGTCTCCTTAATAGGGTTATATTTGCGGAGTTTGTTTTCTGCACACACAGGATAACAGTCCATCTTCAGGACCGCCCTATAAAAGGAGTGGTGTCAGTTCCTTTTTGAGATGAGGAAACTGTGTCTCCAAGATGGTGAGAACCAAGTCTGCCTTTCCTTTGAAAAGGCAGCTTGCAGTAATTCATGAGAGCACAGAACTGAGAATCAGCAGGCCTGTGTTCTACCTCCAGCTCATGAAAGCATGTAAAAGTGCTCTAACATCTCAGGCCAGCATCTCACTTAGCCAGAGTTGATGGTCCAGATCTTCATGTACCACTGTATGGTTCCTGCTTTAAGAGACACCTGTTGCCCACCTAGTTATCTCTCCTGCCCTCCTCTCAGCTGGAGCAGGCTGTTCTGTCTCTGTCAGTAGGGTCTTTAAGTTGCTCTGAGGATTCAATCTTCCCCCACCCTCACCCCACCACCCAGCCTTCTGACAACACTAATGCTGTCCTTACAGTGTCAGAAGTCAGTTTCCAAGGCACACAAACATGGCAGGGACATCCCCTCACAGGAAATTCAGGTGCCTCTTAGGAGGGGAAGTGTGCCACCCCCCTTATTATTAGACATCACATGCATGCCAGACTAACCTGACTTAGGGCCATGGTTTTCAATCCTCTCTTACATCAGGATCCCCTCCTCTCAGGGCTTCCCTAACAGCTGACACCTCCCTAGCATTCTTCCCCATTCCTACTTCCCAGAAAGCACACACCAATGCCATCAGAGCCATAAACGGAGCACAAATCTTAGTCCACAGAAAATAATTCAGGGAGTGAAGGAAGTAGAGGCAGCCCCAGGAACCCACACTGGGGCTTCCATCTCCAGCTGATGGCATCTTGTGAAGAATAGAGCATCATCAGTCACTTGCCATCTCATCATCTCATTCATGACATTTGGGGTCAGGGATAATAATCAGCATCCTATTTCCAGATAATAAGCTATTTTGTGTCCTCTCATTTTATCAGCACGTTAACATCATAGAAGCATGCCATATTTTCATGTTGGGCTCTTGAAACAGGAGACACCACAGAGGAACAAGAGCTGTGAATCTCTAAGTTAACAATTATCTGAGAGAGCTCTTTCAATGGGCAGGTCTAAGGAAATGAGCGATCAGAGTGGCAGTAAAGGCAAAAGCTGGTCATACCTGGAACAGATGGAATGGAGGGGAAATGAGTTTTCACATAACACTTTAGGTGTCAAATGGAATATCTACTTTCTGAGGCCCATATTACTATGGCTTAATCACTTGAATGGACTTTGATATAGAAGTCTTATTTCCAACAACAAGTGAGTTTCTGCTAAAGGTTTAGAAAAGATCTCCAAGCTAATTCTGACATGCATGCAAGTGAAGGAGTCCTACCTGAGGGGTCAGGTTAGGAGCCACATTAGTTTTCTGATCCAGAGAGGAAAGGCAACTAATATTGATAGAACACATTGTTTAGAGGGTCCAGCTCCATGTTCTTCACTTTAGTGATTGAATTTAATTCTCATGACAACCCTACTAGTGAGGTACAATTATGCTCTCTTCATGGATGTATATGACTACAGCGCACTTGCTCCTAAGCACAGAGCTGGATGGCAAAGAGTTTGCTCACCACACAAACTAATGGAGCCAGGGATAGAATCAAGCAGCCTGGGCAATGGTACAAAAATGGTCAGGATTCATAATATCTAAACAGCCCCAAAATCACGTTATTAATCTCAGAAACACTATTTTCAGAGGGGAAAAAGGTGCAAAAGGGCACTTACTCTACAATAGCACAAATATTTATAGCCAAAAATGTACAATTACATATTTTGCATAATTCTCTCCAAGTCTATAAGGAAGGCATCATTATTTCCAGTTTACAGATGACCAACTAAGACTCACTGATGGAAAATCAATTTTGCAGAGGCATCTAGTAATGATCAGGAGCAGGGATGTAACTCTCACTCTCCTCAAAGGACAACACATTGTCTCCTTTTATAGTGGATGACCGTCTAAGACTTAAACACTTGTAGTTTTTTTTTTAATTTTTATTTATTTTATGTATATTTTTTGAGACGGAGTCTCATTCTGTTGCCCAGGCTGGAGTGCAGTGGCGCAATCTCGGCTCACTGCAAGCTCTGCCTCCCGGGTTCACGCCATTCTCCTGCCTCAGCCTTCCGAGTAACTGGGACTACAGGCGCCCGCCACCACACCTGGCTAATTTTCATATTTTTAGTAGAGATGGGGTTTCACTGTGTTAGCCAGGATGGTCTCGATCTCCTGACCTTGTGATCCGCCCGCCTCAGCCTCCCAAAGTGCTGGGATTACAGGCATGAGCCACCACGCCCAGCCAAACACTTGCAGTTTTTTATGTTGCCAGGATTATGCCCTTGTGGGTACTCACTCAACAACCTCTCTCTCTTTGAAAGAGCTGATCGTGCAGATGAAATCCCAGTGCAAGGTCCTATAGGTGGTAATGGGTCTGGTATAAGGGTCAAAGGCTTATGACTCCTGCCTCCTCTTCATCTGCACTCTCTCTTCATTTGAGGCTCAATAGAAACTGCTTTTCCAAATCAACGTAGCAGATCAAATGAGGGGGCAGAAAATGATAGGGGATTGGTTTGACGATCTTCTCATCTCACTCCAATACCTCAGCAAACCATCCTGCAACACAGAAATGGCCCCAAAGGTCCATGTATAATGTAAGTGTGAGCACATGCTCCATCTTCCTGCTCTCCTTCCAGGTGGTCTCTGTGGCAATTATGCTGCTTGGTTTAGATAACAGTCATCACTTCTCTGGGAGGGAGGAAAAAGGTGGGCCTGGATGACCATTCGTTGAAGTTCTACTAGGTGCCATCTACTCTGTATGGGATTTCTCATTTACCCCACAGAAAATTTGTCTAAGAAAGGCATTGTGAGTCCCCTTTTACAGATGAGCAAGGGCAAAGTAGAATGGCAAAGGATTTGATTACCACAGAAACTGAGAGAGCCAGAGATAGTAGCTGGCAACCTGGGCACCTTAAGTGCTGGTGGCAGATCTTTAGCAAATGTATCTGGACACACACTGTTAAGGAAGTTAATGTCTGTCCTCCCTGTGTTTACCCTCCTTGCATTTCCAGCAAGGAACCAGGCTTGGTGTTCCTTCCCCTTGCCTTAGGGGAGGTTTATGACAGGGTTGGGAGCCAAAGATGTCTGAATCCAGTTTCTTCCATTCTTTAGGAAACTTAAACTTAAGGGAAAGATTGGACTGCTTGTTATCTGGTAGGAAAGGGAAGGCCTCTGAGGACATAGAGAAAGGAGAGGAAGAGAGATTTATCCCAAATAGGGATGAGGCCAGAGATCTACTTGTCCCTCCAGGAGTAAGGATCTGAGCACTGCTCCATATCAACCCTTGGGTTTGATCCAACCCCAAGGTCCATTGAAATTGGGCATCCAGCCATGAGACCTATTTTTCTCTTTGGATAAAAGGATGGATGGAACAGGGTCAGGGAGTCCTTAAGGCACCAAGCCAATTAGGCAAATGGTCAGCTCAGCACTGAGCAGGAGGGACACATGATTGATGATGGCAAGGACCTCTCAGGCTGTTAACCAGAGTATAAGTTTCCACAAGTGGGACTGCTTCCTCAAAAAGCATGAATATTAAACATTTGTCTAATTCACCTTAAAATCTCTTTGCTAATTTGTCACAATGAAATACAAGATATGAATACTCATTTTCCAAGATCTGTACAAATAATGGGTTTCACTATATTATTAATATTTGCTAATGTGATATACTTTTGTTGGAATGTTAGATTATTTTTCATTTTCCATATTTTATTTTCCTATAAATGGCATATTTCACATTTAAATTACCAAATGGAAACATAATGATCCAACTTTATGTCTTAAATATGTCCTGGAATAAGAATCTACAATGAACTCAAACAAATTTACAAGAAAAAAACAAACAACCCCATCAAAAAGTGGGCAAAGGATATGAACAGACACTTCTCAAAAGAAGACATTTATGCAGCCAAAAGACACATGAAAAAATGCTCATCATCACTGGCCATCAGAGAAATGCAAATCAAAACCACAATGAGATACCATCTCACACCAGTTAGAATGGTGATCATTAAAAAGTCAGGAAACAACAGGTGCTGGAGAGGATGTGGAGAAATAGGAACACTTTTACACTGTTGGTGGGACTGTAAACTAGTTCAACCATTGTGGAAGTCAGTGTGGCGATGCCTCAGGGATCTAGAACTAGAAATACCATTTGACCCAGCCATCCCATTACTGGGTATATACCCAAAGGATTATAAATCATGCTGCTATAAAGACACATGCACACGTATGTTTATTGCAGCACTATTCACACAATAGCAAAGACTTGGAGCCAACCCAAATGTCCAACAATGATAGACTGGATTAAGAAAATGTGGCACATATACACCATGGATTACTATGCAGCCATAAAAAATGATGAGTTCATGTCCTTTGTAGGGACATGGATGAAGCTGGAAACCATCATTCTCAGCAAACTAGCGCAAGGACAAAAAACCAAACACTGCATGTTCTCACTCATAGGTGGGAATTGAACAATGAGAACACATGGACACAGGAAGGGGAACATCACACACTGGGGCCTGTTGTGGGCTGGGGGGAGGGATAGCATTAGGAGATATACTTAATGTTAAATGATGAGTTAATGGGTACAGCACACCAACATGACACATGTATACATATGTAACTAACCTGCACGTTGTGCATATGTACCCTAAAACTTAAAGTATAATAAAAAAGAAAAGAAAAGAAAAGTAAACTCAATCAGTGAGTTGGTGTTTATGCTGTATCCTCATTAAATGGAAAATGCAGGGCCATGATAATTCCATACATGGCCTAGGGAGGACAAATTGGTACAACCTCTTTGCAGAGACATTTGGCAACATCTGTGAGAGAAGAAAGCAAGGCACCTGTCACCCACTGTACTCTTAGGTCTGGACAGCATATATGTAAGATGGCCAAGATAGCATGGCTAGTCATATTTAAAGGAATCTCAAATCACCTTATTAGATATAGCTAAGTAATACTATTTTCAGAGAATGAAAATTTTCAAAAGAGCACTTACTCTATGATGTCATTTATATATTTATAGCTAAAAGCATGTAGTTGTATATTTTGCATGATTCTCTCATAACTTTGTGGAGAAATCATCATTATTCCCATTTTGAAGTTGACTATATTAAACTTGCTGATGTAAAATCAATTTTGCAGACTCATCTACTAAGGAACAGAAATGGCATTCTAACTCTCACCCTCCCGAAAGGACACCCAGGTATCTTCTTTATAGATCTTAACCTTTTAGGACTTAAACACTTGTAATTTTACATGTTTTTAGTACTGTGCCCTTGTGGGTACTCACTCAACAACCTCTCTCTCTTTGAAGAAGCTGATAGTACAGATGAAATCCTGGTGCAGGGTCCTGTAGGTGCTAACAGATCTGGAATAAAGTTCAAGGGCTTGTGAGTCCTGCCTCCTCTTCATCTGCACTCACTCTTCATTTGGGGGCTCAATAGAAACTGCTTTTCCAGTATCAATCTAGAAGATCAAACAAGGGGGCAGAAAATGACAGGGGATTAAAGGAAATGTTTTAATTATCTCCTTCCCTTTTCCCTGATCCCTCAGCAAAGCCCTCCTGCAACACTGGAATGGTTCCCAAAGCTTCATTCATAATGCAAATGTGAGTAGGTTTAACTTCTTACTGCTTGGTATGTTTCCAGGTAGACTCTATGGCAATTGTGCTGTTTGGCTTAGGTAACAGTCATCACTTCTCTAGGAGGGAGGTGAAAAGTGGGTCAGTATAAGCATTTGTTGATGTCCTACTAGGTGACATATATGCTGTACAGGATTTCTTATTTACACCATAGACTAGTTATGTAAGGAAGACGTAGTAAGTCTCCTTTTACAGATAACTAAGGGCAAGCTGACAGAGGGTAAGAAAGGATTTCAGCATCACACATCAAGTAAGGGGCAGGAATGTGGTCCAGCCTTTGCTGTCATCACAGTATTTCATGCATTGTCAACAGAGGCGACATTATGCCCAAGGGGCTGAAAATTGGCTCTGGATGGTAAGGAGGATGGGAGACATTACAATGGTTTGTGGTCCTGCAAAGTACCACAGTACATAAACAGTTACCACTTTACGTGTGGTATTAAAATTTTACATTCTTGGCAGAAAGGATGTGTGAGGAAGAACATGTCTAAAAGTCCTCCAAAACAGGGACAAGAATGAAAGAAGGGGAGAGAAACACTGCCTATGCCCAGTGACTTCTTATGTAGATAACTGGCCACCAGGGCTTTGGAACTGATCACTTTACTCTCCTCCCCAGATGCTCACTCAACAACATCTCTTGGTGATGATGATGATGGTGGTGATGGTGATGGTTGAAATGAAATCCTCTCTCTGGGCACAGGAGACTTTGATATGGGGACCATATGAATTGACTGGCTCTTAAGGTGACAGACAGGCAGGGGCTCAGTCAGAACGACACATGTTTCTTCTGGAACAGATTACCTGGAGGGTAGAAAATTAATGTTGACAAAACTAGCATAAGCAAGAAATGCTCTAATTTGCATCTCTTTTCATCTTAACACTTATTCAAGTAGCCTATTATTTAATGTATAATTTAGATTAAATTATGGGAATTTAGGAACAGTTACATAAATCAGACAAATTGCTTTGTAATGCCTGCTCAGTAATAGAAACTGAAATTTCATTAAGGCATTGTGTCCTGAAGCCACCAGGAATTTGAATGCTCTAATCTCTCTCAGTGCTCACATGCAATACTGCCCAGGGTATTGCTTAATTTATTTATATAATGAACTATAATACTTTAAAACTGTAATACTAAATTATATGATATATGATATCAAATTATTAAATATTTAACTAAATATAATTAATTTTAATATATTAAATATATTATATTAAAATTACATTATAAAATTGTAATATTAAATTAGATTATAGTATTAAATTATATGAGTCTAATTATCATGACATAGGAAACATTCCCAGTAATCAGTACGGAGAAATGGCCTAGTGATGCTGTCGTAAGTAGAATCTAAGTATGCACCCAATGATTTTTGTTTCTTGTTATTTACTCCTTTGTATAATCTGTCTCATTGTGTGTGAGCTGGAGTTAGTGACTTTCTTCTAATTGGTATCCACAATGGTATAGTTTGAATGTGTCTTCCAAAGTTCATTTGTTGGAAACCTGATTCCCAATATAAATTGGTACAACCTCTTTGTGTTGGAAGGTGGGACCTTTAAGATGTCTAGGGTCATGGTGATTCTGCACCCATAAACAGATTAATGCCATTATTATGGGAGTAGGTTCTTCATAAAAGGACAAGTTTCTTCCCCCTCTTGCTGTCTCTCCTCCTCTCTTTGCTCTTCTGCCACGAGATGATAAAACAAGAAGACCTCATCAGATGCCAGCCCCTCGATCTTGGACTTCCCAACCTCCAGAACTGTGAGCCAATAATTTCTGTTCATTACAAATTATACAGTCTGTGACATTGTTCTAGCAGCACAAAAATGGATTAGGAAAATGTGTACCAAAGAAGTGGGGTTTTGAAACAACAAATAACTGAAAATGTGAAAGTGGCTTTGGAACTGGGTAATAGGGCCTGGAAGAGTTTGGAGGAACCAGCTAGCAAAGGCCTACATTGCCATGAATAGAGCATTAAGGGCAATTCTGGTGAGGGCTCAGAAGAAGAGTATGGCTGTAAGAAAAGTCTGAATCTTCTTAGAGATTACCTAAGTGATTGTGATCAGAACGTTGATAGAAATATGGACAGTAAAGGCCATTCTCACCAGGTCTTGGATGTAAATTAGGAATATATTATTGGAAACTGGCATAGAGGCAATTCTTGTTATAAATTGGCAAAGAACTTGACTGAATTGTTTTGATGCCCAAGGGCTTTATGGAAGACAGAATTTAAGAGTGATGAACTAAAGTATCTGGCAGAAGAAATTTCTAAGCAAAGTATTGGAGGAACCGTGTGGCATCTGTAACTGCATACAGTAAGATGTAAGAAAAGAGAAATGATTTAAAGACAGAATTTGTAATTTATAATTAAAAAGGAATCAGAGGGCCGGGCGTGGTGGCTCATGCCTGTAATCCCAGCACTTTGGGAGGCCAAGGCGGGTGGATCACCTGAGGTCAGAAGTTCAAGACCAGCCTGGTCAACACGGTGAAACCCCATCTTTACTAAATATACAAAAATTAGCCAGGCATGGTGGTGGGCGCCTGTAATCCCAGCTACTTGGGAGGCTGAGGCAGAAGAATTGCTTGAACATAGGAGATGGAGGTTGCAGTGAGCCGAGATCGCGCCATGGCGCTCCAGTCTGGGCAACAAGAACGAAACTTCATCTCAAAAAAAAAAAAAAAAAAAAAAGGGAATCACAACATAAATATTTGGAAAATTCACATTCGTGTCATATAAAGAATGAAAAAGCATGCAAGGGTGCAGCCAAGCAACTCTCCGATAATGGGATTAGCATGGAAAGAAGGAAGCCGGGTGCTGTTCAGCAGGACAATGCATTGCAGAAAGACTCTGAAGGCATTTCAGAGATATTCAAAGTTGCCCCTTTCCTACAAGTCCAGAGATCTAGGAGGGCAGAATGATTTCAAGGGACAGGCCTGGGGTGTCCCTCATGGGCTCACTGCTCAGAGCTGTCTTGGGACTGTGATCCCTGCATTCTAGTACAGTGCTGCCTGGCAGCCCCAGCTGTATCTCAAGTGGACCTAACTGCTCCTATGAAGGGTGCAAATTGTAAGCATTGCTGGTTCCCACATGGTGCTAATTCTGTAAGTGAGCAGAATGCAAGAGCTGTGGGGGCACTGCTTCCTTCACCTAGATTTTAAAGGATGTATCAGACATCCCTGTGACCCAGGCAGAAACCTACTGCAGGGGCAGAGGCACTATAGAGTTCTCATTAGGGTAATGCCTAGTTGAGTCACAGGCATAGGGTTGCCACTGAGACCATGAACCTGTAAACCTATCAGTGTGCAGCTCCAGCCTGGAAGAGCTGCAGGCAGGAGACTCCAACCCATGAGAGCTGCTGCAAGGGCCATGCCCAGCAAAGCCATAGGGGTGGGGCTTCTTGAGGCCTTGGGGGCTTAACCCATACCCCATTGTGCTCAGAAGGTGGGACATGGGGTCAAGAAAGATTATTCTCCAGCTTTGAGATTTAATGTTGTTTGCCCTGTTCAGTTTTGCACTTACTTGGGACCCGTTACTCCTCTTTTCTTGCCTATTTTTCCCTTTTGGAATTAGAATATCTATCCTATGCCTGTCTCACTGTTGCATTTTGGAAGTAGGTAACTTGTTTTGATTTTATAGGCTCACAGCTTGAGGGAATTTGCCTCAGAATAAATCATGCCTTGAGTCTCATCCATATTTGATTTGGATGAGACTTTGGACTTTTGAGCTGGTGCCAGCACAAGTAAAGACATTGGGGCTACTGGGATGGAGTCAGAATATTTTGCATGTGAGAAGGAGATGAATTTTATGAGCCGGGGGCAGAATGCTGCAGTATGAATGTGTCCACTAAAGTTTATGTGTTGAAAACTTGATTCCCAATGTGTAAGTGTTGGTCTATCCAAGTACTTCTTCCCCAAATTTCTTTGTCACCAATTTTCCAATCATGTTTTTTTCCAAGTTCCTGATCATGCAGCCAAACTATTGTCCACAGTCCATGAATCAGTATATATAGAAATGGCAGGTCCAGCCATTTGTCCAAGCAAAGTGATCAACCAGGTACACTGCTCAAAGTTCTGCCCACCGGGAGAGTTTCCATTCACCATTGTCCTTCAGGGACATCCTGGAAAGGGGATGTAGTGTTAGTTGTCCACTTTTGAGTAGTGCTTGCATATCATGCAGAATCATCTGTAAACCAAACTTCTCTTTCTCTGTCAACTGATCATAGGGAACTTAGATTATAGGTGCAGGCTGGGAGAAAGAAAGGAATGTAGCAAAAATGAGGACCATGGGCATTTGAGCTGCTTCCTCATGTAACTTACTTATGCCTTCAGTACCTGCTTGAGCTCGATTTCATATATACTACTTACCTTTGATGATGGAGTGAGTGCTGCTGTACATACCCAACTTTATGGCTATGTGGGTCAGATAACACACAGGTCATGGTGGGCAGCTCACGTCACATGAAAACTTGGTTGTTTCCAGTCTCTACTAAGGCCCATTAGCAGGCCAAGAGCTGTTTCTCAAAAGAAGAGTAGTTATCTAGGAAAGATGGCAGGGCCTGTGTTGCCATTCACCTATGGGGGCCTGCCAAAGGTTCCCAACAGCATCCCTATCTGTCACTGACAACTCAAGCACCATTGGATCTGCTTGATCATATGGCCCAAGTGGCATAGCAGCTTGCACAGCAGCCTGGACCTGTTGCAGAGCCTTCTCTTGTTCTAGGCCCTACTCAACACTAGTAGCTTTTTGTGTTACTCAGTAAATGGGTCAGAGTTACACACCCAGATGAAGAGTATGTTGCCTCCAAAATCCAAAGAAGCCCACCAGATGGTGTACCTCTTTTTTGGTTGTAGTAGAGGCCAGGTGCAAGTATTTATCCTTCACCTTAGAAGGGATATCTCAAATGCTCCACACCTCTGAGCTGCTAGAAACTTGACTGAGGTTGAATATGCCACCTTTTACCTCTGAGGAGAAGAGAAAACTAACAGCCATATAGTATTCTATTATATTCTTTAAACTAGTAGGCTAAAACAAAAACTGATAAAAATAATTACTTATAAGGGAACAGAGTAGCAGCCCAGGATGGAAGCTGATCATATATATTCTCTTAAAAATATAATACCTATTTACTGGTCTGATGCACTGAAAAATTTAAGAAACAATGGCCAACCCAGTAGCAATGAAGAACTCTAGTACCCAGATTGAGTCCTCTAAAAATATTACCCACAAGGAAAAATGGCTGAATCCAAGTCTGTGGTAGAGCTGTACCAGATGAGTCTGGACTGAATGATCATACCAGCGAACATATCAAAAAGACTCAGAAGCCAACCTGATAGGACTTCCACAGACCAAATAAGAACAATTTAAGCATCAAAAACATTGGTGCCTACAGTGAGTTAAAACACATCACATACAGAAACATCTCTGAGTCGTGATGACACTCTAAAAGAAAAAACACAAACAAAACCAACTCACTGCTAATCTGTGGAGGATCCTACAGAAACAATACTTATTCTTAAAACTGGAAATACTGCAAAATGATTAAATATTTGTCCTTCCTTTCCTGTGTGTGCCATACCTCAGTTAAGCCTACTAGTTGGCAGGGGCTTGGGCGGGGGTTGGGGGGGGCGGGGGGGAGTTTCTCTTATAGAAAATGTCCAGCTAATAAATGCAGAAGAAATTGTAGTATCTAAACATCATCATTTTAGAATTTTTAATGAAGTGCAGATCTTGGTAAAGATCAGAGATTGTAAAAAATAATGAGGTAAAAAGCAGATGGGAAATTACATAATAGATGGATCAGTCTAACAACACCTGAGCCCAGTGCTCAATCTTAATGTCAAGGTAGGAGTGACAATAAGACACAATGACGCTCCTTGTATGCCTATGAATTGAATGCTTGTGTCCTCCCAAAACTCATATGTGGAAACCCTAATCTCCAATGTGACAGTATTTAAAAATAGGACTTTTGGGAAATAATTAGGTCATCAAAGTGGAGCCCTCATTATGAGATTAGTGTCCTTATAAGAAGAGACACAGAGAGTTTACTTGCTCTCTGCATGCACACACCAAGGGAAGGCCATGTGAGGACATAACCAGGAAGAGGATCCTCACCAGGAACCCAACTATACTGGCACCCTGATTAGACTTCTAGCTTCCAGACTCATGAGAAATAAATGTTTGTTATTTAAGCCACCTAGTCTGTGGTAATTTGGTAAAGCAGCCTGAACTAAGACTTGGTGTAAGGATATAGGAAGTATGTAACACATCTGAGGTACTCTTGCCAAAAAATCCTGAACTGGATGAAGCCTCTAACTCTACTAATTTATAGAAAATAGGAGGGGCCAGAGCAATGTAAGTAACAGCACAATGGAGATACAATCAGCAAAATTGAGAATGTAAACTCCACAAACCAAAGTTCCAGTATAATAAGCAAATACAAGTTGAGTATCATTAATCTGAAAATCCAAAATCTGAAATGCTCCACTGAGCATTTCCTTTGAGCATCATGTCAATGATCAAAAAGTTTCAGATTTTGGAGGCTTTTGGATTTGCAGATTAGGAATACTCAATATGTAAGTTGAAAAGCAAAAACAAAGAGAGAAAAGAGATTTAAAACTCCAGAGAGTTAATGAGAAAGTAAAGTATAATTAAAACCATAATGAGATACCACCACACTTACACCAGAAAAAGAAAATTAAAAAGATGGAAAACACCAAGTGTTGGTGAGGACATGGAAGCTGTGTAATTCTCACAGCACTGGTGAAAATATAAATTCAACAACCACTTTGAAAAAGTGCTTGGCAATATTGACTGACCTGATCATACACACACCCTACAACTCAGAAATTTCATTCTTAGGTCTGGGGAAGGTACGCACCCAAAAGAAAGAAAAATAAATGTTTATCCAAAGATATGTACAAGACATTCATAACGCTGTTATTCATGTCAAAAACTAGAAAAAAATCCACATAGCAGATATGCTTATTGTGAAATATCCACTCGATGTAATAATATCCACCAATGATGATGAATGATCTACGACTATAGATAATAATAAATGTAAATCTCACATACAGTATGTTGATTGAAGGAAGGAAGTTAGAAAAGAGAACATGATGTATGATTCTAGGAATTTTTCTTCAAATTTCCCATTACAGTTTGGGCTACATAAAAAATTCAACACCCTATTTTTTCTTATTTGAAGGTACTTAGTGTTCCCGTATATTATCTGCAGGTTAACCTCAGAGAAGCACATATCCTCTGAGCCCTTGAAAAGTGAAGCACTACAGCTATGAACACGGCTAATGCTGCTGATATGGTTTGGCTGTGTCCCCATCTAAATCTCAACTTGAATTGTATCTCCCGGAATTCCCACATGTTGTGGGAGGGACAAAGGGGGAGGTAATTGCATCAAGGGGGCCAGTCTTTCCCATGCTATTCTTGTGCTAATGAGTCTCACGAGATCTGATGGGTTTATCAGGGGTTTCCGCTTTTGCTTCTTCCTCATTTTCTCTTGCTGCCACCAGGTGAGAAAGGCCTTTCGCCTCCCGCCATGATTCTGAGGGCTCCCTAGCCATATGGAACTGTAAGTCCAATTAAACCCTTTTTTGTTCCCAGTTTCAAGTATGTCTTTATCAGCAGTGTAAAAATGAACTAATACAGTAAATTGGCACCAGTAGAGTGGGGTGTTGCTGAAAAGATCCCCAAAAATGTGGAAGTAACTTTGGAACTGGGTAATAGGCAGAGGGTGAAACAGTTTGGAAGGCTCAGAAGAAGACAGGAAAATGTGGGAAAGTCTGGAACCTCCTAGAGACTTGTTGAATGGCTTTGCCCATGCTGATAGCGATATGGACAATAAGATCCACGCTGAGGTGGTCTCAGATGGAGATGAGGAACTTTTTGGGAACTGGAGTAAAGGTGACTCTTGTTATGTTTTAGCAAAGAGACTGGCAACATTTTGTCCCTGCCCTAGAGATTTGTGGAAGTTGGAACTTGAGAAAGATGATTTAGGGTATCTGGCAGAAGAAATTTCTAAGCAGCAAAGCATTCAAGATGTGACTTGGGTTCTATTAAAGGTATTCAGTTTTATAAGGGAAGCAGAGCATAAAAGTTTGGAAAATTTGTGGCCTGACTATGTGATAGAAAAGAAAACCCCATTTTCTGGGGAGAAATTAAAGCTGGCTGCAGATATTTGCATAAGTAGCAAGGAGCCTAATGTTAATCCCCAAGACCATGGGGAAAACGTCTTTAGGCCATGTCAGAGACCTTCACAGCAGCCCCTCCCATCACAGGCCTGGAGGCCCAGGAGGAAAAAATGGTTTCCTGGGCTGGGCCTAGGGTCCCCATGTTGTGTGTAGCCTGGGGACTTGGTGCCCTGTGTCCCAGCTGTGGCTGAAAGGAGCCAACATACAGCTCAGGCTGTGGCTTCAGAGGGTAGAAGCCCCAAACCTTGGCAGCTTCCACGAAGTGTTGAGCTTGCAGGTGTACAGAAGTCAAGAATTGAAATTTGGGAACCTCCATCTAGATTTCAGAAGTTGTATGGAAACTCCTGGATGCCCAGGCAAAAGTTTGCTACAGGGGCAGGGCGCTCATGGAGAACCTCTGCTAGGGCAGTGCAGAAGAAAAATGTGGGGTTGGAGCCCCCAGAGTCCCTACTGGGGCACTGCCTAGTGGAGCTGTGAGAAGACAGCCACTGTCTTCCAGACCCCAGAATGGTAGATCCACTGACAGTTTGCACCATATGGCCAGAAAAGTCACAGACACTCAACACCAGCCCATGAAAGCAGCCAGGAGGGAGGCTGCACCCTGCAAAGCCACAGGGGCGGAGCTGTCCAAGATCATGGGAACCCACCTCTTGCATCAGTGTGACCTGGATGTGAGACCTGGAGTCAAAGGAGATCACTCTGGAGCCTTAAAATTTGACTGCCTTGCTGGATTTTTGGACTTGCATGGGCCCTGTAACCCCTTTGTTTTAGCCAATTTATCCCATTTGGAATGGCTACATTTACCCAATACCTCTATCCCCATTCTATCTAGGAAGTAACTAGCTTGCTTTTGATTTTACAGGCTCATAGGCGGAAGGGACTTGCCTTGTCTCAGATGAGACTTTGGACTGTGGACTTTTGGGTTAATACTGAAATGAGTTAAGACTTTGAGGGACTCTTGGGAAGGCATGATTGGTTTTGAAATGTGAGGACATGAGATTTGGAGGGGCCAGGGGCAGAATGATATGGTTTGGCTGTGTCCCCATCGTCCCCATCGAAATCTCAACTTGAATTGTATCTCCCGGAATTCCCACATGTTGTGGGAGGGACCCAGGGGGAGGTAACTGAATCATGGGGGCCAGTCTTTCTCGTGCTATTCTCGTGATAGTTAATGAGATTCACGAGATCTGATGGGATTATCAGGGGTTTCCGCTTTTGCTTCTTCCTTATTTTCTCTTGCTGCCACCATGTAAGAAGAGCTTTTCACCTCCTACCATGATTCTGAGGCCTCCCCAGCCATGTGGAACTGTAAGTCCAATTAAACCTTTTTTTGTTCCTAGTTTTGGGTATGTCTTTATCAGGAGCATGAAAACAAACTAATACAGCTGTGTATAATGGACATGCAGATGGATATGGGACAGGAGACATACCTGGCCACAGTGCCAGACCTATCCCACTAACTCTAGGTGCCCTTGAGTAAGTCACCACACTGCATCTATACTCACCTGGCAAAGAGGGACTGAGTAGCCCTGTCTCCAGCAAGATCTCAGGGACAGAGAGCAATGTGATTCCCATCTGGAAAACCACTCTGAGTTCCTAAAAGGAAAGAGAACTCATTCGTCTTGGGGGTCCAACGAATTATCTACATCAACAGCCAAGTTGTCTAGTACAAAGTAACTATGATGTTTATTAATGTTTTTATTTTAAAAATTATTACTTTTTCTTAAATACCATCTGGTACAATGTAGAATGACTACAGAAACATAGATAAAAGAGCTATGGTCTCAATGTTACACCAACCACCATGGGTTGACATAGTTCAACAAATGTCTGTCTCTTCTTCCTAAGTGTACTGGTTAGAGGAGTGTAGGCTCTGTATATAGACTAGAGACAAACCCTAGTTCTGCCATGTAAAAATCTTGTGACTTTGAATACTTTTATTTCACCATAAAATCACTCAAAGTCTTGTCAGTAAAACCAGTATTATATAGTACTTACAATAGAGGACAAAACATATTTTAAATGTACCATGGAACTTAAAATTAAAATTAAAATTAAAAAGTCCCTGTGTGCTGGTTTTTAAAAATATAAATGGCCAGGGATCACATTAACTTGAAAATTCTATCTAAGGCAGAGATACTGGGGAAAGAAAGCTTAATAGTCTTGCAACTGAATCCTATTTATCAACTCAGGTATTTTTAAAATTTTAATTTTAACTGGCATAATTGTATATACTATGGGGTACACTGTAATGTTTTGATATATGTTTACATTGTGGAAAGATTAAATCAAGCCAATTCAATAAAGCTTAATAGTCTTACAAATGAGTCTTCTTTTTCCTTTTTCTTATTTATTTATGATCCAGATACTCATTCTTTATTATAAAAATGGCATATTTTCCTCAAATCTGTTGGAGTTCTCTACTTTTGTTTGTGGTATCTTTTGTTAAATAATAGTTTTTAACTTTGCTGTAATATTTACCTATCTTTGCCTTATATAGCTTTTGATTTTACTTATTTTTTAAGTTTTTGTTTGCTTTTTAACTTTGATTTTAGTTTCAGGAGTACATGTGAAGGTTTGTTATACAGGCAAATCGTGTGTCACAGGGGTTTGGTGTGGAGATTATTTTGCCACTCAGGTAATATGCATAGTACCCAGTAGGTAGTTTTCAATCCTTACTCTCCTCTCTCCCTCTACCCTCAGGTATGAATATCAGTCATCAACTAATGCATTTTTAAAATCACTTTTTTTCACTACAACCACTGTTGGTTGACTAATTACCTTAAGAATGCCTCAAAAGCACTTGGAAGGACTGATCTCAGAAAACAGCCCACCATTTCTCTGTACGGCCAAACAGCTGAGGGGTCCTCCTTGACTGTGCCTTATCCCCACACACCCCACGCACACAGCCATTGCAGGTCCCCCGTGTCATACCTCCAAACACGACCTGTCCAGGTCTAACCCTTCCTCTGCACACAGCTGCAGTCCTGGTGCCATTCATCTGTGCCTCTTCCCTGAATTTCTGCAATATTCTTCTAACGGTTATCCCCACTCCTTATTTTGTCCCTCTCCAGTCCATTCTCCACACAGTGGCCAGAGACACTTTCTGATAACAAGAATCAGATCACGTCACTCCTGTACTCTAGCCTTCCACACTCAGAATAAAACCCAAACTCCTTAAAGGATCCAAACCATGTGGCTCTTGTCTGCCCTTTCAACCTCATCTCCCACCTGTCTGCACTTACGTGCCAGGCTTCAGCCACTTCAACTTGTCCTCTGCTCCTAGATCAATGGTGCCCACACACAGCACAGGGACACTGACAAAATGGCCTTTCCATGCCTGGCTTCTTTCTGTTGTTCAGGACTCAGCTCAAGCATCACTTCCTGAGAAAGAGCTTCACTGACAACCCCATCTATAATAATCCCTGTCTCAGTCATTTTCTACTCTACCTGTTCATTTTCTTCAAAACACAAATCCCCATATGAAATTGCCTCACTCATTGATTTGTTTACCTGCTTATTGCCAGTTTCCCCAAACTAGAACAATAGCTCCAGGGATTCTTCTTTTATTCTCTATGATGTTTCTTCAGTGTCTCATACATAAATCACTGAATAAGAATTATTGTATTGAAAAAATTGTTACCTACTGGACACACAAGAGAAGACACAGAAATTTAAAGCTGAGTAGCAGGAGCAACTAACAATGAAATTAGACATCAAAGGATTTAAACTTTTTATAGACCTTGTTGCCATCCATAGCATTGCTTTTCAATTGTGGATGAGTAACAGAAACAACAAAAGAAATTACTCAAAATCTAGACACCTCTCACTTCACCTCCCTGGTTTTGATTCTGCAGATCTAGGATGGCCTCAAGTATGTGCAATTTTAGCAAGCAACTGTGGACAAATCTGATGAAGTGGTCCATAGATCACACTTGTAAAAATCCTGACCTAAACAGCTCAGAGTTGGGTACCATAAATTTAATGCCCACCATACAAAGTTCTGGGATATCTGCATTTGCTCTGTTAATATACTTAGCTGAAAGTTCACTGGTTCTTCCCCACCACATAAGACCGCAGATTGCCACATGGGATCACACTTAAATTCCAGAGTATTCCTGGGTGGTCTAGAGGCGTGGGTATTATTATCCCATTGGATAGACAAAACTGGCAGAAAGGTATGCCCTGCCTAAAGTGTCCCCATGATGTGACTTGGGTCTCTTTCCTCTTGCTCCAGTAACCTAAGAGGCTTTCAGAGTCTCTGATGTTAAACTAGAAGAGAGAGTAAGGGGATAAGAAAGCACATGGAATAGAGAAGAAAGTAAGAGGATAAGAAAGCACATGAAATGCAGGGGATGGGGTGATGATGTCTGGCCTATCCCCACTCAGTTAACTGGAAGCTGAGCAGTGATGTTTTTCCTCTTCCTCAACTCCATCCCAGAACCCCTCCCACACACAGCAGTGACACTGAAGCTCACACATAATGGAAATGTGGGCTTATTCCTGCTTGATGTTACATTTCCAAGTATTTGCTCTAGTAGTTAGGCCATTATGTTAACGCCAGAGGCATTCCATTGACAGAATGGAAGAGGCAAGTTGGAATGGGGAATTACCATTTGCTGATAGTCTACTAGGTACCATACACTGTAGGTTGTTATTTTCAGACTTTTTATCTTCAAGTCCTCACAGTGATGTTCTGAGGCTGACATCAGAGCTTCCTTTCTACAGATGAGGGATAATAGGCTTAGGGGGCCAAGTACATATTCAAGGAATTTTATGGAAGCTTCAAATGGACATGAGGCCTACTTTAAGGGGCTCCCACTAGCCAGTTTTGAGAACACTTGAGCACCAAAATTGATATGGTTTGGATATTATCCCCTCTGAATCTCATGTAGAATTGCAATTCCCATTGTTGAAAGTGAAGCCTGATGGGGTGTGACTGGATGATGGGGGTGGATTTCTCATGAATGGTTTAGTGCTATCCCCTTGGTGATAAGTGAGTTCTCCATCAGTTAGTTCATCTGGTTGTTTAAAAGTCTGAAACCTTCCCCTTGTCTGTCTCTCTTGCTCCCACTCTTGGCATGTGACATGCCTGCTACTGCTTTGCCTTCTGCCATGATTAAAAGCTCTCTGAGGCTTCCCTAGAAGCCAAGCAGATCCTGGGACCATGCTTTCTGTCCAGCCTGCAGAACCATGAGCCAATTAAACCTTTTTCTTCATAAATTACCGTCTCAGGTATTTTTGTATAACAGCACAAGAATGGCCTAATACAAAAAATGTATACTAATAACTACAGAGGGTAATCCTTTGAGGAACATGGGAATCTCAGAGTCATATTGACATAAATAAATGTTAATAAATACATTGATAAATAAATAAGGGAAAAGAAAAAGCTCTATCTTTTTCTCAGATGCAAACTAATAATTCCAGAAGGAATATCAGAATTGGAAAACATTCACTTAACAACTATCATAATAATACGTGATTCAGGCAAAAAACATAAACAAATGCTCATTCTGTACCAAATGTCATGGCAGTCACTGAGTCACCATGGTAACAATGTGGGCCAAGACAGCTTGGAAAAGAAAATAACCATCACTTTGATTTGTTTTCTAGTATGTCCTAGGAACTAAACTGGTCTGATATGACTACAGTAATTAACCTGAGGTATTCCTCACCATAAATACTTCTGGCAGCTTCAGCAATATACACATTCATACCCACATACATACTCACATACATACATGTTCTCTCTCTCTCTCTTTCTTTCTCAACACCCAAGATCCCAGGAATTCATTGAGATGGATTGCTGGTGATGGGGAGTAGGTAACAAACCCCACAATTCAACAGATTCAATTCTGAGCACATAGAAAGCTGAAATCTACTAAACTATTTTATAATGGATTTTTCTGGAGATGACCTGTTGATTTGTCTCTGGGACATTTTTTCCTCGAGTTACAGTACACTTTCAATAACTTCTGAAAGCTGACATGGAAACACAGGCAAATGCTTGTTAAGTATCAGGTACCTTTTCCGTTTTATAGCCTGAGATCTCAACCTAGAAGATTAACAGCTACTGTTAAACATTTGGCAGCTGACAGCTCAGTGAAAATAAAATATGCAGAAATGTAATTCAAACTACTGGCATTTATAAGAGCACCAAGAAATATGAAATAACTAGGAATAATCTATCCAAATATGTGACAGGTCTGTATAGTGAACGCTATATAACATTGCAAAGAGAAACTAAAGACCTAAATAAATAGAGACATACTGTCTTCATGAGTTTGAAGACTCAGTGTTGTTAAGATGCCTGTTCTGTTTAAACTGATCTATATATTCAGAACAATCCCAATAAAAATCCTAACTGATATAGTTTTAACAGAAAGTAAAATGCTGTTTCTAAAATTCATGTAAAAATACAAAGGATCTAGACTATGAAAACAACATTGAGAAAGAACAAAACGGATGACAAACACTACCTAATTTTAAGACTTCTTACAAACCCATAGTAATCAAGACAGTGTGCTACTGGCATCAAGGCAGAAAGGTAGATCAAAAGAACAAAATACCAAAAGCAATGGCAACAAAAGACAAAATTGACAAATGGGATCTAATTAAACTAAAGAGCTTCTGCACAGCAAAAGAAACTACCATCAGAGTGAACAGGCAACCTACAAAATGGGAGAAAATTTTCGCAACCTACTCATCTGACAAAGGGCTAATATCCAGAATCTACAATGAACTCAAACAAATTTACAAGAAAAAAACAAACAACCCCATCAAAAAGTGGGCAAAGGACATGAACAGACACTTCTCAAAAGAAGACATTTATGCAGCCAAAAAACACATGAAAAAATGCTCACCATCACTGGCCATCAGAGAAATGCAAATCAAAACCACAATGAGATACCATCTCACACCAGTTAGAATGGCAATCATTAAAAAGTCAGGAAACAACAGGTGCTGGAGAGGATGTGGAGAAATAGGAACACTTTTACACTGTTGGTGGGACTGTAAACTAGTTCAACCATTGTGGAAGTCAGTGTGGCGATTCCTCAGGGATCTAGAACTAGAAATACCATTTGACCCAGCCATCCCATTACTGGGTATATACCCAAAGGACTATAAATCATGCTGCTATAAAGACACATGCACACGTATGTTTATTGCGGCATTATTCACAATAGCAAAGACTTGGAACCAACCCAAATGTCCAACAATGATAGACTGGATTAAGAAAATGTGGCACATATACACCATGGAATACTATGCAGCCATAAAAAATGATGTGTTCATGTCCTTTGTAGGGACATGGATGAAATTGGAAATCATCATTCTCAGTCAACTATCGCAAGAACAAAAAACCAAACACCGCATATTCTCACTCATAGGTGGGAATTGAACAATGAGATCACATGGACACAGGAAGGGGAACATCACACTCTGGGGACTGTTGTGGGGTAGGGGGAGGGGGGAGGGATAGCATTGGGAGATATACCTAATGCTAGATGACGAGTTAGTGGGTGCAGCACACCAGCATGGCACATGTATACGTATGTAACTAACCTGCACAATGTGCACATGTACCCTAAAACTTAAAGTATAATTAAAAAAAAAAAAAAGAACAAAATAAACCACCAAAAAATTGACCTACATATATTGGACAACTGACTTTTAACAAAGGTGCAGAAGCCATTCAATGTATAAAGGATGGTATCTTCAATATATTGTGCTGAAACAAGTAGATATTCATATACACAATTATATACTGATCTATATATTGTACCATGTACAAAAGACAATTCAAAAGGCAATTCATAATGGATCATAGATGTAAATATAAAACCTAAAGCTGTAAAACTTGTAGAAGAAAACATGGGAGAGCAAAATTGTGACCCTGAGTTAGGTAAAGATTTCTTAGATGAATAAATCAATAATTTGGAATGTGTCAAAGTTAAAAACTCTGCATCTTACAAAGACATTGTTAAGAGAATGAAAAGACAAGCCCCTGATTGGGAGAAAATGTTTGAAAATCATATCTGATAAAGTACTTGTATCCAAAATATAGAAAAATATCACAAAATTCAATTAAACACTCCAATAAATAAATAGGCAAAAGAGTTGAATAGACACTCATCTATAGAAGATAAACAACTGTCAAATAAGCACATGAAAATATACTCAAACATCATTAATCAATTAGGGAAATGTAAATGAAAACTACAAGGCATCACTACCTTGTGGCTTTGCTTTTTTTGTACTTTAAAAATTATTCTTAGCATTGTTCCCTTACAGTACTATTTCTATAGCACCTAAATAAATTTCTATCTTCTATACTTTTTATGAATGAATGTTTTCATTTAAATATATGTAATTGTTGAGATTTGTTAGTTTTGGTTCAAAGTAGTCAGATTAATATGAAATCTTCTGGGTGTAAGCCAGGTGTTTTGAATTCAGATACATTTTGGTTTACCTAAGCACACTTTCCAGTATGATTATTTTGTTGTGACTTACCTTCTTTTATACATAAATTTGTGTTAATTATAAATTTGGGTTTGTTAAAGTATTTCAGGAGGCTGATAGGTGGTGTGTTCATGTTCATTCAACTAAGCTCTCTATTCCTAATTTACTACTAAATCCTCCTTTGACCTTTAGTTTCATAGGGGTTACTATAGGTGGAGTGTTCTTTAATTAGCAACTGTAGCCCATTTCTTCCCATCTCATAGACTACACCTTGACCTAACGTTTTTATGTAAATATTTGTGATTAAGACTTTTTAGGGTTAGCTGAAGACAGCAGTATACGGCTGAATCGGCAAGAGATGGAGAGGTTTGTCAGAGTTTATCAATTATAGAACAGCCTCCTCTAGAGGAATATAAAGCACTGCCAAATCCTCTGAGATTTAGGCTGTTGCTGGTAGTAGTACTCTGGCAAATAACTTTATTCAGTTATTTAAGTTTATGGCTAAGCATAGTAGGGTATCTAATCCCAGTTTGGGTCTTAGCTATTTTAAATTCAGAACATAATAAAGTCACTTTCATAGTTTATTTTCATTTTAGCTATTGCCTTTTATGGCTTACAGTTTAGCTTTAGTTAGACATAATCATAAACGTGTTGGGTACTATTGATTTGGGTTAATCATATGACCTCAGTGGCTGGCACGAAATTTACCAACCCTATGGGAAATTACTATAGCTTGCTCGAACTTTCATTTACTGTTTAATTTCTATCACTGCTGTTTCTTGTGGGAGTGTGTTGAGCAAGGCATTATGAGATACTAATTAGTGTGCTTGGTATCTGCTCCTTTTGATCTTCCACTGATCTAGAGGGCATTCTCACTGGTATTCAGACACTTGCATATGTAATCTCACTGAAAAGGCCAGGACCAAACCTGTGTGTTTATGAAGTCACATGAATTCATCCAGGCATTTTCAGTGGCTTGCTTTATTGAATTAAGCTACATCAGCTTGTATCTAGGGAATACTCTCGAGGGGAAATTGCTAAATTTAAGTATTATTCTAGTATTGAGAGTTTTTTGATAATCTTATTGAGAAACAAAAAGTTTTAGCTTAGAAAATCAAATTTTTAATGGATTTTTTTGTTTGTTTTAGAAAATGCTTTAATTAGGAGTTAGGCTGAAATAATATTTTGGATAAGTTTATAATTGAATTTAATAATATGTGGGTACATATTAGAGCCTTAGGTAATAATCAGCAGATATAAGATTTTTTGTTTGGGGGGTTTGGCAAGAATAAAAGATTGATATTTACATAAATACTGTAACAGCTTAAAGTAGGGGATTAGAGGGAGTTTGCAGAGTTAATCATGTATGATGGGAATAATTATGCATCTGTGACTGTATCTTGTTTTTATTATGCCCATTGAGCATGGATTAATTAACACCTTATCGTTTTTGTTTGGGAAAATAACATTCAATTTAAGTTCAACTACAGTCAAGTTTTGTCAAGGCCTTGACAGCCATGTTGGATCACATCATCCCCCCAAATTAAAAAATACCAAATGCATGACACCACAGTTATGAGTGATCATGGGTTGATTAGTCATTAGTCCATTGAGATGTCTTATTTAAGAGGAAAAAGAGGATGGATATAAGCTCATGGCCCTGAAATAAGAACCAGATGTCTGGTATAGTTTCAGTCTAGAAACCCCCAAGTTTTCTGAGTCCAGAGTGAGAAGATGGACACTTCCTGAGCAGACTGCTAATTTATCAAAGCTTGGTAGACAAGAAATCCTATTGGAGGTGATAAGCATGTTGTCAAAAAAGGATTTGACTTCCTGTGCTATGTATGATCAATAATATTATGTCCTATGTAAAATGAAGAACTTACTGTATGGAACAATACTCATGGTTAAATCCATATGTGTGGACTTTTAATTTAATGTATTACACACTGTGATTAGTTTGATGTGCATGGTTGTATGCATGGGGAATGGATTTTAAAGCACCATAAGATAAAAATGTATAATGTGTGATGAAGTGTATATAGTACTACTACATAATTAATGGGGTAAATTACATGATGCATGATGTACACAGGGTGATTAGATTTTATGTTTTTTTTCCATACTGACATAGAACTCAAGAACAATTTCTTTGCATTCAGTATAAGAATCAGGGAATAGAATATCAGCTTTGGGTGCTGATAGTGGAGTGAATAGCTTTTCCTTTGACTGCGCTGGGGAGAGGTGCTCTCCATTTTTGGTTTACAAGACCAAATTTAATAAACTACAAGAACTCTTCATTGAAGTTTATTCTTGATTAGGCTAGTAAGTGGTATTAATATGAGAACAAGGGAAAAATATAAAATGGATAATAGTTGTTCAATAATAATGAAAGGGTGTTCTACTGATTGACCTTCGATTTGTGTGAATATGAGGTTATTATAATACTAGAACCCAGAATAGGCATTGGCTTAGTACCTGGAATATCATGCTTCGTTGTTTAGATAACTGAAGGATTGGGATGATTGCTAAAATTATGATTAAGAGCACAAGGGCTATGACACCTCCTAGTTTATTGGGAGTAGATCCTAAATTACACAGGCAAATAGAAGATATCACTCTGGTTTAATATGAGGTGGTATATTGAGGGGATTTGCTGGAATATAATCTGGGTTTCCTAAAAAGTCAGGGGAGAATAAAACAAGTTTGAGTAGAAGTGATAGTAGAAAAATAAATCCTAAAATGCCTTTAATTTTGTGATAGGAGTGGAATGGGATTTTATTTGAGTTGGTTGAGATTCCTTGGGTTATTTGATCCTGTTTCATGTGGGAATAAAAGGTGCACAATAATTAGAGCTGAAACAATGAATGGCAGAATAAAATGAGAGGTGAAGAATTGTGTGAAGTTGCCTTGTCAAGAGAAAATCCACCTCAGATTCATTCTAACAGGTTGGTGCCAACGTATGGAATAGTTGATAGTAAATTTGTGATTGTTGTTTCTCTTCATGGTAAGACATAGCCTATGAATGCTATAGCTATTACTGTGAATAAAAGAATAATTCCAATGTTTCAGGTTTCTAGAAAGGTACAGACCTCAGCCTACATGAATAAACAGATAAAGAATATAGATATCCATTAGCAGGCAGATATTAAATGATTCAGCCATAGCTTACATTTCAGCAGATGTGTGTGATAGAGGAAAACACAGTTACTGTGTCTGAGGTACAGTGTATAGCTAGGAAAAGCCCTGTAATGATTTGTAAAGCTAGGCAAACTCAGTCTGAAGAAACCGAAATTTCTTCATGTTGAGTTGTTTTATGGTGCAGGTAGATCAATAAATAAGAATTTTTATTAGGAAGTGAGATTTTTAAATGTTGGTTATCAGAGCTCTGACAGTTGACGTGCAATGATGATTTTTCACGTGATTGGTCATGATTAGATTCCATGTGAGAATTATGACATATACTATATTTTGTTACTATTTTTGTTGTAGGCATCATAGGACTTTCTTCAAAACTTTTACCTATTACATGGGTTTAGGGTTATCAATGGTGGTGTGGAATGCAGGATTGTAATAAATTTTGGTGGATGTTTTATGGGAATGATAGTGTTTTAAATTTATTTAGCAGGGATACTGGTAGTATTTAGAATCCTATAACCATAGCTACTAAATACAATCCTGAAATGTGAGGATCTGGTGTTGTTATTTGGGGGAGGTTCAAATCCTAACAATAGTTAGGATTATTAATATAATTATTTAATCATTGTATAAATAATAGGCTATGATGAAATAAAAATTATTATTGATTTCAAAAATTTAGAGGATTGGGTGATTTTTGAGGGTAAAGAAGTCAGGCTTCTTTGTGAAGATTCTATAGGTGTGGTTGCATTGTACAGTTAATGGAGTTGATTCATGGTCGTAAGTGACTGATCCTTTTGTTAATATTTTGTTGTTATTGAAATTACTCACAGTAATTAAGTGGCTAGAAGTATAGATAATAAAAATGAAATGAAGAAAGAGAAAAAATATAATTTAATTAGGCCATTTTGGTTAGGGATACTTACTGAGGCTATTATTTGGAGATGAGATAATTTTTGGTATTTTTCTAGTCAAGTCTAATTAAAGTGATGCTGTATTTTGACTTTTAGAAAGGTTTAGGTACGCTGATAAATGGTGAACAACTGTTGGAAAAACCCTAGAAGGTTAGAAAATTTATATATGTATGAGGAGAATTCAAATTTGAGATTACATGTTATTAGGTTAAATTCTAATTGCCATAATGAAGCCTAAGATAGTTATGGCAAGGGCTGAAAGTTTTAGGTATAATGGCATAGTCATTTGGGGAATAGTTACAGGAGAAATGTTGTTGGAAATTTTTAAAAAAGCAAAAATACTACCAATTGTTAAAGGTTTAATTGAATTAATTAGGAAGGAGTTAATTTCACCGATAATAATGAAAGCTGAAAAACTAGGTAGTCCTAGGAGTGCAAAAAAGACAATTTGAGTACTGTAGACAGCTGTTAGGGAGGTGGTGATAAGTGTGATTAAAAGGGCTCAGGCAGTAGTATACAACATGCTTGCAGTTTTGATAAATAAGTCTTTGAAGTAGAAGCCTGTAAGGGAAGGTATGCCTATGAGTGCAAGGCTTCCAATAATAAGTAAGGAGGATTGAAGAGGTATGTATTTAAATAGACATCCTATTTTTTGAATATCTTGATCATCATTAAGGTTGTGGATGATGGCTCTGAATATATAAATAGTATAGCTTTAAAGAATGCATGTGTCTAGATGTGGAGAAGTGCTAGATGTAGTTGATTAATACCAATAATGACTATTATAAGACCTAGTTGTCTTGAGGTACAAAATGTGACAATCTTTTTGATGTCACTTTGTGTTAGGGCACAAATTGCCGTAAATGTAGTGGTAATAGCACCTCAGCATATTTTTAGTGTTTGGATTGTTTTATTATTTTCTATTAGTGCATAAAATTGGGTTAAGAGCCCCTGTTATAACACTGTGATGAAATGGAGTAGGGCTGAGACAAGTGTTGGACCTTCTATTTCTGATGGTAATAATGGGTGAAGGCCAAATTGGGCAAACTTGTCAGTTGCCAGAATGACTCCACTTAATGGAAGGATATTGGGATAGGAATTGAGCATAAAAATTTGTTGCATTCTCATGTATTTGAATATAATAAAAAACCCATATTATTGTAGTATAAATCCAGTATCTCCCATGCAGTTACATAAAATTGTTTGGAGGGCTGCTGTATTTGTGTCTATTCAACCATATAATCAATTGACAAAAATAATATAATTCTTGCTTGTTCTCAAACAGTTGAAAGGAGTTGTTGAGAGTAACTAGAAATAGTATAGTGATAAGAAATATGAGCAAATACTTAAAGAATCAGTTAATGTTTGGATCTGAATGTATATAGCATATTGAGAACTCTATGATAGATCATGTAATAAAAAATGCTACTGATAAAAACCTATTCAACAAATGGTGCTGGGATAATTGGCAAGCCACATGTAGAAGAATGAAACTGGATCCTCATTTCTCGCCTTATACAAAAATCAACTCAAGATGGATCAAGTGCTGAAATCTAAGACCTGAAACCATAAAAATCCTAGAAGATAACACTGGAAAAACCCTTCTTGACATTGACTTAGGCAAAGACTTCATGACCAAGAACCCAAAAGCAAATTCAACAAAAACAATGATAAATAGGTGGGACTTAATTAAACTAAAGAGCTTCTGCACGGCAAAAGAAACAACCAGCAGGGTAAACAGACAACCCACAGAGTGGTTAAAAATCTTCACAATCAGATATTAGTCCGACAAAGGACTAATATCCAGAATCTACAAGGAACTCAAACAAATTAGCAAGAAAAAACAAACAATCCCATCAAAAAATGGGCTAAGGACATGAATAGAAAATTCTCAAAAGAAGATATACAAATGGCCAACAAACATATGAAAAAATGCTCAGCATCATTAATGATAAGGGAAATGCAAGTCAAAACCATAATGCAATACCATCTTACTCCTGCAAGAATGGGCATAATCTAAAAATAAAAAAAAAATAGATGTTGGCAGAGATGCAGTGAAAAGGGAACACTCACACTGCTGATGGGAATGTAAACTAGTACAACCACTATGGAAAACAGTGTGGAGATTCCTTAAACAACTAAAAGTAGAACTACTATATGATCCAGCAATCCCACTACTGGGTATCTACCCAGAGGAAAAGAAATCATTATATGAAAAAGATACTTTCCCGTGCATGTTTGTAACAGCAGAATTCGCAATTGCAAAAATATGGAACCAGCCCAAATGCCCATCAATCAATGAGTGAATAAAGAAAATGTATATGTATGTATGTGTGTGTGTGTGTGTATATATATATATATATACACACATACATATATATATACACAAACATATATAGATATAGATATAGATGTAGATGAAATACTACTCAGCCATAAAAAAAGAACAAAATAATGGCATTTACAGCAACCTGGATGGAATTGGAGACAATTATTCTAAGTAAAGTAACTCAGGAATGGAAAACCAAATATCATATGTTCTCACTCATAAGTGAGAGCTAAGCTATGAGGATGCAAAGGTGTAAGAATGCAACAATGGATTTTGGGGACTTGGAGGAAGGGTGGGGTGAGGAATAAAAGACTACAAATTGGGTACAGTGTATACTGCGCTGGTGATGGGTGCACCAAAATTTCATAAATCACTACTAAAGAACTTACTCAGGTAAGCAAACACCACCTGTTCCCCAAGAACCTATGGAAATTTTTTAAAATTTTTAAAAAGACATAATCTAGCTTGAAGGTGAGTGTTAATTTTAAAGTTTGGATCGTGACAGTTTGAAATAATTATTTATTGGCTCAAGCAAGTCAATATTATGGCTGGAATGGGGTTGGTTGTAAAAGTGTATGAAATAGAGATTTTTACATAGTGAGGTTAGAAATAACTTTATAAACAGTAGTTATAGTTACAATAATTGGTAGAATTAGGAGGATTAGTGAAATTGTGAAAAAAATGAAAAAATATATTTATTTACTTTTATTTGGAGTTGTATCGATTTTTTGGCTCCTAAGGCCAACAGATTACTTCTACCCTTTAAAAGTTGAGAAAGCCATATTGTTATACATGGGGGCATGAGTTAGTAGTTCTTATACACTTTCTTTTATTTTTTATTTTTTAATTTTACTTTAAGTTCTGGGGTACATGTGCAGAATGTACAGTTTTGTTACATAGGTATACATGTGCCATGGTGGTTTGCTGCACCCATGAACCCCACTGTCAATATTAGATCAACGAGACAGAAAAATTAACAAGGATATTCAGGACTTGAACTCAGCTCTGGACCAAGCAAATCTAACAGACATCTACAGAACTCTCCACCCCAAATCAACAGGATACACATTATTCTCAGCACCTCATCACACTTATTCTAAAATTGATGACATAATTGGAAGTAAAACACTCCTCAGCAAATGCAAAAGAACAGAAATTATAACAAACAGTCTCTCAGACCACACTGGAATCAAATTAGAGCTCAGGATTAAGAAACTCACTCAAAACTGTACAACTACATGGAAACTGAACAACCTGCTTCTGAATGACTACTGGGTGAATAATGAAATGAAGGCAGAAATAAACATGTTCCTTGAAACCAATGAGAATGAAGACACAATGTACCAGAATCTCTGGGACACATTTAAAGCAGTGTGTAGAGGGAAATTTATAGCACTAAAATGCCCACAACAGAAAGCAGGAAAGATCTAAAATTGACACCCTAACATCAAAATTAAAAGAACTAGAGAAGCAACAGCAAACAAATTCAAAAGCTAGCAGAAGACAAGAAATAACTAAGATAAGAGCAGAACTGAAGGAGATAGAGACACGAAAAGCCCTTCAAAAAAAATAAATGAATCCAGGAGCTGGTTTTTTGAAAAGATCAACAAAATAGACCGCTAGCAAGACTAATAAAGAAGAAAAAAGAGAAGAATCAAATAGACGCAATAAAAAATGATAAAGGGGATATCACCACTGATCCCACAGAAATACAAACTACCATCAGAGAATACTATAAACACCTCTATGCAAATAAACTAGAAAATCTAGAAGAAATGGATAAATTCCTGGACACATACACCCTCCCAAGTCTAAACCAGGAAGAAGTCAAATCCCTGAATAGACCAATAACAAGTTCTGAAATTGAGGCAGCAATTAATAGCCTACCAACCAAAAAAAGTCCAAGACCAGACGGATTCACAGCCAAATTCTACCAGAGGTACAAAGAGGAGCTGGTACCATTCCTTCTGAAACTATTCCAAACAACAGAAAAAGAGGGAATCCTCCTTAACTCATTTTATGAGGCCAGCATCATCCTGATACCAAAACCTGGCAGCGACACAACAAAAAAAGAAAATTTCAGGCCAATATCCCTGATGAACATCGATGCGAAAAACCTCAATAAAATACTGGCAAACTGAATCCAGCAGCGCATCAAAAAGCTTATCTACCACGATCAAGTCAGCTTCATACCTGGGATGCAAGGCTGGTTCAACATACACAAATCAATAAACATAATCCATCACATAAACAATTCTTGCACACTTTCTCAAAAAATAAGAAGTTTTAATTTTCTGCTGTTACATTTATAACCTAATGTTTCATTCAAACTATATTTACAGTATATGGGTCCTAGAATGATTTTTGGGTTAAGTGAGAAGAGTATATTATTTTGCAAATAGATATAGATATAGATAGGATCTCACTCTGTCACCCAGGCTGCAGTGCAGTGGTGCAATCATAGCTTGCTGCAGACTTAAACTCCTGGGCTCAAGCAATCTTTCCTCTTTAGCCTCCCAAGTAGCTGGACTACAAGCACATGCCACCATGTGCAGCTATTTTTATTTTTTGTAGAAAGGACTCCAGTAATCCTCCTGCCTCAGCCTCCCAAAGTGCTGGGATTACAGGCATGCATGACTGTGACTGGCATGGTTTGATATTATTAATGTGATACATAAATTTTCCTAATTATGTTATGATTAACATATAGAGAGAATATAAGGCCATAATAAATATACTAAATTTTACTACGGCAATGGTAAAATGAGATAATGAGAATGATGCTATAACTACAAATAACTCTCTAAGTTGATGGCTGGTGATAGGGCTAGGTTAGTTAGGCTAGCTAGTACTCATGTTAGCTACGAGAGGTAATAGTGTCTGTAGTCCTCGAGCTAATAGCATGGTTCAGCTATGAATTCATTCATAACTTGATGCAGAATAATATGGATGAGGTGAGGCCATGGGCAATTATTGGGGCTATTGCTCCTATAAAACTTCATGGTGTTCGGATAAGAACAACTACAACTACGAGTGCCATATGACTTTTGGATGAATATACCATGAGTGACTTTAAGTCCGTTTGGCATAAACAAATACAGTTTGCTATTTCTCACAAGGATAGTATAAGAAATGGGTAAGCTATAAATTCTGTTAGTGGATTTTAAATCACAGTAATTTGTATTATGCCATAGTCCCCTAATTTTCATAATATGACTGCAAGAACCATGGGCACAGCAACTGGGGCTTGTACCTGTGCTTTTGGTAATCAGAGGTGAAGGCCTAAAGGGGTATGTTTACTATAAATGCTATTATATATGCTAACCATAAAAGGCTATTAGATCAGGGGCTTGGTAGTAGTGCTTGAATTCAGTAGGAGGCTACTAAGAAGTTTAATAAGCCTATGGAGTTTTGGATATAAATTAGTGCTATGAGTAGGAGCAGGGAGCCAGTGTATAGAACAGGAAATAAGAGTCCTGTATTTAATCATTCTGTTTGATTTCCTCATCAGGTAATGACGATTAGTGTTGCTATTAGTGTTGCTTCAAAGAGCATATAAAATAGAATTCTGTAGCAGTAAATTTTATCATTAAAAACATTTGTAGAAAGATTAATAGAGAAATATGTAATTTTTTCATATATATGATTCTTTGCAGAGATGATGCTGACTGGCTATAATTATTAAGCAGAGCAATCACGTTAATATAAAAAGGGGGGCTGATTTTGAATCAAAGAAAAAGACTAATGAAAAACTTAGGCTATTTTCATTAGATTGGCTTAAGAGGCATAAGCTAATGAAAATAAATTAGTTAATTAGTTAATTGGTTAATAATTATAGCAAGTAGGATACCTCATACTTCTGGGGTTGGGGGCAGACTGAAGTGGTAGAAAGTTCAGAAGAAGCCTTTGAAGAAGATTTCTGACATGATAAATAGAAACATAGGCCTTTTTGAACAATTAATATGTGATGACCTTGAAAATCTGCTTTCTCGGACAATATCTCATCATCCCTGGTATATCATTAATCTATTGGTTTGCAGACCTAAAGATAATAAGATAGCTAGGTTAAAGTGAAATCATATTACTAAGTCAGATATTATTAGCAGGGCTGATAGAGCTCCTGTAAGTGGTCAGGGTCAAGGGTCAAATACATGATAGCTATGTATTTGGTAGGTCATTAAGTATTGTTGTGCAAGTAAAGACTAGTATAGTGAAGAGGTATGTTTGAATTTGGGCTGCAGCAAATTCAAAGATGGTAAATATAATTAAAATAATAAATATGGCTGGGCACAGTGGCTAACATCTGTAGTCCTGGCACTTTGGGAGGCTGAGGTGGGAGGATTGCTAGAGGTCAGGAGTTCGAGACCAACGTGGGCAACATGGTGAAACCCTGTCTCTACAAAAAATACAAAAATTAGCTGGGCGTCGTGGTGCACACCTGTAAGCCCAGCTACTTGGGAGGCTGAGGCCCAAGAATCGCTTGAACCTGCGAGGCGGAGATTGCAATGAGCCAAGATCGCGCCACTGCACTCCAGCCTGGGTGACAAACTGAGACTCCATCTCCAAAAAAAAAGTAAAAAAAGATATTAGTTTGGCATGGTGGAGTGCGCCTGTAGTCCCAGCTACTCAGGAGGTTGAGGTGGAAGGCTCACTTGAGCCCAGGAGTTTGAGGGTGCAGTAAGCCATGATTGTGCCATTGCATCCAGTTGGAGCATTGGAGCGAGACCTTGTATGCGTGTGTTTATGTGTGTGTATGCATATATGTATGTAAATGTTAAAATACATTCAAGCTGTTGCAAAACTAATGGATATTATCACTAGTGTGGCATTACTGATTAAGTGTATGAGTAGATGGATGGCTATAATATTGGCTGTTAGTTGTTCAGCCAGGGCTAAGTGTTGAATAAAAAGGTTAATTTTAATAAGTACAAGTATAGAGGTTAGTGGAATGGGTGATCCTTGTGGTAGCAAACAAGCCAATGACTCTTTTGTTTTGTGGTGGAAGTCAGTGATAACTGCTCTTGGTTATAGTGGGATATCTATATTTAGATTTATTGATAACTGAGTTATTGGCATAAATGAGTGGGTTAGTCATCCTGATGTTTGTTGAGGTAATAAATAGAATAAGTGAAATTAATATGAGGGATAAAGTTCACCCTTTGACATTGTATATTATTATAATTTGTTTTAATATGAGTTGCACTAATCATTGTATGGTGATTAGTTGATTATTGATTAGGTGATTGGGGTAGGGAATATAATGTTTGGGAATGAAATGATTAGAATATCAAGGGTAATTCTACTATTGTAAGGATAATGAAAGATGCCAATACATTTTTGTTTACTTTTTTTCTCAAGGGGTTTCATGTTATAATGCTTCAATATTTTTTGGTATTGGGCTTAAACAGTAGATATATTTTGAAGTTTTTAATTGAAATAAGATAAATAGTATAAGAATTATTAAAACCATAGTGATAAATCATGTTGACGTAGCTAGTTGTGGCATTTCATTGCAGAAAGATGAGTACTTTCAGTCTTTAACTTAAAAGGTTAATGCTATTTAACAGTGATATTATAACATAGATGTTAATAGTTTCAAAATGTTAATCAGTTTTTTAAATGATTTAGAGGAACTAATTCAGGTATAATAGGTATGAAGCCCTGATTTGATCCAAAAATTTCTGAGCACTGACCATAATATAGGCCTAGTCATGTGGATGTTGGGGTTGTTTGATTTAAACACCCTGTAATTCTGTCTGTTTTTAAGCCTAATGATGGAACAGTTCATGGATGTAATACATTTTCAAATGAGATTAGTATGCAAATTGATATTTCTATGGGTAAAACTACTCAATTATCAACTTCAAGTAATCGTAGCTCCCCTGGTTTAAGATCTGTTGTATGAATTATACAATAATCAAGGTTCATTTTTTTTTCTCAAGGGGTTTCATGTTAATCATTGGTGGCCTATAGTGTTTACAGTTAGGCAATTAGGTTCAAAATAATAGTGGGTAGAATAGTTCATACTGTCTACTTCTTGAGCATCTGTATATGTGTATAAGTTAATTTAGTTGTTAGTATTAATAAAACATTAATAGTATTAGTCCTCTATAATTAAGAAAATGGTTATTAATGTGTGGTGGTGGAAATGGAGAACGTCTATAAGAGTTGATATTGCATTGAGAAAGCCCAGTTAGAATGGGTACACCATAAAGATATAAAGAATTGTATGGTGGCTCATGCCTGTAATCCCAGCACTTTGGGAGGCCAAGGCAGGCAGATCATGAGGTCAGGAGATTGAGACAATCCTAGCTAACATGGTGAAACCCTGTTTCTACTAAAAAAATACAAAAAATTAGCTGGGCGTGGTGGCTGGCACCTGTAATCCCAGCTACTCGGGAGGCTGAGGCAGGAGAATGGCATGAACCTGGGAGGCGGAGCTTGCAGTGAGCCGAGATTGCACCACTGCACTCCAGCCTGGGTGACAGAGCAAGACTCCGTCTTAAAAAAAAAAAAGAATTTTAACCTATAAATAAACTGAAAAAAATTATGTAATATTTTTACTAATATCTTGCTTGTTGAGAAAGCCATAATTGTTATGGGACTGGCTTGAAATCAGTAATAGGGGATTTGATTCCTTTCTTTTTTATTTTAGGCCTTTATGTAAGCAGCTCTTCAAATCTATGATATGGTGGTAGACAGCCATGAAGTCATTTGAGGTTTATATTTGAAAGTTCTAGTACTGAGACTTCTCATTTTGAATAGAAGTCTTAACAGATTATGAAAATCCTTAACATTAATGCTGTTAATGAAATGAATGAGCCTATCAATGATGGCATTTCATATTGCATATGTATGGAGTAATTGAAGTATTGTTGGGCATTCCTAATAGGCCAAGGAAATGTTGGAAATGTTTCTTTGTGGAAAGGAAGTTAACACCGGCTGGGCACGGTGGCTCACGCCTGTAATCCCAGCACATTGGGAGGCCGAGACGGGTGGATCACGAGGTCAAGAGATCGAGACCATCCTGGCCAACATGGTGAAATCCCGTCTCTACTAAAAATACAAAAATCATCTGGTTGTGGTGGTGCGCACCTGTAGTCTCAGCTACTCGGGAGGCTGAGGCAGGAGAATTGCTTGAACCTGGGAGGTGGAGGTTGCAGTGAGCTGAGATCGCGCCACTGCACTCCAGCCTGGCAACAGAGCAAGACTCTGTCTCAAAAAAATAAATAAATAAAATAAATAAATAAATAAATAAAGTTAACACCTACAAATATAATTGTAAAATAAATTTTGACTCAAGTTAAATTAGGTGTATAACCTGAAAATAGTAGGAATCAGTGGACAAATCCTCCTATAATGGCAACGACTGTTCCTATTGGTAGAACATAAAAGAGACAAGCTATGACATAATATGCATCATGAAGGACAGTATCTAGTGATGAGTTAGCTAATACAATATTAGGCCTCTGAATGTAAATAAAAAGATAAAACCTAACACTCATAATATAGTGAAGCATACACAAGTATCAACAGCCAAATCTACCAAGCAGAAGAACAGATATCAGAGTATGAAGACCACCTTACTGATATAAGACATGCAGAGAAGAACAGAAAAAAAAAAAAGAATAAAAAGGACTGAACAAAGGCTTCAAGAAATGTGGGACTTCATAAAAAGACCAAACCTAGGATTGACTGGAGTACCAGAAGGAGATGTGGAGAATGCAAACAAGCTGGAAAACACACTTCAGGATATTATTCAGGAGAACTTCCCCAACCTAGCAAGACAGGCCAACATGCAAATTCAGGAAATACAAAGAACTCCACCAGAAGAGATACTCCACGAGAAGATCAACCCCAAGACACATAATCATCAGATTCTCCAAGGTTGACATGAAGGAAAAACCGTTAAGGGCAGCCAGAGAGAAAGACCAGGTCACCTACAAAGGGAAGCCTATCAGACTAACAGCAGATCTCTCAGCAGAAACTCTACAAGCCAGAAGAGACTGGGGGCCAATATTCAACATTCTTAAAGAAAAGAATTTTCAACCCAGAATTTCATATCCAGCCAAACTAAGCTTCAGAAATGAAGGAGAAATAAAATCCTTTCCAGACAAACAAATGCTGAGGGATTTCGTTACCACCAGGACTGCCCTGCAAGAGCTCCTGAAAGAAGCACTAAATATGGAAAGGAAAAACCAGTATCAGGCACTGCAAAAACACACCAAAATATAAAGACCAATGACACTACAAAGAAACTGCATCAACGAGCGCACAAAATAACCAAATAGCATCATGATGACAGGATCAAATTCACACATAACAATACTAACCTTAAATGTAAATTGGCTAAATGTGCCAATTAAAAGACATAGACTGCCAAATTGGATAGAGTCAAGACCCAAGACCCATCAATATCCTGTATTCAGGAGAAACATCTCACGGGCAAAGACACACAGAGGCTCAAAGGGATGGAGGAAAATTTAACAAGCAAATGGAAAGTTAAAAAAAAAAAGAAAAAAAAAAAGCAAGTAGAGGTTGCAATCCTAGTCTCTGACAAAACTGACTTTAAACCAACAAAGATCAAAAAACACAAAGAAGGGCATTACATAATGGTAAAGAGAACAATTCAACAAGAGCCAACTATTCTGAATATATATGCACCCAATACAGGAGCACCCTGATTCATAAAACAAGTTGTCAGAGACCTACAAAGAGACTTAGATTCCCACACAATAATAGTGGGAGACTTTAACACCCCATTGTCAATATTAGAGCAACAAGACAGAAAATTAACAGGGATATTCAAGACTTGAACTCAGCTCTGGATCAAGTGGACCTAGCAGACATTTACAGAACTCTCCACCCCAAATCAACAGAATATACATTCTTCTCAGTGCCACATGGCACTTATTCCAAAATCAACCACATAACTGGAAGTATGCAAAAGAACTGAAATCATAACAAACAGTCTCTCAGACCACAGTGCAATCAAATTAGAACTCAGGATTAAGAAACTCAATCAAAACCACACAACTACTTGGAAATTGAACAACTTGCTCCTGAATGACTCCTGGGTAAATCATGAAATTAAGGGAGAAATAAAGATGTTCTTTGAAACCAATGAGAACAAAGAGACAACATACCAGAATCTCTGGGACACAGCTAAAGTAGTGTTAAGAGGGAAATTTATAGCACGAAATGCCCACATCAGAAAGCTAGAAAGATCTCAAATCGACACCCCAACATCACAATTGAAAGAGCTAGAGGCAAGAGCAAACTAATCCAAAAGCTAGCAGAAGACAAGAGATAACTAAAATCAGAGAAAACTTGAAGGAGATAGAGACATGAAAAACCCTTCAAAAACCAAATGAATCCAGGAGCTGTTTTTTTGAAAAAATTAACAAAATAGATAGACCACTAGCTAGACAAGAAGAAGAGAGAGAAGAATAAAATAGACACAATAAAAGTTGATAAAGGGATATCACCACTGACCTCACAGAAATACAAACTACCATCAGAGAATACTATAAACACCTCTACACAAATAAACTAGAAAATCTAGAAGAAATGGATAAATTCCTGGACACATACACCCTACCAAGACTAAACCAGGAAGAAGTTGAATCCCTGAATAGACCAATAACAAGTTTTGAAATTGAGGCAGTAATTAATAGCCTACCAACCAAAAAAAGTCCAGGACCAGACAGATTCACAGCTGAATTCTACCACAAATACAAAGAGGAGTTGGTACTATTCCTTCTGAAACTATTCCAAACAATTGAAAAGGAATGATTCCTCCCTAACACATTTTATGATGCTAGCATCATCCTGATACCAAACCTGGCAGAGACAGAACAAAAAAAGAAAACTTCAGGATAATATCACTGATGAACATTGATGTAAAAATCCTCAATAAAATACTGGCAATCTGAATCCAGCAGCACATCAAAAAACATATCCACCATGATCAAGTCAGCTTCATCCCTGGGATGCAAGTCTGGTTCAACATACACAAATCAATAAATGGAATCCATCACATAATCAGAACCAAAGACAAAAACCACATGATTATCTCAATAGATGCAGAAAAGGCCTTTGATAAAATTCAACATCCCTTCATGTTAAAAACTCTCAATAAACTAAGTATTGATGGAACATATCTTAAAATAATAAGAGCAATTTATGACAAACCCACAGCCAATATCATACTGAATGGGCAAAAGCTGGAAGCACTCCCTTTGAAAACTGGTACAAAGCAAGAATGCCCTCTCTCAAAACTCCTATTCAACATAGTATTGGAAGTTCTGGCCAGGGCAATCAGGCAAGAGAAAGAAATAAAGTGTATTCAAATAGGAAGAGAGGAAGTCAAGTTGTCTCTGTTTGCAGATGACATGATTTTATATTTAGAAAACCCCATCATCTCTGCCCAAAAACTTCTTGAACTGATAAGCAATTTTAGCAAAGTCTTAGGATACAAAATCAATGTGCAAAAATAACATTTCTTTACACCAACAATAGGCAAGCACAAAGCCAAATCGTGAATGAACTCCCATTCACAATCGCTACAAAGAGAATGAAATACCTAGGAATACAGCTAACAAGGGATGTGAAGGAACTCTTCAAGGAGAACTACAAACCACTGGCTCAAGGAAATAAGAAAGGACACAAATAAATGGAAAAACATTCCATCTTCATGGATAGGAAGAATCAATATCACGAAAATGGCCATACTGCCCAAAGTAATTTATAGATTCAATGCTATTTCCATCAAACTACCATTGACATTCCTCACAGAATTAGAAAAAAAAACTACTTTAAATTTCATATGGAATCAAAGAAGACCCTGTATAGCCACGACAATCCTAAGCAAAAATAACAAAGCTGGAGGCACCATGCTACCTGACTTAAAACTATACTACAAGGCTACAGTAACCAAAACAGCATGGTAGTGTTACCAAAACAGATATATAGACCAATAGAACAAAACAGAGACCTCAGAAATAACACCACACATCTACAACATTCTGATCTTTGACAAACCAGACAAAAACAAGCAATGGGGAAAGGATCTCCTATTCAGTAAATGGTGCAGGGAAAACTGGCTAGCCATATGCAGAAAACTGAAACTGGACCCCTTCCTTACACATTATACAAAAATTAACTCAAGATGGATTAAAGAATTAAATGTAATATCCCAAACCATAAAAACTCTGGAAGAAAACCAAGGCAGTACGATTCAGGACATAGGCATGGGCAAAGACTTCATGACAAAAATGCCAAAAGCCATTGTGACAAAAGCCAAAATTGACAAATGGGATCTAATTAAACCGAAGAGCTTCTGCACAGCAAAAGAAACTATCATCAGAGTGAACAGGCAACCTACAGAATGGGAGAAAAATTTTGTAATCCACCCATCTGACAAGTATTTAATGCCCAGAATTTACAAGGAACTTAAACATATTTACAAGAAAAAGATAACTCCATCAAAAAGTGGGCAAAGGATATGAACAGACACTTTCAAAAGAAGACATTTACACAGCCAACAAACATATGAAATAAAGCTCAACATCACCGATCATCAGAGAAATGCAAATCAAAACCACAATGAGATACCATCTCACACCAGTCAGAGTGGTGATTATCAAAAAGTCAGAAAACAATAGGTGCTGGAGAGGCTGTGGAAAAATAGGAACTATTTTACACTGTTGGTGGGAATGTAAATTAGTTCAACCATTGTGGAAGACAGTGTGGTGATTCCTCAAGGATCTAGAACCAGAAATACCATTTGACCCAACAATCCCATTACTGGGTATATACTCAAAGGAATATAAATCATTCTACTATGAAGACACATGCACACATATGTCTATTGCAGCTATTTATAATAGCAAAGACATAGAACCAATCCAAATGCTCATCAATGATAGACTGGATAAAGAAAACGTGGTAAATACACACCATGGAATACTATGCAGCCATAAAAAGGAATGAGATCATGTACTTTGCAGGGACATGGATGAAGCTGGAAGCCATCAACCTTAGCAAACTAATGCAGGAACGGAAAACCAAACACTGCATGTTCTCACTCATAAGTGGGAGTTGAACATTGAGAACTCATGGACACAGAGAGGGGAATGACACACACCAGGGCCTGTTGGGGGGTGGGGGTGTGAGGGGAGGGAACTTAGAGGATGGGTCAATAGGTGCAGGAAATCACCATGGCACATGCATACCTATGTAACAACCTATGTAACAAACCTGCACATTCTGCACATGTATCCCATTTTTTGTTAGAAGAAATAAATAAAAAAATTAACATTATTAACATCTGTGTTTCTCTCTGTATGCACTTTTAAAGTACTTGTGACATTGAGTTACAGGGGTTTGACTCCTGGGTCTAAAAAGGACACCAAGTCCTGCTAAATTTTAAACACTGACAGCAGTTAAAGCCCCATCTTCAGGCCTGGTAGAAGATGCCAATCAAAATAAACTGCATTCCTGAAACACAGGGCCAGAAATTAGAGCTATTCAACTCCTCAAGGCCCAGGGACTATCGCAGAAGAGGTGGGCATATGAGATTATAAGGGCCAATTTTGAGACATAAAATAAATTCAGTTTCCCTATAAATTAATCATTAATGTCAAAGGCACACTGATGCAAGACCAGCATATGCGCCCATGTCAGATTAACAAGGTTTTCTTGAAGCATTAACTGACTCCTAAATAGAGGTTATAAAGGTTATGAAAGGCTTATGGAAGCTATTATCTTATGGTCAAAATTAAAATTTTATAGACTACAAAATTTTGAAAAACACTTAATTGGCTTCATGCTCTTTTTATTAGGGCTGACTGTTTGGAAAATCAAGTCTCTTCTATCAAAGAATGAAGGTTTTCACCTTTTTTTTGAAATCCTTGAGTTATCATTTTGATCAAATGAATGACTTATTTTACAATGACCTGTGATATCAAGTGTTTTAACCCTTTGATATTTGACAAACTTTCCAAAATCAAATTACAAATTATATCTTTTTCTGATCTAATTAATCCTTTGAGATATTAGTTTCCCTAAAGTCCAAAAATGAAATAATTTGGCTTATTTGGTATAAAAATTATACAGGAAACAGTGTCAAATATGAAAAGGTATTTGGTTTTCTTTAGGATGTATTTGTATAAATGTTATTGGTATGTGTTCCAAAATCACGGGAAACTCCTATAATTCTGATATGACTTAGTGTACATTATTAGTAATAATTATAATTGTTATGTTAAATTATTGTATGCCACAGAGGTAACAAATTTCCTTGTCAATTGTGTCTTTGACTATGGTTGCCCTAAAAGCTTTTGTCATTCACAGACAATTGTCTTGTTTGATCCTCCTTAGAAGGTGGTTTTATAATCAGCCATAGAACTGTGTAACAGGCGTTGTTAAACGCAGGTTTCTGATAACTTTGGAGTTTGTGACATTAGAATAGAGGAAAAAACTTTCAGGACTCTCATGAAGAGCTGAAATGTTCATGAATATCAAGCAGAACAGGAGTTAACTGTGTGAACTGAACTAATAGAAGACTAAAGTAATCTTTTTAACTTTTTGGTTAAAACCTTGCTAATCCTTTGTTTTGTTTTTCAGAGTCAGGAAAACTTTCAAGCTAGTTACAGCTTGTAACAATTGAGTAAACTATACTCCTGTGAACAAAATTTGAAGCATATTTCTCTCTACCTAATTTCTCCAGAATTTGGAAACTATTTGTGAGTATTCTTAACTTATGACAATATAGTTATTTGCGTAAGTGCAATAAGAATCTGTTTTCATGTGTAACAGGACACAATTGAAGAAACTGGTTATTTTACCAAGGCTTTGACTGGAATGGTGTGCTATCCTTTAAGGTATCAAACCTAATTTACGGAGCCAATAACAGCCCCTTGGAAAAAGTAGCCTCTTACCTTTGTCTGCACAGCTCTGTACAGGGTTCCTAACCGGTGGCAAGTAAAGAATGTCACTTTCTGACAGGCCCAGGAGCCCCAAGTTTATCTTGGAACCTCAAGAGAAGAGGAAATTCACCCAACTCACAGGAATTTGATGGCACAAATCCATGGCTGGGCTCGGCTTTAAAAAAGTCTTATCTGAGATTCCTTCTATGGAACAAAGTACCATTGAAGCCAATTTAAAAGCCTATGTAAAAAATAATTATTCTTGCTGCATTGTATACAAATAATTAGGCCAAGTAGAATAAAGCAAACCAGTCCTACCATAATTTGTCTTTAGTAAAAATGGGAAACTGGAGAGAGAAAAATGGTTTCAAAACTATAGTACACCTGTTGTTAGATTCTAATCTTGCCTAACATTTTTCCATTTTATTATTTTCTACTGTTTGGATAGAATTCTAATTTTTCTTGGCTACAAGCCTGCAAAATAATGTTTTCAACTTTCTTTTCCTTTTTTCCCCATTTTTCCTAATTTTAAGTCACTGAAACTAAGCTGTGTTTTCATATAGCCCTGTGAACTGAAGCTAGACAATTTAAACTACAGCAAAAATAAGAGCAACCTATTTACATACATAAGCCACCTTCATACCTGCCTACTGATGTATGGACTTCAGAGTAACGTTGCCTATATTGATTTTCCAGGTTCGTTCTTTTGTTTGTTGTTGTTTTTCTCCCTTCCTTCCCCTATTTTTTCTTCATAGGACATGAGACTTAACAACCTGCTAAAAATGAGCTTTTCCTAATAAATCAGGACCTACCTGTCTAGGAAAAAACCATCCTAGCCATGAGAGATCAGATAAAACCTGGGACCAGAGACTCATTTTCTTCTAAAATGCTTTCTCCAAAAGATTTTTAAAAATAAAAGGTTGGGGATGTGGGGGGGAATGTGAAAGGAAAATATCTTGGGCCCCCAAAATCACTAAGCTAAAGGGAAAATTCAATCTGGGAACTGCCTGGGGTAAACCTGCCTCCCATTCTATTCAAAGTCATCCCTCTGCTCACTGAGATAAATGCATACCTGATTGCTCCCTTTGGAAAGGCAAATCAGAAACTCAAAAAAAATGCAACCAAGTTTCTCTCACCTACCTGTGACCTGGAAGCCCCTTCCCTGCTTCAAATTGTCCTGCTTTTGTTTAGAGTTGTCCCATCTTTCCAGACCAAACTAATGTTCATTTTACATATGTTGATCGATGGTTCATGTCTCCCTAAATTGTATAAAACCAAGCTGTGCTCTGACCACCCTGGGCACATGTCATCAGGACCTCCTGAGGCTGTGTCATGAGCACATATCCTCAACCTTGGCAAAATAAACTTTCTAAATTAGCTGAGATTTGTCTCAAATTTTGGGGATTCACAGTAGAAAGAATGTTTTAAATTTGTGAGCTGTCATTTTGTTTTTATGTTAATGTTTGTTGGAAACACGGTTAATGATGTAGGATAGATTAATCGTATATAAAAGTATGGGTTGAGTAACACTATAATAGCTTTAAATGTTGCCATGATGATGGTGTGGTTTTTGTTAGTTCTTGAATAATAATTCATTTGAGAAGAAATCCTGTAAGTGGGGGTAGACCTAAGGATAAAAGGGTAATAAGGATTATGGAAATTATTAATGGTAACTTATTCCATATGTGTGATAGTGATAGGGTTGTGGTGTTTGTATTTAAGCTAAATATTATGAATATGGTGAGTATTAGGATTACATAAATTAGTAAATTTAGAATTATTGTGGAAGGGCTATAAAAGAAGGTAGTTGTTTTTCAGCCTATGTGTGCAATTGATGTGTAGGCTAAGATTTTTCAAAGTTTTGTCTGATTAAGTCCTCCTCACCCTCTTACTAGAACAGACAACATAGCAATTTTTAGCATTATATTTAGATCAACTGATGATGATACCTGAAACATAATTGAAATTGGTGCTAGTTGTTGTCAATCAAGAAAAATGAGGAGACAAGTCTCAATTATTTTAGGAGGTTTATTTGCCAAAGTTAAGGATGTGCACCCAGGAAACAGGTCTATGCCTTTCTCCTAAGATGATTTTGAGGGCTCCAAATTTAAAGGGAAAAGGGCAGGGTATTGAGAAGTACACAATTTTCATGTAAGAGGGGGATAAGGAAAAATAGTGATTCATGTCTTTGTCTGGCTCAGTGAATCTGCATTTTTACTTAGGATGACACAGACAAATGGGGCAGAGGAAAAATGCAGGGAATCTGTATTTTTACATAAGATAACATAGGCAAAATGGGGCAGGGGAACAATCAGATATGCATTTGTGTCACGTGGGCAGGGGAGTGATTGCACCTGTCAATGAGCTATGGAGTTACATTGTCATGGTGAAATTTTAACAGAAACACCTTAGGGTAAAGATCTTGGAGCTCACTAGGAATTTCCTTGTGGGCAAAATATGGGGGAAGCATGTAGCTTTTCATCTTGTAGTCATCTTATTTAGGAATCAAAAGGGGGAGACAGTTTTGAGTGACCCAGTTCCCGGCTTAACTTTTCCCTTTGGCTTAATGAGCTTGGGGTCCCAAGATTTATTTTCCTTTCACATTGTCATCATGTTAGTAGAATTACAACTGATGTTACTGAGATTTCTTGTGTAACTACTGGCACTTCAAAATGGAAGGGTGATAATCCAAATCTCATAACTAGTGCTATAATAATTATTAGGGATGCTGTTTGGCTGGAAATTTTTACAACTCTTCATTGTCCAGAGTACAATATATAATGATAATGAGCATTGTTAGGAGTATAGATAGAGGTGCTTGTGTTAATATGTAGCTACTTCTGTGGATCATGGGTTTGCTTATTTGATTAAAATGGGGGTAATGATATATATTTATTTCTAGTCCTATTCAGATTATTAATCACTGTGAGCTGAATAAGTGATTATGGTTCCTATGAACAGAGTAGATGGGATGGTAGAAAAGATTAAGGGATTAATTAGTACAAAAAGGATATAAACCAAAATTTTCAGGGTATGGACAGAACAGCTTATTAAGCTGCCCTTACTATAGAATATAGTGTATCAGGTAGCACAAAGATTTTTGAATTCTTAAGAGAGTAGGTTCAATTCCTATAATCCTGTAAATAGAGGATTTAAACCTCTTTTATTTACTCTATGAAAATAATTTTTATTAGACTTTTTAAAATGTTTTTGGTAGAATACTAGATAGTAAAATGGGCATATAGATGTGTCATGCATAATGCTAGTGCAAATGCTAAAAAAAAATTTTCAAACAGGTGCGTGAGTTGATCATATTGGAATTGTGGATATGATGCATGAACTCATAAGAGGAGTGTTTTAATGATAGAATTGATTACATAAATTTCCTGTATGTGAATGTCATGGAGTGCCCCTAGAAAAATGATAGTGTTTAGTGCTTATTATATTGATGTTGGTGTATTCTGCTATTTAAAACATTTGGGCAAATAGGCCTGCAGCATAGTCAACTTTAAAGCCTGTTACCAGTTCTGACTCATCCTCTGTCAGAATGAATAGAGCTCAAGTAGTTTCTGTTAGTGTTGAAATAAATTTTATTATGAACAAGGGTCATGATGGAAGAACTAGTCATATATATTCTATGGTAATAATTAGAATATTGACAGTGTAAATGATCTGTTTATTAGGAGAACTGGTAATAGGATAATGGCTAGGGTGACTTCATATGAAATTGTTTGTGCTGCTGCTCATAGTGTACCAATTAATGCATAATTTGAATTTGATGCTCATCCTGATCATAGGATAGAAGATATGGCTAGGCTTGATGTACCTAAGATGAATAGCATTCCTATGTTTAGGCTAATTAATGGATGTGGTATAGGTAATGGGATTCATATAGTAAGTACAAGGGGTAGGGCTAGGGTAGGTGCAATACTGTATAAGAGTATAGAAGATGTCAGTGGTCACAGTGGCTCTTTAACAGTTTTATTGTGCCTACAAAGGGTTGAAGTAGGCCACAGGGGCCTATACTGTTAGGCCCTTTGAGAAGCTGCATATAGGCTAATACATTTTGTTCAACTAATGTTAAGAATGCTATAGAGAGAATGGCAGGGGTAATGAGTAGGTTAAGATCAATTATAAACACACTGTTAAGAAGAATAGTTGGCTGGGTGTGGTGGCTTATGCCCGTAATCCCAGTACTTTGGGAGGCTGAGGTGGGCGGATCATGAGGTCAGGAGATCGAGACCATCCTGGCTAACACGGTAAAACCCCATCTCTACTAAAAATACAAAAAATTAGCCAGGCGTGGTGGCACGCACCTGTAGTCCCGGCTACTCAGGAGGCTGAGGCAGGAGAATCACTTGAATCCGGGAGGTGGAGGTTGCAGTGAGCCGAGATCATGCCACTGCACTCCAGCCTGGGTGGGAGAATGAGATTCTGCCTCAAAAAAAAAAAAAAAAAAAAGTTGAGGAGAGGGGCAGAGTAAGATAATGAGATAATGGAATAGAAGGCCCCACCGATTGTCCCAACACCCCCTGACAAGGGTGCCAACTTAACAACTATCTACACACAAAAAAGCACCTTCATAAAAGCCAAACGCCCGTTAACCACTCACAGTACCAGGTTTGAATTTCATATCACTGAAGGAGGCACTGAAGAGGCAGGAAAAACAGTCTTGAATACTGAACACCACCCCTTCCCTGTCGCCCCCATTGCCCAGCAGCAGCAACCTGGTGCTGAGAGTTTCTGTGTGCTGGAGAGAGGGAGGGCCAGCAATTGTGAGGCATTGAACTCAGCACTGCCCTTGTTACAGCAGAAAGCAAAACCGGACCAAACCCACCTAATGCCTACCCATGGAGGGAGAATTTAAACCAGACCTAGCCAAAGCAGAATTGCTGATCCCAGTGGTCCGAACTTGAGTTTCCACAGGCCTCACCACTGTGACCTAAAGTGCTTGGGGTCTCCGAATAAATCTGAAAGGCAGTCTAGGCCACAAGGATTGCAACACCTGACGAGTCCTAGTGCTAAACTGGGCCCACTGCCAGTGGACTAGAGGGGCACTTGACCTACTAAGACATCAGCCTGCACAACTAAGGGAGTGCTGGTATCACACATCCCCTAAACCCAGGTTGCAAAGCTCTCGGCTCCAAAAGAGATCTCTTGCTTCCACTTGAGGACAAAGAACAGTGGGAGGACTTTGTCTTGCATCTTGGATATCAGCTCAGCCACAGCAGGATAGAGGACCAATTAGAGTCATGAGGTCCCCTTTCCAGGCCCTAGCTCCCAGATGACATTTCTACACAAACCCTGGGCCAGAAGGGAACCCACTGCTTGAAGGGAAGGACCTAGTCCTGCTCCTGGCAGAATTTATCACCTGCTAACTGAAGAGCCCTTGAGCCCAGAATAACCAGTGGTGATACCCAGGTAATATGTTGAGGGCCTTGGGTGAGACTCTGAGACTTACTGGCTTCAGGTGACACTCAGCACATTCCCAACTGTGTTGGCTATGGAATGAGACTCCTTCTGCTTGAGAAAAATAGAGGGAAAAGTAAAAGGAACTTTGTCTTACACTTTAGGTACCAGCTCAGCCACAGGGGGGTAGAGCACCAAGTGGGCTCCTGGGATCCCACTTGGTGGGACTAATTCCAGGACTTCATTCTTCGATAGTATTTCTTAACCTGCCCTGGGCCAGAGGGGAGTCCACTTCCCTGAATGGTGAACCCCAGGTGAGTCACTATTCACCACAAGCTGACTGAAGAGACTTTGGGCCTTAAGGGAGGATCAGAAGTAATCTGGCAATATTCCTGTGGGCCTGAGGTGGCATTGGCCATGAGGTGAGGCTCCTCTGCCTTTGGAAAGGGGAGAAAAGAGTGGGAAAGACTGCATCTTGTGGTTTGAGTGCCAGCTCATCCACAGTGCACTAGAACGCCAGGCAGACTTCTAAGGTTTTTGACTCTAGTCCCTAGATTCTGGATGACACCTCTGGATCCACCAAGGCCCTGAGGGAACTTGCTTCCCTGAAGGGAAGGACATGGGCCTAGCTAGCTTTGCCACCTGAAGATTGTAGAGCCCCAGGGCTTTAAGCAAACATAGGTGGTAGCCAGGAAGTGGTTACAGCAGGCCTTGGGTGAGACCCAGTGATGTGCTGGCTTCAGGTCAGGCCCAGCACAATCCTAGGCTTGCGGTCCCACCTAAAGCAGATACAGTTTAGATCACAACATTCAAGTCCTTTTGGAAAGCCTTCCCAAAAAGGATGGGTAAAAACAAGCCCAGACTGAAGAGTACAATAAATACCTAACTCCATTATGCCCAGACACAGACAAACATCTACAAGTATCAAGACCAGCCAGGAAAACATGACCTCACCAAATGAACTAAATAAGGTCACATATCTCTATTTCTCCAGGATTGGTCCCTGGAAACACACTTCACCTATAAAGGCACATATAAGCTGAAAATAAAGCAATGAAAAAAGATATTCCATGTCAACAGCAACCAAAAAAGAGCATGAATATCTATACTCATATGAGACAAAATAGATTTCAAGACAAAAACTATAAGAAGAGACAAAGAAGGTCACTATATAATGATGAAAGGATCAATTCAGCAAGAGGAAATAACAATTTTAAGAATATATATATACCCAACACTGGAGCACCCAGGTATATAAAGCAAATATTACTAGAGCTAAAGAGATATATAGATTCCAATGTAATAATAGCTGGAGACGTCAACACCTCACTGTCAGCATTGGAAAGATCTCCCAGACAGAAAATTAACAAAGAAATTTTGGACTTAATCAAAACTATGGATCAAATGGACCAAATAGAAATTTACAGAATATTTTATTCAATGGCTGTAGAACACACATTCTTTTCCTCAGCACAGGGCTCATTCTCAAGGATAGACCATATGGCAGGTCACAAAACAAGTCTGAAAACATTCAAAAAACTAAAATAATATCAAGCATCTTCTCTGACCACAATGGAATGAAATTAAAAATCAATAACAAGAGGAATTTTGGAAACTATGCAAAAATGTGGAAATTAAACATTATGTTCCTGAATGACCTGTATGAAAAGAAAGAAATTAAGAAGGAAGTTGAAAAAGTTATTGAAACAAATAATAATGGAAACACTAAAACCTATGGGATACAGCAAAAGCAGTACTCAGAGGGAAGTTTATAGGTATAAATGTCTACATCAAATGTAAAAACCTTCAAATAAACAACTTAATGATGCATCTTAAAGAACTACAAAAGCAAGAATAAATCTCAAACCCCAAATTAGAAGAAAATAAATGAAGATCAGAGCAGATATAAATGAAATAAAAATGAAGAAAACAACACAAAAGATCACCGAAACAAAAACTTGGGTTTTTGCAAAGTTAAATGAAATTGACAAACCTGTATCCAGACTAAGAAAATAAAAGAAGACACAAATAAATAAAATAAGAGATGAAAAAGGAGACATTACAGCTGATAGCACAGAAAAGCAAATGATCATTAGTGGCTAATATGAGTAACAATATGCCAATAAATTTGAAAATCTAAAAGAAATGAACGGATTTTAGACACATACAACCTACCAAGATTGAACCAGGAAGAAATCCAAAACCTGAACCGACACATAACAAGTAATGAGATTAACGCAGCTCCTCACCAGCAATGGAACAAAGATGGACAGCAAATGACTCTGACGAGTTGAGAGAAGGCTTCAGATGATCGAACTACTCCGAGCTAAAGGAGCAAGTTCGAACCCATGGCAAAGAAGTTAAAAACCTTGAAAAAAAATTAGATGAATGGCTAACTACAATAACCAATGCAGAGAAGTCCTTAAAGGACCTGATGGAGCTGAAAACCAAGGCACAAGAACTACGTGATGAATGCACAAGTCTCAGTAGCCAATTCGATCAACTGGAAGAAAGGGTATCAGTGATGGAAGACTAAATGAATGAAATGAAGCGAGAAGAGAAGTTTACAGAAAAAAGAATAAAAAAAAACGAACAAAGCCTCCAAGAAACGTGGGACTATGTGAAAAGACCAAATCTACGTCTGATTGGTGTGCCTGAAAGTGACGGGGAGGATGGAACCAAGTTGGAAAACACTCTGCAGGATATTATCCAGGAGAACTTCCCCAATCTAGCAAGGCAGGCCAACATTCAAATTCAGGAAATACAGAGAATGCCACAAAGATACTCCTTGAGAAGAGCAACTCCAAGACACATAATTGTCAGATACACCAAAGTTGAAATGAAGGAAAAAATGTTAAGGGCAGAGAGAGAGAAACGGTGGGTTGCCCACAAAGGGAAGCCCATCAGACTAACAGCTGATTTCTCTGCAGAAACTCTACAAGCCAGAAGAGAGTGGGAGCCAATATTCAACATTCTTAAAGAAAAGAATTTTCAACCCAGAATGTCATATCCAGCCAAACTAAGCTTCATAAGTAAAGGAAAAATAAAATACTTTACAGACGAGCAAATGCTGGGAGATTTTGTCACCACCAGGCCTGCCCTAAAAGAGCTCCTGAAGGAAGCACTAAACATGGAAAGGAACAACCGGTACCAGCCACTGCAAAAACATGCCAAATTGTAAAGACCATCGAGGCTAGGAAGAAACTGCATCAACTAACAAGCAAAATAACCAGCTAACGTCATAATGACAGGATCAAATTCACACAAAACAATATTAACCTTAAATGTAAATGGGCTAAATGCTCCAATTAAAAGACACAGACTGGCAAATTGGATAAAGAGTCAAGACCCATCAGTGTGCTGTATTCAGGAAACCCATCTCACGTGCAGAGACACACATAGGCTCAAAATAAAGGGATGGAGGAAGATCTACCAAGCAAATGGAAAACAAAAAAAGGCAGGGGTTGCAATCCTAGTCTCTGATAAAACAGACTTTAAACCAACAAAGATCAAAAGAGACAATGAAGGCCATTACATAACGGTAAAGGGATCAATTCAACAAGAAGAGCTAACTATCCTAAATATATATGCACCCAATACAGGAGCAGCCAGATTCATAAAGCAAGTCCTTAGTGACCTACAAAGAGACTTAGACTCCCACACAATAATAATGGGAGACTTTAACACCCCACTGTCAACATTAGGCAGATCAACGAGACAGACAGTTCACAAGGATATCCAGGAATTGAACTCAGCTCTGCACCAAGTGGACCTAATAGACATCTACAGAACTCTCTACCCCAAATCAACAGAATATACATTCTTTTCAGCACCACACCACACTCATTCCAAAACTGACCACATAGTTGGAAGTAAAGCACTCCTCAGCAAATGTAAAAGAATAGAAATTATAACAAACTGTCTCTCAGACCACAGTGCAATCAAACTAGAACTCAGGATTAAGAAATTCACTCGAAACCACTCAACTACATGGAAACTGAACAACCTACTCCTGAATGACTACTAGGTACATAACGAAATGAAGGCAGAAATAAAGATGTTCTTTGAAACCAACAAGAACAAAGACACAACATACCAGAATCTCTGGGACACATTCAAAGCAGTGTGTAGAGGGAAATTTATAGCACTACATGCCCACAAGAGAAAGCAGGAAAGATCTAAAATTGACACCCTAACATCATAATTAAAAGAACTAGAGAAGCAAGAGCAAACACATTCAAAAGCTAGCAGAAGGCAAGAAATAACTAAGATCAGAGCAGAACTGAAGGAAATAGAGACACAAAAAACCCTTCAAAAAATTAATGAATCCAGTCGCTGGTTTTTTGAAAAGATCAACAAAATTGATAGACCGCTAGCAAGACTAATAAAGAAGAAAAGAGAGAAGAATCAAATGGACACAATAAAAAATGATAAAGGGGATATCACCACCGATCCCACAGAAATACAAACTATCACCAGAGAATACTATAAACAACTCTATGAAATAAACTAGAAAATCTAGAAGAAATGGATGAATTCCTTGACACATACACCCTCCCAAGACTAAACCAGGAAGAAGTTGAATCTCTGAATAGACCAATAACAGGCTCTGAAATTGAGGCAATAATTGATAGCTTACCAACCAAAAAAGTCCAGGACCAGAAGGATTCACAGCCGAATTCTACCAGAGGTACAAGGAGGAGCTGGTACCATTCCTTCTGAAACTATTCCAATCAATAGAAAAAGAGGGAATCCTCCCTAACTCATTTTATGAGGACAGCATCATCCTGATACCAAAGCCTGGCAGAGACACAACAAAAAAAGAGAATTCTAGACCAATATCCCTGATGAACATCGATGCAAAAATCCTCAATAAAATACTGGCAAACCAAATCCAGCAGCTCATCAAAAAGCTTATCCACCATGATCAAGTGGGCTTCATCCCTGGGATGCAAGCCTGGTTCAACATACACAAATCAATAAACGTAATCCAGCATATAAACAGAACCAATGACAAAAACCACATGATTATCTCAATAGATGCAGAAAAGGCCTTTGACTAAATTCAACAACCTTCATACTAAAAACTCTCAATAAACTAGGTATTGATGGGACGTATCTCAAAATAATAAGAGCTATCTATGACAAACCCACAGCCAATATCATACTGAATGGGCAAAAACTGGAAGCATTCCCTTTGAAAACTGGCACAAGACAGGGATGCCCTCTCTCACCACTCCTATTCAACATAGTGTTGGAAGTTCTGACCAGGGCAATCAGGCAGGAGAAGGAAATAAAGGGTATTCAATTAGGAAAAGAGGAAGTCAAATTGTCCCTGTTTGCAGATGACATGATTGTATATCTAGAAAACCCCATCATCTCAGCCCAAAAATCTCCATAAGCTGATAGGCAACTTCAGCAAAGTCTCAGTATACAAAATCAATGTGCAAAAATCACAAGCATTCTTATACACCAATAACAGACAAACAGAGAGCCAAATCATGAGTGAACTCCCATTCACAATTGCTTCAAAGAGAATAAAATACCTAGGAATCCAACTTACAAGGAACGTGAAGGACCTCTTCAAGGAGAACTACAAATCACTGCTCAATGAAATAAGAGGATACAAACAAATGGAAGAACATTCCATGCTCATGGGTAGGAAGAATCAATATCATGAGAATGACCATACTGCCCAAGGTAATTTATAGATTCAATGCCATCCCCATCAAGCTACCAATGACTTTCTTCACAGAATTGGAAAAAACTACTTTAAAGTTCATATGGAACCAAAAAAGAGCCTGCATTGCCAAGTCAATCCTAAGCCAAAAGAACAAAGCTGGAGGCATCACGCTACCTGACTTCAAACTATACTACAAGGCTACAGTAACCAAAACAGCATGGTACTGGTACCAAAACAGAGATATAGACCAATGGAACACAACAGAGCCCTCAGAAATAATGCCACATATCTATAACCATCTGATCTTTGACAAACCTGACAAAAACAAGAAATGGGGAAATGATTCCCTATTTAATAAATGGCATTGGGAAAACTGGCTAGCCACATGTAAAAAGCTGAAACTGGATCCCTTCCTTACACCTTATACAAAAATTAATTCAAGATGGATTAAAGACTTAAATGTTAGACCTAAAACCATAAAAACCCTAGAAGAAAACCTAGGCAATACCATTCAGGACACAGGCATGGGCAAGGACTTCATGTCTAAAACACCAAAAGCAGTGGCAACAAAAGCCAAAATTGACAAATGGGATCTAATTAAACTAAAGAGCTTCTGCACAGCAAAAGAAACTACCATCAGAGTGAAAAGGCAACCTACAGAATGGGAGAAAATTTTTGCAATCTACTCATCTGACAAAGGGCTAATATCCAGAACCTACAATGAATTCAAATAAATTTACAAGAAAAAAACAAACAACCCCATCAAAAAGTGGGCAAAGGATATGAATAGACACTTCTCAGAAGAAGACATTTATGCAGCCAAAAGACACATGAAAAAATGCTCATCATCACTGGCCATCAGAGAAATGCAAATCAAAACCACAATGAGATACCATCTCACACCAGTTAGAATGGCAATCATTAAAAAGTCAGGAAACAACAGGTGCTGGAGAGGATGTGGAGAAATAGGAACACTTTTACACTGTTGGTGGGACTGTAAACTAGTTCAACCATTGTGGAAGTCAGTGTGGCGATTCCTCAGGGATCTAGAACTAGAAATACCATTTGACCCAGCCATCCCATTACTGGGTATATACCCAAAGGATTATAAATCATGCTGCTATAAAGACACATGCACACGTATGTTTATTGCGGCACTATTCACAATAGCGAAGACTTGGAGCCAACCCAAATGTCCAACAATGATAGACTGGATTAAGAAAATGTGGCGGCCGGGCGCGGTGTCTCACGCCTGTAATCCCAGCACTTTGGGAGGCCGAGGCGGGTGGATCATGAGGTCAGGAGATCGAGACCATCCTGGCTAACAAGGTGAAACCCTGTCTCTACTAAAAATACAAAAAATTAGCCGGGCGCGGTGGCGGGTGCCTGTAGTCCCAGCTACTCGGGAGGCTGAGGCAGGAGAATGGCGTGAACCCGAGAAGCGGAGCTTGCAGTGAGCCGAGATTGCGCCACTGCAGTCCGCAGTCTGGCCTGGGCGACAGAGCGAGACTCCGTCTCAAAAAAAAAAAAAAAAAAAAGAAAATGTGGCACATATACACCATGGATTACTATGCAGCCACAAAAAATGATGAGTTCATGTCCTTTGCAGGGACATGGGTGAAGCTGGAAACCATCATTCTCAGCAAACTATCACAAGGACAAAAAACCAAACACCGCATGTTCTCACTCATAGGTGGGAATTGAACAATGAGAACACATGGACACAGGAAGGGGAACATCACACACCGGGGCCTGTTGTGGGCTGGGGGGAGGGGGGAGGGATAGCATTATGAGATATACCTAATGTTAAATGACGAATTAATGGGTGCAGCACACCAACATGGCACATGTATACATATGTAACTAATCTGCACGTTGTGCACATGTACCCTAAAACTTAAAGTAAAAAAAAAAAAAGAAAAAAACAAGTAATGAGATTAAAGCCATAGTAAAAAGTCTCCCCAGTGATAACGGTTTGGCTCTTTGTCCCCACGCAAATCTCATCTTGTAGCTCCCATAATTCCCACATGTTGTGCGAGGGACCTGGGGGAAGATGTTTGAATTATGGGGATAGGTCTTTCTCATGCTGTTCTTGTCATAGTGAACCGGTCTCATGAGATCTGATGGTTTTAAAGATGGGAGTTTCTCTGCACAAGCTCTCTCTCTCTGTTTGCCTGCTGCCATTCATATAAGGTGTGACTTGTATCTCCTTGCCTTCCACCATTATTGTGAGGTTTCCCCAGCCATGTGGAACTGTTAAGTCCAATTAAACCTCTTTCTTTTGTAAATTGCCCAGTCTCAGTCTGGGGTATGTCTTTATCAGCAGTGTGAAAACAGACTAATACACCCAGTAACGAAAAAGTCCAGGACCCCATGGCTTTACTGCTAAATTCTACCAAACATTTAAAGAGAACTAATACCCAAATCCTACTCAAACTATTCCAAAAAACAGAAGGAAGGAATACTGCCAAACTCATTCTATGAGGACAGTATTATTTTGATACCAAAACCAGACAAAAACACACTAAAAAAAAACTATAGGCCAATTTCTATGATGAATATTGATGCAAAAATCTTCAGCAAAATACCAGCAAAACCCAATTCAATGATACATCAAAAAGATCATTCATCATGACCAAGTGGGATTTATCTTTGGGATGCAAGGACAGTTTAACATATGCAAATCAATCAATGTGATATATCATGTCAACAGAAAGACAAAAACCATATGATCATTTCAATTGATGCTGGAAAAGCATTTGATAAAATTCAACATCTCTTTCTTGATAAAAACCCTAAAAAACTGGGGTAGAAGGAACATACCTCAACATAATAAAACCCATATTGACAGACCCACAGCTAGTATCATACTGAATGGGAAAAAAAATTGAAAGCCTTTTCTCTAAGATCTGGAACATAATATGGCCGGCCACTTTCACCACTGTTATTTAATACAGTACTGGAGCTCTTAGCTAGAGCATCCAAAGAAGAGAAAGCTATAAAGTGCCTCCAAGTTGGAAAGGAAGAATTAAAATCATCCTTGTTTGCAGATGACATTATCTTATATTTGGAAAAACCTAGACTCCACCAAAAAACTATTCATACTAATAAATAAATTCAGTAAAGTTGCAGGATACAAAATCAACATGGAAAAATCAGTAGCATTTCTATATGCCAACAGTGAGCAATCTGAAAAAAAAAATAAAAATGTAATCCCATTTACAATAGCCACAAACGAAATAAAATACCTAGGAATTAACCAAAGAAGTGAAAGACCTCTATAATGAAAACCACAAAGGACTGATGAAATAAATTGAAGGGGACACCAGAAGATGGAAAAATATCCCTCGTTCAGGCACTGGAAAAATCAATATTGTTAAAATGCCCATACTACCCAAAGCAATCTACAGATTCAATGCAATTCCTATCAAAATACCAATGACAATCTTCATAGAAATAGAAAAAAAGTACCCTAAAAGGGATATAGAACCACAAAAGACCCAGAATAGCTAAAGCGATCCTGAGCAATAAGAATAAAAGTGGAGGAATCACATTACCTGACTTCAAATTATACTGCAGAGCTATAGTAACCAAAACAGCATACTACTGTCATAAAAACAGACACATAGATGAATGGAACAGAATAGAGATCCCGGAAAGAAATGCATACGCCTACAGTGAAATCATTTTTGATAAAGGTGCCAAGAACATATACTGTAAAGACAGTACCTTCAATAAATGGTCCTGGGAAAACTGGATACCTATATGCAGAAGAATGAAACTAGACCCCTATCTCTCATCATGTACAAAAATCAAATCAAAATGGATTAAAGAATTAAATCTAAGACCTCAAACTATAAAACTACTACAAGAAAACTTTGGGAAAACTCTCCAGAACATCAGTCTGGGCAAAAATTTCTTGAGTAATACCCCACAAGCACAGGCAACCAGAGCAAAAATGGACAAATAGCATCACATCAAGTTAAAAGGCTTCTGCACAGCAGAGGAAACAATCAACAAAGTTAAGAAACAACCACAGAATGGGTAAAAATGTTTGCAAACTACCCATCTGACAAGGAATTAATAACCAGATGTATAAGTATCTCAAATAGTTCTATAGGAAAAAATATAATAATCTGAATTTAAAATGGGCAGGCCGGGCACGGTGGCTCATGCCTGTAATCCCAGTACCTTGGGAGGCCAAGGTGGGTGGATCACGAGGTCAAGAGATCGAGACCATCCTGGCCAAAATGGTGAAACCCCATCTCTACTAAAAATACAAAAATTAGCTGGGCATGGTGGCATGCGCCTGTAGTCCCAGCTACTCGGGAGGCTGAGGCAGGAGAATCGCTTGAACCCAGGAGGTGGAGGTTGCAGTGAGCCGAGATTGCGCCACTGCACTCCAGCCTGCTGACAGAGCAAGACTCCGTCTAAAAAAAAAAAAAAAAAAAAAAATATATATATATATCTGAATAGACATTTCTCAAAGGAAGACATACAAATGACAAACAGGCATATATAGGTGCTCAACGTAATGAATCATCAGAGAAATGCAAATCAAAACTACAATGAGATATCATCCCTTCTCAGTTAAAATGGCTTATGTCCAAAAGACGGGCAATAACAATTGCAGGTGAAGATGTGGAGAAAAAAGAACCCTCGTACACTGTTGGTGGGAACGTAAATTACTACAACCATTGTAGAGAACAGTTTGGAGGTTCCTCAGAAAACTGAAAATAGAGCTACCCATGTGATCCAGCAATCCTACTCTGGATATATACCCAAAAGAAAGGAAATCAGTATATTGAAGAGACATCTGCACTCCCATGTTTGTTGCCACTCTGTTCACAATAGACAAGAGTTGGAAGAAGCCTGTGTCCATCAACAGATGAATGGATAAAGAAAATGTGGTACTTATACACGATGGAGTACTACTCAGCCATAAAAAATAATGAGATCCAGTCATTTGCAAAAACATGGATGGAACTGGCGATCATTATGTTAAGTGAAGTAAGCCAGACATAGAAGGAGAAACCTTGCATGTTCTTATTTATTTGTGGGGTCTAAAAATCAAAACAATTTAACCTGTGGAGATAGAGAGTAGAAGGATGGTTACCAGAGGCTGGGAAAGGAATTGGGGAGGGTTGGGGAGAGATGGGGGATGGTTAACCAGTACAAAAAATAGAATGAAACGGACCTAGTATTTGATAGCACAACAGGGTGACTATAGTCAATAATAACTTAATTGTATATTTTAAAACAACTAAAAGAGTATAATTGGATTTTTTTGTAACAGAAAGGATAAATTCTTGAGGAGATACCCATTTTCCACGATGTGATTGATATGCATTACATGCCTGTATCAAAACGTCCCATGTACCCCATAAATACATACACCTACTGTATACCCACAAAAAATAAAAATAAAATAAACAATTATTTTAAAAAGAAGAGTAATTGAACCTCTGATTATAAAATTTCAAGTTTTATGCAATTACCAGGCTCTACCATCTTAACAAGCCCTGTTTTGGGGCAAAGTGTATAATAATAAATTAGATCTAGATTATATCATCTTTTGAATTGAGGGTGCTTTTTGTGTGCCATAATTCTCTTCTCTTTTTGTATTGGGAGAAATATTAAATAGGTGGAAACCAACCCAGATCCTGAACTTAAATCATGTAGGACTTTGGTCACTGAAAACATAAACAATTAATAGCTGCTGGCCAGGCGCGGTGGCTCACGTCTGTAATCCCAGCACTTTGGGAGGCTGAGGCGGGCGGATCACAAGGTCAGGAGATCCAGACCATCCTGACTAACACGGTGAAACCCCGTCTCTACTAAAAATTCAAAAAATCAGCCAGGCGAGGTGGCGGGCGCCTGTAGTCCCAGCTACTCGGGAGGCCGAGGCAAGAGAATCGCTTGAACCTGGGAGGCAGAGGTTGCAGTGAGCCGAGATTGCACCACTGCACTCCAGCCTGGGCGACGGGGCGAGACTTCGTCTCAAAAAAAAAAAAAAAAAAAATAGCTGTTATACTATTGAGATGTTCTGATCCCACATCAGGATTGTAAATCCCTATGGTTGATATGAACTCTAAGATATGATCATGCTGTTATCCCTAGGGTAACTTGTTCTATTGATCAAATTGCTTGGGTCAATAAATTATAACACACTTTTATGAATAACTAGTCTAGTCCGGGTTTTAATCATTCAGAGGTTGTACGGTGCTCTGAAGTTACCCCAACTGAAATTTTTAGCCCAGTAGATTAAATATTATTCCTTTAAATAGTTAATGTTTTTTGTGTGTGGCCTAATTAAGCTCCATTGGGTCGTCTTGTTTTATCGCCGCATGAGAATCACTAAAGTTAGAGACTGACCATACCAAGCACTGACGAGGTTGTGGAGGATGAAGCTCTGCTGAGACAATGAAAAATGGTACAACCACTTTGAAAACAGTTTGGCAGTTTCTTACAATGTTAGTCTTACATCTATAACATGTTCCAGCCACTGCAATCCTAAGTATTTACCCTAGAGAAAGAAAGCACATTTCTCTGTAAAGACTCATACACAAGATCCCCTAAATTGAATACAACCCAAATATCCATTAGCAAGTGAATGGACAAAACGAATTGTAGTATATCCTATACTGTAATGCTACTCTGTAATAAAAAAAAAAAAACTATTGAAATAGGCAATAAAATGGACAAATCTAAAAATACATAGAGTGAATGAAAGAAGCCAGATCCCTAAAAAAAAAAAATAAAAAAAAAACCTCTATGATTATTTTTAAATAAATGAAATCTAATCTATAATGACAAAAGTGCTGTATTTGTCTGGAGACAGGACAGTGGGAGGAATGGGTAGGCTGGGTACAACAGAACTGAAAATGTTATGTCCTTGAAAATAATAACAATGATATATAAGCCTATACGGTTCCTTTAGGGGACATGGCAGGGTATCATTAGAATAGGGCAAACTAGATACTGAAGGACCAAGAGGGCAGAGTAGGAGATATCAGCCTTCATCACCCCCTGCCACAAAAAAACAAGTGTAGACAGCTATCCACAAACTAAAGTATTCATGGGAGGGCTCAGGGGCCCATTTAAGAATCTGCAGCAACACAGTAGAAAAAAAAATGGGGAATATCCACACAGAAAATATTGCTGGTGAGATCAGTATACTTGAGGTGCCAGGAGATGTCTAGGAGCAAAGAAGAAAGGCAAAGGCTATTGCTATTAGCCATGTGGCAGGAATCACCATGGTCCCCAGCAGTCTGCTCTGGAGAGGACACTGGCATCTTTCGCCACTGAGATAACCAACAGCCATTCCTGCCCAAGGAACCCCAGAGAGGGAGAAGTGGCTACACACTTCTCATCTCAAGAAGCAGCAGCTATTATACCACTCTGGGACCAGAGGTGCCACCTGTCCCAATGCTGCATGTGTCACTGACCCCCCCAAGCTACAACTACTCTGTAAATACCCATACTCCAGACCCCAGCTCTGTGCCTGACTGTGCCTGCCCATGCCTCAGACACCAGAGCCACTGCCATAGAGACCTAGCAAAACACCTTCACTCTTCAGATAACTCCCTGAGAAAACATACCAATTAGAGGAACTAGGCTGGGATCCGGGCCCCTAAGCCAAGGTCACTTTGCACATGTCTGTACTCCAGACACTAGATTAACATCCATTGAAGGCTAGCCCATACTCCAGACCCTGGATAGGAAGAATAATCTCTAGTGTTCTATAGCATTATACTAAATTATCAAACAATAATTTAATGTATTTTTTCAAATAGCTAGAAGAGAAAATGTTGAATGTTACCAGCACATATAAATGATAAAGATTTGAGATGATGGATATGCTAACTACCCTGATTTTATCACTACACATTGTATACATATATTGAAATATCACAGTGTACCCCCATAAATATGTACAATAATCATGTGTCCATATATAATAAAATATACATTTTTCAAAGTAAGACATACAAGTGGCCAACAGATATGTGAAAAAATTCTCAATATCACTAATTGTCAGGGAAATGCACATTAAAACCATAACAAGATATCACCTCACACTTGTTAGGATGGCCATTATTTAAAAAAACAGAAGATGGTAAGTGTTCACAAGGATGTGGAAAAAAATGGAACCCTTGTACAATACTGGGAATGTAAATTTATACAGATATTACAGAAACAGTATGGTCATTCCTGAAAAAAACTAAAAATAGAATTACCAAATGATCCAGCAGTCCCCCTTCTGAGTATATATCCAAAGGAAATGAAATTAGTACCTCAAACAGATGTATGTACTCCCATGTTCACTGCAGCATTATTCACAATAGCCAGGGTATGGAATCAACCTAAGTATCCACCAACAGATGAATAAAGAAAATGTCATACATGCACACAATGGCGTACTATTCAGCTTTTTGAAAAAAGAAGGAAATCCTGTCATTTGTGACAACATGGATGAACCTGGAGGACATTAAGTGAAATAAGCCAGGCACAGCAAGACAAATACCACGTAATCTCACTTGTATATGGAATCTAAATAAGTTGAACTCATAGAAGCAGAGAGTAGAACAGTAATTACCAGACAGAGGCTGGGGAGGGGTTTGGGGAGATGTTGGTCAATGGATACAAAATTTCAGTTAGAGAGGAGGGATAAATTCAAGGGATCTATTGTACATCATAGTGACCATGGTTAATAAAAATATATTGTACACTTGAAAACTGCTAAAAGGGTAGATTTTAAGTGTTCACCACAAAAAAAAGTACATTAGGTAATGCATAGGTTTATTAGCTTGATTCAGCCATTCTACAATGTATAAAATATATCAAAACATCATATGACTTTTTAATTGACACTTTATAAGTTATAGTTCATAAACAAATTTATTATACAACAGATATGGGAGAATGCATATTATAATCTCAAATTGGTAGGAAGGCCTTCTAACTAACTTTATATTTCAACATTCATTTGATAGTGTTGATGGGAATCACTGGTTATTATTTATGCAGTCAGAAATATATATATAAACTTATCATAAATGCATGTTAAACATAAAGTTTCTCCCTTGTCTATACTGTAAGAAAGTTTGAAACAGAACAAGAAGAGGCCTGACTTCATACAGGCATTCCTGATCCTGCAATAACCACAGGGCTATCGTCTTGCACCTATGTTATCACTGAAGGTTTCAGCAATCCTGTGGGTGAGCATTTTTATTTCCATTTTACAGAGTGGGAAACTGGGCTCAGAGAGGGTCTTTACCTGTCTCATCCTCCCGCGTCCCGCCTTTACAGGGAAAGTAGCCCCGGGACACCCTGGAGCAGGACACCACACTCACTGGGGCCAGAAGAGACCCACCTCTCTCTCCTTCACGAAACAGCCAGAGCGCCGATCCCCAAAGTGGGAACGAGGGGACGTCGATCTGGGGTCCTTTCGTCTCCCTAAACCCCACGGAGATTCAGGCCACACTGCTGGGCACTCACAACCTCCACTGAGTCCAAACGCCTGAAGGCGGTTCTCCCCAGGCCAAATTGGTCTCAATAAAAAGTCGTCACCGTCGCTAATATGACGTCAGGTTACTATGGCAACCGCGTAGCACTGGCTTGTCTTCCACACCTGAAAATGACTATGCACAACCCGCTCCTCCATCCCCAGCCTATCCCTTAAAGCAAAACACCTTCATTCTTCAGATAACTCCCTGAGAAAACATACCAATTAGAGGCTGGGATCCGGGCAATTTTCAAGACTCTCTACTCATTATGGTAGAGGAAAGGAAGTCCATGTTGTCAGGAATTTTGCTTTAAAAGTGACCTAAGGGGGCCGGGCGCGGTGGCTCATGCCTGTAATCCCAGTACTTTGGGAGGGCGAGGCGGGAGGATCACGAGGTCAGAAGATCGACACCATCCTGACTAACACGGTGAAACCCCATCTCTACTAAAAATACAAAAAATTAGCCGGGCGTGGTGGCGAGCGCCTGTAGTCCCAGCTACTCAGGAGACTGAGGCAGTAGAACGGTGTGAACCCGGGAGGCGGAGCTTGCAGTGAGCCGAGATTCTCAAAAAAAAAAAAAAAAAAAAGTGACCTTAGAGGAGTATCATCAGTACACAGAAGCCCAGAGAGGTGTCCTAGGACTCTGGGAGATGAGCTAGCCCTCTGAGGAGGAACATGTACAACTCACACACTATACTAGGCAGTTGGTTTTCTGTGGCAGAAAACAGATTGTTTATAATCAAGTGACTGAATGATCTAGAAACACAAAAACTGTCATTTGAGTAATAATACAGTTATTTCAGGGAGGCCGGACTAGAATAATATAATCATTTAGTAGGCAGGAATCCAGTCAATTAAAACACACAGTAGTTTGCCTTAAGGAAATTTTTTTTTTTTTTTTTTTTTTTGAGACGGAGTCTCGCTCTATCGCCCAGGTTGGAGTGCACGGCGCAATCTCAGCTCACTGCAACCTCTGCCTCCCAGGTTCAAGCGATTCTCCTGCCTCAGCCTCCCGAGTAGCTGGGATTACAGGCGCTTACCACCACACCCAGCTAATTTTTATATTTTTAGTAGAGACAGGGTTTCACCATGTTAGTCAAGCTGGCCTCGATCTCCTGACCTCGTGATCCACCCGCCTCGGCCTCCCAAAGTGCTGGGATTACAGGCGTGAGCCACCGCACCCAGCCCTGCCTTAAGGAAATTCTTATCCTTCATTCCTGGTATGTTTTTCCATGTGGAAAATACATCCATGACAAAAATACATGTAGCCTCTACACACTCACTCCTCTCTACGGCAGGAATGACTTATCCGATTGGAGAATCTGGAAGGAGACACATGATACTCTGCCCAAGCCCTCTCCCTTCAACTTCTTGGTAGTAAGCTGCCCTTCAGGAGGCACTTGTTCAGCTTTGCCTTCAGGGATGGGACTTAAAATAGGCCCACAGGTTTACTCCTCTAACTGTGTCTCACTGACTCTACAATTATTCCTATAGTTCTTGATTCACAATGCTTAATTCTTTAAGGGGCCCCCAAAATACTCTTCTGCTTCTAGTCTGAGCTCTAAACCAACTGAGAAACATAGGAAAAGAATAAGGAGAAACATATATTGACTTTATCTCTTATAAGGTGATATTGGAGAATGTGACTTAGATTTGCTGTCACGTGGGCTTACTATGAGTAAGTTCTAGAATTGACTTATCCACCCAGCAGTGCTGCATTGGGACAGTCATAAAGACCAAGGACTGCAATGTATATCTATCTGCTGTCTCCTAAAGGAGCCCTGTCTATGTGTGCCCAAGGAAAGTTACTTCCTTGCCAAGGGTTATCACTATAGCAGGAGAAAGTGTTTCAGGACACTTTCTTTGAGAAACACTTCTAAAATTGTTCAGAATGAATACTCACTAAGACAACCTCTCAGGTTTCCTCATAGAATGGTTTGTAGCAATGCCCTCTCAGTATCTTAATTCACATGATTGCAGTGGGAATTCTTCTTAAGGAGTTAGGTTTCAAATTTTAAGACTAGCATGAAAAATAGATATCATGTAAATTGCCCTTGGGAATCCCTTCAAGAAGGAATTGATGACATGTTCAGAAATCTGTACCCACATGTAAGCCAACACTCAGATGATACAATTATAACCAAGTTTCACTAAGCCTTCAAGGATAAGAAAATTCCTTTCTTACCCAATGATAACACAACACAGAAAATGAGGAAAAGTTCACCAAAACCATAATGTTTTAGATATCCGTTCCTTCTTAACAAGCACCCTTAATTAATAGCCATTTATTTTCTCTCAGTATTTTGTGTGTTAACTGGGCCCAGCTGGATGTTTTCTGCTCTATATGATGTCTGTCACCTGGGGCTGCAGTCATCTGGAGGTTCCACTCATCTGGGACATCTGAGAGAGCTCACTCACATGAATGATGACTGGTGTTGGCGTCTGCTGGGAGCTCAGTTAAGGCTGTTGACCTGAGCATCTTGGCTCTCCACAGAGCCCTCCACGTGTACAGTTACCAGATTAAAATCAACTCAGTTAACTTTAAATTCCGGATTAATAGGAATATTTTTTAGTTTATGTGGCATGCAATATTAGTTTATTTAAAATTAAAATCCAACTGGATTTTAATTAAATAAATAAAAGTAAATGAAATAAATAACAAAATAAAAATTTTAAATCGTCTTATTATTTGCTAAATCTGGCAATTGCAGGGGATGACCCTGTGAATCTCTAAGTTTAATGACCATCTGAGCTGATTCTTCCAATGGGACAGGTCTGGGGAAAATGAGCAGATTGGATTGGCAATAAGGACAAAAGTTGGTAATACTTGGTGTTGGTGGAATGAAAAGCCAGCAGACGCTCACATATACTGTTGGTGCCAAGTGGATATATCTGTTTTCCAAGGCTCATATTATAACTTAAGACATTAATGATCTTTGATGCCAAAGTCCTATTTTTCCACCAACAAGGGAGTTTCAGCTGAGGGTTTAGAAAAGACTCATCAAGGTGACTACGATGTGCGCCCTCTTAAGGGGCCCTGGCTGAGGTGGCAGCTCAGAGTAACATGAGTTCCCTGCTTGGAGGAGGAAAAGACAGCTACTATTTTGTAAGGCAGATGGTTTAGCTGGGCCCAGCTCCAGTTTCTTCACATTAGTGTCTGGATTTAATCTCATGACAGCCGTGCTGGTGAGGTACCAGTATCCTCTCTTCCTCATGGATGTCAGTGACTATAAAGCACGTGCTCCTAAACACAGAGCTGAATGGCAAGGAGGTTACTCACCAGGCCCACTGCCAGAGCCAGGGATAGAACCTGCCAGCCTGGGCACCTTGAGTTGCTAGTGGTAGACCTTTAGCAAATGTATCTGGACATGTACTGTTAAGGAGGTTAATCTCTGTTCTCCTTGCTTACCCTCCCTGCAGTAAGGTTGGTGCCCCCTCTCCTTACTTCAGGGGAGGTTTGTGAGAGGGCTGACAGCAGAAGCCTTCTGGAGCCAGTTTTTCTTTCATCCTTTATGAAAACTTAATTTGTTGAAAGGACCGGGCTGCTTGTACCTGGTAGGGATGTGGGGGCCTCTCAGGACACAAAGATGGGAGAGGAAGGAAGATTTCTCCCAGACAGGGATGAGGCCTGAGGTCTACAAATCTCTCCAGGAGTTGGGACCTGAGCATTGCTCTGTATCAATGTTTGTGGTGAATTAGTGGATGGTCCTTCGAGTCTGGGCATCCATCCATGATTCAGATTTGATTTTCCTGTTTTGATCCAGGGGTAGATGACTCAGGATCTGGGACATGAAGGCACTGGGCCAACTAAGGAAATGGTCATCTCAGCCCTGAGCAGTGTGGACACGAGTGGTTACAGCAGGAGACTCTTGAGGCCATATCAGGAGGATACATTCCCAGAAGTGGAACTGTTTTGTCAAAGAGCATGACCATTTAATATTTTTAATGCTTCCTATATAGTTGAACTTTAAAATTTCTTTAATAGTTCTTATATTCCATCCAACAATTTGAAAACATCTGTTTTTCCTGATCTGTGCAAAAATAGGTTTCACAGATTTTTAATATTTTTTATTCTGAGATCCTGTTATTGGTACATTAGATTTTCTTTATTTTTCCCTATCGTATTATGTTTTAAATAGTGTATTTCACAGGTGCATTAAAAATGCTTAGCTAATGGTTCCATATTATACCTTAGAATATGTCTTGGAATAATTCTAGAGTTTGAAAAGAAAACCCAATCATCGAATTTGTGTTTATGTTGCATCCTGTTTGAATTGAAATGTTGGGGCCACGAGAAGCCCATACATAGCTTGGAGCGGACAAATTGGTACAACTTCTTTGTGGAGATATTGAGCAGCACCCACAATAGAAGCATGTGAGGCTCTGTCATCTGCTGCCCTCTCAGATGTGCATTGCAGAGTCTCGGTACATAGCAAACCTGTTCACAGGAGCATGGGTAAATATCAAAATAGTCCCAAAGTCACCTGGTTAGAAACATCTCAGAAACACTATTTTCAGAAGAAAACATTTCGATAATAGATATATAAATATGTTACTTATATAGAGATAAAAATATGCAAAGCAATTATGTGTTTAGTTTAGGGATGTATTCATGACTAAACAAGAAATTTTGGATAGTGGTTCCTTCTGAGGGCGCTGAGGCAATCAGGGAACTCACACAGGAGAGTCCACTCTGTAATGTTTTGCTTCATAACCTTGGTTGTGTACGTGTTTGCCTACTATCATATTTACAATACCTTTTGAAAAGTCTGAAATCTATCAAATTTGACATGAACAAAGCTCTAATGTGTTTTATCTCTGATTAATAAGTAACCCACTGTCTATTTAAAAAATGTGGAAAGTGCATTCAAATACCAATATGAATATTGATAATATCTAACCCCACCATGCACTAATAAAAACTGTAATTATGTTTCCACCAATTATCATCTATACACATGTGTACATGTAAACAAAAATACTGTGTATGCATTGAATAGATTTAACTTAACTGGAATGTATTAATTTATTGTAGGTGTGTAACCAGACTTAGTGTCTGAAAGCTACATCCATCTAGTAGCTCACAGGTCTGTAGGTCAGAAGACTGGTCCAGCATGACCTTATTCTCTGCTCAAGGTCTCACAAAGCTAGAATCAAGGTGCCCATGTTGGCTCCACTGAGGTCTCACGCGGATGATCTAGATAAAAATCTGCTTCCAAGATCATTCTTGCTGCTGGCAGAAGTCATTTCCTTGTGGCCATTGAACCGCAGTCCCCATTTCCTTGATGACTGTCAGTTGGGGATATTCTTAGCTCCTGGGGGCTAGTCCACTTGCCTGCCATGTGGCCTCCTTCTTCCATCCAGCAATGGCACATTGAAGGCTTCCTGTGCTTTGAATCTCTGACTTGCCCTACTCTAAACAGCAGGAGAAAATTCTCTGATTTTACAGGGCTTGACTAATTAGGTCAGGCCTATGCTGATCATCTCCCTTTTGCCATATAACAGAACATAATCGTGGATCATAATGTGTCTGGTCTTATGACTCTAGTCTTCCGTCCAGTATTCTTGTCATATTGCCCTGTGGTGTCCCTTCTACCTTAAAGTTAATGGGAAACTGCTCCTCCAGTGTCAAACTGAATGATAAATTAAGAGGATAGGAAGGCAGATGCAGTTATAGGAAATGGTATGGTGATTTATTTTTCCTTTTCCCCAGCTCTCACATGTAACTCATCCCACAACTCAGAACTGGCCCAAAGCTCATAGGTTATGGGGATATATTTCAGCTCTTGCTGCTACCTTTCCACAAGGTCTCAATAGCAGTAATGCCCTTTGGTTTAGGTCAATGTCATCTACTCTCTGGGAGGGAGGGGGCAAATAGCCAGACCTGTTATGTGCTGAAGTCCTACTATCTCCCATAGGCACTTGACAGGTTTTCTCATTTATCCCTCAGGACAGTACTCTGAAGAAGATAATGTGGTGCGTCTTATTTCACAGATGACCAAGCTCCTTCTCAAAGGGACTAAGACCCTCTCCAGAGAAGTGGCAGAAATGGAATGTGATTCCATTCTTTCCCTCCCCACAATAAAACCAGCAGCTTCCCATTTGGAAGTTTTACATTTCCCTAGTATTGTCCCCTAAAGGTACTCACTCAATAACCCCTCATGTTGAGGAAGATGATAGTGGAGATGAAATCTTGTTTTCTGGCCCATGAAACCTAGCTGTGAAGTTACATGTACCGGCAGGTCCTTAGGGTCCCTCTTAGGCCCACTTCTTTTGTCTGAATGTTTGTGTCTCCCACACATTTATATGTTGAAACCTAATAATCTTTAGGAGGTAGTTAGGCCATGAAGGCAGAGCCCTCATAAATGGGATTAGTGTCCTTATCAGAGGCCTGAGAGAACCTGTTTGCCACTTCACCATGTGAGCATGCAGCAAGAAGGTGTCATTTATGATGCAGACGGAGTCTTTACCACACTACAAATATTCTGGCATCTTGATCTTGGACTTCCTAGCCTCCAGAACTTTGAGTAATACATTTCTGTTGTTTACAAATTACCCACTTTCAGGTATTTTGTTATGGCAGCTCAAGTGCACTGAGGCACCCACTGACCCCACTCCACTGACATCAGACCTGGGCATGTGACTAGATGTGGCCAGTGAGCTATGAGGGGAAATGGAGTGTGCCCCTCCCAAGCAGAAGTGATAAGGGCCATCTAGGAGTCCCACCAGCACACTTTGACCTTCTGCCTCAGCAATGTCCCAGATTTCCTATGAGATAGTTTAATTCATTTAATCCTTCAGCAGCACTAGAATATGAGAACTTATATGATGGCAGAAATGCTTGGAAAGAGACAAGCCAAATGATTTATACCCAAAATTGGCCTGCTAGAAGATCCCCTCAACTCACATGCCCTAACACCAAGTCTGTAGCCAGGAGAAGGTATATGTTTTACCCACATCACACAGAAAGCAGTTTGTCAGGCTCTGGAAGCGACATCTTCTGCCTTTCACTCCATTGCTCTCTCCAGAAGACCCATCCTCATGCTCTGCTCTTCCCTGGGCATGTGTCTTTATGGAGCCACAGGAACAACCCAGATAACCAGTCAATGGCCACTCCTGATGTTCACTCTCCAAGGGGGGCCCAAAGAGGTCAGGAAAGGTACACTGATTCTAAAGAAATGGGGTGACATTTCCCCATGCCACCTACAATGCACGATGCCACAACACAGAAGAGGCACCAACTCTTACACATAATGTGGGTCTGTGTGAGTTTATTTTTCTTTCTGTTGCCTTGCTTTCAGAAGCTCTTTAGAACACAATTATGCTGCTTAGCACTATGTAGTTTAGGTTAAAGTCATCTCAGAAGCAGAAGTTAGAAAGGGGGATGGAAAGAAAACTAACATTTCAAGGGCCTACAATGGGCCAGACACTGTGTTAGGCACTTCACATACTGTTTCTCTAAGTCCTTACAACTGTTCTGTAAGTTAGGTATCAATATTCCCTGCTTAAACTTATTCCTCCCCAGAAGCAGGCTCTCCTAAGGCTAATGGAGGTTAAATATATTTTACAAGGACACACGCCCAATAAGAGGCAGCATGGTTATTTGAATCCAGGGTGGTCAGACCCCAACCTTGGGTTCCACCATGAACCTTTGCAGATAGGTGTGGGTAGTAACATTTGCCCTGTTCTAGAGCAGGTTTTCTCAACCTCAGCACTATTGACATTTTGGGCTGGAGAGTTCTTTGCTGTGGGGGCTGTCCTAGGCATTGGGGGATGTTCAGCAGCCTCCTTGGCCACTAATCATAAGATTCCAGTAGCACCCCCAGGTGTGACTACCAAAAATGTCTCCAGACATTTCCATGTCCCTGGAGCTAAGGAGCATAATTGCTCCTGAATGGGAATCACTGCTTTAGATATAAATTGCTCATAGGTATTTGAATTCATGGGTCTGGACCCCTGAAGAAATTTCTGTAATAAAGATATGGTTTGAGGGCTTCTGGAGCCTGGCATATAATAGACATTCCATACATATTTGTTAAATAAATGCATATGGCATACAGAATTGAGAGTCTCCAGTCTTTTTTCATCCTTACATGAGTTTCTCAAACTGAAGTATAGTCGTTTTTATAAACTGTATCAAAATCTGCAGTTTCAACCAAAATTTAGAGCTTAGCTTTTGTTCCCCTTTATTAAACGCATGTTTTAAATGGTAAAACATGTAGAAATTGGTTATATGAGCAGCAAGTAAAGCCAGACCCAAAAGGAGTTTCAACGTCAAGACAGATGAACAAAAAGCATGAAGGTCCACCCTAGCCTACATTTCTATGCTGGACACCATGTTCAGTACTTTAATGACATTAATGTATTTGAGCTTCGTAACAGCTCTTTAAGGTATTATCCCCATTTATGGATCAGGACCTCAAGGTATAGAAAGGTTAAGAAACTTGTCCAGGACCACATGGCTAGTAGGGGGCAGAGGCAGTACCCTAGCCCAGACTGTATGGTGTCAAAGCACATTGGTATTAACCACAATGGTATCCTACCACACAGCAACATATATCTGTAGAGCCTCAGCCAGGGCCAAACACTCTGGGAGTTTTTGTTTAACTAATTGAACTGAATGTAGTGACTGAGTGTAAGAATTCTGGTGAGATTGCAGCATGACTGTTAAATACATCAGAAATTTTTTAAGAATCAGACAGAGAAATAAGCACATATTACATTATATATTACCTTAAGCATCATTTTTGTATTATAGAATGTTTAGGATGATATAATTGAGATAGGGATGAAAGACCACCCATTTATATGTAACTGGTGTGTGTACATTCCTGCTTCCTTTTTTTTTTTTCCCTGTCAGCAGCAGAGAAGCAAGAGAACTTGATGTTGGTTATATCCTTCAAGGTACAGAGAGACAAGATCCCACAAAAGAATAAAGCAAAATAACGATGCTGACAAACAGAATACTGTAATGGGAGGCATGAAATCTGGGTCCCGGGGCTATATCAACAACATTCTTACTTTATAACACTGAGTAAGTCACTCTACCCTTCCTTACTTCCATTAGAAACAGGAATAATAAATAAAATAAAATAAAACAAGAATGATGGCCATTCAGAAGAAGCATAATGAAGAGACTCTTTCTCTGTTTTATACTAAAACAAATTACAAGGCAAGAACAATTAAAACCAATATAACAATATATAATTTAATGAAATAAAATAGAAAGCCCACTGAGAGAGTGACCAAAGCATTTATAAATGTTTATGATGATAAAAGTGGCATTTTCAAATCACTGGGCAAAGAAAAATAATTTTTATTATTATTTTTAACACATATTCAAAAGAAAATGGAGTTGTATTTTCATCCTCACAGCATATTACATAGGACATGTCAAATGATAAAAGTATTAAAATTGTATATTAAGATTCCAATATTTATTTATTTTTGGATTAAAATTTTAATTTCTAGCATATACAAAGGTAGAAAAGATAGCTTAATGAACACCCATATGCCCACCAGCAAGTTGCAACATCTAGTAACATTCTGCCATTTTTAAAACTCTCTCCAACCCTTTTGTGTGTGTGTGTTTGTGTGTGTGTGTGTGTGTGTGTGTTTTCTAGAGTATTTTAAAGCAGAGCCCAAACATTGTCTTTTTACTCATAATATTTTCACATGCATCAGAGAAACATTAAAAAATCAAATTATGAGTTAAAGCAAGCTTGTCCAATCTGTGACCCGCAGGCCTCATGTGGCCCAGGATGGCTTTGAATGCTGCCCAACACAAATTTGTAAACTTTCCAATATTTAATAGCAAACAACCCTCTATTGAGCCTATACCTACAAAACATTTGAGAAGCTCACATGTGCAGTTTGAATTGGTTCATTTGAATTGTGAGGTTTGCCTGATCAGTGTAGATGTCCTTTATAGTGTAGAGGAGTGCAATTAAACTCATATCACATTATCATATTTTGTAGATCAGTCCTAAAGAAAGGACCTGCTTGAATTAATTGCATTGTTTCTATCACAGTTTGAAATATCTCAAAGACCATAGATTCCATTCAAGAGATTTTTGTATGACTAAACCTACTGGTGGCAAAGGTAGTTGGCTGTTCAAGGAACTAATGTTTTCTTCTCAACTTCCACTTTAAAGATAGAGAATTGTTTTTATCAATATCCAGTGCCTCATAGCTCATTCGTTCATTCCTTCATTCATGTAATAAACAAACCTTTAGTAGAGGCTAAGCGCTCAGTTTTTCACATTGTAGGATGGTTGTGAAGTTTTATGATGACTATTAATCAATTGTGTCCTTTGATGCTGCAACCATATTGTGTTAAAGGGTGCACAGAATGTCTATTAAAAGGAAAAAAAGAAGAAATGTCTTCCTTAGCTACTTTTTGTTCCAACCATGCTACTTCACAGAATAATCCTGTCTAGGGAGGTCCTACTGAATATAAAGTGACAGACCATTCAGCAACTGATTGCTTCTGTTACTAGTTTAAGATAAAAACACAATTTTATTATTTTCTTTGCTTTTCACAAGACTTATTTGATGCAGTCATTTTTAAAAGAGAGTATGGTGTCTGGATGTAAACCGACTCTTTGCATTGCCAATAATATATGTAACGGCCATCCAAGATCTGCGACTTCCCTTGACCTCCGGAAAACAAAACGTTTCTCATTCCCTTATACATTTTCTTCTTCGAGATGGAGTTGCCCAGGTTGGAGTGCAGTGGCACCATCTTGTCTCACTGCAACCTCCACCTCCTGGGTTCAAGCCGTTCTCCTGCCTCAGCCTCCTGAGTAGCTGGGATTACAGGCACCCACCACCACACTCAGCTAATTTTTGATCATTCCCTTATACACTTTCAAAGTTTGTGTGTCAGATTTCTTAGGTTCTGATTATGAAACACACACTTTCCTATCAGCCTCCCAACACCTTGGGAGATTATTTCCCTTAATCAACTTGATGAGAAAAGGTTCTGGATTGCTTAAATATCTCATTTACTTGGGCGATTACTGTGAATTTTAGCTCATATTTACATCTTCTCATTTACGATAATTTGTAATTCCTAGACTAATATGCGTTCATGAAATTCGACTTTGTATCTTGCCCCAATAATTCACCCCTACAGAAGTTCCATTTATCTCATTTTATTTTGAAAGTCTCACTCTGTTGCCTAGGCTGGAGTGCAGTGGCACGATCTTGGCTCACTGGAACCTCCACCTCCTGGGTTCAAGTGATTCTCGTGCCTCAGCCACCTGAGTGGTTGAGATTACAGTCATGCGCTACCACACCTGGCTAATTTTTGTATTTGTAGTAGAAAGGGGTTTTGCTATGTTGCCAAGCTGGTCTCAAACTCCTGGCCTCAAGTGATCCACCTCAGCCCCCCAAAGTGCTGGGATTACAGGCGTGAGCCACTACACCCGGCCCGAGAAGCTCCATTTAATTGATATTTCCTTTATGGGTATATGCTCAACTTTTTGTGTAACAAATGCTTCCTCATCAGATCTTCTCCTTAAGGTTGTATGTTTTATTACATAAGTAGTATTTGTTTACCAAAGAAGAATTAGAGAAATAAGATAAAAAGATAATAAAACACTCTAGTTCCTCCACTAGCTATAAACCTATTAGATATTTTATATGTCATTCCAGTTTTTCTCTTTTCATGCATTTTCAAAACGAAGATCATATTTTAGTACATATAGATCTCTTCGATTACTTTAAACTAATGCAGAATATCCCATACTACGGAACTACTGTAAGCTATTTAATCTCCTATTTGTGGATATATTGAATATTTCTAGTTTCAAAAATACAAACATTGGTACAATTAACATATTTATACAATATTTGTGCCCACTTTTATGTATTTTTTTCTGTAGGATAAATATCTATTAATTTCTCATTCAAAAATATGAACATTTTAATAGATATTGGTAAATGACCATTAGAAGAGGTTACACCAAATTATTCTCCTTTACCTCCAGCAGTTGATGAGATTGCCTGATTCTCTACAACAGCGGTTTTCAAATTTGACTGCTCATTAGTATTACCTAGGGAACGTTTTAAAAATTATCAAGGCCCAAGTTCCTCTCCAGACCAATTAAATAAGCATCTTTGGGAGCGGATCCTGGGCATGACTAGGTTCTAAAAGCTCTCCAGGTGATTCTAATGCAACCAGGGTTAAGAATCACTGTTCTACACCTTCACCAATGATGAAAAATGTTCTATTCAGACTTAGAAATTCAAATTCTAGAAGTGTTTCCTAGGGGAACCTTTGCACAAATGGACATGTGTACAGTGGAGGCCTATGCTTTTGGCAGACAGAAAATACTGCCAACGAAGTTGAGAACTCTGGCATCAAAATAAAAAAATGATACCTTTGGGACTTGTATTCAAAACTACTATTTACTCTTGCCTGACTGCCATGTGTGTGACACACTTCTTCAAAAATAGAATTTACAAAAGTTTACAAACTTTATTTGAAGGTATTAGCTAGAGCTTTTAATAAATTATGTGAAACCTGAGCACGGGAATCTTTTGAGTAACATGAATAGATTTCCATCAACTAAAAAAATCAGTAGATAGTAATACTGTCAGTGTTAGGAATATGCAGAAGGGCAACTCAACCATTAGATGCAGATTCTTTTTAAAGATGGATGGATGAATGGATATTTATAGAAGTGGTCACAGCAATTTTTAACAGGGGGAACTTTTTTCCAAACACACTCTTACACATAATCCCAAAGCTAAGTTGTTTTGATTGAGAGTAGTGGGAAGCACATAGATCCAACCCACTCAGCTTCCCCTGAACCTCTGTAGTGCCTTTTGAAGCATTTCCTGGGAATCCTAAGACTCCAAGAAAGGCAGTTGAAAACCATGGACCTGGGGTAGAGCATTCCAATCACATGCTAGAAATAGGTTACAGGTGTGCTGAAGATACTGCTTCCCTCAGTGCTCACAGTAGTTGCAGGTGGGAATGGGGCAGCTGGAGTCCTTGAGGCTGATGCCTTTAAGGGGGAACAGATGTGTCTGTTTGTCCCATGCAAATACTCTTTTTCTGAGTGTGTTAGGACATGATGAAGATGAAAAAGCACTGATCTTGAGTACAAAAATATTCAATATATAGCCATGGCTATAAAGCGATGATCCTGGTGTCCTTGTATAACTCACAAACTGGTTCTGAATGTGGTTATAGTGATGGATATGGTAATTATCCTGATTTGATCATTATGCAATGCACCCATGCATTGAAACATCATACTGTACCCATAAATATACACAATTATAATGTGTCAATCATAAATATAAAATTAATACAAACTGGTTCTAAAGGCAATTTCAATGTTCTGAACAATTGCAGCCCAAGTGTATGGCTTTCCAGAAGGCCATTATAAAAGTATTCATGTAGGTCGGGTGCAGTGGCTGACGTCTGTAATCCCAGCACTTTGGGAGGCCGAGGTGGGTGATCACCTAAGGTCAGGAGTTCGAGACCAGCCTGATCAACATGGCAAAACCCCATATCTACTAAAAATACAAAAATTAGCCGGGTGCGGTGGTGAGCATCTGTAATCCCAAGTACTCGGGAGGCCAAGGCAGGAGAATCACCTGAACCCAGGAGGTGGAGGTTGCAGTGAGCCGGGATCATGCCATTGCATTCCAGCCTGGGCCACAGAGTAAGATTCCACCTCAAAAAAAAAAAAAAAAGTATTCGATGTTTGTTAAGGAGTGCAATTTAACTCATATCACATTATCATATTTTGTAGAATCAAGATGGTTCTGATAAAAGATTAATTCTTTGTATCCTTAAACTACAATAGCACAGCTACACATAAAAGCTACATAATAAAGCATGGGCCTAGTGGAGCACACTTTCTCCAGTGCAATTTCCCATTAAAATGACATTTTGTTATCAACAAGGAGAGGGAATAGCACTCTTTCATAATTCAAAGCAGAGCACCTGGAAACACATTATTGCTTTCTGCATTACTCCTCTTTCCTGTTCATTGCTAACATACTAGGCATTTTGTTTGTTCCTAACATTTTAGAGCTTTCCACAAAGGACCTAACTGGGCCTTAGGTTGTAGCCAGTCTCTCCCTCCTACATGGAATATTAACATCTTCTGGAGAAGAAAAATATTTCTACCGAAGTCTTTTATATTTTGCTTTATTTTGGATATCACAACCTGAGAACAGCCTAGTTTTGTTTGCTAAATGAGGTGTTCAACATACACAACAAATAGCTGTTCCAGTTTGCAAGTTTCTGCAGTTCTCTTCTCCTTCAGGGAAACCCTAGCAACGACCATTGAGAGGCACATGGCACCTTTAGGAGAGAGGTGGCCAGAGCTCCTTTCAGAAGAGCTGCTGACACAAGATAGCACACTGTCGAGCTGAAAGTAGGTGTCCAGAGATAAGCTAAAATCTTAAAGCAAAAAGTGCATGTTGCTCTTGAAGACTTTTATCAACTCACAATTAATTATGATACTTCTCTGAAGCTTATTTTATAAAATGACCAACTCTGAAGAAATAGAAGTACATTTATGTTATCTTCATAAAACTGTAACTGGAAAGCATTTTTGCTTGTCTCATTAATAAGCCCCATTTTGTTTTGAGGTGTAGTTGTGTGTACATATCACTTGCAAGTCTAGTCACTATGGCTGTTGCCTGAGTGTTGGTCCATAACAGAGTTCAGGGCCTGAACTCTGTAACAGAATGTCAGCACAGCTAAACTCTTCATTCTTGTTTTAAATCTAGTTCCCAAGGCATAAAGTGATACAACTTTTCTAGTTGTCAGTTGGTGATAATTGCAAGGGCCTCCAGATCACGTGGGAAAGACAGCAATGAGGAGGCATAAAGAAAATAGGCAAAGTGACACAGATGTATATATACTCCTCTCCTCCACCCACTAAGTAATGGGGTCCATCTTCACATACCTACAATTAACCCAATGGAATATAAAGGTGCGATTCAATTGTCACATCCATAATATGTAGTATTATGTAACCTTTAAAATGTTGTTATAAAAATAACAATGAGATGATTTTGTCTATGAGAGTAGCAAAACTTAAAAACAGTGATACCAAGTGTTGGCAAGTATATGAAGAAACAGACATTCATGATCCATGAGATGAGGCTGGTGAGATTCATTTTGAAGGTTAGGCAATATACATAAATATTTGTAAATATCCATGACAAGAAGAAAAGCAGTCTGACATCTAAGAGCTGGCCCAGCACTCACAGCTAGGCCTTGATGTTCTCTCATTGAATTGAAACAATTTCACAGAACATTAACATCAGACCAGGCTACTCCATGAATGTCATGTATCAAGACAAAAGCAAGACTACTCTGTAATCATGTATTAACACAGAAAATCATTGTCCCAATTATAAAAATGATGAAATACCCCCCCCCCCATTCTGGCTAATATTAGTGACTGCTGCTTCTTTACCCATCACAACTTTGGTCTTCCTCACCTATAGAATAAGATTTAAATACCAAATCATAGAATTATTCATGCTTACCAAATCCTGTAAGTGTTCATCATCAGGGAACAGATTAAATAACATGTAATACCACCACATAACAGAATATATGCAGCTGCTAAAAAAGCATGTTGCAGGAAAACTACACAATGCTGCTTAGAGAAATAAAGGAGACTTAAATAAGTGGAGAGAGATTTTATTCATGGGTCGAAGATTCAATATTGTTAGATGTCATTCCAAAGATATGAAAGCCTATGTCCATAAAAACACTTGTACACAAATGCTCATAGCTGCTTTACTTATAATGGCCAAACTCTGAACAGCCCAAATGTCCATCAATAAGTGAATGGATAAATAAACTGTGGTAAAGCCATATGGTGGAATACTACTTGGCAATAAAAAGCAATGAAATAGTGAGACACATGATATGGATGAATCTCAAATAATTACACTAAGTGAAATAAGCCAGATCCCCTCCCGACCAAAGAGTACATGCTATATGAGTCCATTTATACACAATTACAGGAAATGAAAACAATTCTATTTTGTCAGAAAATGTCCCATGGTTGCCTGGGTTAGGGGCACAGGGAGAGAGGGGAGGGAGGGATTACAAAAGGGCATTAAGAAGCTTTGGGGGAGGCTGGGCATGGTGGCTCACGCCTGTAATCCTGGCACTCAGGGAGACCAAGATGGGTAGATCACTTGAGACCAGGAGTTCAAGACCAGCCTGGCCAACATGGTGAAACCCTGTCTCTACTAAAAATACAAAAAATAAAAAAAAAAATTAGTCGGATGTGGTGGCATGCACCTGTAGTCCCAGCTGCTCAGGAGGCTAAGGCACGAGAATCACTTGAACCTGGGAAGCAGAGGTTGCAGTGGGCCGAGATTGCGCCACTGTACTCCAGCCTGGGTGACAGAGCAAGACTCTGTCTCAAAAAAAAAGTAGCTTTGGTGGGTGATGAATGTATTTACAATTTTGATTGTGGTTATGGTTTTGTGTGTATATACATTCCAAAACTGATCACACTGTATACTTTCAACATGCAGCTTAATGTATGGCAATTATATTTCTATAAAGTTATTAGATAAAAAGCATGTGACAGATCTATATAATACTAAATTGAAAAGATAAGTGTTAAGAGGAAAAGGCAAGTCTCAATACTGTGTTCCCATTTTTGCAAAAGAATGTGTATATTGTATGTTATGAGAATATGCAATAAAGGTTTACAACACTATATACCAACTGTTAACATGGGAAAAATATTAAGTGATTCAAAAATATGTTGTAGAGGCATATTTATTGACATGCAAAGATGTTTACAGTATACAGTGGGGGGAAGCAAGTTACAAACATTTACAGTATGATCTTGTTTTAGTTTAACTGGCAGAAAATCTCAAAGCATATAACTCCATATTTTCACACATAGAAACTTTCATATCAGCTTAGACCAGGGATTATAATTCCCACCCTGAGTCTTAGAGAACTCAGCCATAGCCTAAATGTCCTGGGAATGCTTTCTGGTCCATACCAACTTCCAAGAATCACTATCTTGTAGGTTGACACAGCAACCTCTTCTAGCTTTCCTGTTTTGTGTTGTTGAAGCTGCAATTCTGGGTCTAAATTTCTCTAATTAAGTCTATTTTGTAGTGTTAGCTGGCACAAATGCAGAAATGCCCAGGCTTGCCTACTAGTAAAAGATAAAGCCCCTTGGCCTTTCATATGACACATAGGAGAATAAATCATAAATGGTAAAAAAAAAAAAAAAAAAAATTAAGGTATGATTTCGCAAGGAGGAAAAAAGCAATTACCTTTTAAATTCAGGGTATAAAATGATTTCAGCTCTTTGGGAAAGAAAAAATACAAATGGATAGAAAAAGATACAAAGGACATCTAACAAGTTTCCCCTGCTGATGACTCCAAATCTACATCTTACTCATTGAACAAAGTTTTAGGCTCCTACTATTTTCGACACTGCCAGATAAAATCCATCTATTTACCTCAGAATTTTCTCCTGACCTCCAGCCAGATGTAGCCAAATGTCTAATGGACACACGAATTTGGAGGAAGTTAAGAATTGTAACACCTGGCATGGACATGATCCATTGCAAAATTAAACCATTCAAACCAGTCTCTGAGCTTTGAAGGCCCCCCCACCTCAAAATGTCCTTCAGGAAGACTGTAAAGCAGTGTGGTGAGATGGGTTCTGGTGTCAGACAAAACAGCTATGCCACCTTCCTGCTGTGGGAATCTAGGAAAAGGTATTTAACCTCTCTAATTCTCATTGGAGGGTACCCAGAATAATGAGTTCTAATAAAAATATAAGTAACTAACTCACAAGATCACTGTGAGAAGAGGAAAAAAACTTGTAAAATATGGTGCCAACACAGTGTTTGACATAGAATAGGCACTCACAAAACGTTTCCTGCCTTCTCTTTTGTGAGATAACTTTGATGTAAATGAAACAGCCTAACAATTTAAGAGTTATGAATGTAGTAGCAAAATTAAAATTGAACAAATAATACATTTTGTCTGAGATTCTGAGTCATTTCTGTGTTGCGGAACGAGTATCTGATACAGCTGGAACAGGAGAAAAATAGTTTCTCTTACATTAAATAGCCTATAGGAACTCCTGCCTCCTTTATGTAGAGTGCGCACATTTGGCCATGAGCGTGCACGTGCACACACAGAGACACGCACACTCACACACACTCTCTCTCTAGGTACTGTTATCTTTGTGTGTGTGTATGCCTTACTTCTGTAACTAGATTACAAACTCAAGGATATTTTCTTTTTTGCCATTTTAAGCCACAGATACTAATGAACAAGTTAGCTTACTTAAAACGAACTGGTTTGCTATCTTAAGTAAAATGTTAAAAATATGCCAATCTAGACAAGATAAAAATCAAACATTTTCAGCCCAAGGTATAATATTCATTTGATACCCCCAAAATAGTCTAGCTCAAACCTAGAGCCTGTCACAGGTGACTCTGTGTTAAAGATGCAGTGTATAATGTGTACACTGTAATGTACAGCCTGCTAGAGTTTGAAGATGGCTTAAAATGTTCTATCTCTGGCTCATTTTACATTGTTTCAATAATCTCTTTAACTTCCCTGAAAATGGCCATGAGTGTATTATAACTCAAGTGATCAACAACTACAATTGAGCCTTTTCTGATATGCTCCTTTATGTTAATAAATATGGCCACACCACTAACAAGATTGGCTTTTGCCTCTTTCTGGTTAAAGATGAGTTTTAATGCTGCCAATGCCTTCATATTGATCATGTCTCTGGCTGCAGTTGGATTTTCAGACATATTTAAAAGTAGTTTCAAAACAAGATTTCTGGTTTTGCAATTTCCTGAGGACAGCAAATGGAAAAGCTCTGAAAAGTAATTGGCAACAATGTAGTGATGGACAAAATCAGTAGTCAGTTGTCCTAGTATCTTTAATCCAGATTGCTGTCCCGGTGAGTTCAAAGGAAATGACATGGTTTCTTTACACATATGCTTAACATGTAATTCAATTTTGCGTTGTCTTTCATCCCCAGAAGGAGGATTCAGAGTAATTACAGTCTTTTTTCTCATTTCAGGGGAAGGAAAACTGAGCAAGCTTTCAATAAGTGTCACTACACCTACTTCGTTAATAAACTCTTGGGCAAATGGGTGAACATTATGGACACCCATTGCAATCCGTGCTATTTTATGAATAAGAGGATCAGTAGTTGACTTAAGTAAGCTAACAAGTTTTTCAAATTCCTCAGAATCCATATAGCATTCCATTTTGCAAGGACAAGCAAATGGCTTAATCCCATTTACCTCCCTGATCCTGATTTGACGTCTAATCTCATCTATGGTCTGGATGCAGGGGTCAGAATCAAAACGACACTCAGGGATAGGCTGTGAGCATGAGCGAGTGTTCCTAGAAGGGCGGCAAGCTGTTGCCACAGGCAAAGAACAGGCATTTTCTTCAGCGGAGGCCAGAACAATATATGAAGGAGGGCTTGCCTCAGATGGTGCCTGGGATCTAAATCCTAACACAGCTGGAGTTACAGCAGGGGCATTGGGCCAGATAGTTACCTCAGACCAGTCCTTGGGCCTATTTTTTTCATTAATTTCATACACAGGCTGAGGCTTAACTATCCTGCTCACAGGTTTAGGATTAGGGTCAAAACTAGTATCATCTCCTTCCCAAAACCAGTTCCCAATAACATTCTCTTCCTCCTCCTCCTCAGCCCCTGACCTAGGTTTGCAATCGGCCCCAGCCGCAGGTTCCAACTCCTCAGCACAGACCTGGGCACCAATTTCAGGTTTATCATTCTTAGTGCTGAAACTATTACCAGCCTCTTCTCCATTCCAGAACCAGGAATTGATAGTGGCCTCTTCCCCAGCCCAGAACCAGGCATCAGTACCAGCCTCATTTTTACATGTGGAGCTGGTGGACTCATTCCCAGCCTTGGGAGTGAAATCTCCCATGGCTTTGCCCAGAGTCTTAGGCTCTGACAGAGCTCCTTCCTTCGTCTCAGCAACAACCTTGTTCTTAGACACTGCCTTCATCTCTGCTACTGCATCTGTCTTAGACCCTGTCTTGGCTTTTGCTTTGGCCCTGGTCTTGGCTACAGGCCTAACAACACCAGTAGCCTCCCTCTCTGCTCCAGCTTTAGCTTGTATAGCAGCCTTTTTTTCAGTTTTGGCCTGGGCTCTTGTCTTATTCTTAGTCCCAGCCATGGTTGAAGCCCAGTTATATGGCCCTGTCCAGTCTTGGCCTTGGTTCTCAATGTGTCCTAGGTCGAAGTCTTAACACTCTTTCACTGGGTCGGGGAAAAACTTGGTAGCAAGAATTAGAGTCAACTGTCAGTTCTGCAGTCACAAAGTTCTCTTTCCAAACATACAGCCTCTGTCAATGATACAGAGGGCAGAGGCACGCTCGGGCTGGGGGAGAATGATTGTTCCCAAGTGCAGACCTGCTGAAGGTGATGGTCTTCCAACAATCCAAAGCCACCACAGCCACCAGTGGAGATGGACCTGAGGTTGAAGAAAGAAACTGGCTTTGAGTCTTGTCTAACTGTGCTTCTCTATGCAAACAGCCACACAGAAGGACATAGGAGAGTAGAAATGAATTGTGTAGAAGTGGATTAATAAAAAACTCTGCTACTTAATTTTATACCTTGCACACTGCCACTAATGCTCAACAATGTCCTGCCCAAGCACTGTCATTCTTTTACTCTGCATCAAACAGGAACAAAGATGGCAGGTAAGCTTGCTGAGAGTGAGAAAGGCTAAAGGAGTGCCCAGTCTCTTTGGACCCATGCTAGTAGGTCCACCACTAAAATATATACCACTAGACCTCATAGGTGTATTCAGGCAGCACTCACACCAACCTGCACTGATCTAGTGCAATTTTTCCTCCTTCCCTGTTTGCAGTGTTGATATGCCCTATAGTTAACTCATGGGCAGGCCTATGGACAAAAATACAGATGGGATTGGAGTTCTGAGTATTTGGTTGACAGACCTACACTCTAATCTCTAAACCCAATTTCTGCCTTTCCAAATCTAGGGCTTTGGTTATATAACACTTCTGGCCTCCTAGTACTCCTTGTGGCTTATCTTCCCATTTCCTGCCCCAATATCTACCAATTACCTCATAGGCATAATCCTGGCTCACCCCACCCCATCACTTGTACACAAATGTGAGGTCAGAGGTGACTAGAAAGATGGAAGACAGTGGCACCAAGATATGATCTGGTCTAACCCACTTGGCAACAGCCTTTCCATAACCCCAATCAACGGGGGTGCTCACACATAAACCTACCTTGAATCCAAATGAATAGTTTTTGTTCTTTCTTAATTAACTTCCAAGTGAACAGCTACATACAGATCTCTACAGGAACCTAGAAAGAAACAGACCTAAGGATAGAAAGGAAGGCAGAGGAAAGAAAACAGAAGAGACTAAGATGATCTAATGCCTATAACAAGGATTATAACATATGCTTTTGAATATTCAAGGCTATGTTAAATGTCTCCCACCTGTCTGCTCTTCCTCAATGATTCCCTAATCACCCCAAGACCTGCAGCCTGATTACACCTCCTGCCAACTTTGAAGTCAGTCATTTTCCCAATAGAAGTTACAGCTCCTTTCCTGAACCAAAAAAAATGAGGTGCAGAAATAGGTAGTGGAACATAGGCAATTGTACTTACAAGGCAGGCAGGGAACATAATGGAGACTGTTATTTTAATACCATCTGTGCATGTCCTTCCCCTTCCCCATGCATACCTAGATCCTACTTTATTCACCACCTATGTCAGCCTGCTTATACAGCAGGAGTTCTCAGGAGATGCTATCCTTCCCACCAAAGAAGAGTCACGCCCTACAAAAAGAAGGCGGAGCAACTAGCAAAAAATAACCCCAAGAGACTATGTTAACAATGGTAGAAAAATAGCAGGTTAATGGACAGATTCCCAGAATTCGGATTCTAACACCTCCTTTTTGAGAATCAGAAACTAAGTAAATAAAGTCTCCCAACTCTCATAGCTCCTCAGATATCCACCATCAGAAATGCCATGAATTCTTCTGTGGGACTATTTCTGCACCAAAATGAGAGGGTCTGTGAGGAGTGGCTGGAGATGGAGTTTTGGTTTCCAGAACCATAAACTGAAGAAGCAGATTGACTTCAAATGTTCTAAATTGACCCTTCAAAAAGATTACCCCTCTACTCGGAACCCACATTCTCACACATCATTACATTACTTAAAGTGGATCAGCATGTTGAGAAAACAGATCCTGAACAAGAAAGGTGGAAAAATACTACCCTGTTATTTACATGGACCACTGTTGTGAAATTCGACTAAGTCCACACCCTATTTGCTTGCACAAAACTGGATGTGGGGATCTAAATATGTAAGGCAATAAAACAGTGCGGTATTATAAAAGGCGGTTAAACATTTCATTTTAGTGTCTTCATAATTCACCCACTCAAAGTTCCACTTTTGGAGAACCCAACAGACCTATCACGCAGACAGGAGACTTTAACAACCACCTGGAGCCTGTGGGAAGGGACAGCACCCAAGACACGGGGTCCCACAGGCCCCTTTCCGGAATCAGGGCCCCGAGTAGCGAACGCGGCCCACCTCTCGTGGGCTGGGCACAGAGCTGGGACGCCGGCTCCCCCCGGCCTTCCCGGGAGCCCCCCACAATGGCTCCCGCTCCGCCATTTCTCCCGCAGGAGCTCCCCCACAGCCCTTTCCGGGCACAGACACCGTCGAGGGCGGGGCGCCGGCGCCTGCAAAGCTGGCTTGGAGGCGGTCAGCGCGGTTCTCCTCCAGACGATCTGACGGTGCCTCTCAAGCCAGCCCCTCAGCCCTTGGCCTGGCTCGGCCTGCACCGGTCACCGCCTCCCCATCGCCAGGGGTCTCGAGCACTGCGCACCTCTCTCCGGCGACCGGCTCCGACCGGATCGTCTCCTCCTTGCCAGGATGTCAGGGTCGGCGGGGCAGGCTGCCAGCCGGTCCACCCTGGCGGACCACCCCAAGCTCACGCACCCCCACTTGCCTTCAGAGGCCCAGGGCCCAGGTCGTCGACCTCCCCCTCCTCTCCTCAGCTCTCCTCTGGCGGCTCCTCACTTCGATTCTCACCGCTTTCCCCGCTATCAGAATGGCAAAGACGCGTCCCGCCCCCCACGCCTCTGCACCAAACTGGGCAGGGGCTGCGCAGGATGCTGCAAGAACCGCTCTCTCCGCGAGGGTGTCGGGAAGGGGGGCGGAGGGATACGGCGCGAAAGTGCTCGACGCCCCCCTCTCAGGCCCACCTTAGTTCCGACCCAGAGGTGGGCGGGGCCATGACGAGCCCCAGCCTGGGCCTGCGGGTTGGCACCAGGCTGCCTCAGGAGGACCCCCGCGGACCCTAACGTGGCGACCACCACCACCACATTTCTGGCGTTGCTATAATATAGGGACGGGCGGGCGGCTGGGGACCCAGGCAGGGGACAGGATCAGGAGGTTGGGAAGAGCCGCGCTGGAGGGAGCAGCGGATGGATACCAAACCGCCCCTTGGTGTGTCTGCACCCCCGCCCCAACTCCCCAACCAGGGACTGCTGGGTGTCTGCCCCTTCCCTCTCCCCAGCCCTCTCACTCTCCTTCCTGGAAGCTAATGGGAGAGGGGGTGTCAGCAGTGCAGTCTGGGAGGGGTGAGGCGATTTCAGGCCAAACAAGCCTGGGCCTCTAGGGTGGTCCTCTTGTGCGTTTCTTTCCCAGCTTCATGGAGCCACGCAGGGGAGGAAGGTACACCTGCTCTTAAGTGAATTCTGGGGCAGGGGGCTCCCATCAAGGCCTCACCACTGCCCCTCTTCTAACAGAAGGTAGACCTAGACCTCTAACCCTAGGAAACCAACCACTGGTCTGTACCAGACTCATTTCTTTCTGCCACGCCGCTTTTTCTCATTTCAAATGGTGGCTCAGGTTGGCATTGCGCCGTCCCCACAGTTGACCCCAAAAGAGGGCCTTTCCCTGTCAGGACTCGCAGGAGGTCGTAACAGTCCTCTCTCTTTGATGGCACCAGGTAGGGATGGTCTTGGCGCCTCTCCACTGTTCTGGGAGGAGAGGGGACCACTATTCGCGCACTTCCTCGAGGCAGATCCCAGATTCCAGCTGCGCTCCTCAACTCCTCCTTTTCTCCCAGCCTTGCACCCTGCCTAATGCATGCATGTGCTTTTTTCTTCTGAATATATATATATTTTTTTACTCTCCCTTCCAAGCGATGGGGAGTTTGACTTGTTAGACTGGAAGTTTCCTGAATGAAAGTACCCTTTTGGTATTGTTCCCCACTGTATTCTCAGCACATTGTAGACGGTATAGTCAGTCAAGGGTTGAAGGAGGTGAGGGGCTACTGAATCATGACAATTCCATGGTACCCTCTGTGGTTTGCAGATCAATGCTAATTCATAGGTGTGTCTTTGCTGCCTGTAACCCCAGGGCTTAGCCCAGAGTATGCCACCCACAGCTGCTTTCTGTATGGTTTTTCAGTGTTGGAAGGAGCAAGAGAGGAAGACAGAGATTGTGAAGCAATTCCTAAAAGTACCAATACCTGCATTTTAAAATATAGAGCACAAAGAGGCAGAAAAATATGATCATTTTCCTGGTCATTTGTATTCCCTTTGTGGATGCCTCAATCAGACACACCAATATATGTGACTTAGGAGATACTAGTCATACTAAGAGAAACAGGAGTTTCAATTGCATGTCACACTACTTTTTGATGAATCACTCTAGGTTATGATTCTTAACATTTGTGTGTTCTTATTGGCTTTGTCCTTTAAGCTTAATAGTATTAAAACTTTAACACATTGTCTTAAATACGAAGGACATAGGCCTGCAGATTCTGATGTGAGAGTTTTATTTCTCTAGTATAATGCTTTAAGTAAATATATGCAAGAATATTAAAATGCATAATTTCTTTTAATAGCAATTAATTGTAAATAATGTAAATGAAACCACCTTTGCAAAAATTATAACAATGAGAAAATTATGGCAGTGAAGGAGATCTGATCTGGCTAACACCTGTCTTGCCTTTGGCCTTCAAGCTGCCCTTAATTATTCCTGGGCTTATAAGCTAACTTTGGGAGACATTTACTTTACAGTTTAAATGATAATAGCCATTCCCCAAAACTTAACCAAATGCCTTTGTAAAGCTAATAATGAAACCACCAGGCTAGGAGGATGGAGCAGGCTGAGTCCTGCTAAGGTGTAGACATAAAGGATTGACAGCCGTTATTCTGGAGGTTACAACATATGCAACGTCCCCAATTATTCCTGCAGATAACATCACTATTGTAGAACCTAAGATTGGCCTTTTGAGGTATCTTTTCAGATTTCTTGCATGTCTGGCTCCACCTCGACCCACCAACTGCTCCTGAGGCCCCATCCAGAAGTGACTCAGCACATAGGAGGACCATTTCCCACACCCCTATGATTGCACCCCCAACCAATCAGCACCAAGTACCCATTGCCTAGCCACCCCCATGATTTCCCCCAAACTACCTTTGAAAAACCCTAGCCCCCAAATTCTTCAGGAGATTGAGTTAAGACAGGACTCCATCTCCCATTTGGCGTGGCCAGCACCACATCAATTAACCTCTTTCTTTACTGCAATGCCATGGTCTCCTTGAATTGATTTTGTTTGTGCAGCTGGCAGGAAGAACCCATCGGGCGGTTACATAAATGACCATCAATAGGGAAAGGATTAAACTAAGTATGATAAATTTATAAAGTACTATTCTACCCTACTATGATATCAAAAAGAAGTAGCTCTATATATACCAAAATGGAAATAACTCAAAATACAAAGTGAAAATGCAAGTTGTACAATAATACATATGGTTTATGGAAAGTGTGCATTATAAGTATATATCTATTGTGAAAGGAAAATAAATCTCAGGATCCTAAAATCGCTAAGCCAAAGAGAAAAGTAAAGCTGGGAACTGCTTAGGGCAAATCTGCCTCCCATTCTATTCCTAAAAAAGATAGTTAATAAGATTAAAAAAAAAAAAGCTACATACATCCCTCACCATTTTTCCACAAGGAAATTCCCTGTGGACAAAGGACAGACAGAGCTCAAAGTCACCCCTCTGCTCACTGAGATAAATGCATATGTGATTGCCTCCTTTGGAGAGGCTAATCAGAAACTCAAAAGAATACAACCATTTATCTCTTATCTTTCTTTGACCTGGAAGCCCCTTCCCCTCTTGGAGTTGTCCTGCCTTTCTGGACAGAACCAATGTGCATCTTACATGTATTAATTGATGTCTCATCTCTCCCTAAAATTTACAAAACCAAGCTGTGCCCCGACCACAATGGGCACATGTTGTCAAGACCTCTTGAGGCTGTGTCACAGAAGCATCCTTAACCTTGAGAAAATAAACTTCCTCAATTGACTGAGACTTGTCTCAGATATTTGGGGTTCATATTTTGGTAACCACAAAGGGATTCTGAGTGGAGGTGCCCCTGACCTTCACGAATCTCCTATGGGTGCTTGGTACCAGCTTGAGCTATCTTTATGGCTCAAACCAATAGGACAACTTGCAGAGGCCTGGAAGCCCCCCTCCAGAGAATCCCTGATCTCCCAAAATTTGGTTGAGAACTAAAGTTTAGTTTGCTGTACAACTCCTTTATTTTTTTGGAGTTTTACTTGCTTCCAACAAGGAAGGCAGGGTCTGCAAAGTATCTCAAGTACTGACCTTAGATTTTTCAACAGTGATGTTATTCCCAGGAGCAATTTGGGGAGGTTCAGACTCTTGCAGCCGGAGGCTGTGTGGCCCCTAAACCATAATTTTTAATCTTGTAGCTAATTTGTTAGGCCTACAAAGGCAGACTGGTCCCCAGGCAAGAAGGTCCCCCCCGACCCCGCCCCCGACTGGGAAAGGGCTACTATCAATTTTGTTTCAGAGTTAAACTATAAACTAAATTCCTTCCCAAGGTTAGTTTGGCCTACACCCAGGAATGAACAAGGACAGCTTAAAGTTTAGAAGCAAGATGGAGTTGGTAAGGTCTGATCTCTTTCACTGTCATAATTTCATCAGCTATAATTTTTGCAAAGGTGGTTTCATTAGCACACTGAGATGGACAAGAATGATGAGGGCAATAGCAAGCATGCCTTCATTTATTCCTTCTCCAATGCCCTTTCTTTCTATAAATTTCTGACCTATATTATTGTACCTTTTCCCTGAAGAAATTCTTTTTAACATCTCTTGCAGGGCAGGTCTGCTGGTGATGAATATCCTCAGTTCTTGTTTGTCTGAGAAATTATTTCTCCTTCATGTTTAAAGATAATTTTACTAATCACAGAGGTCTAGGTTGGTAGTATTTCTTTCAATATTTTAAATATTACAGCCCACTCTCTTCTTTACTTGCATGGTTTCTGCACTGTAATTCTTATCCTTGTTCCTCTGTAAGTAAGGGGTTTTGTTTTGTTTTGTTTTTCAGTATTTTCTCTTTGTCTTTCTTCAGTTTGCATATGATATGCCTATGTTACAGGGAGTTAGACAGGCATGATTGGGGCAGAAGAGGGCTCTCCCCCCACCCACTAGGACTGTCAGAAGATGATTTAGCAATTATTGCATTGCCTCTCTAAAATTGAAAAATTGGCAGTTGGTGCCAGGGAGAGGCCATTTCCTAATGGCCCACACCTATTGCACTAAAGTGTTAATTGAATGCAGGCAAGAGGGTGAAGCAACTTCCCAGGCATATGCATTAAGAGACAAAATAGCAGAGTATGACCTTCTGGGAGCACTCCACTGGAAAAGGAAAGAAAGCCTCAGATGGGCATGCATATAACTTTCTAAATACACTGTGCATGCTCACTTCCTAAGGAGAAGGAGGGCACCTTGCATGCAGGCAGCCCACACTAACGGAAGCATCATGGGAAAAGGGCCAGCCTATAAAGTCCTAGGATCGAGATTAAACAGTGCACTTGTCCTTCAAGTCGCCCACTTGGGTCTCTTTCAAGCATGCTTTCATTTCTATCCTGTTCTAAAGCCTTTTAAAATAAACTTCCACTCTTGCTCTGAAACTTGCCTTGGTCTCTTTTTCTGCCTTATGCCCCTCAGTCAAATTCTTTCTTCTGAGGAGGCAAGAATTGAGGTTGCTGCAGACCCATACAGATTCACCAATGGTAACTCGGACACTTGTTACCCTTAACATATTAGGTACCATGAGACTCGGTTATTTGCCACCGGTAACATATTGGCCATGTGACTCAGATGTTAAGAGATATCTATGCCTTGCCTTCTTTGGTTGGAGGCATCTGACCCCCGTGTGCAGTTTTTTCTTTTCTTTTCTTCTTTTCTTTTTCTTTTCTTTTCTTTCTTCTTTCTTTCCTTCCTTTCTCTTTTCTTCTCTTTCTTTTTCTTGTGATCAATTCTGCTATTAATGCATTCTTTAGTATGCAGCTCCAAAATTTCTGCCTGATTCTTTTTAATTATTTTCAATGTCTTTGTTAAATTTATGATAGAATTTTGAATTCCTTCTCTGTGGTATCCTGAATTTCATTAAGTTTCCTCAAAACAGCTATTTCAACTTCTCTGTCTGAAAGGTCACACATCTCTGTTTTTCCAAGATTGGTCCCTGGTGCCTTATTTAGTTTGTCTGGTGAGGTTATGCTTCCCTGGCTGCTCTTGATGCTTGTTGATGTTGGTTGATTTTTGGACATTGAAAAGTTATGAATTTATTATACTCTTCACAATCTGGGGAAGGCTTTACAGGTATTTTAAGGGACTTGGGCCCCAAGCTCTATAACACTGTGGTTCTTGCAGACTAGTGGAAGTAACACTTGTTGGTCTTGGTTAAGATTCGGAAGAATTCCCTGGATTACCAGGCAGAGACTCTTGTTCTCTTCCTTTACATTCTCCCAATCAATCAATCAATCGATCTCTCTCTCTCTGTCAGTCTCTCTCTCTCTCCATAAGTGACTCTGCTTTTTGTGGTTGATTTCTCAGCTCACCCTAATGGGTGGCTTGCGGGGGTGGGAAGGACCTTAGGGTCCACACCAAGTAGGTCAGAAGCATTAAATGGCCCTCCTAGATAGGAGGCTTATGAGAGTGGTGAGGCTGAGGCCTAAAAACCATGCAATGTCTGGGATTTCCTCTGCTTTTTCTTTCCAACTAAAATTGGCTCTTTTCCAAAAATGTATACCACCCATTCTTCTGTTTTCTGTGTGTGTGTTCTAAAATGGCTTTTCACGCCCACCAGACCTTCTGCCTTGGGTGAAAGTCTGCTTCTTTGCTTTCACTTTGCATGCCACATGACTTCTAAAACACACACTCCCTATTATTCATGCGCCCATGGCTCTCTGCATTTCTGCAGCAGCAAAGGCACAGGCTCCCTTGTGGATATCCCCCGAGGTTTATATTTGTTTTTACTATCTCGGGTGACATTCCATCTTTCCCCTGTCTGCTGGCATGTGGCCAGAACACTAATTGGAACTCCAGTGCTGCCGGTTTCTTACAACTCATCATGTGCATTTTGTTCCTATTATGCCCCAGCGCTAAGTTTTCTGATGGCTTTTAAAAGCGGCTTGTCTGCCTGCATAGTGCTTCACTCTGGTCCTTCAAGAATCCCACCCTCTTGCTTTTTAAGCCACCACCACTTTGGGAGGAGGAGAAATTCTTACCCCAGGCCCCAAGTCCTCAGAGGTTACGGCTTTATGTTCAGAGGGCAAATAAATATTACCCTCTTGAATACAAGGGCTCCTGTTTTTGTGAGCACATGAAGGCTTTCCATGAGTATTCCTCTTGCTTCTTTCCACTTCCTCCTATAGCCGCCATTTCTCGAATTACTTCCATGCCCTTCTCAATGTGCATCAAGACCTTCAAGGTCATATTCTAAGGGAGTGGGGAGGGAAGTCCAGCCGCTGTGGCAGTTAACAGAGAAACAGGCTTCTAAGAAAAAAGATAATTATTTTATTACTAAAATCCTCTGAGTGAGAGTCACTATAAGGCCATGGAGACAAGGATATAGGCTGGTTAAAGGCCACTGATAAAAGTGTGAAAGGAAAATATCTTGTGCCCTCAAAATCCTAGCTAAAGGGAACACTCAAGCTGGGCAAATCTGCCTCCCATTCTATTCAAAGTCATCCCTCTGCTCACTCTGATAGAAGCTTATTCTGATTGCCTCCTTTGGAAAAGCTTATGAGAAACTCAAAAGAATGCAACCATTTGTCTCTCACCTACCTGTGACCTGGAAGCCCCCTCCCTGCTTCCAGTTGCCCCCACCATTCTGGACAGAACCAATGTACTTCTTACATATATTAATTGATATCTCATCTCTCCCTAAAATGTATAAAACCAAGCTGTGCCCCAACCACCTTGGGTACATGTCCTTAGGACTTCCTGAGGCTGTGTCACTGGCGTGTGTCCTCAACCTTGGCAAAATAAACTTTCTAAATTAACTGAGGCCTATCTCAAATTTTCAGGGTTCACATAAGAGACCCATAGGACAGAGATGAAGGGTGGCCCAGGCTGACAGATTACCATTGGAACAGAAATGAAACACTAGGGGGTTACACAGTAAGAACCAATTAATTCCAGAACCCCAGGAATGGACAGGGGCCCACGGTTCACTCCAGTATCTCCTCTATTCTCCAGTGGGTAATCGTGATGAGATGGGACCATGGATACAGAGTAAAGACTGGTTAAGTCTGGAACCCAAGAAGGGTGGTCCTAGCCTAACGGATTACCATTGGAAAAAAGATGAAAGGCTAGGCAGGTACACAGTAAGGACCAGTTAATTCTGGAACCCCAGGGATGGACAGGGGCTCACTGTTCACTCCAGTATCTCTTCTGTTCTCTGTTCTCAAGTGGGTAATTGTAATGAGATGGGACCATGGGTACATGGTAAAGAATGGTTAAGTCTAGAACCCAGGATGATGGGGGATGCCCCATTTGGGATAATAGGAAGAAAGAGAGGACACCTTTTTCCCTTTTCCTCTTTTTCCTCCTCTGTTCTCTCTTCGCAAATGGCAGATGGGAAATTGTGTCTCCATACCACAGGACTTGCCCCTTGGATGCATTCCCCCAAACTGGGAAAATTTTAATTTCCTCAAACCTTAAACTGCTTGGCTTAAAAAGAAACTGGGAAGCAATTACAAGAGTCAGACTTGGAACCCCTGTGCAGGAGGTCCTCAGATTAGCCTCTTATGTCTTTTATAACCCAGAGTAGAATAAAGAGAACAGGGCTAAGCCTGTTAGGTGGGGCAAATGGCATCCCCTCCCTCAAAACAAAAGATTCACACCCCTTTATATTACTTAAGGGACCAATTGCTATTCACCCACCGGTCCCTGGTAATGTCTAAAATAGCCCACACTTATTCAGACAAGCCCTAGCAAAAATCTAACTGAGAAATCTCCTGAGAGGGGATAACTTCTACAGTATGTAGACAACTTCTTTATCTACTCCCCCTTCTCAGGACACACATGGCAACATGCAGTACAAACCTTAACTTTCTAACAGAAAATGACTTTTGTCTAGTTCAAAGTTTCCATGAAATGGAAAAAAGATGATTTTTCCTTGGTGTTGTGGCTTGGTCCCCAGGGTGTGGCAAGCAGGGTCGCTAGGGCTGCTCAGGGAAAGGGAACCCAGAAGCCAGCAGCCAGGCATGCTGGTAGACTGGTAGGAATTCTTACCAGACTTCTGGCTTCTCTCTTTCTATGCAAACCAGTAGTAGGAATGGTAGAAATCAATGTATTCTCTGCCCCTCCATGAATGACTTCTGACTTCCCTTCTTGAATTTTCCTTTGTCGAAGCTACCTTTGTAGACTCTAAATCTTGTAAAAACTGCTTACCACCTCTTTGAACATACGTCATACACTCATGGATAAGTCATAACCTTAGTTAAGGCTTATTGGTTTCACCTGTGAGGTTACTTTTGGTAAAGTTCAAAAACCACAAGTATTGGCTATTTGGCTAAGCTAAAGTCAAGTAATAAGAGATTTAAAAGGATTTTCTTAGGAACACTATGGTTAAAAGTCAGCTTAGTTAAAAGCAGATATCCAAGCTATACATACATTTAAAAGGCCTTTGTTTTTTTCTCTTCTTGAATCTTATTTTTCTGAAGAAAAAAAGGTTTTTTGTTCTCAGTCAACTGAATTGCTTTTCTTATTTTGTCTTCTTGCCACTCTTGATGCACACATGAAAGGACCTAAGATAATTTCTAACAGCTTGGGACTCCTTGGGAAAAAAAGAGGAGGTGCCACAGACCCCGTTTTGGGAAAAACCTCTGGTTTCCTCATGGAACCCCAGGAATTGAAAGTGGATAGATCCCTCTTAAAATCTAAGGCTCTGTTCTGTTTGCATTGCGTTACCTGTTTTTCACTTTTGGGAGTTTCAGAAATTACTTCACATTATGAAAGAACTTTGGTAATAACCAGGTAGGAAATATATGGATGGCTAATGGCAGTTATGGAGGAATACTTGCACATTTGGATCAGAGAAGCATGCTCTTGGCCACCTGGAAGGTACGGCAACATCCCCAGCCCCCACTGAGAGATAAGATTCCCATGGGGAATGGGCTGATTGGCATTGGATCACTTTGCAATGAAATGTATGGTAAAATCATTGTACTGTCTTGCTCCGTAGCATTTCTCTTTTGGGGATTCAGGATCCACTATAACGATGGTCCCTTAATTTTGGGGATCCATTTTTGCCTTCCAGCTGTATCTGCTTATTAGGCTCTGGAAACTGTATGCTTTCTCCACGCTGTTCTTCCAAAGACTCCACCCTGAAGCCAATAATCCAATTAAGAAACAAAAAGTGGCAAATGAAAAATCTTACAACTACTGAATCTTCTATGTATTCATATGTGTTGTGTGTGATGATGTTTATATAAAAGAGCTCTAATTAATTGGTGTTAAAAAATAAATGCTTAAATATTGTCAGAAAATTTAAACTGTAATGCCTTTTAGTTCATGTGACCTAAATAATCTTTGGGAAATAAAGACAGTTTTAGGATTATTGGTAAAATAAAAATATCTTCAAAAATTTAGACATTTGGTCTAAATTATGCAAGTCAGATATTAGGTTTGCTAAATGCTTTAAGGTCATAAACTGCTTCTTTGGCTTTTGAAAATTGTTCGACTTGCCTGCTTTACCACTAGATAAGGCCTAACGACATGTGGAGTTAGCCATATCCCTAGCTATGCTGGAAAGAGACCTTATCTGCACTTCTGTCTGGTGTCCTAGGCTCCAAATCTAGTACATAATTAAAATAGCTTACTAACCAGGTTTTTCAGCAAAAGTTGCTAAGAGTCAACAGTGTAACATGTATTTGAAACTACTAAAGAAACAGTTTTACATGCAAGGTGTGCAAGGAAAGTAAAATGTGCATATGGTAAAAGATTACAAGAAGGAATGGGAATGTGGATTTCTTGCCTAGTTTAGAGGGTTAAAGGATTATTTTAAGTTAGATAGGAAACATCTGAGGGCTTGAACAAGTTGTGGAAAGTTTGTGAAAAATATATTGCAAAAGAGATTCAGCCGGGCGCGGTGGCTCGCGCCTGTAATCCCAGCACTTTGGGAGGCCGAGGCAGGCGGATCACAAGGTCAGGAGATCGAGACCATCCTGGCTAACACGGTGAAACCCTGTCTCTACTAAAAATACAAAAAAAAAAATTAGCCAGGTGTGGTGGCGGGTGCCTGTAGTCCCAGCTACTGGGGAGGCTGAGGCAGAGAATTGCTTGAACCCAGGAGGCGGAGCTTGCAGTGAGCTGAGATGGTGCCACTGCACTCCAGCCTGGGCAAGAGAGCAAGACGTCGTCTCAAAAAAAAAAAAAAAAAAAGAGATTCTGTGTGTAAACATATTGGCTAAAGTTAAAGGGGTATTATACAGTTTTTCCGTAAGTTGAACATTGGAATAAAAGCACAACAGAGTTTTCTTGGAGCACTGATCTGCTCTTTAACAAAAGAAGTTGTAAAGTGTTATAAAAGGTTTATGAGAATCTTACCTTATGGTCGGACATTAAAATTAGATAGATTTGTCTATAACATTTTATTAAGAATTCGGTTTGACACTAATGCAAAGGTGAAATTTAGCTTTCTCTCTTGAACAAGATTTTCGTGTAATATTAAAAAATAATGAAAGATTTTTGTTTGCCTTTCAAATAAACTATAGGTTGGCTAAGTGAATGACTTATGGTGACCTGGGATTTTATTTTATAATATCAAATGTTTAAAATCTTTGATATTTGACAAACTTTCCAAAATTAAATTATAAATCATGTCTATTTCTGACCTAATTAATGTTTTAGATATTAGGTCCTCTAAAGTCCAAAAATGACATAGTTGGCTTATTTGGTATAAGGAAGCATTGTCAAATATGAAATTGTATTTGGCTTTCTTTGGGCTGTATTTGCATAAATATGTTATTAATATGTGTTCCAAAATTATGAGACTCTGATATAACTTAGTGGGTATTATTAATAATTAGAACTGTTATGTAAAATTATTGTGTGCCACAGAGGTAAGAAATTTCCTTGTCAATGTGTCTTTAACTGTGGCTGCCCTAGGACTTTTCATCATCCACAGACAATTGTCTTGTTATTTTTTTATTATTATTATTATTTTTTTGAGACAGAGTCTCGCTCTGTTGCCCAGGCTGGAGTGCAGTAGCCCAATCTCGGCTCACTGCAACCTCTGCCTCTCAGGTTCTACTGATTCTGCTTCCTCAGCCTCCTGAGTAGCTGGGACTACAGGCGTCTGCCACCATGCCTGGCTAATTTTTGTGTTTTTAGTAGAGACGGGGTTTCGCCATATTGGCCAGGCTGGTCTCAAACTCCTGACCTTTTGATCCGCCTGCCTTGGCCTCCCAAAGTGCTGGGATTTCAGGCGTGAGCCACCGCGCCTGGCCTGTCTTGTTTTGATCCTCTTTAAATGGTGTTTTATAATCAGCTATAGAACTGACAGGTGTTCCTGAATGCAAGTTTCTGGTAACTTTGGAGATTGTGACTGTCAGGCCTCTGAGCCCAAGCTAAGCCATCATATCCCCTGTGACCTGCACGTATACATCCAGATGGCCTGAAGTAACTGAAGAATCACAAAAGAAGTGAAAATGGCCTGTTCTTGCCTTAACTGATGACATTGCACCACAAAAGAAGTGAAAATGGCCGGTCCCTGCCTTAACTGATGACATTATCTTATGAAATTCCTTCTCCTGGCTCATCCTGGCTCAAAAGTTCCCCCACTGAGCACCTTGTAACCCCCGCCCCTGCCAGTCAGAGAACAACCCCCTTTGACTGTAATTTTCCTTTACCTACCCAAATCCTATAAAACGGCTCCACCCCTATCTCCCTTCGCTGACTCTCTTTTCGGACTCAGCCCGCCTGCACCTAGGTGAAATAAACAGCCTTGTTGCTCACACAAAGCCTGTTTGGTGGTCTCTTCACACGGATGCGAGTGAAAGTGACATTAAAATAAAGGAAAAAATACGTTTCAGGACTTTCATGGAGAGCTGAAATGTTCATGAATATCAAGCAGAACAGGGGTTAACTGAATGGACAAAACTAATAAAAGACTGAAGTCATCTTTTTTTTTTTTAACATTTTGCTTAAAATGTTGCTGATCCTTTGTTTTTCAGATTCAAGAAAACTTTTCTTTTGAGTTATTTACAGCTTTTAACAATTGAGTAAAGTATACTCCTGTGAAGAAAATTTGGAGCGTATTCCTTTCTCGCTACCTGATTTTTCCAGAATTTGGAAACAATTTGTGAGCTTTTTTTTTTTTTTTTGAGATGGAGTTTCGCTCTTTGTTGCCCAGGCTGGAGTGCAGTGGTGTGATCTCGGCTCACTGCAACCTCTGCCTCCCAAGTTCAAGCAATTCTCCTGTCTCAGCTTCCCGAGTAGCTGGGATTACAGGCGCCCGCCACCATGCCCGGCTAATTTTTTTTGTATTTTTAGTAGAGACGGGGTTTCACCATGTTGGTCAGGCTGGTCTCAAACTCCTGACCTTAGGTGATGCTCCTGCCTTGGCCTCCCAAAGTGCCGGGATTACAGGCGTGAGCCACTGCACCCAGCCAATTTGTGAGTATTCTTAACTTATGGCAATATAGTTATTTGCATAAGTGCAATAAGAATGCTTTCTTTTGCAACAGGGCAATGGGAGAAACTGGTTGTTTTACCAAGTCTTTGACTGGAATGACATGTCTTCATTTAAGGAATCAAGCTTGACTTATAGAGCCAATAAAAGCCCTTTGGGAAAACTGGCCTCATACCTTGTCTACACAGTCCCTGTACAGGGTTCCTGACCTGTGGTATGTAAAGAATGTCATTTTCTGACAGGCCTAGGAACCCCAAGTTATTTTGGAACCTCAAAAAAAGAGAAATTTACTCAACTCATAGGTATTTGAAGGTACAAACCCATGGGTGAGCTCAGTTTTAAAAAGTCTTATCTGAGATTACTTATGGAACAGAGTTCCATCAAAGCAAATTTTAAAAGCCTATGTGAAAAAAAATTATTCTTGCTGGGCTTTATGCAAATAATCAGGCTAAGTATAATAAGACTAAAGTTTACTTTCCAAACAAATCAGTCCTATCATAATTTTTAAAAAAATCACGAGGACTGGAGAGAGAAAAATATTTTTCAAAAATTATTATATACCTACTATTAGAATCTAGTCTCATCAGTTGTTTTTAAGTTTTTGTCTGCATTTTGGACTAACCCTGCTTATTCCTGTAAACCAACCAGTGATCTCTTGATGCAGCTCAGAAGAAACAAAAAGGATGGGTCATCAAGCTCCAGATGATCTTCAGTGAGGGATATCATCCTCTCAATATTCAAGAGACACCCTTCTACAGGGGACCCCTAGACTGATCATCAGTGGGACAGGAAGGTGGCAAAATCCTGCCCCTGACTCCCTTGGATCTGGCTAGATACTGCTTTCACCAATCCACGGAATGACGTTCCTGCCCTGTCAGCTAGCAAGAGTCCAAGACCCACTGAACCACCATTGTCCCTTTGTCAGTGGAAAGCAGTTACAGAAGACTGACTTTTGTCCATTTTTCCCCAAAGATTTGGGGTCTTGGGCTCTTGAGGGGGGAATGTTACAGGTAGACAGGCATGAGCAGGGCAAGAGAGGGCTCTCCCCCCACCCACTAGGAATGTCAGGTGATGGTTCCGCAATTATCCCATTGCCTCTTTAAAAGTGATAGTTGGCAGCTGGCATGAAGGACAGGCCATTTCCTGATAGTCCACACCTATTTCACTAAAGTGTTAATTGAATGCGGATACCAGGGAGAAGCAATTTCCCAGGCATATGCATTAAGAGACAGGATGACAGAGTATGACCTTCTGGGGGCACTCCACTGGAAAAGGGAAGAAAGCCTCAGATGGGCATGCATGCAACTTTCTAAACACACTGTGCGTGCTCACTTCCCAAGGGTAAGGAGGGCACCTTGCATGCGGGCAGCCCACACTAACGGAGGAATCACGGGAAAGGAACCAGCCTATAAAATCCTAGGATCAAAGTTAAACAGTGTGCTTGTCCTTCAAGTTGCACGCTTGGGTCTCTTCCAAGCGTACTCCCCTTTCTCTCCTGTTCTGAAGCCTTTTTTTTTCTTTTTTTTTTGAGTTGGAGTCTCGCTCTGTTGCCCAGGCTGGAGTGGCGTGATCTCAGCTCACTGCAACCTCCGCTTCCCGGGTTCAAGTGATTATCCTGCCTCAGCCTCCTGAGTAGCTAGGATTGCAGGCATGTGCCACCACACCCAGCTGGGTTTTTTTATTTTTTTATTTTAGTAGAGACAGGGTTTCACCATGTTGGTCAGGCTGGTCTCAAACCCCTGACCTTGTGATCTGCCTGCCTCGGCCTCCCAAAGTGCTGGGATTACAGGCGTGAGCCACTGGGCCCGGCCCCTGAAGCCTTTTTAAATAAACTTCCACTCCTGCTCTGAAATTTGCCTCGGTCTCTTTTTCTGCTTTGTACCCCTTGGTCGAATTCTTTCTTCTGAGCAGGCAAGAATTGAGTTTGCTGCAGACCTGTATGGATTCACTGTTGGTAACTTGGATACCTTCCAGTGGTAACACTTAGGTGTAGACTTTTTTGGTATTTATCCTGCTTAGTATTTTCTAAAATTCCTGGATCTGTGGTTGGATGTTTGTCATTGATTTTGGAAAATTCTCAGCTGTTATTATTTGAAATATTTCTTCTGCTCCAAATTCACTGTTTTCTTTCTAGTATTCCAACTATGCATATGTTATACCTTTCAAAATCATCCCACAGTGCTTCAATGTTCAGTTCTTTTTTTCATTTCAATTTGGAAGTTTCTATTGTGAAAAGAAAATAAAAACCCAGGACCCTGATTCACTATGCCAAAAGGAAAATATTAAGCTGAAAGCTGAGTCATGCAATAAAATACCTTTCTTTTTTTTTTTGTTCCTAAGCAGATAGCTACAGATAAAAGGTTAAATATCTCCACAGGTAGATATTACACATTTTCCTTACCTTATGTAAAGTGCTGATTTACTGTGAGCCAGAGGAATACAGAATTGACTATTCCTGTTTCTGCTCCTTTTCCCTTGCATCATGTGGATTACTGTACCCTCCCTCTTCCCCTCTAGCCTGCTGTTTCCATTTAAATATTGAAGCCCTCAAAATTATCTTTGGATAAAGGCACAGACCACAGACTGTTTCTGTGATTCCATGCTCTTTTCTTCTGGGAATGTCTTCACCTTGGCAAAATAAACTTCTAAATCAATTGAGACATGTCTTACATACTTTTTAGTTTACACTATTGACCTATCTTCAAGCTCAGGAGTCCCCAGCCCCTAGGCCACGGACCTGGACCCGTCCATGGCCTGTTAGGAACTGGGTCACACAGCAGGAGGTGAGTGGCGGGCTAGCCAGTAAATCTTCATCTGTATATACAGCCACTCCCCATCACTTTCATTGCCGCCTGAGCTCCGCCTTCTGGAAGATCAGCAGTGGCATTAGATTCTCATAAGAGCACAAACCGTATTGTGAACTGCACATGTGAAGGATCTAGGTTGCATGCTCCTTATGAGAATCTAATGCCTGATGATCTGTCACTGCCTCCCATCACCCCAAGATGGGACCATCTAGCTTTACAAAAACAATCTCCGGGCTCCCAGTGATTCTACATTATGGTGAATTGTATAATTATTTCATTATCTATTACAATGTAATAATAATAGAAATAAAGTACATAATACATGTAATGCACTTCAATTGTCCTGAAACCATGCCATTCGCCCCCCAGTCTATGGAAAAATTGTCTTCCACGAAATCTGCCCCTGGTGCCAAAAAAGATTGGGGACTGCTACTCAAGCTTGCTGAGTCTTTCCTCAACTGTGTCCAGTCTACTGATAATCCCATCAAAGGCATTCTTCATTTGCTGGAGTGCAGTGGCACAATTTCGGCTCACTGCAACCTCCACCTCCCGGGTTCAAGCGATTCTCCTGCCTCAGCCTCCTGAGTAGCTGGGATTACAGGCACCCGCCACCACGCCCAGCTAATTTTTGTACTTTTAGTAGAGATGGGGTTTCTCCATGTTGGCCAGGCTGATCTTGAACTCCTGACCTCAGGTGATCTACCCACCTCAGCCTCCCAAAGTGTTGGGATTACAGGCGTGAGCCACTGTGCCTGGGCTCTGTTACAGTATTTTTGATTTCTAGCATTTCCCTAAATATTCTTCTCAGGGAGAGTTTACATTTTGCAGCTCTTTTAACTGTTATTCACTGTTATCCACTATTATTATAATAAAGCCTTGTTAGCATGGTGGTGAAGTGCAGAGGAGAGGAAGTGTTCTATAATATTATGATTAAATTTCAGTCTTTTGTGGGCCTGTGTCCCTGGGCTTTGATTTTCATAAGAGTTTTATTTTAGCGCCTTTCTCTCCCTTACATGAGACTAGAAACCTAAAGGGGGCTGAAATAGGAGAAACGCCTTTCCCTCAGCTGAGATAAGGCTCTGATAAAGTCTTTTCCACCACAGAATAGGCTTTTTTTTTAAAAAATGAAGAAGGCTCTGGGTGTATTTCACAAAAGTACAGTTCCCTTCCCACTGCAGGGGCCATGAGGCCCTTCACTGCAAGAATATGGTGGGTTTCTTGGAAGTAATGCCCACAAAAGTGTGGGGACCTCCCTGACTGCAGATCCTCAGGGGTTTCTCACTCTCATATTATTCCACACTCAGTCTCCAGCAATTCATCAAAATTACATTTAAGTGCTCTTACCTATTTATGTCTCTAGCAGTTTCTGTTCTATGAAAGAAGAAATAGGCTGTGACTCTCTGGATTTGCCTTCAGAATTTGGGGTAGTCAACTGTCCTATGCCTCAGTTCTTTGAAGAATCTAAGAAATGTTGTTGATTCTGTTTGTTCAGATTTTTTTCTGGTTGTAAGTACAGGAGCAATGACTTACAAGTTCTTACATGTTGGAACTGAAACTGGAAGTCTGGCTATGGGTTTTAACAGGGAAGCTAAAGAGCAGTGAAAAATAAAAAATAAAAAATTTAAAATGGGCTGGGTGTGGTGGCTCACACCTTTAATCTCAGCACTTTGGGAGTCCAAGGTGGGAGGATCGCTTAAGTCCAGGAGCTCAAGAGCAGCCTAGGCAACATAGCAAGACCCCCTCTCTATTTAAAAAAAAAAAAAAAAAAAAAAAAAAGCAGTGCACATTGCTTTTGTCTGCTTCTTTTCTGCTGAACATCACATCTGGGAATTAGGTTGCCCTGGAAAACCCAGCTGCTCCATAAATATTAGCTCTTTTCACTCCCAGGTACAGGAAATTTATGGGGCTCCCTGAACCTGACATCTCAGCCCAAAAATTTGTAATGTGCAATGCAAATTAGACTTTTGACCTCCTGAATCAAAATTCCTGGTAATGGCCATGCACAATGGCTCATGCCTGTGATTCCAGCACTTTGGGAGGCCAAGGTGGGAGGGTCACTTGAGTGCAGGAATTCAAGACTGGCCTGGGCAATGCAGTTATACCTTGTTTCTACAAAAAATCTTTAAAAATTGAAAAATATATATATTATTGGTAATGAAGTCTGAGGAACTGTAACTTAATGCTAGGAGAGAAAAGTTGTCTATGTCACTACCACCACCACCACCATCAAGAGGCAGTGCATGATACTATTAGAATCTATAGTTTACATTAACTGCCTAATGATTGTTAAGTGCTTGCTTAGACTAGAGTAACTAGTTTCTGAGCCCTGGGAGTACATTCTAAAGGGAGTTTGTACAGAAGAGTTGGGAGTACCCAGATTTCAGAGCCAGACAGTCCAAAGTCTGAATACAGACTTTGTCACTATTTGTGTAACTTTAGCAAAGGTACTTAACGTCTTTATAACCCAGTTTCTTCATCCTTAAAAGGGAGCTGGCATTAACTACTTTACAGGATTATTGTGTATACTGAGAAAACTATTTGATATCCTGCACAACATGTGTATATCAGATCTTTCTAGTTCTTTTAAAATTTCTGATCTATTCCTATTATGGAGTGGGCTGGAGAAAGCAAGAAAGAATAGATGAGAACTACATGGTTTTTAAAGGTCATAATTGCTAAGTCAGTGTCACTGTGCTCTTTGTGCTGTAGCCTCAGTGCTTTGTATATTCTGTGTTGCTTACCATAACCCTTTACTAAAAGGATGCCATTTTTGCATAGTTGCCACTGCAGGTTACTGACTTTCTCCTCCTTTTAGTCACATGTCACAGAGAGGCTAATTCCATTTCCAAGAGTGAGTCTCTTTGGTCTACGGATAATCTATCCCCTTGGTACTCTCTTGTTTAGGAAGAGGCATTGATCAAATTCCACTCAATGTGACATTAGGGGAAGGTTACAGATGGACTTCTGAGGAAAGTGTCCTCATTCATAAGACAAAGTCATCAGAAAAGATTGTCTTTTCTTCTTCCTCAGGAAGTTGCTTACCTCCTGGAATTGTTGTAGCCATCAAGCTATCAGCCTTAGGACGGAAGTTGATATTGTGAATGGCAGAAGAAAGAGACGGAAAAAAGCTGAGTCCTTCGCTGAATTAAACAACCATCAAGGCTGCCCTACGTCAGTACTTACAATCATTGGATAATTAATTTCCTTATTAAGTTAGTTTTAGTTGAATTCCTTGTTATATGAAAATGGAACAATCCTAGATGTGCTCAGGCACAAAACAGCTCTTCAGTGAGTAAGAATTCCTGACTTGTGTCCATCAGTGAGCATCAGTGAGCACCTACATCTGCAGTAGCAGAACTCATGTTTCCCAGGAAAGAAAAGCCAGAAATTCTCAACACGTGTCCTAATGATTGCTAGAGGTCTGACAACTGTTTGGCTTCTGCTCCAGATTAAAAAGTAAAGCTTTAGGCAGAAGCCAAACTCTGACTTATCTAGGAGGTCCAGAGGTACATTAAATACTTAAGATAATAGATAAACCTAGTTTCAATTCAGAGGATCATTGTGTGAAGGTGCACCCTTGTGAAATATCCAGATTATAAAGATATCAAAGGTTACCTGCTTTCAGTTCAGGGGACTGTGCTGATATTGAGAAAGACACATTTACAGTGTCGACAGTTAGAACAATATGATTAATTTTCCCAGGTGCACTAAACAACAAAGGTATAGAAAGTCGTAGATACTTGAGATTTATCCAGAGTTGGGGTTTCTCCAGGACAGTGGAGCCAGGCACTAGAGGATGAGGTAGAAGAGTAGTAAAAATAAGTACTGTGATGGGCATTGGGTTGGGAAGGAAGGAAAGGGTGGAATAGGCTGATAAACAGGGAAAAAAGGATAAGGGACAGGAGGTCTAACAATATTCAGGTTTAATTTCTTTATGATAAATACTTTGCTACAAGCTTTGAGGAACAGAAGATCTGATTGTAAAAACAGTTACAATGATCATGGATGCTTTTATTGATAACTAGCACTGGAGGAATATAGACATAGCATAGAAGTAATGCACATCAGCTCCAGATTCAAACCACAAAGGTGGGAATGTCACCTCCTCTGCTAACCAACTCAGTGAGGTTGGCTAAGCTACTTAACCAATGTGTGCCTCAGCTTCCTCATATGTAGAATGGAAACAATAGCAGCACCTACCTCATAAGTTTGTTTTGAGGATTAACTAAGTGAATACATTTAGAGCCCTTAGTAGAGTACCCTGGCACATAGAAATCACCCAATAAATCCAATAAATCTTAATATTAACACAAATTACTATTTTAAGTAGTAAACATTCAGGCTTTGCAGTCAGACAGACTGGGGTTTGAATCACACTTCCAGAGTCCAAGCTTCTTTCTCTATGCTTCCTGTCCCTCAACACTAGTTCTATGTTATTCATTAAAAAATAAAAATAAAAAAATAAAAAGACTCTGATGCATGGTATAAAGAAACAAGTGGGATGGGCGCAGTGGCTCACGCCTGTAATCCCAGCACTTTGGGTGGCCGAGGCGGGTGGATCACCTGAGGTCAGGAGTTCAAGAGCAGCCTGGCCAACATGGCAAAACCCTGTCTCCACTAAAAATACAAAAATTAGCCGGGCATAAATTAATGGTGCAAAAATCAGTGGTGTGTGCCTGTAATCCCAGCTACTAGCGGGGCTGAGGCAGGAGGATCGCTTGAACTTGGGAGACAGAAGTTGCAGTGAGCTGAGATCGTGCCACTGCACTCCAGCCTGGGTGACGAAGTGAGACTCCGTCTCAAAAAAAAAAAAAAAAAGAAACAAGTGGCCAAGTGGCAAATAAAATATTGTGTAAGTACAAAGAATGGAGGAATTACTTCCTACCAAGGGGCAAGGGATAAGGGCGAGGAGGTATCAGACTTCAAAAAGGCCCTGGCATTTGAACTGAGCCCAAATGATGTTTCCCATAGACAGAAAAAGGGTAAGAACATTGAAGATTGAAGGGACAGCATGTGGGAAAGGCATAAAAGTAGTAAAGCACACAATACAGTTGGGAAAACAACAGATTTTCCAGTGGGGCTTGACTGCAGGCAAAGTGGGGCAAGGCCTGGAATAGTGTGAGGCACTTGAGAACAAGAGCTTCTTTCTTCATTTCATTCTAGTCCTGGCCTTGACTTGGAAGAATGTTATGAGAGATGGAGATAGAAAGGCAGACTTGTATTAAAGGGTGCAAGGTTGTGAAAGCCTTGATAGAAAATCTGGTGGTATTTTATAGATGAGATCCCATTGAAGGTTGCTCTTTTGAAATTGGGGGCAGAGTTGAGAATTAGTGGCTGCTAAAAGTCCAGACTAGACAGATGAAAAATTCACTCTGATACTATCCCCACACAACAACATTTTAGGCCAAGTGACATCTGAAGTAGCCTCTATTATATAAAGTAGCCCATAATATTTATCAAAAAAGGGAGAAGGAACAAGAGGACTGAGTGAATGATGAAGTTTTTATTTCAACTACACCCCAGAAAAATAATTGAGGAAGGATTCTACCCGCTACAAGTCAGAACAAAGGCAATCATCATTTTGCTTGGATACACACACACACACACACACACACACACACACACACCAGTCACCCTGCTCTTCGGCTGAGATTAAAAAATTCTACAGGCATAAACTGTTTAAGTATCTGCTTTGGAGTACATTTGGGACTTAGAAGTATTTAATCAGGCCACAATTTGAAGTTTTCTAAATATAAATGCAATACCCACAACAGGAATTCTAGGCTAAGGGAGCTGTGATAAGAAAAAAAATGATGACAGGATAGATGGATAGATAGATTAGATAGATAGACACATAGATAGATATAGATAAATAGATACATAGATAATTTTAAAAATTATCTAAATTACAGGTACATGCCACAAAAACAGACTGCTTTTTTCACCCATAATACACTGTTGGGTCTGAATCCTTCATTTTAACTTGTTGATGTAGAATACACAGCAAAGGTAAGCTTTATGTATATTAATCTAGGTGTGGCTGCTAAAACTAGGGAAAATTACACTATTGTTCTGATATCAAATATTTGAAACCAACTACTTGGAGTTAGCATTGGACTCCACAGGTTTAAGGGCACAATCACCAACAATACTGCCCCCACTTTAGATCAGATACCAGCCCCAATTCTCAGGAAGCCACCCATGCTTCTGACTGACCACTTATAAATTCAGGAGTTCCTATGACATTATGAGGTTTCATAATTAACTGAAACAACTCGTAGAACTCAAGAAAAGTGCTATTCTTATTATTACAGTTTCATTTAAGGATATACACAGGACAAGGTCTGAAAGCATTCTGGACACAAAGCTTCCATACCCTCTCCTTATGGAGTCAGGGTACACCACTCTCCCTAGAGAACAATATGTTCACCAACCAAGAAGCTCCACTTATCCCTGAAGTTCAAAGTTTTCACTGGGGTTTTATTACATAGGCAAGATTGATTAAACCATTGGTTGTGATTGAACTTAATACCTAGCCCCACTACCTTCCCTGAAGGTTGAGCTGGCCCAAAGTTCCAACCCTTTAATCACATGGTTGGTCCTTCTGGTGACCAGTCCCCATCCTGAAGCTATCTAGGGGCCCACCATAAGTCACTTCATTAGCATAACAAAGATACTCCTGTCACACAGGAAATTCCAAGATTTTTTGAAGCTGTGTCAGCAACTAGGGATAAAGATCAGCTATATTCTCTATTATACCACACCATACTTGAAGTCTTCTCTGTTGACATACTCGAAAAAACACACAGAGACAAGAGACAAGACAGCTTGAGTAGAAAACCATAAGCTGAATGCTGGCCCCAGTACTTATATTATCAGAATTCTGGAGAGTAAAGAGAAGAAAATAATAGGAGAGGGTAGGAGACGAGGATGCAGTCCTAGGGACTAATCTCTACCTATGATTTTGCCCCACATACCTTGTATCTATCCTAGCTTTTAAGTCTAAATAGGAGGGCTTAAAGTAGTAGAACAACATAGTTTCAACTCTATAAACTTGGTATAAACATAAGGATAGGAGTGGGATTAGAAAAAGTCATTTCTTCCTAGCAACACTTTCTTACACTGACTTTGTATGTATTGTGATATATGAAGAAATCAGCATTTGATCTTTTTTATTTTGATTGAAATTTGAAATGAGTTATTTTTAAAATTTTTTAAAATTTTTAATTCACATGGATATGCAATATTTGTACATATTTATGGGGTATAAATTATATTTTGATATAAGCATAGAATGTGTAATGTAATTGAGATATACATCACCTTAAATATTTATCATTTTGTTGCACTGAGGACATTCCAAATCTATTCTTCTAATTATACTGAAATATATAATAACTATTGTTAACTATAGGCACCCTATTGTGCTACTGAACACTAGATCATATTCCTTCTAACTGTATTGTTGTACCCATTAACCAACTCCTTTTTATACCCCATCCCCAATACCCTTTCCAGCCTTTGGTAACCATAATTCTTTGTCCCATATTCCTGGCATAGAGCTCCTAGAACCCTTGCTATTTCCTGATAGGGATAACGGAAGCATCTTTTGTTACATGTGGCTTTAGTCTCAAGTTCTTGACACTAAGACCCTTGGAATCTCTGGAGTGATAGGTGTCTTTTTTTATGTTCCGAGATGACTGGTGGGTGCACTAGATAGCTTCAAGATATGGATGGTCACCAGAAAGACCAAGGCATGATTAGAGGGTTGGAACTTTCAGCCTCACCCCTTGACCTCCAAGGAGAAGAGAGGGGCTGAAGATTGAGCTAATCACCAATGGTCAATGATTTCATCAATCACGCCTATGTAATGAAACCTCTATAAAAATCCCAAATGTCTGAGAGGTTCCAGGTTGGTGAACTCATTCATATTCTGGGAAGGTGGTGTACCCCAAATCCACATGGATGGCAGCTTCTGCATTTGGGACCCTTCTGGACCTTGCCATATGTACCTCTTCATCTGGCTTTTGATTTATATCCTTTATAATGAACCAGTAATAGGAAGTAGTGTTTCCCTGAGTTCTGTGGGCCCTTATAGCAAATTATTGAACCTGAGGAGGGGGTTGTGGGAACTTCCAACTAGTAGCTAAGTCAGACAGAAGTGTGGGTGACATGGAGATCCATTACTTGTGACTGTTGTCTGAAGTGAGGGAGGGCAGTCTTATGGGAATGAGCCCTTAACCAGAGAGGTCTGCACTAACTCTGGGTAGTATCAGAATTGAATTAAATTGTAGAATACCTAGCTGATGTCCTCAAAGAATAAGAGAATTGCTTGGTGTGAAAAATCCACACATTCTGTGCCAGAAGTATTGTGGGTAGAGGAACCATTTTCTTTCACTTGGTACCCAGTGGGTGCATGGGGTAGGGGGAAAGGAGGATACTCGATGTGAAAGAGGACAAGGACTTACCATGGGGCTGCTACCTAGGATGGGACCAAAGAAACACATCCTAAGGAATGAGCAGAGATCACAACACAAGAGAGCAAAGGGTATGCAGAGGGAAACTTAGGAGACTATCCATGAAGCAGTTTCTGTAGGTGGTCCCCAGAAAGACCCTCCTCTGAGGCCCAAGACAGCAGGGAGAGAGAGCTCACACGGAGTAGCAACCCACTTTGTGTCCCTCAATGGGAATGAGATCCTGCTGCATGGGGCTGAGATCCAGGAATCCCCTTGGGGGTCGAGAAGCTTGGAGTATCCTAATGAGAAATCCTAGGTGAAGGGCCCACAGCATCTAGGTTTCCTCCCCTCGAGTCTATGTCTCCTCCTCCTTTTCCTAGAACTGCCGGGATTGAGGTTCATTCCTCTCTTGCATCCCCAGCCAGCTGGAGCCTTGGAGCAAAAGGCAGATGTATGTGTTCTCTTCTGCCCTCCTCCACCCTCCGCCAGTTTTGAGCTGGTATCAGCCATCCCCACTGCCTGAATACTGCCAGTAAGAAGACAGAGAGTAGAATGAGTGCGGACGCATAGCTCACGGTTCCCATCCCCACCCCTGCCTTTCCTGATCCAGCACCACAGGTGTTCACGAATTGTCACTTCACCATTTCCCCGCTCTGGGCTCCCCTGAAGCCAACTCCATCCATATGCCCACCTCCCCCACCCACACATACAAACACAGGGCACTGGGCTGGGAGCCTTGGGATGAGGGGTCAAGGGTGTTCAAAAGGCAGGAGGGAGCAGGCGGATCTGAGGCATTACCTGCACCCGCATCTAGTCTCAGTCACCACCTCTCAGGGATGCCATCTGCCGTCCTTGCACCCACCTCCTCCAACAGCAACCGCTGCTCCTCTCCACGAACGCGTCGGGCAGGTAGACTCTCTGCTTCTTGAGCTCCTGGACAAAAGACAGACGGGCTAAGACGCTCCCGGTTGGCTGACGGATTGTTTCCTTTACCAACAAATGCTGTAGTTCCAGTCGCCTGAGAAATTAGTTTTCAGGCTGATGCAGCATGGAAAGACACCTACCTACCTTAACATCCCGCCGTTCCTCCCACGTTCTGCTCTGCGGAGCACAGGTGTCGTCCGCCTCTCAGGTCTTTTCTGGATGCAAGAAAACACTCCTCTCGGCAGGCCTAATGCAGAGCCTGGTCACATGACCCACCGTCAGCCCCACGTGACTGCGCAGTCAGCTTGTTCGCCGCAGTCCTGTACCATGGATGACAGTCTTCTGCCTCTGGGGTGCTTGCTAGAAGATCCTGAAGCTCCTTGGCCAGACAGCTGGAAGGAAGGCTGGCCTTTGCTCTGGAGGACCACTCGGCTGGCGAGGAACATTCGATGAGGATTTGGGAAATGAAGTGATTTTTAATATTTTGTATACGACTCAAGCGACATACTAAAACACACACAGATCTGTCTTGAAAAATGCTGGTAAGCAAAACAAACATTCAAACTCCAATTTGCACCACCAGGATAATCCCTGTTAAAACTTATGGCTTGCGATGGGAGGCAAAACTGCCACTTCCATATTACCTTACCAAACTAGGATCAGGTGGGGAAAAAAAGCATGTTGCACTGTCAGAAAAATTATACCAAACTTAGATAAAGTCACCTTCAGTTACTGGATGTCATTTCAGGGCAGTGCAGGATGTCTATTGATTTACCTATTTTTCAACTCTGTAGACACTGATGTTAACATGTAGATATTTTATTCAATAAATATGTAAATGATTTATGTCCAGTGCAATAGAAAACCTTAAATGTTACAATTTATTGCCCTGTAAGATATTAACCCGTTTTATATTTAACCTGGCAGTGTTATTCTAACATTTATTAATTTCCTATGTGTTTATGAAATTCAATGTTTTGTTTATATCTTCATATTGTGTATATTGTATATACACATATACCCTTCAACTGTTTTCTTAATCCTAGCAGTTGTTGATTGTGTTGAAAAATCTTTCACATATTCTTTTTACATTTACATGAATTGTAATTTTACCTTTGAAAATTTAGAACATTCTCAGACAAATAAATGTTATGTCTAAAAATAATAAAACATTGGATATTTCTCGTACGTCTGAATTTCCTCTCCAAACCAACATATAGCCCTGTCTTCCAATTCTCCTGACTGAAGGTATTGTGTGGTCATTTTTTAAATTATCGTGGCAAAATACACATAACATAAAATTTAACATTTTAACCATTTTAAAGTATACAACCCAGTACATTATCAATGTTGTACAACCATCACCACTATCTAGCTCCAGAACTTTGTTGTCACCTCAAAAGGAAATGTTATGTTTTTTACGGTAATAATTATGTGAAAAAGGTGCCATTTTTGTACCATGAACAGACTAATATTAAACTTAACACCCTTGGTAATTTTTTTTTTTTTTGAGACGGAGTTCTGCTCTGTCACCCAGGCTGTAGTGCAGTGGTGCGACCTCAGCTGACTGCAACTTCTGCCCCCCAGGCTCAAGCGACTCTCCTGCCTCAGCCTCCCCAGTAGCTGGGATTACAGGCGCACACCACCATGCCTGGCTAAGTTTTTGTATTTTTACTAGAGACAGCATTTCGCTATGTTGGCCAGGCTGGTCTCGAACTCCTGACCTCAAGTGATCCACCCACCTCAGCCTCCCAAAGTGCTGGGATTACAAGCGTGAGCCACCGCGCCTGGCCCACCCTTGATTATTTTATTTTATTTTATTTTTTTTGAGACAAGGTCTCACTCACATCACCCATGCTGGAGTGCAGTGGTGTGACTATGACTGACTGCAGCCTCAACTTCCTAGGCTCAAGTGATTCTCCTACCTCAGCCTCCTGAGTAGCTAGGACAAGTGCGTGCCACCATGCTGGGCTAATTTTTTTTATTTTTAGTAGAGACAAGGCATCAATATGTTGCCCAGGCTGGCCTTGAACTCTTGAGCTCAAGCAATCCTTCCGCTTCGGCCTCCCAAAGGGCTGGGATTACAGGTGTGAGCCACTGTGCCTGGCCAATTTTAATTTTTATCTTGAAAACGTTTTATAAAAAGCTAGTCTTTCTGATAGCTCATTCATTTACAACTTTTCTAAATGATATTATCTCTAATCATTTTTTAACACTTATAGTTTATTCATTTATATAATTCTGTCCTTTCCGGCATGCTCATCTATAACTCAAGGCACAAAATGTAAGCATATTAATTTTTTAATTTGTCTTATTAATGTTTGTATCTCCCCAACGCCTGTCTCTAAGCATTTTTTAACAAGGTATATATTTTATTCCAGACTGTGTTTAGAAATTCATATTGAAATTGCATAGGAATTGTGTACATTTACAGATGTTTTAAAAATGGAATCTAATTTTCCATACATGATGTCACATTCTCTGTTTCACCAAATATAAAATAATTAATGTCCTTTTGTGTCAATAAACCTATCCATACATAATCATTCCAACGGCTGCATGGTATTTCCTTAACACTTTCCTTTGTCTAGGAATATAAAGGAAATCATATTCCCCACTCCATTTAATTGTGCTATCCTACTCTTTCAGCCTTTAGGTGGCATTGAAGTAACACCTGTACTTTGAATTGTTAAATATGCAGATTTGGCTTATTCTGTTCCCCAAATTGGCCTCTTCCCAACTTTCTAACTGCATTTCTCATCAAACTCCTTTTACTTGTTTCAAGCAGACTGGGTTCATCCATGCTACTAGAACAGATTATTCAATTACACACTTTTCTTCAAACCACCACTGCCCACTTCCAAGAGCAACCTAATGATTTGTCTTATCCTACCCTTAGGCAAATCCCAGGGCTAAGATGGTAATTTAAATGGGTCCTATAAGAAGTATTAATTTTAGGTTGCTTGTTGGGAAGGCTCATAATTGGGCAAGCAGGCGGGCAAGTTGTCTTGCTCTCCTATCCTGACCAATTTGTTCTATCCTGACCAATTTAAGTGGGTCCCTCTTCTCGGAAACATTCCTCAAGTATCAGGGCCCACAATAATCTCTCCCTTCTTAACTCAAGAACAGAATTTTCTAATAAGCGCATGTTTGTCATACTAATAATTACCTATGTTTGTAAGTGCACACGATTTATCTGTACATGGTTCTTAAACTGAAGAAGGGTCACTTATGCCAATTTTAACATAGAACTTTATTGAAAACACAGACTCAAATAGAGAACCATATATTTAAACAACGAATAGCAGGGTAGCTTACTTAGGTGACACAGTTCATTGAAAACTTAATACTGAAAAATACCGCAATCTGGACAGCAAGACAAATATCAACAAATGTGTTTTCAGTTTTGATATTCATTTGGCATCCACAAAATGATCCAGCTCAAAACAAGAGTTTGACAAAGTTAACATCAGCATTAAAAAATATAAGTTACAACAAAAAAACAGACTGTGAACACCAAAGCACTACTCAGGGCTCTTTGGGAACATAAGGCTGATCAGCGGCAGGTGGTTAATCATATTAACTTTGTTGTCCCACCTCAGGATCATTTTGGTTGTCTATTTGGGCTTGTAGTTGCTTAGCTAACTCCTCAAATTCACGAAATGCAGAAATAAGCGGCTCAAGACTGAAATCATCATCAATTAAGGACATCTTTCCACTTTTTATAATGTTACTGATATTCTGAAACATTTTAATAACAATTTGAATATTATCATTTGTCTCTTCTATGTTAAAGAGACCCACAAATATTGAAAGAGCTTTGGCACTGAATAGTTTTTTTGCCACAGCAGGATTTTCAGACAAATTCAATAGCATTTTCAGAACGTGAAACTTCGTTCTCGCATTGGCTGTGGTTAATAAGGAGAGAAACCCGGACATATAGTTGGCAATCAGTGTGTGATAGTCAATAGTCATAGTGAGGTGTCTAAGCATCCTTATTCCAGTCAGCTGCTCAAGGGAATCCACACTATGTGCAAGGGTTTCCTCACACACTTGACATATGAATGTCTCAATCATGTTTAGATTTGGATAAGGTGGAGCCATGTGAATCATATTTTCCAAAAAACTTGTCCTAACTCTAGAGGATGGATAATTAAGCAAGGTTTCAATAAGTGAGACAACACCTGAATCTCGAATGAAATCTCGGGTAAATTGAGAAGCACTTCTCATACCCATTGCAATTTTAGATATTTCATGAATAAAAGGATCCCGAATTTTGTCCATTAATAAAAGGAATTCTTCAAACTCTTCAGAACCAATTTTCAGCTCACATTGTATGCAGCTGCAGGACCAACTCTCAGACTCTGCACTCTCCCTGGCCCTAAGATGCTCTCGAATTTCCCGGACTGACCGGTAGGAAGGATCATACTGAAATGTGAACTCAGGACTAGGCTGATCAGGCTGAAGCAAAGATTCCTGCTCTTCTCCTTCTGGGCTAAGTTCCAGGTTCTTGGGCTTTGCCTCAAGCATTTCAGAAGCCTCTTCGGGAATTCCAAAGGGGCTTGTGGATCGGAAGCCAACCCCATGAAAAAGACCAGGTTTGAATTCAACAGTGACCTCGTCCCAGGTTTGGGGCCTGGAGGATGCATTAAGCTCCTCAGCTGCATCTCTGAACCTATCACTGACCTTGTACACAGGACAGGGATTTAGGTCAAAGCAGGCCTCATCTCTGTCCCAGAACCAGGACCCAAATATGGCCTCTTCTTCAGACTCCGGCTTGGCCTCTTCTCTGGCCACAGCCCCCAAACTGGACTTTTCCTCAGCCCAGTACGCGGATCCGCCAATGGCCCCCTCCTCAGTTCCTGGCTCAGATTCACAGATTGCTGAAGCTCCACCCTCCAAACTGGCCTCTTTTTCTGCCCAGAACCAGGACCCAATAATGACTTCCTCCTCAAACCTGGGTTCTTGTTTGACCCTATCACTGTCAACATCTTTCTGGGCCCTGAGTTTCAAGGCAGTATTAGGATCTTCTTTGTCTCTGTGCCTGAATCTACTATTGGCCTCTTCTCCAGGCAAAACCCAGGACTGCTTATAGAACTCATCTTCAGACTCAGATTCAAAACAATCTTCTCTATTTGTCCTGAGCTTGGACCTGATATTTGCCTCCTCCCTGACTCTGGGCCTGAACAAGTTATTGGTATTTTCTCCAACCCAGAAGGAGAATGGGTTGCTGGCCTCATCCTCAGATCCAGACCAGGAATCAACATAGGCTTCTTGCTTGGATCTGGGCCTGGACCTGGGATTAGTCTGATGTTTAGCCCTGTGCCTGGACCTGGTATTGGACTCTTCCCTGGGCCATGATCTGACACTTGTCTCTTCTCCAGTCCAGAAAGAAGACGCTGTAGAGGTCTCATCTGCTGACCAGAACCCAGACTCATTAGAGGCCTCCTCTCTGGCCCTGGGCCTGGAATAGCACCAAGACCCCATATTAGTCTCCTCCCCTGGTCCAAACCAGGGCTGGATTCCTTTCTGACCCTGGGTGCCAGGAAAGGTTTCAGCATCCACATTGACTAGTTCTCTATCCATAGACAGGCCCTTAGATTTAGTAACTGATCCAGACTCAGCAGTGGCCAGTGGCCAAGCAACGGCATTAGTCTGGGACACTCCTTCTGCCTGTGACACTGCTTCAGTCCCAAATTCACTCTGGGCCCATGCCTGGGCCTCATCCTTGGGCCTTGCTCCAGGGATTGCCTTGGCATCAGTTTTAGAACGAGCGCCACCTACTGCCCTGGCATCGGTTTTGGGCCTGGCCCCTGTGATTCCTTGAGCCTCCGTTTTGGGTCTTGCACCACCCATTACTTGGACCTCAGTTTTGGGCCTTGCCCCAGACATTGCTTGGGCCTCAGTTTTGGGCCTTGCCGCAGGCACAGACTTGGTCTCAGTTTTGGGCCTTGCCCCAGTAGTTGCCTGGGTCCTAACCTTGGGTCTGACCACCAGAGGGACATCATTCTCTCTCTCAGGCCCAGCGATAACCTCTTCCCCAGCCTTCTTTTCAGGCTTGGCCTGGGCACTAGGCTCAATCTCTGCCCCAGTCATGGTACAAGTTACAAAGAAAGTCAGGTAATATACTCCTCCCGTAGTCTAAACCTCAACCACAGATCTGTCACAGGTTTGTTTCTTCACACTCTGATCTTTAGGTGATTAAGGATATAAGCTTGGGAATAAGAGTTAGAGTCAATATCCAGTCCAGTAGTCACTCAGCCTCCTTCCCAAACACAGTCTCAGTCAATAATTCAATAATACAGATAGAGTGAGAACAGGTACAACCAAGCTAAAGGAAGACAGATATTTCCTGGATGGGTGCAGACCCGTTGAGGGTGGTTGTCAGCAGCAACTCCACCACCAGCAGAGCAGCCACTGGAGGTGGATCTAGGGAGAGAGAATGAAATGAGGCTTTGAGTCTCTTCCAATTGTATGAGACGTATGCAGTGCGACTGATGTTGAATGCTAGGTGGGACAGCTGGGCTTTGAGAAAGTCTCTCTGGACCGGCTGCCTCCTACAAAACAGGTCCAACAATGGTGGGAAAGTGTGTCGGCAATGGGAGGGGCCAAGAAGCCCCCAGATTGGACCCTAATCACTCCCGGACCCATGCTGGTCTCCACTACCCCGCCCAAAAGTATACCCGCTCTCATACCAACCTTCACTGATGTGGTGCAGTTTCCCCCTCCTTTTCTTGTTCAAGTGGTGTCAAGCCCCACAGCTGACAGAAGGGGGTCCTACAGACAAGTGAACATACAGGAGAGAATGGAGTGTGAGTGCTTGGTAGGTAGGTGGGCACTCTGGCCCCTGTGACAAATATCTGTCTTCCCATTCAAGAGTTCAATGTATCTATGGTTTCCTGTGTCCTAGTCCCTGCTCTCAGGTCTTTTCTGAGTCACAACCCAACCTACACCTATCTCGTGTCTCCTGCAAGAAATAAAAAGGATGCTGGCACTGTGCAAATCCGGCAGAATAGAAGTGGGTCTGCCACTTCTACTACAGGTGGAAGTGGATCTGCCACCTGCCATGCTCTCTCCAACTGTCCCCTGCATTGTCCTCTCCCCCTTCTCACTAACCTCCAGAGCTGTGAGCCAGTCTCCTCCTCCTTGCCTTTCTTGCAGAATTGGCCAGCCTTAAAGTAGGCCTATGGACAAACACATGAAAAAGTAAGACAGTCAGGATATGAGTGGTGGCAGAAGAGCACTTGGTAGACAGGCCAACGCCAAGGATAAGAGTCCCCATATTATTGGTATCTGTCTTTCAACATTCGGGGTTTTGCTGGTGGAATATTCTCGTTTTATTTGGGCCCTGCTTCAAGGTTCCAGAGATAACAACTCCTTCTCTTGACGTCATATTCTTCCCATTACTCCCTTCTCCAATTCTGAGGATTCACCACTAGGTGCGCCACATCCCCTTGCTCTGCGCAGCATAAAATGGGGGAAGGGCGCCGCATATTCTAGAAAACAGGTTGTGAATTAGTACTTGTCAGTATGTCTCCCTCATCACCCCCACCTCCAAAGCCCACCCTTTCATGCCCCCAGTTTAGGACGGTGGGGGAGACAGGTGGGGATGGAAGGTGGGGGGAGCGCCATTAGAGAGGTGAAGATTAGGAGGTGCTCCTGGATGCCTGACTTGCTCTGGTCACAGTCCCCTACCCCGATTCGGGTCCCCAATCAGTGTTTAGCGCCCAACCCCCATCCCCACACACCTCCAGAAATCCAGGCAATATTCGTGCTCCTTTATTTCAAGCCTCTCCTCTACAGACGCTCACTGTGTCCTGTCAGAATACGCCAGACCTACCGCACAGACACAAGACTTTGACATCAACCTGGAGCCTGTGGGAAGGGAAGGCACCGAGGACATGGGGCCCCACAGGCCCCTTTCGGGAATCGGGACCCGGAGTAGCAAACGCGGCTCACCTCCGGCGGACTGGGTACAGAGCCGGGACGCCGACCCCCGCCGGCCTCGCCGGGCGCCCCCCAACGGCCTTCCCGGGCGCCCCCACAGCGGCTCCCGCTCCGCCATTTCTCCCGCAGGAGCCTCCCCCACAGCCCTCTCCGGGCACAGACACCGTCGAGGGCGGGGCGCGGGCGCCTGCAAAGCTGGCTGGGAAGCGGTCAGCGCGGTTCTCCTCCAAACGATCTGGCGGTGCCTCCCGAGCCAGCCCCTCAGCCCTTGGCCAGGCCCGCTCCGGTCACCGCCTCCCCATCGCCAGGGGTCTCGGGCACTGCGCACCTCTCTCAAGCGCCTGGCTCCGACCGGATCGTCTCCTCGTTGCCAGGCTGTCAGGGTCCGCGGGGCAGGCTGCCTGCTGGTCCACCCTGCCAGACCACCCCCGCAACCCGGACCCCCACCTCATGCACCCGCACTTGCCTTCAGAGGCCCAGGGCCCAGGTCGTCGGCCTCCCCCTCCTCTCCTCAGCTCTCCTCTGGCTCACTTGGAGCCACTGCTTTCCCCGCGATCCGAACGGGAAAGACGCGTCCCGCCCCCCACGCCTCTGCACCAAAGTAGGCAGGGGCTGCGCAGGATGCGGCAAGAACCGCTCGCCGCGAGGGTGTCGGGAAGGGGGGCGGAGGGATACGGCGCGAAAGTGCTTGACGCCCCCATCCCAGGCCCACCGTAGTTCCGACCCCGAGGTGGGCAGGGCCAGGATGAGCCCCAGCCTGGGCGTGCGGGTTGGCACCAGGCTGCCTCAGGAGGCCCCCACGGACCCTAACGTGGCGACCACTACCATATTTCTGTCGCTGCTGTAATATATGGGACCAGCGGGCGGCTGGGGGCCCGGGCAGGGGACAGGATCGCGAGGTCGGGAAGAGCCGCGCTGGAGAGAACAGCGGATGGATACCAAACCGCCCCGTGATGTGTCTGCACCCCCGCCCCAACCGCCCCCCTCACAGGGACTGCTGGGTGTCTGCCCCCTCCCTCTCCCCAGTCCCCTAACCCTCCTTTCTGGAAGCTGATGGGAAAGGGGGTGTCAGCACTGCAGTGTGGGAGGGGAGAGGCGATTTCAGGCCATACAGGCCCGGGGCTCTAGGGTGGTCCTCTTGTGCGTTTCTTTCCCAGCTTCGTGGAGCCACGCAGGGGAGGAAGGTACACCTGCTCTTAAGTGAACTCCGGGGCAGGGGGCTCCCATCAAGGACTCACCACTGCCCCTCTTCTAAAAGAAGGTAGACCTAGACCTCTAACCCTAGGAAACCAACCACTGGTCTGCACCAAACTCATTCCTTTCTGCCACACTGCTCTTTCTCATTTCAAATGGTGGCTCACGTTGGCATTGCGCCGTCGCCACAGTTGCCCCCAGAAGAGGACCTTTCCCTGTCAGGACCCGCAGGAGGTCATAACAGTCCTCTCTCTTTGATGCCGCCAGGTAGGGATGGTCCTGGCTCCTCTTCGGTTCCCTGTCAAGTCTTCTCTTGCCATGACATTTGGCAGTGTGGAAATGTGGCTGGTATTCGAACCAGCTTGGATCTCAGCCACCTGCCACAACTACCTGCTGTTTCAGCAGTCATTCTCAGGAGAGGATCCCACCGTGCACCCCCCTCCCCGAGACAAAGCAACCTGGCTCCTTTTGAATCCTCTTCTTTCACCCCAACATCCGTCCTCTACTCTTGAGCCCCTCCTTTCCCTGCTTCCTGCATGGGACAGACAGAGCAATGTGGTTAAATACGAAGTTGATGTTGTTGTTACTGCTGTCCATTTGAAAACTCATTTAGGTGCTACCCTTATTGTGTTTGGCAAGTAACGGTCCCCTAAAGATGTCCATGTCCTGTTCTCCAGAACATGTACCATTTTATATTTCCTGGCAAAGGATCATTAAGATTGCTAATCAGCTGAATTTAATTTAAGATTATGCTGGATTATCTTGGCCAATGTAATTGCAAGGGTACTTTAAATGTGGAAGAGGGAGGCAGTGACTCAATATCAGATTGAAGCATCATGAGAAGGTCTACACTGGCCATTGTTGGCTTTGAAGATGGAAGGAAGCCAAGATCCAAGAAATACAGGCTGTCTCCAGAACCTGGAAAAGACAAAGAAACAGATTCTTCCCTAGAAATGCCAGAGGGATAGCTCCTCTGGCAACATCTTGATTTTAGTGTAATGAAACCCTTTGCAGATTTCCAGCCTCTAGGACTGTAAGATAATAATAAATTTGTATTATTTTAAGCCCTTCTATGTGTGGTAATTGGTTAAAGCAGCAGTATGAACCTAATACACTCACCATCCTGATGAAGTCTATTCCCCTTGACTTTCTTTACCCGTGGATCAGTCTCTGGGGAAGATCTATTTTGGAGCTCATGCCTCACCACTACAAACATCAATTGCCTCTTCTTTGCTTCCTAAAGGACAGTGATTTTTTTTATGTCCCTTATAGGTAATCTTGGAGAAAGTTCCTTTTTGCTGAAACCACTGATATTTCCCAGGTACAAAAGGGAACCCTATTCTTTTGTTGTTGTTGTTGCTGGTTTTGAGAGGGACTATCGGTGTTGTTGCCCAGGCTGGCTGGAGTGCAATGGTGCCATCTTGGCTCACTGCAACCTCCGCCTCCTGGGTTCAAGTGATTCTCCTGCCTCAGCCTCCTGAGTAGCTGGGATTACAGGTATGCCCCAAGACGCCTGGCTTATTTTTTGTATTTTTAGTAGAGATGGGGTTTCTTTATGTTGGTCAGGCTTGTCTGGAACTCCTGACTTCAGGTGATCTGCCTGCCTCGGCCTCCCAAAGTGCTGGGATTACAGGCGTGAGCCACCGTGCCTGGCCAGGAGCCCTATTCTTATGATGAATTTTCATATATTTCCATACAGCTTTTGTTACCAGATATTTACTATAACTGTACAATATTTTGCTGATATGAAGAAAACATGTGAGGATGATTCTGTACCACATCTGGAGATGAATGTTATGTATTAGAGGAAGACCACGTTAACTCTGCCTTTTTCATGGCCTTAACTGAATGGTGGATTTTCTCTGTTCCACAGCATACTCTCATGAATGAATTACAGGCTTGGGAGAACAGAGCCTGGGTCTGCTGGAATTTGTTGGCGCGTGTACATCTCTTTGCCTTCCTGAGCTGTTCTTCCCCTTTCATAACGTTACTGATGCCTTTCATTTATTCAACAAATATATATTGAGCTCCTACTTTCTCCTAGGCAGTGGGCATACAGTATAAACCAAAGAGAAATGAATCCCCTTTCTTGTGGTGCTTACATTCACCTGTGGTTTCCTGTTCAATTCCCTATTCTGAAAGTTTGCAGATGTATCGAAAACTATGCCAGCACAAGTTACTGTGGTAATTCTGGAGGCGCTGGGATCTTGCTCTCAAGATATTTACCTATAGAGGGGTGGTTCTACCAAAAGCTGATCAATTTTACTGTGAGAATTTGAAACGTGTTGGGCAATTTGATGTCAATTCGTTTAGAAAACAGGGACTATGATAGACATTTACTGAACTGAGAAAGGCCCTGTTCTAACCTCTTTGTGTGTAAAGACATTATAGACTATTACCAGAATGTATTATAACTACCTCCTTATACCAGATGAGGAAACCAGCTCGGATAGTTTGTCATTTTTAAAGTGGAGAGTAAATAAAAAGTTAAAAGAAGATGCTGACCTATGCCTGTCTGACTGGTACAAGCTATTTATTTCCTCTTAAAATGTGTTCCAGTCTAATAGATTGCATCAGCCATGGTTTTACTCCTCAGTGCCTCCACCAGCACCTGTGTAACCCTGACTGGCTCCTAAAATCTAAATTTCCAAAACAAATAACTCACAAGCATTAAGCCCAGGACAAAGAGGCAGCTGTACTGACTCATGATACCCACCTCTCTGTCCCCAACCCCACCCCATCTCCCACATGCACGCTTGTGAACTTGCACACTCGTATATCCCTTGCCTGTGCAGCAGCTTGCATTACTTCCTTTTGTCCCTCTTACTCACTGTGGACAAGGACCTGTTTTAACCCTTTTAGCTTAACTTTGGACTTTCTACTGTCATTTTCATTTGCAATTCCCCAGACATGTGATATTTAGTATGTATTCATATGCTCATTTGCCATCTGAATATGTTTTTTGGCCAAGTGTCTGTTCCCATCATTTACCCAATTTTAAAATGGGTTGATTGTTTTCTTATTGTTAAGTTTAAGAATTCTTATGTATATTTTGGATAGCAATCTTTTATCAGATGTCTGTTTTGCAAATAGTTTCTCTGTGGCTTCTCTTTTTCAATCTCTTAACAGTTTATTTTGTAGAGGAGAATAATCTTTAATGAGACCCAACTTATCAATTTGTTCTTTCATGGATCATGCTTTTGTTGTATCTAAAAAGTTGTTGACAAACCCAAAGTTACCTAGATGTTCTATTATGTTATCTTCTAGAAGTTTCATAGTTTTGCCTTTTAAACTTAGGTTAGTATCTGTGAAAGGGGTAAGGTCTTTGTCTATTTTTTTTTGCATGTGAATCTAGCACTATTTGTTGAAACAACTATCCTTTCCCCATTAAATTACCTTTGCTCCTTTGTCAAAGATTAGTTGACCGTATTTCTGTGGGTCTACTTCTGGGCTCTGTCTTCTGTTGCCCTGATCTACTTGTCTGTTTTTCACCAATATCAAACCCTCTTACTTAAGCTTTATAGTAGGTCTTAAAGTTGGGTAGTGTCAGTCCTCTGACCTTGTCCTTCTTCTTGAATATTGTGTTGGCTATTCTGTGTCTTTTGCTTCTCCACATAAACTTTATAATCAGTTTGCCAATATCCACAACATAACTTGCAGGGATTTTGATTGGGAGTGCATTGAGTCTATAGATCAAGTGCAGATGAACTGACATCTTCATGATATTATGTTATGATAAAAAAAAAAAGGAATATTTTTCCATTTATTTAGATCTTGTTTCTTTCATCAATGTTTTGTAGTTTCCTCAGAGAGAACTTGTAGTTATTTTTGTATATCTATACCTAAGTATTTCATTTTTGGTGCCAATGTAAAGGGTACTGTATTTTTTATTTCAAATTATAATTTTTATTCCTGGGATATAAGAAAAAATTGACTTTTACATCTTAACCTTCCATTTTGCAACATTGCCATAAATGTTTGTTAGTTACTGGGTCTTTTGTCGTTGTTGAGTCTTTGGAATTTACTTTTTTATTATCAAAATCAAGAAATGTATTCTCTATCCAATTGATACAACTTATTTTATTTTATTTTAATTTTGAGATGGAGTCCCTCTCTCTAGCCCAGGCTGGAGTGCAGTGGCACGATCTCAGCTCACTGCAACCTCCGCCTCCTGGGTTCAAGCAATTCTCCTGCCTCAGCCTCCCAAGTAGCTGGAAATAAAGATGCACGCTACGCCTGCCTAATCTGTGTATATTTAGTAGAGACTGGGTTTCACCATATTGGCCAGGCTGGTCTCGAACTTTTGACCTTAAGTGATCTGCCCGTCTCGGCCTCCCAAGGTGCTGGGATTACAGGCGTGAGACACTGTGCCCGGCCTGATACAATTTATTACTACACTATTATCTAAATTATAAACTATTCACACTCTGTCAATTGGTTCCAAAAGTTCTTTCAGAGTCATTTTCTTTCCTGACCCAGAATCAAATATGTGTGTACACACTGAATGTGGTGTGTCTCTTTGGTTTACTTTAATTTGAAATAGTTTTTCAGCCTTTCTTTGCTGATTTTCCCCCAAGTTCTAGTTTATTTTATGTACACTGTCTTAGAAACCTTTGCCTACAGTCCCAGCCATGAAGAAATTCTTTTTTTTTTTCTATAAACTTTATGGCTTAACTTCTATAGTTAAATCTATGATCTGTCTCGAATTTATTTTTTGTGTGTTGTGTGAGGCAGGAGTCAAGGTTCATTTTCTTCCATATATATATATCCAGTAGTCCAAGCATCATTTGTTAAAAAGACTTTCCCCAGTTGGATTGCTTGGTTCCTTTGCAGAAAAATCTAAAAATTTTATAAGTGTGGGCCAATTCCTAGGCTATTCCATTGATCTATTTATTGACCCTTATGCCAGTGCCAAACATTCTTAATTTTTGTAGCTTCTTGGCAAGTATTGGAGTCAGGTAGATACATCCTCCAACAGTGTTCTTCCTTTTCAATATTTATTGAGGAAGTTCCCTTCTTTTCTTTTTCTTCCTCCTTAGTTTTCTGACTTTTTTTCCATAATGGATGGGTGCTGAAATTTGTCAAAATTTTTTGCATCTATTGAAATGATCGTATCAGTTTTCTTCTTCATTCTGGTAGTTACCTTGATTTTCAAATGTTAAGCTAACCCATAATTTTGGGACAAATCCCACTGTTCATAATCTATATTTTTATATTTTATTATATGTTTTTGGATTCAAGTGTTTGATAGTCACTTGATGGCTACTGTGGGCAGTGGGACAATTCTGGACACCAGAAATATAGAATATTTTCATCATGATAGAAAGTTCTATTGGACGTCTCTACAGTGATCTATTTCTAAATAATTTCATATTATTCCTTCACATGTAAAATCCTTCATGAGTCATCAATATCTACAGGATATATGCGTTCTTGTCCAGCCTCAGTATACCCCTTAATCTCATTGTCTTATTATGCTCCCACACTTTCTTTCTTCTCTTGTCAATTTAGTTGCTGAATGCTTATGGTTTCATTGTGCTAGCTTTCATGTTCATCCTTTCTGGAATGCTGTAACACTTCTCACTTTTATTGTACACACAGTATTTTGGTCTAGTCCTTTTTGGTTGTCATCAAGTCCTTTTTTTCTCTTACTATTGGGTAAGGAGTTAGCCAAAGTCGTTATAAAAAATGCACACACCATTTTCTAAACAAAAGGCTTTCTGTGCGAGTGTAGTTTGACAATATAGAGTACAGTGAAGTTTTAGGCATAAACACATCAAAGCCTTCAGCAAGTTGAACTTTTGGATCTGAGATAAGTAATTCAAGAAGAATGCTAAATCCTAGAATGTGGTTCTCCTTAGTGAAGGTGTGCTCGGCTGCTTGGAGAACAAACTGTTCAGAGGCCCCTCCTGACTTCTTCTCTATTTAAAACTCATGAGCTTCTGTTTCACAATGAGAGGTTCAATGGTCTTTGGGGGCACTTTTTTCTTTTTATTTCTCATGTGTGAAATACTAGTTTGCTGAGAGCATATAAGGGCAATTTTGAAGGATTTTCTATGTAGACAATAATGTCATTTGTGGGCTGGGTGCGGTGGCTCACGCCTGTAATCCCAGCACTTTGTGAGGTGGGAGGATCACCTGAGGCCAAGAAGTTCGAGACCAGCCTGGCCAATATGGTGAAACACCATCTCTACTAAAAATACAGAGCTAGACCTTATCTCAAAATAATAATAATAATGTCATTTGTGAACAAAGATAAGTTTATTTCTTCCTTCCACATCTGTGTATCTTTTATTTGAGTTTATTGTTTTACTGCATTAGCTAGGACTTCCAGTACAATGTTGAATAGGATTAGTGAGAAGGGACATCCTTGGATTGTTCCTGATCTTTGCAGGGAAGCATCTAGTTTCTTACCCTTATGATGTTAGCTGTAGATTTTTTGTAGATGTTCTTTATTAAGTATAAAGAGTTCTCTATGTCTTAGTTCAGGTTGCTATAACAAAATGCCATATACTGAGTGGCTTAAATAATAGACATTCATTTCTCACAGCTGTGAAGGCTAGGAAGTCTAAGATCAAGGTGCCAGCAGATTTGGTTCCTGGTGAGGTCTCACTTCCTAGCTTGTTTTCCTAGCTTTCGTTTTCATTGAGTTTTTCCATTGATTTCCTATTCATTCATTCATTCACCTTCTCATTGTGTTCTCACATGGTTATTCCTCAGTGTGTGCATGTAGGGGGAGAGAGAGAGAGATCAAGCTCTCTGGTGTCTCTTTTTATGAGGGCACTGATCCCATTTTGAGAGTTCCATCTTCATCAGCTAATCTAAACCTGATGAACTGCAAAAGGTCCCACCTCCATATGCCATCACATTGGGTGTTGGAACTTCAATATACACATTTGGCGTGGGGCATACACATTCAGCCCATAACACCTCTATCCCTAGTTTTCTGAGAGTTTCTCTTTTTAAAATCATGAATGGGTGTTAGATTTTGCCAAATACCTTTGCTGTTCTATTGATGTAATACTATAATTTTTCCTCTTTAGCCTTTTGATGTGATGGATTATACTAATTGATTTTTGAATGTTGAAACATTCTTGCATACCTGGAATAAATTCTACTAGGTTGTGGCATATAATTCTTTTTATACATTGCTGGATTTGATGGGCTAATATTTGTTGAGGATTTTTACATTTATGTGTGTAAGGGATATTGGTCTGTTTTACTTTCTTGTAACTTTTTTACCTGGTCTTGGTATTAGGGTAATGCTGACCTCATAGCATTTTTTAAGAAAGTATTCCCTTGGGTTCTATTTTCTGTGAAAGATTGTATGGAATTGTTATAATTTCTTCCTGTTTGGTAGAATTCACCAGTGAACCCATCTGGGCCTGATGCTTTCTCATTTGGAAGTGTATTATGCATTGATTCCGTTTCTTTTTTTAATTAAATTTTATTTTAAGTTCCAGGATAAATGTGCAGGATGTGCAGGTTTGTTACATAGGTAAACTTGTGCCATGGTGGTTTGCCGCACCTATCAACCCATCACCTAGGTATTAAACCCGACATGCATTAGCTATTTATCCTGATGCTCTCCCTCCCTCCACCCCCTTCAGCAAGCCCCAGTGTGTGTTGTTCTCCTTCCTGTGTTGATGTGTTCTCATTGTTCAGCTCCCACTTACAAGTGAGAACATGCAGTGTTTGGTTTTCTGTTCCTGTGTTAGTTTGCTGAGGATAATGGCTTCCAGCTCCATCCATGTCCCTGCAAAGGACATGATGTCATTCCTTTTTACGGCTGCATAGTATTCCATGGTGTATATGTACCATATTTTCTTTATCCAGTCTATCACTGATGGGCTTTTGGGTTGATTCCATGTCTTTGATATGATACAATTTCTTTAATGGTTATAGGCTTAGGCAGATTATCTATTTCTCCCTGGGTTTGTTTTGGTAGATTGTGTTTTTCAAGGAATAGTTCCATTCCAGCTAGGCTATCAAAGTTTTGGACAAAGTTGTTCATAATATTCTTTTATTATCTTTTTAATGTCAACAGGAGAGTAGTGATAGGCCTTCCTTTATTTCTGATATTAACAATTTGTGCCTTGTCTCTTTTTCTCTTAGTCTGGCTAGAGACTTATAAATGTTTTTAATCTTTTCAAAGAATCAGCTTTTGTTTTCATTGAGTTTTTCCATTGATTTCCTATTTTCAGTATCATTGATTTATGCCTAGATTTTATCTTTTATTTTGATTGCTTTGAATTTAATTTCCTCTTCTTTGTATAGTTTCCTAAGATAGAAGCTTAGATTACTGATTATAGATCTTTCTTCTTTTCTAATATATTCATTAAATGCTATAAACTTCTTTTTACGCACTGTTTTGCTACATCCCACAACTTTGATAAGTTGTATTTTTGTAATTTTTTTAGGTTATTTAAAAATTTCCCTTGAGAGAAGTACTTTTATAACAGGGTATTTCTAATTCATCCCTCCAATCCTTTATACCATTGTTGTCATTTATTACACTAATCTATAAGTTGTAATGATCACATACATTGTTGTTAACATTATTATTTTGGACAAACTGTTTTCTGTTAAATCAATTAATAAGAAAAATACAAGATTTAATTTTACCCTCATTTACTCCTTGTCTAACACGCTTCCTTTCTTTATGTAAATCTGAATTTCTGACCTGCATAATTTTCATTCTCTCTGAAGATTGTCTATTGATATCTTTACAAGCCAGGTCTATTGGGAACAAATTTTCTCAATTTTTATTTGTCTGAGAATACCCAGAATATCTTCTTTAGATTAGAAGGGTAATTTCATAGAATTCTATGTTGGTGTTCTTTTCCTTCAACACTTGAAATATGTTACTCCACTCTCTTCCTGCTTCTACGGTTTCTGAAAAAAATCTGAATGCAATTCTTATCCCTGCTTCTTTGTAGGTAAGTGTTTTCTCTGGCTTTTAAAATATTTTCCCATTGTCTTTGATTTTCTGCAGGTTGAATATAATACAACTAGTGTAGATGTTCTGATTTTTATCCTGCTCCATGTTCTCTGAGTTTCCTAGATCTATGGATTGGTACATGTAATTAATTCTGAAAAATTCTCAGCCATTATGACATCAAATATCTCTGTTCCTTTCTCTCTTTTCTTTCTGTTATTCCTATTACATGTAAGTTACATGTTTTGTAATTGTTCCACAGTTCTCCTGTTTTATCTCTTTGCATTCTGTTTTGGAAATTTTTGGAAGTTTTGGAAGTTTCAATTGGCATTTCTTCAAACTCACTGATTCTACTTCCAGCCATGTCCAGTTTATTGAGGAATCCATGAAAGGTACTCTTCATTTCTATTTATTTCTGGCAGTTTCCTTTTGTTTCTTTCTTAGACTTTCAATTTCTGTGCTTACAGTAACCATCTGTTCTTGCATGTTGTCTGCATTTTCCATTAGGGCACTTAGCATATTAATCATAGTTGTTTTAAATTCCTAGTCAGATAATTCCAAAGTCTCTGCCATATCCCAAACTAATTCTGATGCTTACTCTAGGTCTTGATTCCTTGGTATTTTTCTATTATACTTGCATTTTATTCTTGAAAGATCAATATGATGTACTGGGTAAAAGAAAATGAGGTAAGTAGGCCTTTAGTCTGGCTAGTAGTTAGGCTGTGTTTATTGTTTGCTATAGCTTAATTTTCTTCTGATGTCCTTGCTTTAGTCTCCCCTGCTGCCTTTGGGTTTCCCTAGAGACTTCTTAAATATGGTCTGATATGTACAGTTTTGTGTGTCTTAATATCCTGCTATAATACAGTAGCCTTATTGATGTAGTAGAAATGGAGGTGGGCAGCAGGGGAAGGAGAAGTATTTCCTGGTCCTATTATTAGGTTTCAATGTTTTTGTGAGCTTTTGCCCATTTTGTGACATTCACAAGTGCTTCTCATTTTTTTTTAACCTTAAGTGAGACAGGAAGTGTAGAATGGGCTAGAATTGGATATTTTCCTTTGGCCTGTGACCTCATAAGTGTTTCTTAACTTTCTTCCTCCGAAAGTGAGACAAGAATGCTAGGTGGAGCTGGAATTGGTGAAATGCCTGACCGCAGGTGGGATAAGGCTCCAGTAGTTTGTCTCTCTTAAGAGTAGTCAGTTGTATGGAGAATGTTCTGGGTATACTTAAAAATGGTTATATTTCCTCGCCCTCTGCCAGATTCACAAGGGGATAATTCTTTGTTCTTCACCATAAGAACTGAGTGAGTTTCCTGAAGGTTAAATCCATAAAAAGCCCCTATAAGACTATGACTCCCAGAATTTCTCACTCTCCTGCTGCTCCACAGTCAGTGTCAAGCAGTTCATCAACTTAACATTTAAGTGTCCCTACCAGTTTATGGCTCCAGTAAATTCTATTCCATGTAAGCCAATTTCAGCTTTGATTCTGAATGTACTGCTTCTCCAGATTTTATGGTATTGGTTTGGCCTATATGACCTTAGTTCTCTGATAGGACCAAAAAAAGGCCATTTGTTTTTAGTTTGTTCAGGTTTTTCTTATTTAAATTTGGGAGTGATGACTTCTAAGATCTTTATATATTGCAGCTGACACTAAAATTTTTGACTTTTTATCTATGCTACTTAAAGAAGTCTTGACAGCTATTTTTCACAAGTCTCTCAAGGCCATTTAAACTCTGCTCCTCTTCGATGTTCAGGTACTTGAATTGATCATTGGATAAGCGTTTCTGTGCCACTATAGAGAAAGTGACAGAAGGGTGATTGTAATTTTTTAAATACAACTAAGAGTTCTTTAACAGAGATTGTTTGAGCCAGGGATTCTAGAATTTTTCCCTAAGGAAATACCTTAAGAATGTGTAAATCAATTTAGCTACAAGAATATTAATCCTCTGCTATTCCTTCATCTATGGGCTAACTTTAGAAAAGAAAAACACCTTGGAGAGAGTGCACTCAAAGTGTAGATAAAACAGAAAAATAGAATTGATCCAAGCATCAGCAAACACAAGCACCTATATAATCTTCAGATTTTCAATATCTTTTCTCAATATCCTAGAATTCACCCAGGTAATCTTACTGGGTGAAATAGGGCAAGAACTATAACTGGGCTGACACAAATAAAAAATACACGAGTGAAATGTATCATTTAGTACTAGAAATTTTCCACAGAGAAGTTCCTTACAGAATTGTTTATAGTAGGAAAAAACAGATATAACCTAAATATATGAGTATAGGGGATTCGTTAATTTATGACAAACTCATGAGATGGAATAGATGTGTTAATTAGCTTGATTTAGTCACTCCACAATGTATCTATATATCAAAGCATCATGTTGGACATCATACATATATACAATTTTTATTTCTCAATGAATAAAAGAATATTTTTTAAAAATGAAACTGTCTGTTTCAGAAACACCTTGTCAGTACTGGGAATTATCCAACTTTTATTTTTGTTCATATGAAAGGTAAAAAATGGAATACTATTATTTTAATGTGTTCTACAATTGTGAGGGAGCCTATCAATAACGATGTGCTACATTACATTGCCGTAACAAATGGTCCCCAAATCTGGGCAACTTAAAATAACCAAAATACCCAGAACTTTGGGAGGCTAAGGTAGGCAAATAGCTTGTGGCCAGGAGTTTGAGACCAGCCTGGCCAAAATGGCTAAACCCCATCTCTACTAAAAACACAAAAATTAGCCAGGAATGGTGGCGCACAGCTATAATCCCAGCTACTCGAGTGGCTGAGGCAAGAGAATCACTTGAACCCAGGATGTAGAGGTTGCAGTAAACCAAGATTGCGCCACTACATTCCAGCCTGGACAACATAGTGAGACTCTGTCTCAAAAAAAAATCACAAAAATATATTTGTTGTTCATATTACATGTCTAACACGTCTGTTGGGAGCTTTACTCATGAGGATTAAACGCAACAGTTATGATCTGAAACATTGCTGGCTACCATGACGTAGGAAAAGACCGATCATGACAAATCTCACAGCGGCTCTTAAAAGTTTCCTGCCAGAACTGACAAAAATCTTTTTGAATATTGTATTGACCGAAGCAACTTACATGGCCATTGTTGTGCTCAAAGGTGTAGGGAAGTGCAAGGCTAAGAGTCTGAAAATTGGACTGCAGGAAATCTTGGTTAACAATAGTAATAATTAACAAAAGTCCCAAATCTATTTGTTGAGTACTACAAACCTTTTTTCTTTCCTGTGAACTAATTATTTACTTACTCAGCTTTCCATTGGGATATTCACTCCATTGATTTATATTATGTCTTTGTTAACTCACAAAATGAGCCTGTAGATTGCCATATCTGTTGTAACTAGTGTTTCCAGTATATGCTGTTTTTTGACTTGTTTATAATATTTTATTTTATTGTAATATTTATTATTTATTTTATTATTTTTTATTTATTTATTTTTTCGAGACAGAGTCTCGCTTTGTCACCCAGGCTGGAGTGCAGTGGCACAATCTCAGTTCACTGCAAGTTCCGCCTCCCGGGTTCACGCCATTCTCCTGCCTCAGCCTCCTGAGTAGCTAGGAATACAGGTGCCCGCCACCGTGCCCAGCTAATTTTTTTGTATTTTTAGTAGAGATGGGGTTTCACCGTGTTAGCCAGGATGGTCTCGATCTCCTGACCTCGTGATCTGCCCGCCTCAGCCTCCCAAAGTGCTGGGATTACAAGCGTGAGCCACTGTGCCCAGCCTGTTTAAAATACTTTAAAACAGCTTTATTAAAATACAATTCATATACCATGCAATTCACCAATTCAAAATGTACAATTCAAAGACTTTAATACACTTAGAGTTGTGCATTCATCACCAAAATTAATTTTGTAACATTTTTAAGCCCAAGAAGATACTCTCTGTCCCTTAGTTGTCAGATTGCATTGCCCTAACCCCCAAACCAGAGGCAACAATTCATCTGTCTCTATAAATTTGTCTATTTTGGATTTTTCATATAAAAGGAATCATTTAATATGTAGTTGTTGTGATTTTTATTGTTATGATTTTTTTTCTAATTTGGTCTTGAGGTCTCTGTCTGGAGAGTGGCTATAAATTCCAGCCCTGCGCTGAATGGGGCTCTAAGGAAGGTGGTCTTCAATGTTTACAGTGTGCTTTTCACAGGATACTTCGTCCTGGCAGACAGCCTAATGCCTAAGTGTCCAACCTATGACCAGGTGTCCCTCTCACTGAAAACTTGTTTATACTGGCAGATACCCTTGTGGCTCTTGTTTGACCTGTGTCCAGTTTATCCCTGCTAAGACAGCCACTTGCAAGGAGAGCCCTGACCAGGAGGATAGTTAGGTTTGGTTGTGTAAGTCAAATGAGGCACAGAGAAGACAGCACAACGAAACACATGAAATGCAAAATATTTTTATTACTCAGATCTACAAGAGAAGAGGGTTGCCCACAAGGGCTGATGAGAAGTCTGAAGACAGCAGGATGCGTAACCAATGGGTGTTGAGTGGGACAGACCTGCAGGCTGGGCCTTTATTGTGATCAAAGCCATTACCCAAACATGTTTCCTATGAGGAGTTCAAACTGGTGAGTTTGAAGCAAGTAGGGATGAGTTCCAGGAGGTCACACCATCACTGAGAGGTGATCACTGTGGCATATTTGCATTGTCCATGTTGGGTATGAGGGTCAGTGGGGCAAGTCAAGTAGGTTATATCTCTCTGTCCGAGAGGGTGGTGGATATCTGTTGTGTAAGGCAGATATCTGGATTGACCACATTGAAAAAGTGGGAGGAAGTGGAGAATTAGGTGATTAGGCCCTGCCTTTGGTATGAGAAAGTTAGAAGGTTAACCCTATATCTAGGGTGGATGCCAGAGCAACATGAAATTATAGGAATTGACTACAATGGTTCTTTGTGACTTCTTTCACTTAGCATAAGGCTCTTCCCTGCTGTAGCATTTATTAGTACTTCATTGCTTCTTACTGCAGAAAATTATTCCATTGTATGAATATAACACATTTTATTTATCTCTTTAGCAGTTGATGGAAACTTGGGTTGTTGCTATGTATTATCTATCATGAATAATGCTGCTATGAACATGTGTGCACAACATTTTATGTGGACATATGTTTTCATTTCTCTTGGATACATGCCTAGGAGTGAAATTGCTAGAACATAAGGTCATTTTTTGAAAAACTGCCAGACTGCTTTCCAAAACAACTGCACAATTTTACATTCCCACCAGCAGTGTATGAAGATGCTCATATTGCCATATCCTTACCAACACATTTTATTATCTGTCTTTTAATTATTTTCATCCTAATGAGTATGGAAATGTTTGGGGGTTTTGATTTGCATTTCAGTGATAGCTCATGATGTTAAGCATCTTTTCATGTGCTTACTTGCAATTTTTTGTATTTTCTTTGGAGAAATATTTATCCAGATCTTTTGACCATTTTTATATTGGGTTGTCTTTTTATTTTTGAGTTGAAACAGTTTTTATTCATTCTAGATTGAAGTTCCTTGCTAAGTATATGATTTGAAATATTGTCTCCCATTCTCTGGGGTGGGTTTTCACTTACTTATGTCCTTTGAAGCAGAAAAGTCTTTAATTTCGATGACGTACAGTTTGCCTATTTTTCCCTTTGTTCTTTGTGCTTTGGTGTCATATGTGAGTCACCAAATGTCACAAAGGTCCATAGTCACAAAGATTTATACCATGTGTTTTCTTCTAAGGGTTTTATAGATTTAGCTCTTACATTTAGGTTTTTGAACAATTTCTAGTTCATTTTTATATACAGTGTGAGGCAGGGATTAAAAGTCATTATTTTGCAGGTGCCTGTCCAATTATCCCAACACCATTTGTTGAAAAGACAATTCTTACCCTGTTGTATGGCTCTCATGCTCTTGTCAAACTCAATACATGTGAGGATTTATTTCTGGACTCTCAATACTTTTTCATTCATATTTATGTTTACCGTTATGTCAGTACCACATAGTTTGGATTACTGTAGTTTCATAGTAAGCACTGAAATCAAATAGTGTGAGTCCTCCAACTTTGTTCTTTTATTGATTATTTTGGATACTGTGGATCACTTGCATATAAATTTTGAGAGCAGCTTCTGAATTTCTACGAAAAGGCAGCTGAATTTGGTAAGGATTACACTGAGTCTGTAGATCAATTTAGCTGGTATCAATATTTTAATAATATTAAGTCTCACAATCCATAAACATGGGGTGTCTTTCCATTTATTTAGGTCTTCAATTCCTTTCAACAATTTTTAGAGTTTTCAGTGAACAAATATTGCACTTTTTTGGTAAAACTTACTCCTTAGTTTTAAAAATTATTTTGATGAGCTTGCAGTTATAAAAATGTCATTATTTGTTTGATCATTACTACTGTATAGAAATACAATATGTTTTTGCATATTGATATTTTATCATGCAACTCTACTGAAGTTGTTCATTAAACAGGTTTTAGTGGATCTCCTAGGATTTTCTATATGCAAGATTAATTCATCTGCAAATGTTTATGATATTATGAATCATGTTAACATTATCAGTTAACTTTATCAATTTTTTATGTCCCGTTTATTTCTATCTAATCTAGAATATAAATAGGTTAGATAGAAGCATTAGTTATTAATAAAACATAAATAAAAACCACAATAAGATACCACTTCACACCTAATAGGATGCTAGAATATAAATTTATTTAATTTATAAATATAAAATATAAAAAATATAAAAATATAAATTTATATAAATATATATAATAAAATATACAAAATAAAATGTAAAATATATAATTAATTTATATATAAAATATAAAAAAACTCTAATATATTGTCTTAGTACTTTTATGATTTCAAGATCTGTGTTTAAATCTTTGAACCAATTGGAGTTGGTGAGGATGTAGAGAAACTGGAACCCTCATGCATTGCTGATGACAATGTAAAATCAAGAAAGGATTCCAGCAAAAGGGGTGGGGAAAATCATGACCTGGGTGGTCTCTCTTCTCAGTTGTTCTCTAGAGTTTAACATAGGTACTCTGGTTGATATACTGCTATTAAATTGGAGTCTTTGTGAGGGAGGGGCCTGAAGCTTCCTAGTCTGCCATCTTGCTAATGTCATTCCACTGTTGAGATTTTGTTATCTTCTTTAGTCAGCTCCATCCTCTTTTCTGTTATTGTCACAAATTATAACTTTATACATTGCATGTCCAAAACATACATTAAATATTGATTTTTATGCATTTGCCTTTCAGGTCATACAAAAAATAAAAAAGTGGAGCTACAATCCAAAATTCTAACAGTACTGGCTTTTGTCATTACTTACGTATTTATATTTGCTAGAGATCTTTATCTCTTCATACAGCTGTGAGTTATTGTCTAGTTTCTTTTTGTTTAAATCTGCATGACTCTCTTTAGAATTCCTTGCTTGGCATATCTAGTGAAAATGAACTCCCTCAGATTTTGTTTATCTGAGAATGTCTTAATTTATCCCCATTAAAAAATATTTTTTGGTGGACATAGAATTCTCCGTTGACTCTTCCCCAAGCACTTTGATGATATAAACCCAACACATTCTGGCCTCCAGGTTTCTGATACCAAATTGGCTGACAGTCTTATTGACAATCACTTATATATGATCAGTCACTGCTCTCTTTCTGCTTTTAAGATTCACTCTTTGTCTTTCAATAATCTGATTATAATGTGTTTTAGCATATGTCACTTTGTTTTGTCCTGTTTCTAGTTCATTGAGCTTCTTGGATTTTTACATTCAAGTGTTTTATCAAATTTGGAAAGTTTTTAGCCATTATTATTTTTTGAATGATCTCTCTACCCCTTTCTCTCTCTCTTCTCTTCCTAATATTCCCATAATGTGTAAGTTGGCCTGTTGTTCTGCTGGATCACGTCCCACAGGTCCCTTAGGCTCTGTTCACTTTTCTTCATTTTTTTCCCTTTCTGTCCCTCAGACTCAATAATTTAAAAGGTTCTATCTTCTAGTTCTCTGAATCTTTATTCCGCTTGCTGAAATCAGCTTTTGCACTAATTGAATGTCTTTTGAGTTACTGTACCTTTCAGCTCCAGAATTTCCTTTGCGTTCTTTATTCATAATTTCTATATCTTTATTGATACTGCCATTTTGTACATACACCATTTTACTGTCATTATTCATGTCTTCCTTTAGCATTTTGAGCATATTTAAGATCACAGTTTTAACATCTCTGTCTAGTAAGTCTGGCATCTGTGCTTCCTCAGGCATGTTTTTTTGTTTATTTATTATTTTGTTTCTTTTAATAGGCTATACTTTTGTGTTTCTTTTCATGCCTTGTGGCCTTTTGTTAAAGAGTGCACATTTGAATCTTATGATGTGGTAACTCTGGAAGTCAAATTGTGTATCCCCTTCCCTAAGGTTTTCTGCGGTTTAAAAAATTGTTGTAACATGTCTCTATGCCAGAAATCAGCATGGGGTGGAAGCTTAAGGTCTTCTCAGGTCTTTTCTGGGACCGTATCTTTCCTTGGGTATACACAGTGCCTTTCTAAATTACTCCGTATATGCAGTTGTTTTTGAATGTCCAAAAAAAAAAAAAATGATGATGAGGCTCCCTTAAATCCTCTGGAAGCTGCTTGAGCTGGTGAGGGGTAAAACAACAGTTGCCAGGTTTATTTACCTGCACCTCAGTAATCAGAAGCAGCTATCTGTAACAGAATACAAACCGCTGATATTTGGAGGACAATACCCTTATTATGCAGTGTAGCTCCAACAAGCCATGCCAGAGACACAGGTTTCTGTCCCTACATTGACATGGGGCTTGGAAGGAGGCTGGAGTATGAGTAGCTCCTATTGCACTGATGGCTAAAAAGGACTGATAATAACTACAATTTACCAGCAAAGTTTTCCCCTTGGAAGCTGAAAGAGTTTAAGTAGAATCAAGATTTCCAAAACAGTCACGTCAGACAGTTTCTAGTTTCTAGCAGTACAATTGTTGTCTACGTGGAGAGACGGATTCCTAACACTTCTCACTCCACCATTTTCCCTGTCATCACTCTCCAAATACCATTTTTTGAACAATCCATCTTTTGCCCACAGTTATGCCATCTCTATCCTACATTAAATATCTCTATCTATTTTGGTCTGTTAATGTATTCTAGTCTGTTTCATTGTTCTATTTTTAATTCATCACCAAGTTAATTGTTGTAGCTTCATGACAAACAGTTACATAAAGTCTGATGTCATATTTTGATCTCTTTAAGGTAGTGCTACACTAGAAGAAGAATGAAACAATAAAAAACAGTAGTGAAATCCATGATCCCTTCTAATTTTCATGGTCACTACCAAATTATGTCTGTGTGTTTTATCAATTTAACCCAGTGTCTAGCATGGTGCTGATCACATAATTACTACTCAGTAGGAAGATAAAGATTCCTGGGTTTTATCTTTCAAATAGCAGCTCTTCATGCATGAAGTGGTTTTATTTCAATCTCATTTTATTCATTTTTTTAAAAATTATAAACATTTTAGACCATACATAAAATAGAAAGAATAACACCTATATACCCACCTGGATTCATTTGTTACTATTTTGAGATATATATAACTATATCTGTATCTTGCTATTCATCATTTTTATATCTTGTCTAAACACTTCAAAGTAAATTATATGTAAGCCCTAAATAATTTGTTTTGCATCTTCAAAATATAAGAATAGTCTCTTAAATAACTAAATATCATTATAACCCCCTTAATAAGTTTAACTATAATTCCTTACATTTGAAATACACTCCATATTTAAATTTTTCAAATTGCTCTAAAATGTGGCTCATAGCTCCTTTTAAAAACCATGTTCCAATCACAGATAACACATTCTATTAGCTATTAGTTATTGATATATTTCTTTTTTTAGCTGCCTGGATGACTAGGAAGTTATTGATATATTTCTTAACTCTTATCTAATCTACAACAGTTATTCCCTTCAACTTTTTTTGTGACATTGACTTTTTTAAGTTACCAGGTGGATTGTTTTGCATAATGTCCCACACTCGGGATTTGTCTGATTGAATATTTATAATTTTTTTCACCTGTTACTCCTTGCTGTATATTTCCTGTTACCTAAGAGTTAGCTGCCAAGGCTAGATTCATGTTAACCATTTTCCCCCTCTTATTCTCTGGAGGTAGGATTCTAGATTGACAGGTTTGTTTCTTTTAAATTGAGTACTTAATTTGGTTGTTTTCTGGTTTTTACTACTACTATTGATTATCAGCTGCATGTATATAATTGGTATTACTTTGAAGGCAATTTATTTTTCTCTAACTCCTATTAATATCCTGTGTATGACTTTACTGTACACAATTTTACTATGATGTGTTAAGGGTATGTATCTTTTTATTAAGTTGCTTGAGATTCACTGGGGTTTTTAAATATGTGGTTCTGTCTTTCAACAGTTCTAAAAATCCTCAACCATTGTCTTTTCAAAAGGTGCCTCTGCCTCATGCTCTCTTTCCCTTCTACTTGAAATATTTTGTATCTTAATGCTAACTGCAGAAAAAATTTCAATTCTAAATTCCACTGAAACTCCTCTTTATTTGGTTTTAATACTCTTTATGTTTCCCATTTCAATTAGTATATCATTTTTCTTTGCAAAATGTTTATTTATATTTACTTTTCTAATATATTTGGAATTTTTGTGGGTACCTTGTTAATAATTTTAATGCATTTTCACTTAGGAGCCTATTACAATATTTTATATTACATGTTATAAAAATTCCAAAATATGAGGTTCCTGGGAATGTTGATTTTTCAGGAACTTGTTCCTATAATTTAATTTACTCTAGTGTGGAGTCAAGATGGCCAAATACGAACAGCTCCAGTCTACAGCTCCCAGCGTGAGCGACGCAGAAGACGAATGATTTCTGCATTTCCAACTGAGGTAACGGGTGCATCTCACCAGGGAGTGTCAGACAGCGGGTGCAGGACAGTGGGTGCAGCACACCGAGCATGAGCTGAAGCAGGGTGAGGCATCGCCTCATCCAGGAAGCGCAAGGGGTTAGGGAATTCCCTTTCCTAGTCAAAGAAAGGGGTGACAGACAGCACCTGGAATATCGGGTCACTCCCACCCTAATACTGCGCTTTTCAAATGGTCTTAGCAAATGGCACACCAGGAGATTATATCCCGCGCCTGGCTCAGAGGGTCCCATGCCCACGGAGCCTTGCTCATTGCTAGCACAGCAGTCTGAGATGAAACTGCAAAGCAGCGGTGAGGCTGGGGGAGGGGCGCCCGCCATTGCTGAGGCTTGAGTAGGTAAACAAAGCGGCCTGGAAGCTGGAACTGGGTGGAGCCCACTGCAGCTCAAGGAGGCCTGCCTGCCTCTGTAGACTCCACCTCTGGGGGCAGGGCATAACCAAACAAAAGGCAGCAGAAAACACTGCAGACTTAAATGTCCCTGTCTGACAGCTTTGAAGAGAGTAGTGGTTCTCCCAGCACGCAGCTGGAGATCTGAGAACGGACAGACTGCCTCCTCAAGTGGGTCCCTGACCCCCGAGTAGCCTAACTGGGAGGCACCCCCCAGTAGGGGCAGACTGACACCTCACATGGCCGGGTACTCCTCTGAGACAAAACTTCCAGAGGAATGATCAGGCACCAACATTTGCTGTTAACCAATATCCGCTGTTCTGCAGCCTCTGCTGCTGATACGCAGGCAAACAGGGTCTGGAGTGGACCTCCAGTAAACTCCAACACACCTGCAGCTGAGGGTCCTGACTGTTAGAAGGAAAACTAACAAACAGAAAGGACATCCACACCAAAAACCCATCTGTACGTCACCATCATCAAAGACCAAAGGTAGATAAAACCACAAAGATGGGGAAAAAACAGAGCAGAAAAACTGGAAACTCTAAAAATCAGAGTGCCTCTTCTCCTCCAAAGGAATGCAGCTCATCACCAGCAATGGAACAAAGCTGGACGGAGAATGACTTTGACGACTTGAGAGAAGAAGACTTCAGACGATCAAACTACTCTGAGCTAAAGGAGGAAGTTTGAACCCATGGCAAAGAAGTTAAAAACCTTGAAAAAAAATTAGAAGAATGGCTAACTAGAATAACCAATGCAGAGAAGTCCTTAAAGGACTTGATGGAGCTGAAAACCAAGGCATGAGAACTATGTGACGAATGCACAAGCCTCAGTAGCCGATTCGATCAACAGGAAGAAAGGATATCAGTGATGGAAGATCAAATGAATGAAATGAAGTGAGAAGAGAAGTTTACAGAAAAAAGAATAAAAAGAAACCAACAAAGCCTCCAAGAAATATGGGACTATTTGAAAAGACCAAATCTACGTCTGATTGGTGTGCCTGAAACTGACGGGGAGAATGGAACCAAGTTGGAAAACACTCTGCAGGATATTATCCAGGAGAACTTCTCCAATCCAGCAAGGCAGGCCAATATTCAAATTCAGGAAATACAGAGGATGCCACAAAGATACTCCTCGAGAAGAGCAACTCCAAGACACATAATTGTCAGATTCACCAAAGTTGAAATGAAGGAAAAAATGTTAAGGGCAGCCAGAGAGAAAGGTTGGGTTACCACAAAGGGAAGCCCATCAGACTAACAGTGGATCTCCCAGCAGAAACTCTACAAGCCAGAAGAGAGTGGGAGCCAATATTCAACATTCTTAAAGAAAAGAATTTTCAACCCAGAATTTCATATCCAGCCAAACTAAGCTTCATATGTGAAGGAGAAATAAAATCCTTTACAGACAAGCAAATGCTGAGAGATTTTTGTCACCACCAGGCCTGCCCTACAAGAGCTCCTGAAGGAAGCACTAAACATGGAAAGGAACAACTGGTACCAGCCACTGCAAAAACATGCCAAATTGTAAAGACCATCGAGGCTAGGAAGAAACTGCATCAACTAACAAGCAAAATAACCAGCTAACATCATAATGACAGGATCAAATTCACACAAAACAATATTAACCTTAAATGTAAATGGGCTAAATGCTCCAATTAAAAGACACAGACTGGCAAATTGGATAAAGAGTCAAGACCCATCAGTGTGCTGTATTCAGGAAACCCATCTCACGTGCAGAGACACACATAGGCTCAAAATAAAGGGATGGAGGAAGATCTACCAAGCAAATGGAAAACAAAAAAAGGCAGGGGTTGCAATCCTAGTCTCTGATAAAACAGACTTTAAACCAACAAAGATCAAAAGAGACAATGAAGGCCATTACATAACGGTAAAGGGATCAATTCAACAAGAAGAGCTAACTATCCTAAATATATATGCACCCAATACAGGAGCAGCCAGATTCATAAAGCAAGTCCTGAATGACCTACAAAGAGACTTAGACCACCACACAATAATAATGGGAGACTTTAACACCCCACTGTCAACACTAGACAGATCAACGAGACAGAAAGTTCACAAGGATATCCAGGAACTGAACTCAGCTCTGCACCAAGCGGATCTAATAGACATCTACAGAACTCTCCACCCCAAATCAACAGAATATACATTGTTCTCAGCACCACACCACATCTATTCCAAAATTGACCACATAGTTGGAAGTAAAGCACTCCTCAGCAAATGTAAAAGAATAGAAATTATAACAAACTGTCTCTCAGACCACAGTGCAATCAAACTAGAACTCAGGATTAAGAAACTCACTCAAAAACGCTCAACTACATGGAAACTGAACAACCTGCTCCTGAATGACTACTAGGTACATAACGAAATGAAGGCAGAAATAAAGATGTTCTTTGAAATCAACGAGAACAAAGACACAACATACCAGAATCTCTGGGACACATTCAAAGCAGTGTGTAGAGGGAAATTTATAGCACTACATGCCCACAAGAGAAAGCAGGAAAGATCTAAAATTGACACTCTAACATCACAATTAAAGGAACTAGAGAAGCAAGAGCAAACACATTCAAAAGCTAGCAGAAGGCAAGAAATAACTAAGCTCAGAGCAGAACTGAAGGAAATAGAGACACAAAAAACCCTTCAAAAAATCAATGAATCCAGGGGCTGGATTTTGAAAAGATCAACAAAATTGATACACCACTAGCAAGACTAATAAAGAAGAAAAGAGAGAAGAATCAAATAGACACAATAAAAAATGATAAAGGGGATATCACCACCGATCTGACAGAAATACAAACTACCATCAGAGAATACTATAAACACCTCTATGCAAATAAACTAGAAAATCCAGAGGAAATGGATAAATTCCTCAACACATACACCCTCCCAAGACTAAACCAGGAAGAAGTTGAATCTCTGAATAGACCAATAACAGGCTCTGAAATTGAGGCAATAATTAATAGCTTACCAACCAAAAAAAGTCCAGGACCAGATGGATTCACAGCCTAATTCTGCCAGAGGTACAAGGAGGAGCTGGTACCATTCCTTCTGAAACTATTCCAATCGAAAGAAAAATAGGGAATCCTCCCTAACTCATTTTATGAGGCCAGCATTATCCTGATACCAAACCTTGGCAGAGACACAACAAAAAAAGAGAATTCTAGACCAATATCCCTGATGAACATCGATGCAAAAATCCTCAATAAAATAATGGGAAACTGAATCCAGCAGCACATCAAAAAGCTTATCCACCATGATCAAGTGGGCTTCATCCCTGGGATGCAAGGCTGGTTCAACATACGCAAGTCAATAAATGTAATCCAGCATATAAACAGAACCAATGACAAAAACCACATGATTATCTCAATAGATGCAGAAAAGGCCTTTGACTAAATTCAACAACCCTTCTTGCTAAAAACTCTCAATAAATTGGGTATTGATGGGACGTATCTCAAAATAATAAGAGCTATCTATGACAAACCCACAGCCAATATCATACTAAATGGGCAAAAACTGGAAGCATTGCCTTTGAAAACTGGCACAAGACAGGCATGCCCTCTCTCACCACTCCTATTCGACATAGTGTTGGAAGTTCTGGCCAGGGCAATCAGGCAGGAGAAGGAAATAAAGGGTATTCATTTAGGAAGAGAGGAAGTCAAATTGTCCCTGTTTGCAGATGACATGATTGTATATCTAGAAAATGCCATTGTCTCAGCCCTAAATCTCCTTAAGCCAATAGGCAACTTCAGCAAAGTCTCAGGATACAAAATCAATGTGCAAAAATCACAAGCATTCTTATACACCAATAACAGACAAACAGAGAGCCAAATCATGAGTGAACTCCCATTCACAATTGCTTCAAAGAGAATAAAATACCTAGGAATCCAACTTACAAGGGACGTGAAAGACCTCTTCAAGGAGAACTACAAACCACTGCTCAATGAAATAAAAGAGGATACAAACAAATGGAAGAACATTCCATGCTCATGGATAGGAAGAATCAGTATCGTGTAAATGGCCATACTGCCCAAGGTAATTTATACATTCAATGCTATCCCCATCAAGCTACCAATGACTTTCTTCACACAATTGGAAAAAACTACTTTAAAGTTCACATGGAACCAAAAAAGAGCCCGCACTGCCAAGTCAATCATAAGCCAAAAGAACAAAGCTGGAGGCATGACGCTACCTGACTTCAAACTATACTACAAGGCTACAGTAACCAAAAGAGCATGGTACTGGTACCAAAACAGAGATATAGACCAATGGAACACAACAGCGCCCTCAGCAATAATGCCACATATCTACAACCATCTGATCTTTGACAAACCTGACAAAAACAAGCAATGGGGAAAGGATTCCCTATTTAATAAATGGTGCTGGGAAAACTGGCTAGCCACATGTAGAAAGCTGAAACTGGATCCCTTCCTTACACCTTATACAAAAATTAATTCAAGATGGATTAAAGACTTAAATGTTAGACCTAAAACCATAAAAAACCTAGAAGAAAACCTAGGCAATACCATTCAGGACATAGGCATGGGCAAGGACTTCATGTCTAAAACACAAAAGCAATGGCAACAAAAGCCAAAATTGACAAATGGGATCTAATTAAACTAAAGAGCTTCTGCACAGCAAAAGAAACTACCATCAGAGTGAACAGGCAACCTACAGAATGGGAGAAAATTTTTACAATCTGCTCATCTGACAAAGGGCTAATATCCAGAATCTACAATGAATTCAAACAAATTTACAAGAAAAAAACAACCCCATCAAAAAGTGGGTGATGGATATGAACAGACACTTCTGAAAAGAAGACATTTATGCAGCCAAAAGACACATGAAAAATGCTCATCATCACTGGCCATCAGAGATATGCAAATCAAAACCACAATGAGATACCATCTCACACCAGTTAGAATGGCAATCATTAAAAAGTCAGGAAAAAACAGGTGCTGGAGAGGATGTGGAGAAATAGGAACACTTTTACACTGTTGGTGGGACTGTAAACTAGTTCAACCATTGTGGAAGTCAGTGTGGCGATTCCTCAGGGATCTAGAACTAGAAATACCATTTCACCCAGCCATCCCATTACTGGATATATACTCAAAGGATTATAAATCATGCTGCTATAAAGACACATGCACATGTATGTTTACTGCGGCACTATTCACAATAGCAAAGACTTGGAACCAACCCAAATGTCCAACAATGATAGACTGGATTAAGAAAATGTGGCACATATACACCATGGAATACTATGCAGCCATAAAAAAGGATGAGTTCATGTCCTTTGTAGGGACATGGATGAAGGTGGAAACCATCATTCTCAGCAAACTATCGCAAGGACAAAAAACCAAACACCACATGTTCTCGCTCGTCAGTGGGTACTGAACAATGAGAACACATGGACACAGGAAGGGGAACATCACACACCGGGGCCTGTTGTGGGGTGGGGGAGGGGGGAGGGATAGCATTAGGAGATATACCTAATGTTAAATGACGAGTTAATGGGTGCAGCACACCAACATGGCACATGTATACATATTTAACTAACCTGCACGTTGTGCACATGTACCCTAAAACTTAAAGTATAATTTAAAACAAGGAAGAAAAAAAATTAGTGTGTTTTGTGATTTTTAACTATGAGGTACTTATTTTCCTTTAAATTTCAATTGTAGGATTTCTTTATGTCCTAAGGTGAAGGTAGGTAATTCCAGGGATTTGCTTGTTTCACTAATGTACCTAGGCTCACTACTTGTTTGCGACCTCAAAATTATCTATGTAGTATTCATTTGACCAGTCAATTAATGTGAAATAGAATTTCATCTCTGTGTGTTGGTAGGCTTAGGTTTAAAATTTCTCAAGTGAGTGAGATCATTGAAAATGGTAGAGGAAGAAACTCCAAAACTGCATTCATCCATTAAAGAAAAAATGGTCAGAATAAAATATTTTGGAAGACAAATTATAATTTAGGAATTACAACAAGAAAGGGAACACTTAATTTTTAAAAGGCACCAAATTTCAGTGAGAGAGCATTATGGCATTTTAACTTATTGTCTACCATCCTACACTACCTAGCTGGTAGGCTGCCATAGGGGCAGCTGCTTGTTTTCCTGTTGTGGCTTGCTAGGAGCCAGAGAGGCAATTTGGACGCTGTTCTCACATAAATGTGGTTTTGTGTTTTGATCTGTCTGAAAGCTCCCAGAGGGGTTAGCTCAGAATTGTGGTTTTTTGTTTGTTTGTTTTGTTTGTTTGTTTGTTTTGCCAGCCTTTTAACTTTTGTTGAAAGCATTTAAAGGCAAACATGCAGGCTGCAGCCTCCTAGGACAAGAAATAATAGAACAAGCCATAGACAGACCAAAAATCCTTGGGGAAAATGCTACTGAAGGAGATATGTGGGGAGTAAGGGCTTTTAAAAGCCCCTGTATATAGAAGGGAAACAGAAAGCTATGGGAGAGATACATGCTCAGAAAACACTGGAGAAAACCTGACGATTTCACTTCTTACTGACCTTTACTTTAGGCTCTAGCAAGGAGGAAGTGAAGGTCTATGCAGAGATGTAAATGGCCAAGCTAAGCACCAAAAGAGTGCACCAACACAGAGCCAATCTACAAAGATTGTAGGATAACTAAAAACATTTTTTTAACTTTAGATATTTTTAAAAACATGTTTAATTACTAAGTGACCACTGAGATAACAGAACAGAGATTTCAGGGACCAAAAATGACAAAGAATATAGTCTTTAAAAATAGATCAGAAAAATCACCAAACAAACAAAAAATCACAACCTACAACAAATAGCAACAAAAAACCCCAAGGAGGAGAGATAACCTGATTTATAAGGTTACCACATTATAATAATATAAATGTCCAGTTTTCAACAAAAAAGAGGCACAAACAAAGTAAGAAAGTATGGTTCATTCACAGAAAGAAAAAAAATTAATAGCTATAGACCCTGAGTAAGCCTAGATATTTGCCACATTAAATGCAGACTTTATGCTTTAAATAAACTGTCTTAAATATGCTCAAAGAGCTAAGGGAAACAATGAACAAAGAACTAAAGGAAGCCTGGAGAACTATTATCTCAACAAAGTGAGGATATCAATAGAGATAGAAGTTGTAAAAGAGCACTACATAAAAATTCTGGATACGGAATTATAGCTGGATAGAAATAATGAGTTCTGGTATTTTGCAGATCTGTAGGGTAAATATGGGAGCAGAGATAAAATCAATAGAGAATAGAAAAGAAATAGAGAGTTTGAATGAAACCAGAAGTTGCTCCCTCCAAAAGATATGAAAATTGTCAAATCTCTAGCAAGACTGTCAAAAAAAATACAGAGAGAGAGACTCAATTTACGGAAATTTGGAAGTAGAGAACACATCAGCACAATGCACAATTGCAGAATAGGAGGATCCAGCCCCCGTATCTCCACAGATACATTGATCTTAACAAACAACTTTATAGTTTGGATGTTTGTTCCTAAAAAGCTCATGTTGAAATTTGATGCCTAATCTTGGAGGTGGAGCCTAATGGGAAGTGTTTTGGTTATGGGAGTAGATCTTTCATGAAAAGATTAATACCCTCCCTCAGGGAGGGGGTGAGTGAGTTCCTGTTCTACTAGATCCCAGGAGAGCTGGTTGTTAAAAAGAGCCTGGCACCTCCCTTTCTCTCTTACTTTCTCTCTCACCATGTGATCTTTATACACCCTGACTCCCCTTCACCATCTGCCATGAGTAGAAGCAGCCTGAGGCCATCACCAGAAGTAAATGCTGGTGCTGTGCTTTTCGTACAGCCTGCAGAACCATGAGCCAAATAAACCTCTTTCCTTTATAAATAACTCAGCCTCAAGCATTTCTTTGTCACTACATAAAATGGACTGAGACAGATGAGAAAACATTTAGGGGAGCCCAGGAATCCAGCTGAAAGTTTCGAGCTCCCTGCTGTAGAAAAAAACAAAAAAACAAAAAAACAACCTAGGAATAGATGTATTGAAGAGGGTAAGTAGAACAATTTCATATACCCATGTCACCCCCCACCACCCACCTGCCCAAGGTGGCAGAGCTCAGGGCCAAAAGAGACCTCCTCAGAAACTGACGGATCCTATGAACTGGCTTGTGTATTCCACCAAAAGTTCCACTCATGAACCTCATAGGATGTTTCACCTGTGGACCTTCCAACTAGCTGACATACACCCTCATTAGTCCACATGCTCCTTCCCCAAGAGCTGAGACCCTGCATTCACCCACAGATAGTGTGCATGAGCCTCAATAGACAGCACACAGATATGACCAGCCACTGCAACTCTGCTAGATTTGGAGAAAATGCTCAATCTTGACACTTCAAGATTGCACTGCCATAGAGAAAATAATTAGGAGGCTTTCAGCAGCTGGCATGGCATTGTGAAATCAAGAGAAGGTACACAATCCCAAGACTTCAGAAGATTGGAGCAGATATATCCATACAAAATATCTGAGAGATCCCCCAAAATCTTGAGTCAGACTCACTTGTGAAGATCTTTACCTCGAGGAGGTTACTGTTTCTTCAAATGTGAAGACAGAGACACAAGGCTTCAAGGGAAATGAAGAATCAAGGACACATGAGACACCAAAGGAACAAAATAAAGCTCCAATGGCTGATGCCAAAGAAATGAAAATCAATGAACTTCTTGATAAGAATTATAATAATTGTCTTAGAAAAGCTCAGTGAGCTACAACATAACACAGATAAATAAATAAATGAAATTTTAAAAACACATGAACAGAATGAGAAATTTAACAAAGAGATAGAAACTATACAAAAGAACCAAACAAATTCTGGAGCTGAACAATAACTGAACTGAACAATTCAACAGATAGCTCAACAACATGCTTAATCATGCAGGAAAAAAGTCAGTAAACTTAAAGACAGATTGTTTAAAATTATCCAGTATACAGAATGAAAAGAAAAAAGAATGGAAATGGGTGAAGAATGCTTACAGGACTATGGAAGACCACCAAGTGAACCAATAGATGCATTATGAAAGGCCAAGGAGCAGAAAAAAAGAAAGGGAGAGAAAGCATATTTAAATAAATGATGACAGAAAACTTCCCAAATCTAGAGAGAGAAATTAATATCCAGATCTTTGAAGCCCAAAGAACTCAAAACAGATTGAACATAAAAAGGTATTCACCGAGACACATTATGATCAAATTGCGAAAAGTCAATGACAAGGAGAATTTTGTAAGCAGCAAGAGAAAAGCAACTCACCACATAAAGGGAATCCCCATAACATTACAAGGGATTTCTTAGAAGAAACCTTGCAGACCAGGAGAGAGTGGGATAATACATTCAAAGGGCTGAAAGAAAAAAAAAACACTACCAACTAAGAATGCTTTGTCCAGCAAGTTGTCCTTCAGAAATGAAAATAAATAAATAAATAAATAAAAATGTTCCCAGACAAATAAAAGCTGAGGGAGTTTATCACCAATAGGCCTTCCTTACCAAATGCTAAAGGGAGTTCTTCAAGTTTAGAAACAAAAGGATGATAATTAACAACATTAAAACATATGAAAGTATAAAACTCACCAGTAAAAATAAGTATATAGTTGAATTCAGAATAGTCTAATAATGTAATGATGTTATATAAATCACTTTCAACTCTAGTATAAAGTTAAAAGACAAAAGCATTAAAAATAACTCTAGCCATAATAATTTTTTAATGAACACACAATACAGAATGATGTAAATTGTGACATCAATAACTTAAAATGTGGCAGTGGAGAAGTAAAAGTGTAGTTATTGTCTGTGATTAAACTTGTTATCAGCTAGAATCAATAATAATACTTATATCAGCAATATAAAACTAGAAATCAACAACAGGAGGAATCTTGGAAAAGTCACAAATACATGGAAGTTAAACAGCATTCCCCTGAAAAACCAATAAATCAAAGATTAAATAAAAAAGGAAATGAAAATTATCTTGAGAGAAACAAAAATGAAAATATCATATACCAAACTTATAGTATACATCAAAAGCCATTATAACAGAGAAGTCTATAGCAATAAATGCCAACATTAAGAAAAACAAAAGATTTGAAATAAACAACCTAACTTTATAACTCACAGAGAAAAAGAAGAAAAAATCAAGCCTAAAGTGATTAGAAAAAAAGAAAATAATCAATATAACAGCAGAAATAAATGAAATAGAGACTAGAAAAACAATCGAAATGACCAGATAACTAAGAGTTGGTTTCTCAAAAAGATAAACCAAATTGACAAACCTTTAGCTAGACTAGAAAAAAAGAGAGTAGACTCGAAAAAATCAGAAACGAAGGAAGAGACATTACAGCTGATAGCACATAAATGCAATGGATCAGGAGAGACTACTGGAAGGTGGCACACCCCAACTACAAGGGGACAGAAGCTCCTTCACTCAGGAACCTTCCAGTCCACACCCTATGTATGTCTTCATCTCAATGTTCAACTATACCCTTCGTCATATCCTTTATTAATATAATAAACCAGTAAATGTAAGTGTTTTCTTAAATTCTGTGAGTCATGCTAACAAATTAATTGTACCTGAGGAAGGGGTCTAGAAAAACCCTGATTATTAGCTGGTAGGTCAGAAGCATGTGTAAAACAATCTGGAGCTTTCAACTGGCATTAGAAGTGGGGGGCCATCTTGTGGGACTGAGCCCTTAACCTGTAGGATTTGACTCTAATTCCAGGTAGAGAGTGTCATAATCAAATTGAATTATAGGACACCCTGTTGGTGTCTGTTGCAGAAAAGTTTGGTGTTTAGGGAAAAAAGCCACACATTTTGGCCACAAAAAGTGTTCTGTGTTGTGTTGAATGGAGCATTTGAGAGAAGGAAGAACATCTTGTGTTTTTTTTTCCTATCAAATGCACTAATATACAGCATAATATCGATAGGTAACAATAATGTATTATATACCTAAACTTTGCTAAGACAGTAGATATGTTAATTGTTCTTAACACACACACAAACACACACACACAGACACACAATGATAATAAAGGGGATGGGAGGACTCTTTGGAAAGTGATAGATATATTTATGCCCTTATCATTAACATTAAATGTATAGAGCTTTTTTATATATCAATCATATATCAATTAAATAGTTTTAAAATGAAATAAAATGTGGGGACATTACTAGCGACCTTACAGAAATATGAAGTGGTATAAAACATACTATGGACAATTGTCTACTGCAAATTAGATAACCTAGATAAAATGGACAACTTCCTAGAAACACAAAAACTGCCCAAATGACTCAAGAAGTACAAAATCTGATGAGATATAGGTAAAGAGAATGAATCAGTAACCAAAAACCTCCTAGCAAAGAAAAGTCCAGGATCAAATGGCTTCAGTGGTGAATTGTACCAAACATTTAAAAGTAATTAACATAAAGCTGGGTGCAGTGGCTCACGCCTATAATTCCATCACTTTGGGAGGCTGAGGTGAGCAGGATCACCTGAGGTCAGGAGTTCTAGACCAGCCTGGCCAACATGGTGAAACCCCATCTCTACTAAAGATACAAAAATTAGCCAGGCATGGTGGTGCATGCCTGTAATCCCAGCTACTTGGGAGGCTGAGGCAGGAGAATAGCTTGAACCCGGGAGGTGGAGGTTGCAATGAGCTGAGATTGCACCACTGTGCTCCAGCCTGGGTGACAGAGCGAGACTGTCTCAAAAAAAAAAAAAAAAAATTAACACAAACACATCTTGAAGTATTCCAAAAACTAGAAGAGGATTGCAACATTTCCTAACTCATTCTATGAAGACACCCTTAAACTGAGATCACAGCCAGACAAAAATATCACAAGAAAACTATAGATCAATATCACTTATGAATATAGATGTAAAAATTCTCAAAAATATCAACAACTATCAAACTGAATCTCACAGCATATTAAAATATTATACTCCATGACCAAGTGGAATTTATTCCAGGAATACATATTTAGTTCAATATATGAAAATCAACATAATACATCACATTAAGAGAATGAAGGAAAAACATCACGTTCTTACAAATTGATACAGAAAAGGCCTTTGACAAATTCCAATTCCCTACCATGATAAAAACACTCACCAAACCAGGAATAAAAGAGAACTTCCTTCACATGATAAAAGGCATTTACAAAAAACTTATAGCTAGCATCATACTTAAGGATGAAAGACTTTCTCCTATAATCAAAAACAAGACAAGGATGCCCACTTTTACTGCATCAATTCAACATGGTACTGGAAGTCTAGCCAGATAATTAGGCAAGACAAAAGAATAAAGGGCATATAAATTGGAAAGGAAAAAGTGAAACTCTCTCTCGTCATTAATGATGTGATGCTATACATAGAAAATCCCAAGATCCACAAGAAACTTACTAGAATTAATAAACCAGTTCAGTCACCTGTGGCAAACTGCTTGTTACCATTCCACAAAGACATAAGAAGCTGGCATCATAATGTCAATGTGCTCACTGCTACTTTCATAAAAAAAAAAACCTGCTATGAAATAATGTGTAATTTGTTGTCAATTTAAATAAATTCTGGCATAGATTCCTTTTTTTTTTTTAAACTTCAGATTAGCACTTTGAGTAGGATCATTCAGGCTTGATCATATGCTCCAACTTTATAACTACATTTTACACATTTAAATTAATATGAAAAAAGATTGTGCTCACTTTGGCAGCACATATACTAAAATTGGAACGATATAGAGAAGATTAGCATGGCCCCTGTGCAAAGATGACATGCAAATTCATGAAGCATTCTGTATTTTTAATTAAAAGACACAGAATGGCAAGGTGGATAAGAGTCAAGACCCATCAGTGTACTGTATTCAAAAGACCCATCTCACATGCAAAGACACACATAGGCTCATGAAAGCAGAAAGAAAGCAGGGTTGCAATCCTAGCTTCTGACAAAACAGACTTTAAACCAACAAAGATCAAAAAAGACAAAGAAGGGCATTACACAATGGTAAAAGTTCAATTCAACGAGGAGATCTAACTACCCTAAATATATATGCACCGAATACAGGAGCACTCAGATTCATAAAAAGAAGTTCTTAGAGATCTACAAAGAGACTTAGACCCCCACACAATAATAGTGGAAGACTTTAACACCCCACTGTCAATATTAGACAGATTGTCAAGACAGAAAACTAACAAGGATATTCAGGACTTGAATTCAGCTCTGGACCAAGTGGACCTGACACATATCTACAGAGCACTCCATCCAAAAACAACAGAATATACATTTTTCTTGGTGCCATGTAGCACTTACTCTAAAGTCGATCACATAATTGGAAGTAAAACACTCCCCAGCAAATGCAAAAGAACTGAAATCATAACAGTCTCTCAGACCACAGTACAATCAAATTAGAACTCGAGATTAAGAAACTCACTCAAAACCACACAACTACATGGAAACTGAACAACCTGCTCCTGAATGACTCCTGGGTAAATAATGAAATTAAGGCAGAAATCAAGAAGTTCTTTGAAACTAATGAGAACAAAAATACAAAGTACCAGAATCTCCGGGACGCAGCAAAAGCAGTGTTAAAAGGGAAATTTGTAGCACTAAATGTGCACATCAAAAAGCTACAAAGATCTCAAATTAACACCCTAACAACACAACTAAAAGAACTAGAGAACCAAGAGCAAACAAACCCCAGAGCTGGCAGAAGACAAGAAATAACCAAGATCAGAGTTGAACTGAAGGAGATACAGACATGAAAAACCCTTCAAAAAGTCCATGAATCCAGGAGCTGGTTTTCTGAAATAAAATAAATAAATAAATAAATAAATAAATAAATAAATAAATAGGCCACTAGCTAGACTAATAAAGAAGAAAAGACAGAATAATCAAATAGACACAATAAAAAATGATAGAGGATATCACCAATGACCCCACAGAAATACAAAAAACTACCAGAGAATACTATAAACACCGCTATGCAAATGAACTAGAAAATCTAGAAGAAATGGATAAATTCCTGGACACATAGACCCTCAAGACTGAACCAGGAAGAAGTTGAATCCCTGAATAGACCAATAACAAGTTCTGAAATTGAGGCAGGAATAAATAGCCTACTAACCAAAAAAAGCCCAGGACCAGACAAATTTACAACTGAATTCACCCAGAGGTACAAAGAGGAGCTGGGACCACTTCTTCTGAAACTATTCCAAACAACTGAAAAGAAGGGACTCCTCCCTAACCCACTTTATGAGGCCAGCATCATCCTGATACCCAAAACCTGGCAGAGATACAACAAAAACAAAAAAACTTCAAGCCAATATCCCTTATGAACATCAATGCAAAAATCCTCAGTAAAATACTGGCAAACAGAATCTAGTAGCATATTGAAAAGCTTATCCACCACGATCAAGTTGGCTTCATCTCTGGGATTCAAGTCTGGTTCAGCATATGAAATCAAATTAACGTATTTTATCACATAAACAGAACCAATGACAAAAACCACAAGATTATCTCAACAGATGCAGAAAAGGCCTCCGATAAAATTCAACATCTCTTCGAGTTAAAAACTCTCAACAAACTAGGTATTGAAGGAACATACCTCAAAATAATAAGAGCCATTTATGGCCAGGGGTGGTTGCTCATGACTGTAATCCCAGCACATTGGGAGGCTGAGGCGGGCAGATCACCTGAGGTCAGGAGTTCGAAACCAGCCTGGCCAACATGGCGAAATTCCATCCCTACTAAAAATACAAAAATTGGCCTGGCATGGTGGCAGGTGCCTGTAGTCCCAGCTACTCGGGAGGCTGAGGCATGAGAATCACTTGAACCCAGGAGGCAGAGGTTGCAGTGAGCCGAGATTGTGCCACTGCACTCCAGCCTGGGTGACAGAGCAAGACTCCATCTCAAAAAAAGAAAGAAAAAGAAAAGAAAGAAGAGCCATTTATGACAAACTCATAGCCAATATCATACTGAATGGGCAAAAGCTGGGAGCATTTCCCTTGAAAACCAGCACAAGATAAAAACACACTCTCTCTCCCCTTCTATTTTTTTTTTTTTTTTTTTGAGACGGAGTCTCGCTCTGTCACCCAGGCTGGAGTGCAGTAGTGCGATCTCGGCTCACTGCAACTTCCGCCTCCCGGGTTCACGCCATTTTCCTGCCTCAGCCTCCCGAGTAGCTGGGACTACAGGCACCTGCCACCGCACCTGGCTAATTTTTTGTATTTTAGTAGAGATGGGGTTTTACCATGTTAGACAGGATGGTCTCGATCTCCTGACCTCGTAATCTGCCTGCCTCGGCCTCCCAAAGTGCTGGGAGTACAGGCATGAGCCACCGTGCCTGGCCTCTCCCCTTCTATTTAACATAGTATTAGAAGTTCTGGCCAGGGTAATTGGTCAAGAGAAAAAAATAAAGGGTATTCAAATAGGAGGAGAGGAAGTCAAATTGTCTCTTTTTGCAGATGACATGATCCTATATCTAGAAAACCCCATCACCTCAGCCCAAGATCTTCTTAAGCTGATAAGCAACTTCAGCAAAGTCAGGATACAAAATCAATGTGCAAAAATCACAAGCATTACTATACACCAACAACAGACAAGCAGAAAGCCAAATCATGAAAAAACTCCCATTCACAATGGCTACAAAGAGAATAAAATACCTAGGAATACAGCTAACAAGGGAAATGAAGGACCTCTTCAAGGAGAACTAGAAACCACTGCTCAAAAAAGTCAGAGAGGACACAAATAAATAGAAAAACATTCCATGCTCATGGATAGGAAGAATTAATATCGTGAAAATGGCCACACTGCCCAAAGCAATTTATAGATTCAATGCTATTCCTATTAAACTACCATTGATATTCTTCACAGAATTAGAAAAAACTACATTAGAATTCATATGGAACCAAAAAGAGCCAGTATAGCCAAGACAATCCTAAGCAAAAAGAAAAAAGTTGGAGGCATCACACTACTTCAAACTATACTACAAGGCTACATAGACTACAGACTCATAGACCAATGGAACAGAATAGAGATCTCAGAAATCAGACTGCACATCTACAACCATCTGATTTTCAACAAATCTGACAAAAGCAACAGGGAAAGGATTGCTTATTTAATAAATGGTGCTGTAAAAACTGTCTAGTCATATGCAGAAAACTGTAATTAGACCCCTTCCTTACATCATATACAAAAATTAACTCAAGATGGATTAAACACTTAAATGTAAAACCCCAAACCATAAAAACCCAGAAGAAAATCTGGGCAATACCACTCAAAATGTAGGGACGGGCAAAGATTTCACAACAAAAATGTCAAAAGCAATTGCAACAAAAGCAAAAATTGACAAATGGGATCTAATTAAACTAAAGAGCTTCTGCACAGCAAAAGAAACTATAATCAGAGTGAACAGACAACGTACAGGTTGGGAGAAAATTTTTGAAATCTATTCATCTGAAAAAAGTCTAATATTCAGAATCTACAAGGAACTTAAACAAATTTAGCAAAAAACCCCAAACAACCCCATTAAAAAGTGGGCAAAGGACATGAACACACACTTCTCAAAAGAAGACATTTATACAGCCAACAACCATGAAAAAAAGCTCCACATCACTGATCATTACAGAAATGCAAATCAAAACTACATTAAGATACCATCTCACACCAATCAGAATGGCAATTATTAAAGAGTCAAGAAACAACAGATGCTGATGAGGCTGTGGAGAAACAGGAACACTTTTACACTGTTGGTGGGAATGCAAATTAGTTCAACCATTGTGAAAGACAGTGTGGCAATTCCTCAAAGACCTAGAACCAGAAATACCATTTGACTCAGCAATCCCATTACTGGGTATATACCCAAAGGAATATAAATCATTCTATTATAAAGATACATGCACATGTATGTTCATTGCAGCACTATCCACAATAGCAAAGATGTGGAATCAACCCAAATGCCCATCAATGATAGATTGGATAAAGAAAATGTGGTACCATATATACCATAGAATACTATGCAGCCATAAAAAGGAATGAGATCATGTCCTTTCAGGGACATGGATGGAGCTGGAAGTCATTATCTTCAGCAAACTAATGCAGGAAAAGAAAACCCAACACTGCATGTTCTCACTTATTAGTGGGAGCTGAACAATGAGAACACATGGACAGAGGGAAGGGAACAACATACACTGGAGCCTGTCGGGGGAGGAAGGGGGAGGGCAGGGGAGGCAAGAGCATTAGGGAGAAGAGCTATTGCATGCCAGGTTTAATAACTAGGTGATGAGTTGATAGGTGCAGCAAACCACCATGGCACACATTTACCTATATAAAAAACCTTCACATTCTGTACATGTATCCTGGAACTTAAAATTAAATTAAAAAATTTACTTCTCAATCAAAATTAATTACTTGGTCTTGTGATTTTAATTTTATTTTTCTCTAGGTCTGTATAAAGTGAGTGAATCCACTAAATGCTAGTATTCTAGTTCCTATGCTGTTACTATTTCTCCTTATAATTTAATAAACTGATATTTTGAATCCTGTAAATCTTGTGAACTTGCTAAACATGAGCTTTTCCCACACAGATGGATCTATTTTTCTGTTATGAGGTTATTGAGCTTCTGAGCTGGTATGGTCTAGGGCCAGATATTGTGTACTTCTTTTAATGCCATCAAGGTACTAAGTGTTATTATGGATGGCTTCTTGAGGACATCCAGTAGACCTGGCAACACAGAGACACATCCTTTGGCCTGATCAACAGCCTTTTCCATTTTGAAACTCCAAGAAAGTTTCAAGGGAGTTATAGAAGAATATTAGTGTCCCTCACCACTAATCAATCTAATTGATGGAATATGAAAATAAAATTAATTGGAGATGAAATTAACTAGAGAGCCCAACTATGTATGTGAGTTATGTATATAACATCTCAGATAAGACACAATGCTTATTATAAACTGCAGTAAGTGAACTGGTATGTTTCTAACACCAGAGAACAGTTACCTCAGAAACACATGTGAAAATGACATCATCAATTTCAAAAGAGACATGAGAAATTGTTGGAGTAGGGGCGTATTATTGAATAAATGATACTGGTATTATGTAGAAAAAAATCCATTTCTATTTTCCTCTTCCATTTTTCATTTACCAGCCAAAATTCATTCTAGGTAAATGAGTATTTATTTCTCCTTCCACTCCATTTAAAACACTCATTAAGACATTTAATCTTCCTGGGATTTGTTCATGTGTATTGGAATTTAACTTGTTTTCCCAAATAACTAGCTAATTATTCCAACACCGTTCACTAAATATGCAAAAAAAAAAAAAAAAAAACGTTAACATAGCAGGCCTGAGATTGCTCTCCTTAGAAACTCCTGCTTGCCAGGACGGCCCTGGAGTCTGGGAACTTGGACTAAGGGAGAATTCCCACCATTCCTAGAGCTGATAAGAATGGCTCACTGTACATAAACTTTTTGTGCAAACAATGTGGTTCATGCAAAATACTTTCTTTCCTTCTTGGATTCTGGAATTTTGGCCTGTGCTAGGCAAAGGGCAGATACATGAAAAGCCCCCAGTAAAAATCTTGGGCATTGAGTCTCTAATGTTGTCTTTGGTAGACAAAACATTTCACACATGTTGTCACAATTAATTGTTGGAGGAATTAAGCATATCCTGTGTGACCACACACAGCAAGAGGACTCTTGGAAGCTTGAGCCTATTTTCTTCTAGATTTTGCTCCATGCTTTTTCCCCCTTTGCTGGTTTGGTTTTGTATCCTTTCACTGTAATAAATCACAGCTGTGAGTACAACTATATGCCAAGTCCTGTGTGTCCTGCTAGCAAATCATTGAACATGTGGATGGTCTTGAGGACCCACAGCAGACTGAATATTTCACTTTTTTCCATGAATCTGAACTGTCGTCTTAGTATAAATGCCTATATATGGGCTCTCTGTGTCCCATTTATCTTTTCCTGAGTCAGTTCTACTGTTTTAATAACCATAGGTTGATAAAAAAAATTTTAGATTCCTGCCCAACCTCCAAATTACTTTCCTTTCAAAATTGCTGGACTGTTCATAGGTTTGTGTGTGCACAGAAATTTATAAGGATTTCTTGAACCTCTGAAAACCTCTAAACCAAGGACCTCTAAAGGCAAATGGGGAAAACCTAAAAATATCCACTCACAAGAAAGAAAATACAACTAGGTAATAAACATCTGAAAATATGTTTAACCTCTTTACTAATATCAAAACAACAGTGCAATACTACATTATCCAATTCCATTAGTAAATGACTTAAAAATTAAAAATATATGCCGCTAAGGTCATAAACACATTAAAAACAGTATGTTCTAAGCTTACCATCTCTTTCTAAGACAAACTTTCTAGTGTACAGTCCCATCTCAAAGGAAGTATTTACTTGATTCTGAAGCAAGGTGTTTCCACTAACCTGAACCAGCATTGAATACCTGGGCCAAGGATAAACAAAGATACACAGAGAAGGAAGGATCAGGAATGTTAATGGCAGAATATGAAGATTATCTGAATGGCTGTCCAATCAAACAGTACAAGTTAACCGCTGGAGTGAAGGTATAAACACATTAGATTAGGAAGTGGGCTCAAAAGAAGGTGAAAGTTCATGGAGTTGGTGAGAGGGATCAGGAGTGTCACCATGTAGGGGGTGGATGGCCTTGTAGAAAATATTTGAAGGATCGACAGGCTTTTGACAGACATTATAGCGGGGGAGGGATAACTGGAGGGAAGGGACAAAGTAAGAAAGGTAGCTTCTCATTTGGGTATATACCCAGTAATGGGATGGCTGGGTCAAATGGTATTTCCAGTTCTAGATCCCTGAGGAATCGCCACACTGACTTCCACAATGGTTGAACTAGTTTACAGTCCCACCAACAGTGTAAAAGTGTTCCTATTTCTCCACATCCTCTCCAGCACCTGTTGTTTCCTGACTTTTTAATGATTGCCATTCTAACTGGTGTGAGATGGTATCTCATAGTGGTTTTGATTTGCATTTCTCTGATGGCCAGTGATGATGAGCATTTTTTCATGTATTTTTTGGCTGCATAAATGTCTTCTTTTGAGAAGTGTCTGTTCATGTCCTTCGCCCACTTTTTGATGGGGTTGTTTGTTTTTTTCTTGTAAATCATGCTGCTATAAAGACACATGCACACGTATGTTTATTGCGGCATTATTCACAATAGCAAAGACTTGGAACCAACCCAAATGTCCAACAATGATAGACTGGATTAAGAAAATGTGGCACATATACACCATGGAATACTATGCAGCCATAAAAAATGATGAGTTCATGTCCTTTGTAGGGACATGGATGAAATTGGAAACCATCATTCTCAGTAAACTATCGCAAGAACAAAAAACCAAACACCGCATATTCTCACTCATAGGTGGGAATTGAACAATGAGATCACATGGTCACAGGAAGGGGAATATCACACTCTGGGGACTGTGGTGGGGTGGGGGGAGGGGGGAGGGGTAGCATTGGGAGATATACCTAATGCTAGATGACGAGTTAGTGGGTGCAGCGCACCAACATGGCACATGTATACATATGTAACTAACCTGCACAATGTGCACATGTACCCTAAAACTTAAAGTATAATAAAAAAAAAAAAAAAGTTAGATTAAAAAAAAAAAAAAAGAAAGGTAGCTTCTCCAGGTACAACAAACTGTGTGAATAAGCTGCGGTGCAGATAATGAGTATGAAAAGCTTATTTTAATCTGTAAAGAGTATATGATATATGTGCCACCCTAAAAGGCATTGGGTACAAATGTTTCAGAGATAAGTTTTAAGGTGTCTTTAAGGTACAGACGATCTCTATCTTATATAAACAGTTCCTGAGACTAGAAAAAGAACAAAAGCTATCCAAACTGATTTAATGAGTTCAACATAACAAAACAATAATGAGAAAATTATTGTTCAATCATAAACAATAATGAAAAATTGTCAAGGTGAACCCTGCAGTATATTAATAAACAATAATAATAACAAAAATACTGTGATAGAACTTCAATGAGATAGGCATATCCACAATTGTAAATAGGGATATGCATACTTACAGTCAAAGATTTCAGCAACACTCTTTCAATAACAAAAAACAGAGACAAAATAAGTAAAGCTGTACAATAGAAGACATAAAATTATGAACTGGAGAAGGGCCCAAGATGGCTGAGTATAAACAGCTCTGGTCAGCAGCTCCCACTGAGACGAATGCAAAAGGCAAGTGATTTCTGCATTTCCAACTGAGGTACACAGATTTTCTCTGGGTCATTGGGACTGACTAGGTGGATGGCATCATCCATGGAGAACAAAGAAATGCAGGGTGGGGTGACAGTTCACCTGGGAGCTGCATGGTGCAAAGGGACCTCCCTCCCTCAGCCAAGGGAGGTGGTGAGGGACTGTGCTACCTGCTCAGGGTTCTACACTTTTCCCACGGATTTCTGCAATCTGCAGATCAGAAGATTCCTTTGTGTGCTTATACCACCAGGGCCTTGGGTCCCAAACACAAAACTGGGCAGACCTACGGCAGCTGCACCAGTCAGTAGCAGTTGGGGCAGGCACTGAGCTGCAGGAGTTTTTACATACTCTGGTGGCTCCCAGAACTCCAGGGTGGCAGAAGAGCCGTCCACTCCCATGGAAAGGGGGCTGAAGTCAGAGAGCCAAGTAGCCTTGCTCAGTAGGTCCCACAACCACAGAATCCCACAAGCTAAGACCCACTGGCTTGGAATCCCTGCTGGACAGCACAACAGCCTGGAGTCTGCGGAAGATGACCAAGTTCCTGGGGGGAGGGGCGACCACCATTACTGTGGCTCTAGTTGGCAGTTTTCCACTGCCAGTGCTAGAGAAGCTGGGAGGTTTGGACTGGGTGATATTCCCCCACAGCACAGCACAGCGGCTGTAGAAGATCTTGGCCAGACTGCTTCTTTAGGTGGCACCTGGATCCATCCCTCCTCATTGGGCAAGGCCTACCTGCAGGAATTCCTGCAACTCTAGCCAGGGGCTTACAGACAGAACTCTCATCTCCCTGGGAAAGAGCACCTTCAGAGAGGGGTGGCCATGGTCTCAGGTTCAGCAGACTTACTCTTTCCTGCCTGCTGACAAGGGGGAGTCCCCAAGCACAGCACGCCAGCTCCACTAAGCGGAAGCCAGACAGCTTCCTCCTGATCCCATGCCTCCTGACTGGGTGAGACCTCCCAACAGGGGTAGCCAGACACCTCATACAGGAGAGTTCTGGCTGGCATCAGGTCGGTATCCCTCTGGGACAAAGCTTCCAGAGGAAGGAACAGGCAGCAATCTTTGCTGTTCTGCAGGCTCCACTGGTGATACCCAGGTGAACAACGTCTGGAGTGGACCCCCAGCAAACTGCAGCAGACCTGCAGAAGAGGGACCTGATTGCTGGAAGAAAAACAAACAAACAGAAGGCAACAACAACAAAAACATCAACAAAAAAAGACCACACAAAAACCCCATACAAAGGTCAACAGCCTCAAAGAGCAAAGGTAGATAAATCCATGAAGATGAAGAAGAACCAAGGCAAACTGCTGAAAATTCCAAAAGGCAGAATGCCTCTTCTCCTCCAAATGATTGCAACACCTCTCCAGCAAGTGCACAGAACTGGGCTGAGGCTGAGATGGATGAACTGACAGCAGTAGGCTTCAGAATGTGGGTAATAACAAACTTCATTGAGCTAAAGGATTATGTTATAACCCAATACAAAGAAGCTAAGAATCATGATAAAAGGTTACAGGAGCTGTTAACTAGAATAACCAGTTTACAGAGAAACATAAATGACCTAATGAAGCTGAGAAACACAGCATTAGAACTTCAAGCAACACACAAGCATCAATAGCCAAATTGAGCAAGTGGAAGAAAGAGTATCAGAGCTTGAAGACTATCTTGCTGAAATAAGGCAGACAGACAAGATTAGAGAAAAAAGCAAGAAAAGAAATGAACAAAACCTCCGAGAACTATGGGACTATGTAAAAAGACCAAACCTATGACTGATTGGAGTACCTGAAAGAGACAGAGAGAATAGAACCAAGTTGGAAAACATACTTCAGAATAACAACCAGGAGAACTTCCCCAACTTAGCAAGACAGGCCAACATTCAAATTCAGAAAATCCAGAGAACCCCAATAAGATACTCCATAAGAAGATCAACCCCAAGACACATAGTCATCAGATTCTCCGAGGTCAAAATGACAGAAAAAATGATAAGGGCAGCCAGAGAGAAAGACCAGGCCACCTACAAAGGGAAGCTCATCAGACTAACAGCAGATCTCAGTGGAAAACCTACAAGCCAGAATACATTGGGGGCCAATAGTCAACATTCTTAAAGAAAAAAATTTTCCAACCCAGAATTTTATATCCGGTCAAATTAAGCTACATAAGCGAAGGAAAATAAAGTCCTCTTCAGACAAGCAAATGCTGAGGGATTTTCTCACCACCAGGCCTGCCTTGAAAGAGCTCCTAAAGGAATCACTAAACATGGAAAGGAAAAACCATTACCAGCCACTACAGAAACACACTGAAGTACCAACGACACTATGAAGCAACTACAGTAACAAGTCTGCAAAATTAATCAACCAGCATCATGATAACAGGACCAAATTCACACATAACAATATTACCCTTAAACGTAAATGGGGTAAATGCCCCAATTAAAAGACATAGAATGGCAAGCTGGATAAAAAGAGAAGATGCATCAGTATGCTGTATTCAAGAGAAACATATCATGTGCAAAGACACACAGGCTTGAAATAAAGGGATGGAGGAAATTATACCAAGCAAATGGAAAGCAGTAAAAAGCAGGGGTGGGAATCCTAGTTTCTGACAAAATAGACTTTAAACCAACAAAGGTCAACAATGACAAAGAAGGGCATTACATAATATTAAACGGTTCAATTCAACAAGAAGAGCTAGCTATCCTAAATATATATGAGCCCAATACAGGAGCACCCAGATTCATAAAACAAGTTCTTAAAGACCCACAAAGAGACTCAGACCCCCACAAAATAACAGTGGGAGACTTTAATTCCCTGCTGTCAGTATAAGACAGATCATTGAGACAGAAAATTAGCAAAGATATTCAGGACTTGAACTCAGTTCTGGACCGAATGGACCTGATAGGTATCTACAGAACTCTCCACCCAAAAACAACAGAAAATACATTTTTCTCAGCAGCACATGGCACTCACTCTAAAGTTGATCACATGACTGGAAGTAAAGCACTCCTCAGCAAATGCAAAACAACTGAAATCATAACAGTCTCTCAGACCACAGAGCACTCAAGATTAAGAGTTGAGTGAATTGAAACCCACTCAAAACCACACAACTACATGGAAACTGAACAACCTGCTCCTGAAAGACTCCTGGGTAAATAATGAAATTAAGGCAGAAATCAAGAAGTTTTTTGAAACTAATGAGAACAAAGGGACAATGTACCAGAATCTGAGATGCAGCTAAAGCAGTGTTAAGAGGAAAATGTATAACACTGAATGCCCACATCGAAAAGCTAGAAAGATTTCAAATCGACACCCTAACATCACAACAAAAAGGCTAGAGAATAAAGAGCCAACAAACCCCAGAGCTAGCAGAAGACAAGAAATAACCAAGATGAGAGCAAAACTGAAGGAGATAGAGACATGAAAATCCCTTAAAAAATTCAATGAATCTAGGCACGGTGGCTCGCACCTGTAATCCCAGCACTTTGGGAGGCTGAGGCGGGCGGATCACGAGGTCAGGAGATTGAGACCATCCTGGCTAACACAGTGAAACCCCATCTCTACTAAAAATACAAAAAAAATTAGCCGGGCGTGGTGGCGGGCGCCTGTAGTCCCAGCTACTCAGGAGGCTGAGGCAGAATGGCGTGAACCCGGGAGGCGGAGCTTGCAGTGAGCTGAGAATGCACCACTGCACAATGAATCCAGGAGCTGGTTTTTTATTTATAAAAAAAAGTCAGTAAAATAGACCACTAGCTAGACTAACAAAGAGGAAAAGACAGAAGATTCAAATAAACACAATCAGAAATGATAAGGGGGATACCACCACTGACCCCACAGAAATACAAAAAAAAACCCCACCGGAGAATACTATAAACACCTCTATGCAAATAAACTAGAAAATCTAGAAGAAATGGATAAATTCCTGGAGATATACAGCCTTCCAAGACTGAACCAGCAAGAAGTTGAATCCCTGAGCAGACCAATAACAAGTTCTGAAATTGAGGTAGTAATAAACAGCCCACCAACGAAAAAAAATCTCAGGACCAGATGGATTTACAGCTGAATTCTACCAGAGTTACAAAGCGGAGCTGGTACTATTTCTTCTGAAACTATTCCAAACAACTGAAAAGGAGGGACTCCTCCCTAATTCATTTTATGAGGCCAGCATCCTCCCGATACCAAAACCTGGCAGAGATGCAACAAGAAAAGAAAACTTCGAGCCAATATCCCTGATGAACATACATGCAAAAATCCTCAGTAAAATACTAACAAACCGAATCCATATGCAAATCAATAAATGTAATTCATCACATAAACAGAACTAAAGAGAAAAAAACACGATTATCTCAATAGATGCGGAAAAGGCCTTCGATAAAATTCAACATCCCTTCATGTTAAAAACTCTCAACAAACTAGGTATTGAAGGAACATACCTCAAAATAATAAGAGCCATTTATGACAAACCCACAACCAATATCATACTGAATGGGCAAAAGCTGGAAGCATTTCTCTTGAAAACCAGAACAAGACAAGAATACCCTCTCTCACCACTTCTATTAGACATAGTATTAGAAGTTCTGGCCAGGGCAATCAGGCAAGAGAAAGTAATAAAGCATATTCGAATACGAAGAGAGGAAGTCAAATTGTCCTTGTATACAGATAACATGATCCTATACCTAGAAAACCCTATCAATAGAGCCCAAAATCTTCTTAAGCTGATAAGCACCTTCAGCAAAGTCTCAGGATAAAAAATCAATGTGCAGAAATCACAAACATTCATATATACAAACAGCAAACAAGCAGAGAGCCAAATCATGAATGAACTCCCATTTTCAATTGCCACAAAGAGAAGAAAATACCTAGGAATAAAGCTAACAAGGGAAGTGAAGGACCGCTTCGAGGAGAACTACAAACTACTGCTCAAGGAAATCAGAGAGGAAATGAGCAGATGGAAAAACATTCTATACTCATGGATAGGAAGAATCAATATTGTGAAAATGGCCATACTGCCCAAAGTGATTTATAGATTCAGTGCTATTCCCATTAAACTACCATTGGCATTCTTCACAGAATTAGAAGAAACAATTTTAAAATTCACATGGAAGCAAAAAAGAGCTCGTGTAGCCGGGAAAGTCCTAAGTAAAAAGAACAATGCTAGAGGCATCACGCTACCTGACTTCAAACTATACTATAAGGCTACAGTACTACAGTAACCAAAACAGCATGGTACTGGCACAAAAACAGGCACATAGACCAATGGAACAGAATACAGAACTCAGAAATAAAACTGCACATCTACAACCATCTGATCTTTGACAAACCTGACAAAAACAAGCAATGAGGAAAGGATTCCCTATTTAACAAATGGTGCTGGCAGAACTGGCTAGCCATATGCCAAAAATTGAAAATGGACCCCTTCCTTACACCATATACAAAAATTAACTCAAAATGGATTAAAGACTTAAATGTAAAACCCAAAACTATAAAAACTGTAGAAGAAAATCTGGGCAATACCATTCAGGATGTAGGGATGGGCAAAGATTTCATGACAAAAATGTCAAAAGCAACTGCAACAAAAGCAAAAATTGACAAATGGGATCTAATAAAACTAAAGAGCTTCTGCACAGCAAAATAAACCATCATCAGAATGAACAGACAACCTACAGAATGGGAGAAGACTTTTACAGTCTGTCCATCTGACAAAGGTCTAATATCCAGAATCTACAAGAAACTTAAATTTACAAGAAAAAACTAAACAACCCCATTAAAAAGTGGGCAAAAGAAATGAACAATTTTCAAAAGAAGACATAAATGCGGCCAAAAACACATATGAAAAAAAAGCTCAACATCACTGATCATTAGAGAAATGCAATCAAAATCACAATGAGATACCATCTCATACCAGTCAAACTGGCGATTATTAATAAGTCAAGAAACAACAGATCCTGGTGAGGTTGCAGAAGAATAGGGATGCTTTTACACTGTTGTTGGGAATGTAAATTAGTTCAAGCATTGTGGAAGACAGTGAGGCGATTCCCCAAAGACCTAGAATCAGAAATACCATTTGACCCAACAATCCCATTATTGGGTATATACCCAAAGGAATATAAATCATTCTATTATAAAGATGCATGCACATGTATGCTCACTGCAGCAATATTCACAATAGCAAAGATGTGGAATCAACCCAAATGCCCATCAGTGATGGACTGGATAAAGAAAATGTGGTACATGTACACCACGGAATACTATGCAGCCATAAAAAAGGAATGAGATCATGTCCTTTGCAGTGACATGGATGAAGCAGGAAGCCATTATCCTCAGCAAACTAATGCAGAGACAGAAAACCCAACACTGCAGGTTCTCACTTATAAGTGGAAGCTGAACAATGAGAACACATCGACACAGAGACGGGAACAACACACGCTGGGGCCTGTGGGGGGAGGGCAGCAAGCAGGGAGAGCATTAGGAAAATGAGTTAATGCATGCCAGGCTTAATAGCTAGAGGTGATGGGTTGATAGATGCAGCAAACCACCATGGCACACATTTACCTATGTAATTTACCTAGGTGATGGGTTGATAGATGCAGCAAACCACCATGGCACACATCTACCTGCACATCCTGCACATGTACCCTGGAACTTAGAAAATAAAATAAAATAAAATAAAATAAAATAAAATAAAATAAAATAATTCTGAACCAACTGGGCCTTATTGACATTTATAGAACAATTCACACAATAACAGAAGAATACACATTCTCTTCAAGTACACATAGAATATTTATCAAGGCAGACCATATTCTGGACCATAAATGAAGTCTCAGTAAATTAAAAGGATTCAAGTTACACGAAGTATGTTCTCTGGCTACAACGTAATTAAATTAGAAATCAATAACTGGAAAAGTCCCCAAATACTTGAGAACTACACAGCATACATCTAAATAACTAACTCTTGCATCAAAGAACAAACTCAAAGAGAAATCAGTAAGTAATTTCAAACTGAAGAAAAATGAAAACACAACACATCAAAAATTGTGAGATATAGTTAAAGTAGTATTAGAGGGGAATTTGCAGTACTAAAATCCCTATATTAGAAAAGAAGAAAGGTCTCAAATCAATGGCCTCAGTTTCTAGTTTAAGTGACCAGAAAAAGTAGAGTAACTTAAACACCAAGTAAACAAAAAAAATAATATATATGAAGGGAAAAACCAAGGAAATAGAAAACAGTAAAACAATAAAGAAAATCAATAAGACTAAACGCTAGTTCATTGAGATGGTCAATAAAATTGATAACCCTCTAGGCAGAAAAATTTTTAAAAAGAGAGAGAAGGAGAAGACACAATTAGTAACATCAGGAATGAGAGAGGTTAAATCATCAGATACTCTACAAACGTCAAAAGAATAATAAGAAACTGATTAACAAGGATGTAGTAAAACAGATACTCACATATATTGCTGGTGGCAGTAAATACTTATAGTACCCCTTTCCAGGGAAATTTGAGAATACCTAATAAAACTACGCACATGCACTTATTATTTGACCTACCAGCACCAGATCTAGGAATCTGTGAAGATACACGTCCAAACATACAAAAATACTGTATATTTTCACAAGGTTATTCCTTCCAGTATTATTTGTACCAGCTTAATATTAGAAACAAATGTCCACTCATAGGAAAGTGAGTAAATAAATTATGGTAGTGACACAATAAAGTACTATGCAGCTGTAAAAAATAATGTGGAAGACATTTATGAGTTGGCTTCAAATCTGTAAAATGCAACAAATATAGAGGTTAATAGGACCAATATAATTTATTTTTTCTAATATATTATCCTAAAAGAATTTGGTATCATGTGGCTATCTCATAGACCTGAGCTATGACCAAAGGCTTCAACACCAACTAGGAGATGTCACCAAGAATAGGTGCAAATCACCAAGTCTAAAGCATTGGCTATAAAACTGAAACAAGGAAGACAGCAAAGGGTCTACAGAGGGGAATCTGTAAGACAGTCTCTGTAGGTGGTTCTCAGAAAGACCCTCTTCTGAGGCCCTGGACTTTAGGAGGAGGGGGCATCAGATGGAGCAGCAACCCTTGTCATTAGATGAAAACGAACTGTTGAGAGCACAGTTTGAGACTGGGTCCTTTCAGGACCTCATATCCAGGGCAGATCCTCAGGATGCTGCTGCCTGAGGCTGAGATCCAGAAATCTACTTGGGGGTTGAGAAACATAGAGTATCGCAATGAAAATTCCTATGTGAAGAACCCAAAGCATTTAGGTTCCCTCCTCTTGAGTCTCTGTTTCCTCCTTTCTTCCCTAGAGCTGAAAATTGAGGTTCATTCCTCCCTTGGATTCCCAGCCAGCTAGAGCCTTGGAGCAAAAGGTGGATGTCCATGTTCCCCCTCCCCCACTAAGACATGATTAGAGGGTTGGAACTTTCAGCCTCACCCCTTGACCTCCAAGGAGAGGACAGGGGCTGGAGATTGAGCTAATCACCAATGGTCAATGATTTCATCAATCATATCTATGCAATGAAACCTCTACAAAAACCCTAACTGTCTGAGATTTTCCAGGTTGGTGAACTCATTCATATTCTGGGAAGGTGGTGTACCCCAAATCCACATGGATGGCAGCTTCTGCATTTGGGACCCTTCTGGACCTTGCCATATGTACCTCTTCATCTGGCTTTTAATTTATATTCTTTATAATGAACCAATAATAGGAAGTAGCATTTCCCTGAGTTCTGTGGGCCCTTATAGCAAATTATTGAACCTGAGGAGGGGGTTGTGAGAACTCCCAACTAGTAGCTAAGTCAGACAGAAGTGTGGGTGACATGGAGATCCATTACTTGTGACTGTTGTCTGAAGTGGGGGAGGGCAGTCTTATGGGAATGAGCCCTTAACCAGAGAAGTCTGCACTAACTCTGGGTAGTGTCAGAATTGAATTAAATTGTAGGATACCTAGCTGGTGTCCTCAAAGAATAAAAGAATTGCTTGGTGTGAAAAATCCACACATTCTATCCCAGAAGTATTGTGGGTAGAGGAACCATTTTCTTTCACTTGGTACCCAGTGGATGCATGGGGCAGGGGGAAAGGAGAATACTCAATGTGAAAGAGGAGAAGGACTTACCATGGGGCTGCTACCTGGAATGGGACCAAAGAAACACGTCCTAAGGAATGAGCAGAGATCACAACACAAGAGAGCAAAGGGTATGCAGAGGGGAACCTATGAGACTATCCATGAAGCAGTTTCTGTAGGTGGTCCCCAGACCCTCCTCTAAGGCCCAAGACAGCAGGGAGAGAGAGCATCACATGGAGCAGCAACCCACTTTGTGTCCCTCAATGGGAATGAGATCCTGCTGCATGGGGCTGAGATCCAGGAATCCCCTTGGGGGTCGAGAAGCTTGGAGTATCCTAATGAGAAATCCTAAGTGAAGGGCCCACAGCATCTAGGTTTCCTCCCCTCGAGTCTATGTCTCCTCCTTCTTTTCCTAGAACTGCCTGGATTGAGGTTCATTCCTCTCTTGCATCCCCAGCCAGCTGGAGCCTTGGAGCAAAAGGCAGATGTATGTGTTCTCTTCTGCCCTCCTCCACCCTCCGCCAGTTTTGAGCTGGTATCAGCCATCCCCACTGCCTGAATACTGCCAGTAAACAGACAGACAGAGAGCAGAGTGAGTGCCTACTTGGTGGGAGGAAGACAGCAGTAGCATAGTCCATGGTTCCCATCCCCACCCTTACCTTTCCTGATCCAGCACCACACGTGTTCACGAATTGTCACTTCACCATTTCCCCTCTCTGGGCTCCCCTGAAGCCAACTCCATCCATATGCCCACCTCTCCCACCCACACATAGAAACACAGGGCGCTGGGTTGGGACCCCTGGGATGTTCAAAAGGCAGGAGGCAGCCCGGGGATCCGAGGCACTACCTGTACCCGCATCTAGTCTCAGTCACCGCCTCTCAGGGATGGCATCTGCCGTCCTTGCACCCACCTCCTCCAATAGCAACAGCTGCTTCTCTTCACGAACGCCTAGGGCAGGTAGAGTCTCTGCTTCTTGAGCTCCTGGACAAAAGACAGACCGTCTAAGACCGCTAGCGGTTGGCTGAGGGATAGTTTCCTCTACCAAGAAATGCTGTAATTCCGGTCGCCTGAGAAATTAGTTTTCAGGCTGATGAAGCATGGAGAGACACCTACCCACCTTAATATTCCGCCGTTCCCCCCACCTCCCGCTCTGCGGAGCACAGTTGTCGTCTGCCTTTCCTGTACTTTCTGGGTGTAAGAAAACACTCCTCTAGGCCGGCTCAACCCAGAGCCTGGTCACATGACCCACCGTCAGCCCCTCCCCCCTCCACGTGACTGCGCAGTCAGCTAGTTTGCCACAGCCCTGCATGACAGTCAGAAGACAGCCTCCGGGGTGCTTGCTAGAAGACCCTCAAGCTCCTGGCCCAGACAGCTGGAAGGAAGGCCGGGCTTTGCTCTGGAGGACCACTGGGCTGGCGAGGAACATTCGATGAGGATTGGGGAGATGAAGTGATTTGTGATATTTTGTATACGACTAGAGCGACATACTAAAACACACGCAAGATCTGTCTTGAAAAATGCTGGTAAGCAAAACAAACATTCAAACTCCAATTTGCACCACCAGGATGATCCCTGTTAAAATTTTTGATTTGTGAAGGGAGGCAAAACTGCCACTTTGCCCTGCTTTCGTAAACCTTAGCAAACTAACATCATATTGGAATTTAATTTATATCATTTATAATGAACCAGAAATAGGAAGTAATGAGAAATAAGATCAGGTGGGAAAAAGCCTTTGCATCCTGAGGCAAACCAAATGTAAAAGGGTCACTGTATCTATTTTTTTTTCCTGAGAAAATAAAACTTTGCATATTTCCTGTTATCCTGGACTCTCTCCCCAAACCGACTTTATCCCTGTCTCTTGCTACTGTCTGAACATATATGTTCCAACCTTTTTAAATGTAAAAATACATGTGGGATGAACTCAGGAACTTTGGTAATTTTACAGTTTGGTCCTTTAAATAATTTTTAATTTTTCATTTTTAATTGACAAGCCAGTTCTTCTGAAATTGTAGTCTCTCTTACCTCTTCATTCCTTTGATACATTTTATATCATTGTAGAATTTTCTATTATTAAATAATATACACTTCACATGAGTTTGGTCAATTTATTCACATTTATTTTTCAAATGGGATCATACTTCCCATGTATGACACCAGTGTTCTCTATTATATGAAATATCAAAAATGTCAGGGCTTTTCCTAAAACCCTATACATCATCATGTTTAATGGCTGTATGATGTTGCCTTAACACTTACCATGGTACCATCATGATTAAATTGTCTTCCTGACTCAATCAAATCCCTATGCTTTCCTGTCTTATTCTTTTGCCCTTTAGGTAGTATGGAAGCAGCAGTTGTACTTTGAGCTGTAAAATGCAAATCCTCAGCTCTTTAAAACTTATGTCATCCTCTATGTTGCTCAATATATTCCTCTCACTCACTCTAGGCAAACAGGATACCTCACTCCCATAGGAAAATTTTTCCTAACTCCATGCTTTTTTTTTTTTTTACACCACCAATATCTTTCCCAAACTTCAGAGTCCAACCGAAGTAGCTACTTTTTCTCTGAAGTATGCCCTACATAGCAGCCCCTGGTAATTTTTGCGTTTAAAGCTGAGAAAAAAACTTTTGAAAGGAACATATTATTCATATATTAATTATCTCTATGTGTGTTCATGTGTTATCATTGGGTCTGTATTTTAATTTCAAGAAGAAGGGTGATTTCTGCCAACTTTAACATAGGACTTTATTGAAACACAAACAACACTCAAATATATATATATATACAGTAGAACGACAATCAGAAGGGTGGCTTATTTATGATTGCTCAGTTCACTATAAGCTCAAATACTGAACATCACAATGTGGACAAGACAAATATCAACAAATGTGTTTTCAGCTCTAATATTCAGCTGGCATCAGAAAAATGCTCCAGCTTACAGACAGAGTTGGACAAAGTTAGTGTCAGCACTAAAGATATATGTTGCAACACAGAACCAACTATTAAAATCAAAGCATTACTCAAGGATCATAACTCAGGAACATAAGGACAATCTGAGGCCAGCAATTAACCATTACTAATTTTCTTGGTCCCCTTCAGGGTCATTTTGATTGTCTGTTTTGCCTTGCAGTTCCTTAGCAAATTTCTCAACTTTGTGGAATGCAGAAATAAGCGGCTCAATATTGAAATCATCATCAGAGAACACTGTTTCTTTTTTGATATTGTTGCCAATATTCTCAAATATTGCAAGAACAATTTGAATATTGTCATTTGTCTCTTCCCTGTTAAAGAGGCCTATAAATTCTGACACTGCTTCAGCACTGAGTAGTTCTTTTGTCATGAAAAGATTTTCAGACAAATTCAGTAGCATTTTCAAAACATGAAACCTTGTTTTGGCATTGCCTGTAGCTAATAAGGAGAGAAACCCAGACATATAATTGGCAACCAGTGTGTGATAGTCAGTAGTAGTAGTGAGATGTCTAATCATCCTTATTCCAGACAGCTGTTCCGGGGAATCCACGCTATAAGCAAGGGTTTCCTCACACACTTTACATATGTATGTCTGAATTATGTTTAGATTCGGATAAGGTGGGGCCATGCGAATCATATTTTCCAAAAAACTTGTTCTAACTCGGGAGGACGGATAATTAAGCAAGGTTTCAATAAGTGAGACAACACCTGAATCTCGAATGAAATCTCGGGTAAATTGAGAAGCACTTCTCATACCCATTGCGATTTTAGATATTTCATGAATAAAAGGATCCCGAATTTTTTCCATTAATAAAAGGAGTTCTTCAAACTCTTCAGAACCAATTTTCAGCTCACATTGTATGCAGTTACAGGATGAACTCTCAGGCTCTGTACTCTCCTTGGCCCTAAGATGCTCTCGAATTTCCTGGACTGACCTGTAGGAAGGATCATACTGAAATGGGAACTCAGGACTAGGCTGATCAGGCTGAAGCAAAGATTCCTGATCTTCCCCTTCTGGGCTAAGTACCATGTTCCTGGGTTTGCCCCCAAACATTTCACAGAATAAAGATGCTGCCTCTTTCGGAAATCTAAAGGGGCTTATAGATGGGAAGCCGACCCTACCCCATGGACCAGGCTTGAACTGAACAGTGACCTCCTCCCAACTCTGAGGCCTGCGTGAAGGATCAGGCTCCTGTTCAACTGAACACGTGGACCTGCAAATGGCCCTGAACACGGGGCTAGGATTTGATTCAAAATGGGCCTCATCTCCTGCCCAGAACCAGGACCCCACTATGGCCTCATCTTCATCAGCTAATGTCCTGGACCCACAGTTGCTTCCATTGTCAGTCCTGTTATCTACCTCATCTTCAGCCTCAAACCAAGACCCAACAATGGCCCCTTCCTCATTTTCTGGCTTGGACTCACAGGTGGCCACAGTTCCAGTTTCCTTAATGGCTTTGTCTCTAGACCAGAACCAGGACTCAACAATCATCTCTTCATCATCCTCTGGCTTGGATACACAGCATGGTCCTGCTTCTTCACTGACTTCTTTTCCATCCCAGAACCAGGACCCAAAAATGGTTTCCTCTTCAGTCTCTGACTCCATTTCCTCTACTGCCTGAGATCCAGCCTGTATACTGGCTTCTTCTTCAGGCCAGAACCAGGACCCAACAGTGATTTCTTCCTCCTCAGTCCCAGGCTTTGACTCAAAGCCGACTCCTGCCACTGCCTCCGGACTGGCCTCTTCTTCCCAGAACCAGGACCCAATAATGACTTCTTCCTCTTCAGCTTTAGGACTGGATTTGCTGCAAGACCCAGCCTCTCTTCTAATGGTCTCTTCTCTGGCCCCAAACCAGGACCCAACAATACCTTCTTTCTCAGCTGCTAGCCTGTCTTCTTCTCTAGTCTCAGCAGCTGGCTCTAGTCTGTCCTCTTCTCCAGCCCAGAACCAAGAACCAATAATGTCCCCCTCCTCAGCTTCTGGCCTGGACTCTTCTCTGTCAGTAGCCTCTGAAATGGCTTCATCTTCTTTCCAGAACCAGGAATTGATTATGGTCTCCTCTTCAGTCAGTAACTTGGCCTTTTCTCCAGTCCCATCTATATTACTCTCTTCTGTAGCCCATAACCAGGACCCTATAATGGCCTCTGGCTTTGTGTATTTTCTGGACCAGAACCACGAATTGACAATGTCCTCTTCCTCCTCTGGCCTAGACTTCCAACTTCCTCCACCGGCAGGATACATACAGGGTTCTTTTTCTGCCCAGAAGCAAGACTTATTATTGGTCTCCTCAGCCCCTGCCATAAATCTGCATCTGACACCAGTCCCATGCTTCATACTGACCTCTTCTTTGGCTCCAAAACATGGTATCATGGCCTCTTCCTTGTCCTCCAGGCTAGACTTGCTGTTGACATCACCCTCCACACAAGCTTCTACTCTGGTCCAAAACCAGGACCCAATAATGGGCTCCTCCTCCTCAGCCCCTTGCATGGTGTCACAGCTAGTTTCAGCCCTACAATCCATATAGGTCTGGTTTTCAGCCCAAAACCAGGACCCGAATATTGTCTCTTCTTCAGCTCCTGGCCTGGCCTCTTCTCCGATTCCAGCCTCTATATCAACTTGTTCTCCAGACCAAAACCAGGGACCAATGACCTCTTCTTCCTCAGACCTTGTCCTGGACTCACAGCTGACCCCAACACCAGATTCCACACTGGCCGCATCAATGACCCAGAACCACGACCCAAAAATGGTCTCTTCCTCAGCCTCTTGGTTGACCTCTTCACCAGCCCAGAACCAGGAACCAATAATGACCTGTTCATCATCAGCTGCTAGTATAGATTCAGAGGTGGCCTCAGCCCCAGTTTTCATACTGGTCTTTTCCCTAGCCCCAAATAAGGAATCACCAATACGCTCCCCATCAGTCCTTGGTCTGGATTTACTGCTAGCCCCAGTCCCCATACTGGCCTCTTCTTCAGTCCAGAACCAACTCCCAATTATGGACTCATCCTCCACTTGTAGACTGGACTCTATGCTGGCTTCATCTGCCATGCTGGACTCGTCTGTAGCCCAGAACCAGGTCCCAATGAGGGCTTCCTCCTCTGACCTGGCTTCTTGCTTGGCCCTGGCTCGGGCCTTGGTTTTGGCCTCTTCCTTTGTCATTGCTCTGGCCCTGGCCTCTTTCTTGATCATGGGCCTTGAAAAGGTATTAGCATTTTCTTCAGGCCAGAAACAGGACTCTTTTTTAATTACATCTATAGACCCAGGCATGAAATCAATGCAAGCTTCTCGCTTGGCCCTGTGCCTGGCCCTGTTATTGGCCTCCTTCCCAGCTCTCATTTTGGACCTGAATTTGGCCTCCTTTCCAGCCCCAAACCAGGACTCCAAATGGTCTTCATGCTCAGATCCAGAACTTGATTCAACATAGACTTCTTTCTTAGACCTAAACCTGGACCTGCTATTGGGATCTTCCCTGGGCCCAGACCAGGTATTGGTTTTATCTCTGGCCCAGAACCAGGGTGTCTTAACAGACTCATCCTCAGAACCAGAACTAGATGCAATATAGAGCTCCTGGTTAGTTTGGGACCTAGACATGGTATTAGCCTCTTGATTGGCCATGTGCATGGATCTGTTACTGTCTTTTACCCTATTCCCAGGATGAAATTTTGCAGTGACCTCATCTCCACTCCAGAACAAGGAACTCACAGATTTGTCTACCCATTTGAAATCAGAATTAGGAGAGGCTTCTTGTTTGGATGTAGGCCTAGGACAGCACCAGGACCCCATATTGGTCTCCTCCTTTGACCTAAAAGAAGGCTGGAATCCTGCTTGGTAATGGGCCTTCCTTCTAGGAAAGCTCTCAGTGTCTGTATTAACCAGTTCTCTATCCTCAGACAGGTACTTTGTTTTAGCAACCAAGACAGAATCAGTACTGACAAGTGGAGAGGCTATGATATTGGTCTGGGAGTTTCTCTCTGTCTTAGACAATCTTTCAGCACCAAACCTGGGCTGAGCCCACATCTGGGCTTCTTCCTTAAATCGTGAAACAGGTATTGCCTTGGCCTTACTCTTAGGGCGTGCCCCACCCACTGCACTTGTCTCAACTTTGGTGCTTGCTCCAGGCATAACCTTGGACTTATTCTTGGGCCTTGCCCCAGGCATTATCTGGGCCTGGGTCCTAACCTTGGGTCTGACCACCAGAGGGACATCATTCTCTATCTCAGCCCCACCTACAACCTCTTCCCCAGGCTTCTTTTCAGGCTTGACCTGGGCACCAGACTCAATCTCTGCCCCAGTCATGGTACAAGTTACAAAGAAAGTCCAGTACTATACTCCTCCCCCAGTCTAAACCTCAACCACAGATCTGTCACAGGTTTGTTTCTTCACACTCTGATCTTTAGGTGATTGAGGATATAAGCTTGGAAACAAGAGTTAGAGTCAATATCCAGTCCAGTAGTCACTCAGCCTCCTTCCCAAACACAGTCTCAGTCAGTAATTCAATAATACAGATAGAGTGTAGAACAGGCACAACCAAGCTTGAGGAAGACAGAGATTTCCTGGATGGGTGCAGACCCGTTGAGGGTGGTTGTCAGCAGCAACCCCACCACCAGCAGAGCAGCCACTGGAGGTGGATCTAGGGAGAGAGAATGAAATGGGGCTTTGAGTCTCTTCCAATTATGTCATCCCATGCAGAGACATATGCAGTGAGACTGATGTTGAATGCTAGGTGGGACAGCTGGGCTTTGAGAAAGTCTCTCTGGACCGGCTGCCTCCTATTAAACAGGTCCAACAATGGTGGGAAAGTGTGTCGGCAATGGGAGGGGCCAAGAAGTCCCCAGATTGGACCCTAAGCACTCCCGGACCCATGCTGGTCTCCACTACCCCGCCCAAAAGTATACCCACTCTCATACCAACCTTCACTTATGTGGTGCAGTTTCCCCCTCCTTTTCTTGTTCAAGTAGTGTCAAGCCCCACAGCTGACAGAAGGGGGTCCTACAGACAAGTAAACATACAGGAGAGAATGGAGAATGGTAGATAGGCAAGCACTCTGGCTCCTGTGACAAATATCTGTCTTCCCATTCAAGGGTTCAATGTATCTATGGTTTCCTGTGTCCTGGTCCCTGCTCTCAGGTCTTTCTGAGTCACAACACAACCTACACCTATCTCATGTCCCCTGCAAGAAATAAAAAGGATGCTGGCACTGTGCAAATCCAGCAGAGTAGAAGTGGGTCTGCACCCACTGGTCTCAAAGCCACCTGCCATGCTCTCTTTCTCCAACTGTCCCCTGAATTGCCCCCTCCCCCTTCTCACCAACCTCCAGAGGTGTGAGCCAGTCTCCTCCTCCTTGCCTTTCTTGCAGAACTGGCCAGCCTTAAAGCAGGCCTATGGACAAACAGATGAAAAAGTAAGACAGGAAATGAGGGGTGGCAGTAAAGCCCTTGGTAGAGAGACCAACGCTAAGGATAAGAATCCCCATATTATTGATATCTGTCTTTCAACATTCGGGGTTTTGCTGGTGGAATATTCTCGTTTTGTTTAGGCCCTGCTTCAAGGTTCTAGAGATAACAACTCCTTCTCTTGACGTCATACTCTTCTCATTACTCCCTTCTCCAATTCTGAGGATTCACCACTAGGTGCGCCACATCCCCTTGCTCTGCGCAGCAGAAAATGGGGGAAGGGCGCCACATATTCTAGAAAACAGGTCGTGAATTGGTACTTGTCAGTATGTCTCCCTCATCACCCCTACCTCCAAAGCTCACCCTTTCAAGCCCCCAGTTTAGGACGGTGGGGGAGGCAGATGGGGATGGAAGGTGGGGGAAGCGCCTGGAACACCATTAGAGAGGGGAAGATTAAGAGGTGCTCCTGGATGCCTGACCTGCTCTGGTCGCAGTCCCCCACCCCGATTCGGTTCTCCAGTGTTTGGCACCCACCCCACATCCCCACACACCTCCAGAAATCCAGGGAATATTCGTGCTCCTCCTTTATTTCAAGCCTCTCCTCTACAGATGCTCACTGTGTCCTGTCAGAATACGCCAGACCTACCGCGCAGACAGACTTTGACATCAACCTGGAGTCTGTGGGAAGGGACAGCACCCAGGACACGGGGCCCCACAGGCCCCTTTCCGGAATCAGGGCCCGGAGCAGCGAACGCGACCCACCTCCCACGGGCTAGGCACAGAGCTGGGACGCTGGCCCACGAGGGCCCCCCCAGGCGCCCCCCAACTGCCTCCCGGGCGCCCCCCAACACGGCTCCCGTTTGGCCATTTCTCCCGCAGGAGCCTCCCCCACAGCCGTCTCTCGGTACCGAAACCGTCGAGGGCTGCGCGCGGGCGCCTGCAAAGCTGGCTGGGAAGCGGTCAGCGCGGTTCTCCTCCAGACGATCTGACGGTGCCTCTGGAGCCAGCCCCTCAGCCCTTGGTCCGGCCTGGCCCGCACCAGTCACCGCCTCCCCATAGCCAGGGATCTCGGGCACTGCGCACCTCTCTCTAGCGCCCGGCTCCGAACGGATCGTCTCCTCGTTGCCAGGCTGTCAGGGTCCGGGGGGCAGGTTGCCAGCCGGTCCACCCTGGCGGACCACCCCCACACCACGGCCCCCCACCTCACGCACCCCTACTTGCCTTCAGAGGCCCAGAGCCCAGGTCATCGGCCTCCCCCTCCTCTCTTCAGCTCTCCTCTGGCTGCTCTTCAGTTGGATTCCCACCGCTTTCCCAGCGATCCGAATGGCAAAGACGAGTCCCGCCCCCCACGCCTCTGCACCAAACTGGGCAGGGGCTGCGCAGGATGCGGCAAGAACCGCTCTCCGCGAGGGTGTCGGGAAGGGGGGCGGAGGGATACGGCGCGAAAGTGCAGGACGCCCCCCCTCACAGAACCACCATAGTTCCGACCCAGAGGTGGGCGGGGCCAGGACGAGCCCCAGCCGGGGCCTGCGGGTTGGCACCAGGCTGCCTCAGGAGGACCCCGCGGACCCTAACGTGGCGACGACCACCACATTTCTGGCGCTGCTATAATATATGGCACCGGCGGGCGGCTGCGGGGCCGGGCGGAGGACAGGATCGCGAGGTCGCGAAGAGCCGCGCTGGAGGGAGCAGCGGATGGATACCAAACCGTCCCTTGGTGTGTCTGCACCCCCGCCCCAACCGCCCCCCTATAAGGACTGCTGGGTGTTTGCCCTCTCCCCCTCCCTAGTCTGCTCACCCTCCTTCCTGGATGTTAATGGGAGAGGGGGTGTCAGCACTGCAGTGTGGGAGGGGAGAGGCGATTTCAGTCCAGACAGGCCCGGGGTTCTAGGGTGGTCGTCCTGTGCGTTTCTTTCCCAGCTTCGTGGAGCCACGCAGGGGAGGAAGGTACACCTGCTCTTAAGTGAACTCCGGGGCAGGGGGCTCCCATCAAGGACTCACCACTGCCCCTCTTCTAAAAGAAGGTAGACCTAGACCTCTAACCCTAGGAAACCAACCACTGGTCTGCACCAGACTCATTTCTTTCTGCCACACCGCTGTTTCTCATTTCAAATGGTGGCTCACGTTGGCATTGCACCGTCCCCACAGTTGCCCCCAAAAGAGGACCTTTCCCTGTCAGGACCCGCAGGAGGTCATAACAGTCCTCTCTCTTTGATGCCGCCAGGTAGGGATGGTCCTGGCTTCTCTTCGGTTCCCTGTCAAGTCTTCTCTTGCCATGATATTTGGCAGTGTGGAAATGTGGCTGGTATCAAACCAGCTTGGATCTCCGCCACCTGCCACAACTACCTATTGTTTCAGCAGTCATTCTCAGGAGAGGATCCCACCGTGCACCCCCCTCCCCGAGACAAAGCAACCTGGCTCATTTGAATCCTCTTCTTTCACCCCCACATCCGTCCTCTACTCTTGAGCCCCTCCTTTCCCTGCTTCCTGCATGGGACAGACAGAGCAATGTGGTTAAACACCAAGTTGATGTTGTTACTGTTGTCCATTTGAAAACTCATTTAGACACTACCCTCATTGTGTTTGGCAGGTAACGGTCCCCTAAAGATGTCCATGTCCTGTTCTCCAGAACATGTACCATTTTATATTACCTGACAAAGGATCATTAAGATTGCTATTCAGCTGAGTTTAATTTAAGATTATTCTGGGTTATCTTGGCCAATGTAATTGCAAGGGTACTTTAGATGTGGAAGGCAGGGACTCCATGTCAGATTGAAGCAGCATAGAAAGTCTACACTGGTCATCGTTGGCTTTGAAGATGGAAGGAAGCCAAGATCCAAGAAATACAGGCTGTCTCCAGAACCTGGAAAAGACAAAGAAACAGATTCTTCCCTAGAAATGCCAGAGGGATAGCTCCTCTGGCAACATCTTGATTTTAGTGTGGTGAAGCCCTTTGAAGATTTCCAACCTTCCAGGACTGTAAGATAATAATAAATTGGTATTATTTTAAGCCATTCCATGTATGGTAACTGGTTACAGGGTAGCAGCACCAGACCTATCTGGTTTAACTTTTATATAACAAAGTTGTGCATTGTCTTTCAGTTGCCGGGGACCCTCAGATCATGTTACCTGAGCATCCTCAGATGAACCAAGCATGCAATCAGAGGGAGAATGTAAGTGTTTTGAATTAGGACCAGGGCTGAATTAAGAAGTGGACACTGGATGGCAGGATCCAGTCAGATCATGCCTCTCAGCATCACCTCATTGTAAGATCCAAAGCCATCAGGATATACCCTTAATACCCAATGCTTATGAAAACCTGACCCAGCCCCCATCTCAGGGAGACATTATTTTGGGAAGTATCCCTGGTGGTCTCATTACTTCGTTACAAGTAATAAATCCCCTTACTAAATCCTTGCTGTGATCATGGGGTTGATGTCAAACGACTGAACCCACCCACTGTGTTGGTTGGTAACAATAGCAGGAGTAGGAACAGAATACACTCACCATCCTGATGAATTCTATTCCCATTGCCTTTCTTTACCTGTGCTTCAGTCTCTGAGAAATATTTTAGGGCTCATCTCACCAATACAGCCACCAATCCCCTTTACTGTTTTATAATTATGTCCAAAATCACATTTGCACAAGCTTCTGTGGTAATTCTGCAGGTGCTAGGATCTTTATTCCAAGATATTTACTGACAGAGGAATGGTTCTACCAAAAGCTGACAAATTTTACTGTGTGAGACTTTAAAATGTGTGTTGGACAATTTGTTGTCAGTACTCTTAGAAAACATGGTCTTGTATTGGTTAGTATGTATTGAAGTGATAAAGGCCCTACTTTAAGCTTTTCATATGTTAGCTTTGTATGGGTATGTATCAAATAGATTATTATTTTTAAAACCTTTGAGCAAATAAAAGATTGAAATAAGATACTCTGACTGCTAAGCACTATTTATTTCCTCCTATAATTGATTCTAGTTCAATAAATTGCAACAGTCATCTTTCTACTCCTCAGTGCCTACACTAGCACCTGTGTAACCCTGACTTACCACTGAAATCTAAATGTCAGAGCCAAATAATCCATAAGCATTAAGTCCATGATACAGATGCAACTGTGCTCACTCATCATACTCACTGTTTTCTTCCAAATCCCACCCACCACCCCCAAGCATGCTCATGAACTTGCACACCAGCCTATCACTTGCCTGTTCTCCTCTTGTCTGTCTCAATCACCATGGTCATGGACTTGTTTTTGCCTATTTAGTTTTACTTGCCTCTATACTGTCCTTTATGGGCCTCAAGCAAAGCTTCCTTCTGAGACTTCTCTTTTGGTCGAGGCTGAGCCAAACCCTGTGTTTTCTTATAATGTATCCCCTTCTTCTATCTCAAAGTTTCAAAGGTTGTACACAGAAATTAAAGTCCCCTGTAGTCAGGAATAACTAGGCTGAGGTTGGTCTGGTGAACTATATGGTGAAATTGGCCCAACAGATGTCTATTTTCAGTGTAGCCTGAAAATGCTATGGGAAAGATCTCAGCCTGTCTCTACTTCTTGAGACAGGGTACATTTGCAGAACTGGTGGGGAGGCCTGGCCCAAGAATATTTTCAGGTCATATTTGGGGTGGGGTCTACTTCAAGAGAATTAATCTTGAAGAAAAACCAAGTCACGCACAAGGACCCTAGCCCATGAACAATGCCTTGCCATTAGGGAAGTATAGATATTCTAATAGCAACACTGAAATTATTATAGAACTCCTATTTGTGCCTATTCCAACACAAACCCTCAACTGTATATCTGTCATAGCAAAGGCAGGTTTATACATATCCAGGAAATAACTGTCTTTAAGTAAACTCTGTAATGCTCCAGTGTAAGGAACCCATTAATAAAGCATAACCTAAAGAGAGGAAAATATCCTCCTTTCTAACATGGATTTAAACTTTTGACTACTACTCAGATCTGACATCATGAAAACCCTGTGTATAGGTGGAGTTAGGAAATTAGAGAGAACAGTTAATTAGAGGACATTAAATGCCTGGCAATACAGCTTAGAATGGCAGCAACAACTGGAAGAATCACAGGAAAACCCCAAAAATTCAGGACATAGGAAATACCCCTTGAGGATTTTTAGAACTATAGGAGCTGGCAAGGAGAGCTAATTAGCTTTACAGGGAGAAGAAAACCTGAATTTCCACAATGTCAATAAATATTAGAAATTAATGGAATGTCAAATTGCTTTCTATAATAGAAAAAATAATGAGAAAACTACACTACCTTTTGTTGTTGTTTCTCATTAACTAACCATCACTTCCTGCCTCATCATGATAGGGCCTCACCACAGCCTGCATCCAGCCAGCAAATGAGAAAAAGGAGAATAGAAGTAGTTGATTTCCTTCTTAAAATCCATGGTGAGGAAATGCTCACATCATTTCCACTCACATTCCATTGATGGGACTTGATATGGTTTGACTGTGTCCCCACCCAAGTCTCAACTCGAATTGTAACTCCCAGAATTCCCACATGTTGTGAGAGGGACCCAGGGGGAGGTAATTGAATCATGGGGGCCAGTCTTTCCAGTGCTATTCTCATGATAGTGAATAAGTCTCACAAAATCTGATGGGTTTATCAGGGGGTTCTATTTTTGCTTCTTCCTCATTTTTATATTGTCACTGCCATGTAAGAAGTGCCTTTTACCTCCTGCCATGATTCTGAGGCCTCCCCAGCCATGTGGAACTGTAAGTCCAATTAAACCTCTTTTTCTTCCCAGTCTCGGGTATGTCTTTATCAGCAGCGTGAAAACAAACTAATACAGTAAATTGGTACCGGTAGAGTGGGGTGTTGCTCAAAAGACACCCCAAAATATGGAAGCGACTTTGAAACTGGGTAACAGGCAGAGGTTGGAACAGGGCTCAGAAGAAGACAGGAAAATGTGGGAAAGTTTGGAACTTCCTAGACACTTGTTGAATGGCTTTGCCCAAAATGTTGATAGTGATATGGAAAATAAAATTCAGGCTGAGGTGGTCTCAGATGGAGATGAGGGACTTGTTGGGAACTGGAGCAAAGGTGACGCTTGTTATGTTTTGGCAAAGAGACTGGCAGCATTTTGCCCCTGCCCTAGAGATTTGTAGAACTTTGAACTTCAGAGAGATGATTTAAGGTATCTGGCAGAAGAAATTTCTAAGCAGCAAAGCATTCAAGAGGTAACTTGGATGCTGTTAAAGGCATTCAGTTTTATAAGAGAAGCAGAGCATAAAAGTTTGGAAAATTTGCAGGCTGACTATGCGATAAGAAAGAAAAACCCATTTTATGGGAAGAAATTCAAGCCAGCTGCAGAAATTTGCATAAGTAGCAAGCAGCCTAATGTTAATCCCCAAGACCATGGGAAAAATGTCTCCAGGCCATGTCGGAGAACTTCCCAGTAGTCCCTCCCATCACAGGCCTGGAGGCCCAGGAGGAAAAGTGTTCTTGTGGGCTGGGCACAAGGCCCCCATGCTGTGTGCAGCCTGGGCACTTGGTGCCCTGTGTCCCAGCTGCTCCAGCTGTGGCTGAAAGGGGCCAACATACAGCTTGGGCTGTGGCTTCAGAGGGTGGAAGCCGCAAGCCTTGGCAGCTTCCACGTGGTGTTGAGCATGCAGGTGTACAGAAGTCAAGAACTGAGGTTTGGGAACCTCTGCCTATATTTCAGAAGATGTAAGAAACGCTTGGATGCCCAGGTAAAAGTTTGCTGCAGGGGTGGGGCCCTCATGGAGAACCTCTGCTAGGGCAGTGCAGAAGGGAAATGTGGGGTCAGAACCCTCACACAGAGTCCCTACTGAGGCACCACCTAGTGGAGCTGTGAGAAGAGGGCCACCATCCTCCAGACCCCAGAATGATAGATCCACTGACGGCTTGCACTGTGTGCGTGGAAAAGCCACAGATAATGCCAACCCATGTAAGCAGCCAGGAGGGAGGCTGTACCCTGCAAAGCCACAGGGCAGAGCTGCCCAAGACTGTGGGAACCCACTTTTTGCATCTGCATGACCTGGATGTGAGACCTAGAGTTGAAGGAGATCATTTTGGAGCTTTAAAATTTGACTGCCCCACTGGATTTCAGACTTGCATGGGCCCTGTAACCCCTTTGTTTTGGCCAATTTCTCCCATTTGGAATGGTTGTATTTACCCAATACCTACACCCCCGTTTTATCCAGGAAGTAACTAGATTGATTTTGATTTTACAAGCTCATAGGCAGAAGGGACTTGCCTTGTCTCATATGAGACTTTGGACTGTGGACTTTTGGGTTGATGCTGAAATGAGTTAAGACTTTGGGGGATTGCTGGGAAGACATAATTGGTTTTAAAATGTGAGGAAATGAGATTTGGAGGGGCCAGGGGTGAAATGATATGGTTTGGCCATGTCCCCACCAAAATCTCAACTCGAATTGTATCTCCCAGAATTCCCACGTGTTATGGTAAGGACCCAGAGGGAGGTAATTGAATCAGGGATTGGTCTCTCCCGTGTTATTCTTGTGATAGTGAATAAGACTCACAAAATCTTATGGGCTTATCAGGGGTTTCTGATTTTGTTTCTTCCTCATTTTTCTCTTGCTCCCGCTGTGTAAGAAGTGCCTTTTACCTCCTGCCATAATTCTGAGGCCTCCTGAGCCATGTGGAACTGTAAGTCCAATTAAACCTCTTTTTGTTCCCAGTTTCGGGTACATCTTTATCAGCAGCATGAAAACAAACTAATAGAGGACGCAATCACCATTTATTAAAAATCTTGTCCGTTCTCTATATGTGGTGGTGGTAATGAGAGAACCAGATATCCACAGATAAAAGAATAAAGTTGTCTCAGCAAACTAAAAATAGAGGAGAACTTCCTCAACTTGATAAAGGATATTTACCAAAAACCTACAGCTAACATCATACTTAATGGTGAGAAACTTGATTTATCAGTAAGATCAGGAATGAGGCAGATATTTTCCCTTTCACCACTGCTTTTCTACATCATAATGGAAGTCCTAGCTAATGCAATAAAGACAAGAAAAAAGAAATTAAAGTTATACTGACTGGGAAGAAAGAAAACTGTTTTCATGTGCAGATGAAATGACTGTGTATGTACAAAATCTGAAAGAACTGACAACAACAAAAAAACTTCTGGAACTGATAAGTAATTATGGCAACGTTGCAGGATACAAGATTAATATATTTTAAAAATGACTTTCCTAAATACGAGCAATGAGAAAGTAGAATTTGTAGTTTAAAAATGATAACATTTACATTAGCACCTAAAAATGAAACACTTAGGTATAAATCTAGCAGAATATGCACAATATCTATATGAGTGAAACTATGAAACACTGATGAAGGAAATAAAATAACTAAATAAATGCAGAGATATTCCATGTACATGGATAGGAGGATTCAATATTGTCAAGATATTAATTCTTCCAAATTTAATCTATAAATTCAGTGCGATCCCAACCAAAATTGCAGCAAGTTGTTTTGTAAGTACTGACAAACTGATTCTAAAGTTTATATGGAGAGGCAAAAGGCCCATAGTAGCTGACACACTATTGGAGAAGAACAAAGTTGGACCAACACTACCCAACTTTAAAAATTACTATAAAGCTATAGTAATCAAAACAGTGTGGTATCAATGAAAGGACAGGCGAATAAATGCAACAGAACAGAGAGCCCAGAAACAGACCCATGTAAATATGGCCAACTGATCTTTAACAAAGGAGCAAAGGCAATACAACAGAGAAAAGAGAGTCTTTTCAATAAATTATACTGAAACAACTCAACACCCACATGCAAAAAAAATCTAGACACAGACTCTACACATGTCACAAAATTAACTCAAAATGGCTAACAGAACTAAAAGTAAAATGCAAAACTACAGCTCCTAGATGGTTACATTTTCTAAAAGTCTAGATTACCTTGTGTAGGGTGACAATTCTCTAAATATAATACCAAAGGTATGATTCACAAAATAAGGTATTGGTTAGCGGGACTTCATTAAAAGTAAAAACTTCTACTCTGAGAAAGGCACTGTTATCTGAGAAGATAAGCCACAAACCAGGAGAAAATATTTGCAAAAGACATATGTGATAAAGAACTGTTATCTATAATATATGAAGAACTCTTAAAACCCAACAATACGAAAACAAACAGGATTAAAAAATGGGCTAAGGACCTTAACAGACACCTCACCTAAGAAGATATACAGATGGCAAATAAACATATGAAAAGATGCTCCACATTGTATGTCATCAGGAGAATGCAAATTAAAACAACAGTGAGATACCATTATACACTTAATACAATGGTCAACATGTAGGACACTGACACCACCAAGTGCTGCAAAGGAGGTAGAGCAACAGAAACTTATTTAGTGCTGGTAGGAATGCAACATGGTATAGCCACTTTGGAAGATGGTCATGGTTTCTTAGAAAACTAAATATACTCTTAGCAAATAATACCGAAGTGGAACTCCTTGGTATTCATGCAAGTGAGTTGAAAACGTATGTCCACACAAAAACTTGCACATGGATGTTTCTAGCAGCTTCATTTATAATTGCCAATAATTGGAAGTAACCAAGATGTCCTCTACTAGATTAACATAAACTGCGGCATATCCAGAAAATGGAATACTATCCACCACTAAAAATAAATGAGCTATCAAGCCATGAAAAGATCTGGATGAAACTTAAATGCATATTACTAAGTAAAAAAAGCCTTGTAAAAAGGCTACATACTGTTCATCTTGCAGTTCCAGTGGATACAATATTTTTCTTCCTACCTATTTTGGGGACTTGGTTAATCTATTGAAGTATCATACCATGGAAGGGAGATTTCACTGCATATAACTTACATGATTATGTAATATAATGAATATTTTGCTGAAATAAAAAATAAGCTAGACTCCTCTTCATACCATATGTAATATTTAATTCCAAATAGATTAAAGACATAAATATAAGAGCTAAAAGTATCACGCTCTTAGAATAGAGATATGGTTTGGCTGTGTCCCCATCCAAAATCTCATCGTGAATTGTAACCTGCATAACCCCTATAATCCTCATGCGTCAAGGGCAGGACCAGGTGGAAGTAATTAGATCATGAGAGCAGCTTCCCCCATGCTGTTCTCGTGATAATGAGTGAGCCTCACAAGATCTGGTGGTTTTGTAAGTGTCTGGCATTTACCCTGCTTGCACTAACTCCATACTGCCACCCTGTGAAGAAGGTGCCTGCTTCTCCTTTGCCTTCCGCCATGATTGTAAGTTTCCTGAGGCCTCCCCAGCAATGTGAAACTGTAAGTCAATTAAACTTCTTTCCTTTATGAATTAACCAGTCTTCGGTGTTTCTTCATAGCAGTGTGAGAGCGGACTAATAGAAATACATAGGGGTAAACCTTCATGACCTTAGATTTGGCAATGGTTTCTTGGATATAATACCAAAAGCAAGATTAAGAAAAGAAAAAAAATAGATTAAATGGACTTCATCAAAAAATTTTACCCATGACTAAAACACCAAAAGCAATGGCAACAAAAGCCAAAATTGACAAATGGGATTTAATTAAACTAAAGAGCTTCTGCACAGCAAAATAAACTATCATCAGAGTGAACAGGCAGCCTAAAGAATGGGAGAAAATTTTTGCAATCTATCCATCTGAAAAAGGGCTAATATCGAGAATCTACAAAGAACTTAAACAAATTTACAAGAAAAAAACAACCCCATCAAAAAGGCAAAGGATATGAACAGACACTTCTCAAAAGAAGACAGTTATGCAGCCAACAAACATATGAAAACATATTTAAAAAAAGCTCATCATCACCGGTCATTAGAGAAATGCAAATCAAAACCACAATGAGATACTATCTCATGCCAGTTAGAATGGCAATCATTAAAAAGTCAGGAAACAACAGATGCTGGAAAGGATGTGGAGAAATAGGAACGCTTTTACACTGCTGGTGGGAGTGTAAATTAGTTCAACCATCGTGGAAGATAGTGTGGCGATTCCTCAAGGATCTAGAACTAGAAATACTAGAAATACCATTTGACCCAGCAATCCCATTACTGGGTATATACCCAAAGGATTATAAATAATTCTACTATAAAGACACATGCACACATATGTTTATTGTGGCACTGTTCACAATAGCAAAGACTTGGAACCAACCCAAATGCCCATCAGTGATAGACTGGAAATGAAGAACATGTGGCACATATACACCATGGAATACTATGCAGCCATAAAAAATGATGAGTTCATGTCCTTTTCAGGGACATGGATGAAGCTGGAAACCATCATTCTCAGCAAACTAACACAGGAACAGAAAACCAAACACTGCATGTTCTCACTCAAGTGGGAGTTGAACAATGGGAACACATGGACACAGGGAGGGGAACATCACACACTGGGGTCTGCTCGGGGGTGCGGGGCAAGGGGAGGGATAGCATTAGGAGAAACGCCTAATGTAGATGATGGGTTGATGGGTGCAGCAAACCACCATGGCACGTATATACCTATGTAACAAACCTGCACGCTCTGCACATGTATCCCAGAACTTAAAGCATAATAATAAAAAAATAAGAAAATGGAAATTGATTTTAAAAATTTTTACAATGTGCATCAAAAGACAACATTAAGAAAATTAACAGAATGGAAGAAAACATTTGCAAATAATTTATCTGATGAGGGTTTAATATCCAGAAAATATAAAGAACTCCTACAACTCAACAGCAAAAAAAGACAACCCAACTAAAAAATGGGCAAAAATGTGAATAAATATTTTCCCAAAATGACATAAAAATGGTCAATAAGCATGTGAAAGGATTCTCAACATCATTAATCATTAGGGAAATGCAAATCAAAACCAAACTGAAATACTGCTTTACACCTCCTATGATCAGTATAATTTTAAAAAACAGAAAAATAAAAGCATTGGTGAGAATATGGATAAACTGGAACCCTACTGGAAATGTATAATTGTGCAGTCATTGTGGAAAGGTTTGGCAGTTCCTCAAAAAGCTAAATAGAATTACCATATGATCTTGCCATTCTTCACCTAGATAATACATCCAAGAAAAAAGAAAAGAGGTATTTAAACAAAAACTTGTACTCAAGTGTTCATAATATTAATAGCACTATTCACAAAAGACAAATGACTTAAATCTATCCAAATATCCATCAAGTGATGAATAGAGACACAAAATGTAATACATACATATAATAAAATTTTCAGCCAGAAAAAGAATGAAGTTCAGATACATGCTACAACATGAATGAACCTTGAAAACATTATGCAAAGTAAAAGAAGCCAGACACAAAAAGACAACTATTGTATTATTTCACTCATTTGATATATCTAGAATAGGCAAATTAATAGAGATAGAAAGTAGAATTAGAAGTTACCAAGTGCTCCAAGGAGAGGAAAATACTTAATTATTAAAAAATTTCTATTTAGAATGATGTATTCTAAATAGAATACATTTGTGCTGTAACACAAACTGAATGGCTTAAACAACAGACATTTATTTTTGCACAGTTCCATAGGGTAGAAGTCTGAGATCAAAGTGTCTGCAGGCCCACGCTCCCTCTGAAGGCATGCGGGAAGGATATGTTTCAGGCCTTTCTCCTAGCTTCTGGTGGTTTGTTGGCAATCTTTGGTGTTCTTTGACTTCTTTGTATCACTCTGATCTTTTTCTTCATCTTCACTTGGCACTCTCCCTGTGTGCTTGCCTCTGTGTCCAAATTTCCCCTTTTTATAAGGACACTAATCATATTGGATTAGGATTCCACCCTAATGATCTCATGTTAATTTGAATACCTTTATAAAGATCCTATCTCCAAATAAGGTCACATTAATATTAAGGGATAGGACTCCAACATATCTTCTGTGGGGGCACAATTTAAACTATAAGAGGTGATAAAAAGTTTTAGAAGAAGATAGTGGTGGCAGATGTACAACAGTGTGAATGTAATTAATGACACTTAATTGTCCACTTAAAATGGTTAAAATGGCAAATTTTGTGTTATATTTTACCATAATTAACAAAAGATATCACACATTCTCCTCTCTCCTCAAACAATAATCACCTCCTACATATTACTCACTTTGAGTTGATGACTTTGTTTCTTATTTCATTAAAAAAAATAGCAATTAGAAGGTAACTTTTACAAACTCCCATCACTATATCTACTATACCACTTGCATCTATGGACATAAATTCTGCCTTTTCTGCTATTCTATGAATGAATTGTCCAGGCTCTTATCTAAAGCCAGCTTCTCTATTTGCTTACCAGATGATATCCCATTTCCTCTATTCAAGGTCATTATTCCAGCAATTTTCTTCTTTCTCTCTTCTGTCATAGAAATTTCCCTCTCAATTTCTGTTGTCCGGTTCTGCATGAAGCTTGGAAGTCACCACTCTATCCTAACAAGTAAAAAGTTGAACAAACTGAAAAATCAACCATTATTCTTAGATCTGTAAGAGAAGTGAGGTCACAAGACAAACCTCTGTCCCAAAAATAGGAAGAGAAAGTCGTAGATGGAGAGAATCACAACATACTTTAACAGAAACCTCTTTGGGAACCAGTGCTAGGGTAGGAAAATCTGAACTGTAATTCACAAATTGCTGAAGGCTAGGTGTGTACAAATCTGAGAGTTAAAAATTCCAGGACGATCCACTAATGGGGGATCCCATGCTTTTGTGACTTCAAGACTAACTGTAAAGCTATAGGAATCAAAGACAGTATGGTAGCAGTGAAAGGAAGGACAACAGATAGAGAGCAATGCAACAGAACAGAGAGCCCAGAAATAGATCCATATAAATATGGTCAACTGATCTTTGACAAAGGAGCAAAGGCAATATAATGGAGAAAGGACAGTCTTTCCAATAAATTATGCTGGAATAACTGGACATCCACATGCAAAAAAATTAATCTAGATACATACCTTATACCTTTCAAAAATTAACTAAAAATAGATCACAGTCTTAAATATAAAGTATATCTCCTAGAAGATAACATAAGATAAAATCTGGATGACCCTGGTTTGATGATGACATAGATACACTACTAAACGCAATAATCCATGAAAAAAGGTGGGTGTATGAGGGGTGATGAAGAGAGGTTACTTAATGGGTACAAACATACAGTGAGATAGAAGGAATAAGTTCTAATGTTCAATAGCATTATAGGGTGACTATAGTTAACAACTATATATTATATATGTCAAAAAAGCTAGAAAAGAGGACTTGAAATGTTTCCAACGCATAGAAATGACAAATACTAGAGGCGATGGATACCCTAAATACCCTAACTTGATAATTACACATTCTATGCATGTAACAAAACATTACATGTACCCCAAAATACGTAAAAATACTACGTATTACTAAAAAACATAAAAAGCAAGTGTTTTTTTTAAAAAAAGAATTAATAAGCTGTACTTCATTACAATTAAACATTTCTGATCTGCAAAACATGCTGTCAAGAGGCTGAGGCCACAAACTGGGAGAAAATGCTTACAAAAGACATATCTGATGAAAGTATTGTTAACCAAAATATACTAAGAGCTCTTAAAATCAACAATAAGAAAACAAACACGACAATTTAAAAACAGGCCAGCGATCTTAACAGATATATCCTCACCTAAGAAGATATACAGATGGCATATGAACATATGAAAAGACATTCCACATCATATGTCATCAGGTAAATGCTAATTATAAAAACAATGAGATACCAATACACAACTATTAGGATGGCCAAAATCCAAACACTTACAGTGCCAAATACTGGTGAGGATATGAGGCAACAGGAAGTGTCATTCATTGCTGGTGGAATACAAAATTGTAGAGGTAATTTGGAGGGCAATTTAGCAGTTTCTTACAAAACTAAATGTACTTAGCATACAATTCAGCAATTGCTCTCCTTGGTATTTACCCAGATAAACTGAAAACACATCCAAACCAAAACCTGCACGTTGATGTGTCTAGCAGCTTTATTCATAATTGTCAAACATGGAAACATCAAAGATGTCCTTCAGTAGGTGAATGGATAAATACACTGTGGTACATCCAGACAATGGAATATTATGCAGCACTCAAAAGAAATGAGCAATCAAGCCATGAAAACACATGGAAGAAATGTAAATGCATATTAATAAGTGAAATAAACCAGTCTAAAAAGACTACATACTGTTTTATTCCAACTATATGATGTAAAAGCAAAACTATGGAAAGAGTAGAAGGATCAGTGGTTGCCATGGGTTAGGGGGAGGGAGGAATGAATAGGCTGAGCACAGAGGATTTTTAGGCTTTTGAAAATACTCTGTATTATAATACAATGATAGATACATGACAGTATATATTTTTCCAAACCCATAGAACATAGAACACCAAGAGCAAACCCTAATGTGAACAGTGGAGTTTGGGTGATAATGATGTGTCAATGTAGGTTCATCAATTTTAGCAGATGGAACCACTGTTGTGGGGAATATTGGCAATGGGTGAGACTATGCATGGTTGGGGGCAGAAAATATATGGGATAGCTTTGTTCCTTCCTCTCACTTTTTTTGTGAACCTTAAACTGCTCTTTAAAAAAATAGTCTACACAAATTTTCCTCTCTCCTGGAATATTCTCATCAGCATGAAAACATGCTGTACTATTATCTATCTTGAAAAACAAAATTCTCCCTGTACCTATATCATTCCAGAGCTAATGCCCCAATTCTCTGATGTTTTGCTGTAGAACCCCTCAAAATAGTTGTCAATGTTTATGACACTGTCTCCTCTTTTTCCCTTCAAACCACTCCAGTCTTTTATTCTACAATCCAATGAAGTTGGTTTTCATTGGATTCATTTTATCCTACAATCCAATGAAGTTGAATGCTCCACTGAAACTGCTTTCCTCAAGATTTCCAATGATCTCCATGTTGCCAAATCCAATACTCAATTCTCAATCCTCTTGTTGACCTATCATCATAGGGAGCATATAATTTATCATCCAAATCAAGGCACTTCTAAAAGTAAAAAAGGGTCTTATTAACAATTATTCCTGTACAACAGGCATAAACCAGGACTGTCCTGGGAAACTAAATGATATTTGGTCATTTACCTAACAGTAGTGTTAGACAGGGTTGATCACTCCCTCCTCTGTGAAGCATCTTCTTGACTTGGCTTCTAACATATTATATGTTCCTGGTTTTTCTCCTACCTTATTGGCTACTCCTTGACTGTACCTTATTAACTTTTGTTTTTGATGATTTATTATCATCTCCTGTATCTCAACTTTGAAATGCCGCAAAGCCTAATCTTTTTTTTACCTTTTAGGTTCCGGGGCACATGTGAAGATTTGTTATGTTACATAGGTAAACTCACGTCATGGGAGTTTGTTGTACAGATTATTTCATCACCCAGGTATTAAGCCCAGTACCTATTAATTACTTTTTCTGCTCCTCTCCCTCCTCCCACCCTCAACTCTCAAGTAGACCCCAGTGTCTGTTGTTTCCTTCTTTGTGTTCATAAGTTCTTATCATTTAGCTCCCATTTATAAGTGAGAACATGCAGTATTTGGTTTTCTGTTCTTGTATTAGTATGCTAAGGATGATAGCCTCCAGCTCCATCCATGTTCCTGCAAAAGACATGATCTAATTCTTTTAGTAGCTGCATAGTTTTCCAGTGTGTATATGTACCACATTTTCTTTATCCGGTCTATCACTGATGGGCATTTAGGTTGATTCCATGTCTTTGCCACTGTGAATAGTGCTGCAATGAACATTCGCGTCCATGTGACTTTACAGTAGAATGATTTATATTCCTCTGGGTATATACCCAGTGATGGGATTCCTGAGTCAAATGGTGGTTCTGCTTTTTTGTGAGGAATTGCCATACTGCTTTCCACAATGGTTCCACAAACAGTGTATAAGTGTTCCTTTTCTTCCACAATCTTGCCAGCATCTGTTATTTTTTGACTTTTTAATAAGAGCCATTCTGACTTGCGTGACACGTTATCTCACTGTGGTTTTGATTTGCATTTCTCTAATAATCAGTGATATTAATCCTTTTTTCACATGCTTGTTGGCCGCATGTATGTCTTCTTTTGAAAACTGTCTGTTCAAGCCTTTTGCCCCCTTTTGAATAGGGTTGTTTTCCTCTTGTAAATTTAAGTTCCTTATAGATACTAGATACTAGACCTTTGTCAGATGAAGACTTTGCAAATATTTTCTCCCATTCTGTAGTTTGTCTGTTTACTCTGTTGACAGTTTCTTTCTCTGTGCGGAAGCTCTTAATTAAATCCCACTTGTCAATTTTTGCTTTTGCTGCAATTGCTTTTGACATCTTCATCATGAAATCTTTGCCTGTTCCTATGTCCAGAATGGTATTACCTAGGTTGTCTTCCAGAGTTTTTATAGTTTTGGGTTTTACATTTAAGTCTTCAATCCATCTTGAGTTGATTTTTTGTATATGATGTAAGTAAGGGTCCAGCTTCAATTTTCTGCATGTGGCTAGCCAGTTATCCCAGCACCATTTATTGACTAGGGAGTCTTTTCCCCATTGCTTGTTTTTGTCAGGTTTGTCAAAAATCAGATGGTCGTAGGTGTACAGCCTTACTTCTGGGCTCCCTACTTTGTTCCATTGGTCTATGTGTCTGTTCTTGTACCAGTACCATGCTGTTTTGGTTACTGTAGCCCGTATAGCTTGAAGTCAGGTAGTGTGATGCCTCCAGCTTTATTCATCTTGCTTAGGATTGCCATTGCTATTCGGACTGTTTTTTGGTTCCATATGAATTTTAAAATAGTTTTTTTCTAGTTCTGCAAAACATGCCATTGGTAGTTTCATAGGAATAACGCTGAATCTGTAAATTGCCTTGGGCAGAATAGCCATTTTAATGATATTGATTCTTCCTATCCATGAGCATGGAATGTTTTTCCATTTGTTTGTGTCATCTCTGATTTCTTTGAGCAGTGTTCTCATTGTAGAGATCTTTCACTTCTCTGGTTAGCTGTATTCTTACGTATTTTGTTCTTTTTGTGGCAATTCTAAATGAGACTGCCTTCCTGATTTGGCTCTCAGTTTGGCTGTTGTTGGTGTATAGGAATGCTAGTGATTTTTATACATTGATTTTGTATCCTGAAACTTTGCTGAAGTTGTTTATTAGCTAAAGGAAATTTGGGGCCAAGACTATGGGGTTTTCTAGATATAGAATCATGTCGTCTGCAAAAAGAGATAGTTTGACTTTCTCTCTTCCTATTTTGGATGCCCTTTATGTCTGTCTCTTGCCTCATTGCCCTGGATAGGACTTCTAATACTATGTTGAATTGGAGTGGTGAGAGAGGGCATCCTTGCCAAAGCTCAATCTTTGGACTTCCTCTCTTACTACTCACACTATCTACATCTCTTAGTCATCTCATCCAACCTCTTGGCTTTAAATACCACCTATACCTTCATGTTTCTCAAATTTCTACCTCTAGTCTGGACCTATCTCCAAAGTCCCAAACTTATATCTCCAACTGCTTACTTTCCATCTTGACATGGATGTCTAAAAGGCATCTGAAATGCAATAAGTGATATCTGTATTCACTGAGCTGCTCAGCATCAGAATCAATTCCTCTTTTTCTCTTACTCTATATTTGATTCATCTACAACATCCATTGAATCTACCCACTAAATATATTTCAAAGCTGGACACTTACCACCACTTCCACAGCTGAGATCTTATTCCAAATCAATATCATCTGTTACCTGGACCACTGCAATTGTTTTATAGGTACTAGTTATCCTTCTTGCCTCAATTCTTGTTTCTCTAGAGTCCATTCTCTACACAGTAGCCAGGATTACTATTTAAAAATATAAGTCATGGCCAGGCATGGTGGCTCACACCTGTAATCCTAGCACTTTGGGAAGCTGAGGCAGGTGGATCACTTGAGGCCAGGAGTTTGAGACCAACCTGGGAGACACGGTGAGACCCCGTCTGTATTAAAAATACAAACATTAGCTGTGTGTGGTGGTGCATGCCTGTAGTCCCAGTTACTTGGGAGGCTGAGGCACAAGAATTGCCTGAACCTGGGAGGCAGAGGTTGCATGCACTTAGCCGTGACCATGCCACTGTGCTCCAGCCTGGGTGACAGAGCAAGACTGTCTATCTCTCTCTCTCTCCATATATATATATGGAGACAGCATATATATATATATATATATATATACACACACACATATATACACACACACATATATATATACACATATATATACACACACATATATATATACACATATATATATACACATATATATATACACACATATATATATATATGTGTGTGTATATATATATATAATATCTCACAGCTCTCCAGCTCCCCTTGCCAAAACCTTCTAGTGGCTTTCTGTAAGACTTAGAATCCAAACTTCTTTCCATGGCCTGTAATATCTTACATGATCTGGCCCCTGGCTACCATTTTAAAATCATCTCTCACCATTCTCCCCTTGCTTCCTCCATTTCAGCCACACTAGCCTTCTTGCTGTTTTTTGAGCAAGCCAAACACATTCCTACCTAAGGACCACTGTATTTGTTGTTCCCAAAGCCTAGAATATTTATCTGTTAGATAACCTCATGACTTGCTCCATCACTTCATTCAGGTATTTGCTCAGAATGAACTTCTCTGACTATCCTATCTAAAATAGTATCCCTCCTTCCAACACCCTCATACCCTGTTTTATTTTTCTCGGTATCATTCACAACCACTTAATATTACATATTTATATATTTAATTTCTTATTATCTGTTTCCCTCATCCCTAAATGTAAGCTCCATGAGGATGATGTTTTGTTTTATTCTATGCTGTATTCCTAGAACCTAGAAACAGTGTTTGGGACAAAACAGATTGTTCAATTTGTTGAAAATATAAAGACCCCTTGAACATATGGTTTTCTGTTGATTATATAAATCATATCAGTTTACACTATATTTAAAATCTGGGAAGAGACATTATGCTTCTATAAGCATCTATCACTGACCAATCAGACAAAGAAGCACCCCCATAAAATATTTAGACAAATTATTTTGTTAGAGACAATATTTTTGGCTGGCAAGTGTCTCACCCAGTAGGTTTTTAAAAGTTTTAATTCAAATTGCTTTTTTAGAGCTACCTGCCCACTCTTCCCTAAATTACTGACTGTAATTCAATTAAAATAGGAATGGGGGGAGAAAGAGAGAGGTGGAGATTTTTGTTTGTAGTAAGTTCAGTTCATTCTAGGTTTACTTTGAATGTACATTTCAAATTTAATTTTGGTTTTGTTTGTTTTTATTTTGGTAATTCACAAAATTGTATACACTTATCATATACAATACATTGTTTTGAAATATGTATGCATGATGGAATAAATTTGGCTAATTAACATAGCCATCACCTCACATACCATTTTTTGGTGAGAAGATTCGAAATGTACTCTCTTAACAATTTTGAAATATGCAATTCATAATTATTAACTATAATTGCAATACTGTGCAATAAATGTCAAAAACTTACTCCTCCTGTCAATGTGAAACTTTGTACCCTTTGACCAACACATCCCCATTCCTGTTCTCGCTCCCATCCTCTGGTAACCACCATTCTACTTTCTACTGCTATGAGTTTGACTTTTTCAGATTCTATATATAAGCGAGATCATGGAGTATTTGTCTTTCTGTGCCTGATATATATATATATATATATCAACAACTGAAATCAGTATGTTATATATATATATATATATCAACAACTGAAATCAGTATTATATATATATATATACATATATATATATACATATATATATATTTGTATATATTACATACTGATTTCAGTTGTTTTGTACATATACCAAGAAGTGGAATTGCTGGATCACATGATAGTTCTATACTTAGTTTTTTTTAGGAATCTCCATACAGTTTTCCATAATGGCTGTACTAGTTTATATTTCTAGAGTGTACAAGAGTGCTTTTTTCTCCACATCCTCATCGACACTTGTTATCTATCATCTTTTCAATAATAGCCATTCTAACAGGTTTGAGTGATACTGCACTGTGGTTTTAACTTGCATTTCCCCGATGATTAGTGATGTAGAACATTTTTTGACATATCTGTTGGCCAGTTGTATGTCTTCTTTTGAGAAATGTCTATTGAGGTCCTTTGCCATTTTAAAAATAAGGTTATTGTTTTCTTGCTATTGAGTTGAGCTCCTTATGTATTTTTGATATTAACCCCTTAACAAATATATGGTTTTCAAATATTCTCTCCTGTTCTGTAGATTGTCTCTTCACTCTGTTGTTTCCTTAGCTGTGCGGAAGCTTTTTAGTTTGAAGTAATCCCACTTGTTTATTTTTGCTTTTGTTCCCTGTGCTTTTGGGTTCGTAACCAAAAAATAAATGCCCAGACCTATGTCATGGAGTTTTCCTCTTATTTTTTGTTCTAGTAGTTTTACAGTTTCAGGTCTAATGTTTAAGTCCTCAATTCATTTTGAGTTGATTTTTATATATGTTGTAAGATAAGGGTCTAATTTCATTCTTCTACATGTGGATATCCAGTTTTTCCAACACTATTTATTAAAGAGATTGTTCTTCCCTCATTGTGTATTCTTGGAACCTTTGTCAAAAATCAATGAAGTATAAATGTGTGAGTTTATTTCTGGGTACTCTCTATATTTAATTTTCTATTTTGCCATCTAAAGCAGGTAGTAAGCTAATGTACACACTGCTACACTGGAATTGAACATAATACTGGAAAAGTGCTCTAGCTTTGATAGGATTTATCAAGTTTGAAAGTCTAAACTTCTATGAAACTCTATACTTTTACCATAAACACAAGGCTTCCTTTTTTTCCAATCTGATGTAAAATGCCAAACAAATACATAAATGTTTGAGGATGTTTTAGTTTGTTAGTGCTGCCACAACAAAATACCACGGGCTGGGTGACTTAAACAACATAAATTTTTTTTCCCATAATTTTAGAGACTGGAAATCCAAGATCAAGATTTTGGCAGGTTTAATTTGTCCTGAGGCCTCCCTTCCCTGGTTTACAAATGACCACCATCTTGCTGTGTCGTCACATGGTGTTTCCTCTGTGCATGTGCACCTCCAGTATTTCTGTGTGTCCAAATTTCCAGTTCTTATAAGGACACCAATCAGATTGAATTAGGACCCACCCTAATTAACTTAATTGCCCCTTCAAAGGCCCTGTCTCCAAACATAGTCACATTTGGAAGTACTTGAGATTAGTGCTTAAACATGAGAATTTTGGGGTGGACAGGATTCAGCCCATAACAGAAGATTAACATGGTAAAGAGAGTATTCAAATGAACTCCTATCATATTTATAGGAACTCTACCACAAGACAGGTTACCAAGTTGTTTTTTAATTCACTTGTGAGGTAAAATTTACAGAACTGTGAAATTTCACAACTCCCTTTTGGTAAGGAAATCTGGAGTGTTTGACACTCATCAATTTTCCCCTTATTATGATATACCCATGTGAATTCATAGATGGTAAAATGCCAATAACTGGAAGTAAGAATGTTAAAGATATCTACATAATGCCCAAAACTCAATGAATAGCCTATTTTACCACATTTATTTACCTATCTATAACTTGCTTGATTCTGTGACCACTGCCTTCACTGTAAGTTGTATAATAGACTAAGTAATGTATCCCTCTCCACAATATTCCATTTTCTAATCCCTGGAAACTGTCAATATGTTACCTTACATGGCAAAAAGGGACTCTGCTCATATAATTAAGTTAAGGATCTTGAGATGGGAAGGCTATCCTTGATTATGCAGTTAGTCCCAACATAAGCAGAGTCATTAAAAGAGGGAGGCAAGAAGGTCAAAGACAGAAAGAGGTGGGACAATAAAATTAAAGGCTGAAATGATGTGAGAAAGAGATTATAAGCCAAGGAACACAGGCAGAAGCTGAAAAAAAGGCAAGAAAACGGATTCTCCTCTCACAGCCTCCAGAAGGAGCCAGCCCTGCTAACACCTTCACTTAAACCCAGCAAGACTAAATTTGAACTTCTGGCATCTAGAATAGTAACATAATAAATATATGTTGTTTTAAGCAATCAAATTTATGGTAATTTGTTACAACAACAGGAAAATAGGAAAAGCAGTCTGATTTTTAGGAGTAGGAAGGTATACTAGAACTGTTCTTTAGGGAATTACTTGGGAAATTGCTGGGTATATTGATACTGAGCATATCACAAAGTCAGTCCGTACTCACTCAGCCCTAAACTTGCTGCTGTGTGCCCCAAATCCTAAGGCTATAAGACAATAGCTGGTAAGACCTTGTTGAAGAACAAAGACATTACTTCAAATTTAGAGAATAGTACCAAGGCCAATTTTCAAGGCTTAGATACCTTAAGCTTGTTTATTGCTCAGAAAGGAAAGGTGAACTCATAAGTATTATTTTGTGATAAAACTGGCATACAGAAACAAAATGGATAGAAAAAAAACTCAACAAGCTTTCTACAAATATACTGACTGCTTAAATATGTTCCCTAATGTCTACTGAGTCTTTTGAAAAGTAGCAATAGCCCCCTCTTTTCCTGTGTCCTTCCTAGACCCTTTATTCTAGGAAAATGCTATTTGTAATTTTTAAGTAGGTATGGGAAAATAAATATATTATTATCAATGTTTTGTAAGAGATAACTGCTAGTATTCTTTGTACAGCAAACTATAATAGCATTTCCCAAACATCTAATTAACAGAATTTCTCCCCACAAGGATTAATAATGATGAATTATTTCCAACTAACACATATGGTGGTTGCAAACCGCTGATACACAGAGTCTATGAAAGTAGTAAAATTTTAAAAGTCTCTACCTTGTGTTTATCACTGGAATTTCAGCTTCTGCAAAATATGGATAGCCTATTTTACCACATTTATTTACCCATATATAACTTGCTTGATTCTATGACCACTGCCTTTACTGTAAGTAGTACAGTAGACTAAATAATGTATCAGCCCCCACAACATGTCAATTTTCTAATCCCTGGAATCTGCGAATATGTTACCTTACATGGCAAAAATGGACTTTGCCTATGAAATTACATCATTCACAATGTAACCTGCTAAATTTAAAAAAGCCTCACAATCAAACTGAACAGAGGCTATATAGTTCTTGCTTAAAGCTTCAAGGACAAGTGTCATCACTATCAAAATTACAAAGCCCCTTTTTGCAGAAATGGAAAAGCAGATATTAAAATTCATATAGAATTGCAAGGGGCTTCAAATAGCCAAAACAATCTTGAAAAAAAAAAAGTTGGAGAACTCACAATTCCCAATTTTAAAACATACTACAAAGCTACAATAATCAAAACAGGGAGGTACAGACATAAGGACAGATATGTAGATTAATGGAATGGAATTGAATGGCCAGAAATAAACACATCTATAGACAACTGAAGTTCAACAATGGTGCCAAGACCATAAAATGTGAAAGAATATCTTCAAAAAATATGGCTGGAACAACTAGAAAGCTACATGTCAAAGAATGAACTTGGACTCCTACCTCATGCCATATATAAAAATTAACTCCGAATATATGAAAGGCATAAATATAAGAGCTAAAATTATATTGGGCAGTGCTTCTGTTATACCTTTCATTGATAAGGAATACAAAGAAAGAAAGCTGTTCTCAAACTTGTTTTTTCTAAGGATGACATTATGGCTCCTACATGGCACTATGGTTAAGGAACTTATAAGTAAGATTACTTCTAACAAGAAATGTTCAGTCACATAAATGAGAACTCAAAAAATCAATACAACAGAGACTTCTGATTTCCAGTCTGAAATGTAAAGTGATTGGAAGTCATTACTCTCATTGTTAGTATAAGAAAAAAGCTGAACAAACTGAAAATTAACAGCTCTTCTTAGATCCATCAGAGAATTGAGGTCACAGGACAAGCCACTGCCCCCAAAATTGAGAAAAAATGTGGTTACTGAAAACCACAGCTTACTGACATCAGAATCTCAGGAGCAGACGCCCACTGCTAGACCCAGTAGTGGAAGGCTCAATGTGGACTAGCTTTACAGTTAAAATATCTGGAGGTTCCTCTCAGAGAGGCTCCCAAATCTTTGTGAGTTTTGCCTCCAGGAGCCCTGACAGGTTCTCAATATAAAGACTGGTAAAAAAAATAATAAAAATAAAAATAAAAATAAATAAAATCCCCTCATGTTTCTAGTAGGAAGACAGGGGTTGGCGGTGGGGGCAGGGGTGTGGAGGGGGGAGTAACCATTTGAAATATGCCCAGAGTATTCTGTTCTCCTTAAAAATCCCTGCTTCCCTAAAGGGAAACTATTTTACCAGAACCCAACTGAATTGGGTTTTATCAATGCCTATCCGACTGTAAAGAAGGGAAATACCCAGATCTAGTACCCATTAGCCTGATACAGGGTAAGGAAAATAACCAATTCAGCCCCATCTAGGATTCCCGTATCACCTAGTGGGAAGAAAAAACTGAGAAAAACTTGTGAAGGTCATAGCACAGGGGTACTAGGTCACTAAAAGACTAAGACCTAATCATAAGACAATAGAATATATACCCCTTGTACCCACTGCTTACCACTACATCAATCAGGCTAATGTCTAATAACAGGGAATTACAGCTGGAACAACTGTTAAGTATCAGACCTTATATAAAAAGTAATCTCCGGGGAACCCAAAGACAACAGAATAGGAAAAAGCAGGGATAGCAGAAGAAATTTTAGAGTTTGACATCTATAGCTACAACAAATATTGAATATAGCCTGATTCTTAGACAGATAAACATAAAGCCTCACACTTAAGGCCTATTTTACTGAGTTCTGTTGCCTAATATATCATGTCTAGCTTTGAACAAAAAATTGGAAGCCATGTTAAATTGCAAAATACAGTCTCAAGAGTCAAAGTAAGCATCAGAACCTGACTCAGATATGGCAGATATTTTTGGAACTATCAGACTAGTATGATAAGGGCTCTAGTGGGAAAAAAATGGACAACATTTAAGAAAAAATGAGTAATATAAACAGAGAGGTTTGAAAACCCTATGAAGAATGAGGGGGAAGGACAAGATGGCTGACTAGAAGTAGCTAGAGTATGCCACACTCACAAAGAGAAGAAACAGTAGCAATTAAACACTACATCTTCAACTGAAACATGCAGGTGAACATATTGGAATTCATCAAGGAAACAACTCGACCCACGAAGAACAGAGAGGAGTAAGACAGGATCTCTGTCCATCTGGGAGGTTCCCTCTCCATGGGAAATGGTGAGTGAGTGAGAAACTTCAGGAATCCACACTTAGGATCTTTGGAACTCTAGGATCAGGAGATCCCCCTGTGAGCCCACTCCACCAGGGCCTTCGGACTGATACACAGAGCTATGTGGAGACTGGACAGAGCCACACTCACATATATGCAGAGTCCCAAGGAGCCCTGGATCCCCAGGCATCCTGGCATTAGCAGCTGCAGCTCTGGTAAAAGGGGAGGTAGGCCGGGTGCGGTGGCTCACGCCTGTAATCCCAGCACTTTGGGAGGCCAAGGTGGGCGGATCACGAGGTCAGGAGATCAAGACCATCCTGGCTAACACGGTGAAACCCTGTCTCTACTAAAAATACAAAAAATTAGATGGGCATGGTGGTGGGCACCTGTAGTCCCAGCTACTCAGGAGGCTGAGGCAGGAGAATGGCGTGAACTCAGGAGGTGGAGCTTGCAGTGAGCCGAGATTGTGCCACTGCACACTCCAGCCTGGGGGACAGAGCTAGACTCTGTCTCAAAAAAAAAGGTTGCGGGGAGGTAAGCCTCACTTATACAACCCCAAGAAAGGTGCTGAATCCAGGGCGCTGAACAATGAAGGTCTGCAAGCCTCACAGGCTGAGACACACTGGTCTGGACTTTAGTTACCCCCTACTAGGGCTCTTAGGCCTGTAACAACTCCTCACCTCCCAGACAGGTGGGCTGCCATCTTTGTAATCTTGCAGTCTTCAGGTTCTGGAGAGTCCCAGGCAACTACCGTGTGGCACAGACTCCCAGCACAGTGTGGCCACCCTAAAAAAAGCAGCCAGACTGTTTTCTATGTGGGTCTCCAATCCCGTTTCTTCCCACTGGGCAGGACCTCCCAACCTGGGACTCCAGCCACCCCCTCGCTGGGGTTCTCATGCTGGTGGCAGCTCTGCAGATCTCTGGGACAGAGCTCAAAGAAGGAGCAAGCCAACATCTTTGCTCTCTTGCAGTCCTTGCCTTTGCTACCTTCAAGCTCTCACGAGTCCATGGTAACTAGGCACTGGTGCAGACCCTCAGCACAGTGCAGCTACTCCATGGAAAAGTGGCCACATTGTTCCCCATGCAGGTATCTGTCCCCACTTCTCACTGGGCAAGGCCTCCCAACCTGGGACTCCAGCAGAACTACCCTGCACCCACCTGAGCACTTCAATTAGAGGTGGCTCAGCATTTCTCCAAGTAGGAAATCCCAGAGTCAATTCAAAACCCTTCCACCACTGCAGCTGCAGTGGTACTGCCCTAACTACCCTTAGGCCGGGGAAGGAACAAAGGGCCTAGTTGTTGTATTGGCACTTCCAGCACACTGCAGCCACCATATGGAAGGGAGTCCAGTTCCTCTTCCTTAGGCGTCTTCATCCCCCTCTCTTCACCAGGCAGGGCCCCAGGCTCACAACTCCAGAACAGCTGCCCTACTCACTGCTGAGCATACCCCACTGGTAGTGGCTCTGAGTTTTCTTTGGAAGAGGTTCCTGGAGGCAACCAACAGCCCCTCTGCCACTGCCACAGTAGCAGTTTCTGCCCCTGCTACCCTCAGTTGGGGAAAGAAACAAAGAGCTCGAGGGCTTCACGCAAGCTTACAGCACAACAAAGTCGCCACACGGAGAGGAGCCGGTCTCTCCTCCCTGTGAGCCCATGATACCCTGCTCCCCAACAAGTAGAGCCCCTACCTCAGGACAGCAGTGCAGCTGATCTAGCCCCTGGCTGAACACTCCCAGTAGCAGCAGCTCTGTGTTTCTTGGAGGTAGAACTCTTAGGGGCAACTGAAAGCCCCTCTGCCACTGCCTCTGCAGTGGAACTGCTCTTACTGTCCTCAAACTGGGGAAGGAGTAAAGACCCTGAGTGCTTTATCCCCACCTCCAGCAAACTGCAGTTGCTTTAAGGAGAGACCAGTCTGTCTCCCACAGGTCCCACCCACCCCTCTTGCTCATCACCAGGTAGGGCCCCTCCAGGTTGATCCCACGTAAGTACAGCCTCCCCATCCCAGGCCAATCACATTGATTGATCACAGCTCTACATGTCTCTGGGGTAGCGCCCGGGAGACAAGTGAAAGACCCTAGGCCACAACCACAGCTAAGGTCCCTCCTTCTGCTGTCTCCAAACTGGGGAGCGAACAGAAAGCCTGAGATCACCCCAGAGCCACAGTGTACAGCTTGGGAGTGCCAAGTTGAGATCTGCAGCCAGCACTCAAGTGGGAGAGGAGCCAATATTTTCAGAGCATTGAGAGGGACACAGCTGCAACCATAGAGAAATACACAGGAGCCACATGACTACGCAAGAGCCTACCTACTGACCATTATGCATAAGTGCCACATACTAGATCATACCGCAAAACTTCAACACCAAAAATACTTTGCGAACATACTCCCCTGCGAAACCAAAGACAAGAATTCAGTTACAAATAAAGTCCTTGCATAAAGCCACAGCCCTCTGAAAACATCCAGAAAAGAAGTCTACTGACTGTACTCAATTTACACCACAGTTAAAGGAACACCCACACACACAGATGAGAAAAAAAAAACAGTGCAAGAACTCTGGTAACTGAAAAGGCCAAAGTGTCTTCTTTCCTCCAAATGACTGCACACACTAGTTCTCCAGCAAGGGTTCTTAACTGATATGAGAGAGCTGAAAAAACAGAAATAGAATTCAGAATATGAATAGGAATGAAGAACATCAAGATTTAGGATAACACTGAAACCCAATCCAAGGAAGCTAAGCATCACAAGAAAGGATATACAGGTGCTTATAGACAAAACAGTCAGTATAAAAAAGAACCAAACTGACCTGATAAGAGCTGAGAAACACACTACAAGAATTTCATAATGCAATCAAATCACAAATATTAACAGCAGAATAGAACAAGGTGAGGAAAGAATCTCAGAGCTTGAAGACTGGCTCCCTGAAATAAGACAGTCAAACAAAAATAAAGACAAAAGAATTGAAAGGAAAACACAAAATTTACAAGAAATACAAGACTATGTAAAGAGACCAAATCTATGACTCACTGACATCCCTGAAAGAGATGGGGAGAAAGCAAGCAACTTGGAAAACATATTTCAGCATATCATCCATGAAAACTTCCCCAAACTCGCTAGAGAGACCAATATTCAAATTCAGGAAATGCAGAGAACCCTTGAAAGATTCTACACAAGAAGATCATCCCCAAGACAGATAATCATCAGATTTTCCAAGATCGAAATGAAAGAAAAAATGTTAAAGGCAGCTAGTGAGAAAGAGCAGGTCACCTAAAAAGGGAACCACATCAGGCTAAGAGTGGACCTCTCAACAGAAACCCTTCACACCAGAAGAGATTGGGGACTATATTCAACATTCTCAAAGAAAAGAAATTCCAACCCAGAATTTTATATCTGGCCAAATTAAGCTTACTAGGTGAAGGAGAAATAAGATCCTTTTCAGACAAGTAAGGGCTGAGGGAATTCGTTACCACCAGACCTGCCTTACAAGAGCTCCTGAATAAAGCACTAACTATGAAAAAGAAAGGCCGTTACCAGCCACTGCAAAAATACTTTTAAGTACACAGACCAGTGACACTATAAAGCAATCACACAAACAAGTCTGCATAATAACCAGCTAACATCATGATGACAGGATCAAATCCACACATATCAATACTAAACTTGAATGTAAACAGGCTAAATGCCCTCAATTAAAAGGCACAGATTGGCAAGCTGGATAAAGAAGCAAGACCCAATGGTATGCTGACTTCAAAAGACCCATCTCACATGTAATGACACCCATAAGCTCAAAATAAAGGAATGGAAAAAAATCTACCAAGCAAATGGAGAACAGAAAAAAGCAGGGGTTACAATCCTAATTTCAGACAAAACAGACATTAAATCAACAAAAACAAAAAAGATAAAGTCTTTTTTGGAACCCATAATGGTAAAGGGTCCAATTCAACATGAAGACCTAACTATCCTAAATATATGCACTCAACACAGGAGCACCCAGATTCATTAAAACAGTTCTTAGAGACCTACAAAGAGACTTAGATTCCCACACAATAATAGTGGGAGACTTCAATACCCTACTGACAGTATCAGATCATCAAGGCAGAAAATTAACAAAGGTATTCAGGACCTGAACTTAGCACTTGACCAAATGGACCTAATAGACATCTGCAGAACTTTCCATCCAAAAACAGCAGAATATACATTCTTCTTATTGCCACATGCCAAATGCTTTAAAATTGACCACACAATTGAACATAAAACAATCCTTAGCAAATTCAAAAAACCTGAAATCATATCAACCACACTTACAGACCACAGCATAATTAAAATAGTCTTCAATACAAAGAAAATTGCTCAAAATCATTCATTTATGTGGATATTAAACCACCTGCTTCTGAATGACTTTTCAGTAAATAATGACTTCTGGGTAAAGAAGTTCCTTGAAACTAATGGGAACAATGATACAACACACCATAATCTTTGAGACATAGCTAAGGCAGTGTTAAGAGGGAAATTTATAGCATAAAATGCCCACATCAAAAAATTAGGAGAATCTCAAATTAACAACCTAAGATCATAACTAGAAGAAATAGAGAAGCAAGAGCAAACCAACCACAAAACTAGTAGAAGATAAGGAATAGACAAATCAGAGGTGAACTGAAGCAGACTGAGACATGAAAAGTCATAAAAAATAATCAACAAATCCAGGAGCTGCTTCTTTCAAAAAATCAGTAAGACAGATAGACTGCTAGCTAGACTAATAAAGAAGAAAAAAGAGATGATCCAAACAATTAGAAATGACAAAGGAGATGTTACCACTAACCCCAAAGAAATACAAATAACCATCAGAGACTATAATGAATACCTCTATGCACAAAAACTAGAAAATCCAGAGGAAATGGATAAATTCTTGAATACATACATTTTTGCAGGACTGAACCAGGAAGAAACTGAATCCCTGAACAGACCAATGATGAGCTCTGAAATTGAATCAGTAATAAATAGCCTACCAACCAACAAAAGCCTAGGACCAGACTGATTCACAGCCAAATACTATCAGATGTACAAAGAGCTAGTATCATTCCTACTGAAACTATTCCAAAACAATTGAGAAGGAGGGACTCCTCCTCAACTCATTCTATCAGACCAGCGTCATCCTGATACAAAAAAGTGGCAGAGACACAACAAAAAAGAGAAAACTTCAGGTCAATATCCCTGATGAACACAGCTGCAAAAATCCTCAACAAAATACTAGCAAACATCAGCCCATAAAAAACCTAATCCATCATAATCAAGTAGGCTTTATTCCTGGGATGCAAGGTTGGTTCAACATATGCTAATCAATAAATGCAATTCATCACATAGACAAAACTCAAGACAAAAACCACATGATTTTATCAATAGATGCAGAAAAGGCTTTTGATAAAATTCAGCACCCCTTCATGTTAGAAACCTTCAAAAAACTAGGCATTGAAGAACCATACTGCAAAATGATAAGAGTCATCTATGACAAACCCACAGCCAACATCACAGGGAATGGGCAAAAGCTGAAAGCATTCCCCTTGAAAACTGGCACAAGGCAAGGATGCCCTCTCTCAACACTCTTGTTCAATATAGTATTGGAAGTTCTGGCCAAAGCAATCAGACAAGAAAAAGAAATAAAAGGCATCCAAATAGGACGAGAGGAAGTCAAACTACCCCTGTTTGCAGACAACATAATTCTGTATCTAGAAAACCTTATCATCTATGACCAAAAGCTCCTTGAGCTGATAAACAACTTTAGCAGTTTCAGAATACAAAATCAACATAGGAAAACCAATAGCATTCCTGTGTACCAACAACATCCAAGCTGAGAGCCAAACCAGGAATGTAATCCCACTCACAATGACCACAAAAAGAATAAAATACCTAGGAATACAGCTAACCAGGGAGGTGAAAGATCTCTACAATGAGAATTACAAAACACTACTCAAAGAAATCAGAGAGGACACAAATGGTAAAATACTCCATGCTCATAGAGTCAATATTGTTAAAATAGCCATAAGGCCCAAAGCAATTTACAGATTCAATGCTATTACTATTTAACTACCATTGAGATTTTAGACAAAAACTATTTTAAAATTCATATGGAACCAAAAAAGAACCTGAATAGCAAAGGCAATCCTAAGAAAAAAGAATAAGGCTGAAGGCATCACATTACCCAACTTCAAACTATACAACAGGGCTACGATAACCAAAACAGCATGGTACTGGTACAAAAACAGAAAGACCAATGAAATAGAACAGAGAGCCCAGAAATAATGCCACACACCTACAATTATCTGATCTTCAACAAAACTGACAAAAACATGCAATGGAAAAAGGATTTCCTATTCAATAAATGGTGCTAGCATAACTGGCTAGCCATATGCAGAAAGTTGAAAATGGATCCCTTCCTTACATCATATACAAAAATCAACTCAAGGTGGATTGAAGACTTAAATGTAAGACCTAAAACTATAAAAATCCTGCAAGATAACCTAGGAAATACCATTCTGGACACAGAAACGGGCAAAGATTTCATGACAAAGATGCCAAAAGCAATTGCAACAAAAGCAAAAATTGATAAAAGAGAACTAAGTTAACTAAAGAGCTTCTGCAAGCAAAATAAACTATCAGCAGAGTAAACAGACAACCTATAAAATGGGAGAAAATATCAGCAAACTATGCATCTGACAATGGTCTAATATCCAGCATCTATAAGGAACTTAAACAAATTTACAAGCAAAAAGCAAACAACCCCATTAAAAAGTGGGTGAAGGAAATGAACAGACACTTTTCAAAAGAAGCCATACATGTGGCCAACAAGCACATGAAAAAATGCTCAACATCATAAATCATTAGAGAAATGCAAATCAAAACCACAATGAGATACCATCTCACAGCAGTCAGAATGGCTATTATTTAAAAATCAAAATATAACATGCTGGCAAGGTTGCACAGAAAAGGGAACACTTACACACTGCTGGTGGGAGTGTAAATCAGTTCAGCCATTGTGGAAAGCAGTGTGGTGATTCCTCAAAGAACTAAAAACAGAATGACCATTCGACCCAACAATCCCATTACTGAGTATATACCCAAAGGAATATAAATTGTTCTACCATAAAGACACATGCACGCATTTATTCGCTGCAGCACTATTCACAATAAGCAAAGACATGGAGTCAATCTTAACGCCCATCAATGGTATACTGGATAAAGAAAATGTGGTAAATATATACCAGGGAATACTACACAGCCATAAGAATGAATGAGATTGTGTCCTTTGCAGCAAATTGATGGAGCTGGAGACTATTATCCTTAGCAAACTAATGCAGGAACAGAAAATCAAATATCACATGTTCTAACTTATAAGTGGGAGCTAAATGACAAGAACACATAAACACAAAGCAGGGAACAACAGATACTGGGCCCTACTTGAGGGTTGAAGGTAGGAGTGGGGAGATAATTTAAAAAAATACCTATTCGGTTCTATGCTTAGTGCATGGGCAACAAAATTATCTGTACACCAAACCCCTGTGGTGCAAGTGTACAGATAATACACCTATATAATAAACCTATATAATAAACCTGTACATGTACCACTGAACCTAAAATAAAAGTTAGACAAAAAACAAAGAAAAGAAAATTATATGAAATACTCAAAAGGAAATGCTAGAAATTTAAAGCACTGTAACTGAAATGAAGAATACCTCTAAAGGATTCCTTCATCAGTGGATTGGACAGTCAAGGGAAGAATCGGTGAGCTTGGAACTATATCAGTAGAAAGTCCTCAAACTGACAAGAATAAAAAGGAAGGAATAAATAAAATAAATAGATAAACCAAAAGAAAAAACACAGAAAAGAATATCCAAGAATTATGGAACAATTACAAAAGTTGTAACACACACATAATGGTGATACCAGAAGGGGAAGAAAGAAAGAAACAACCATTTGAAGTAATAATGGCTGAAACTTTTGCAAACTGAATGACAGATGCTGTCTTGGTCTGTTTTCTGCTGCTATAAAAGACTATCACACACTGGGTAATTTGTAAAGAAAAGGAATTTATTTGGTTCATGGTTCTGGAGGCTGAGAAGTCCAGGATCAAAAGGCTGAATCTGGTGAAGGTCTTCTTGCTGCATCATAACATTATGGAAGGGCAAGTCAGCATGTGAGACAAAGAAAAAAAGAGGGCCTAACTCCTGGAATAACTAACCCACGCCCTCCATAATGGCATTAATCCACTCATGATGGTGAAGACCTCACAATCTAAATACCTCTTAAAGGTCCCAACTCCCAACAGTATTACTTTTGCAATAAAATTTCAACATGAATTTTGGAGGGGACATTCAAACCATAGCAGATGCCAAACCACAAATCCAAGAAGCTCACAGAACACTAAGCAGAATTTAACCAAAAAAATTTACACATAGACATATTATACTCAAGCTGCAGAAAATGAAAGACAAAATCTTCATAGATTAAGATAAAATCTTCATAGAAGCCAAAAGAAAAAAAATGCCTTACTTACAGAAGAGCAAGGCTAAGAATTAGGTTGAACTTATCTTCAGAAACCATGCCATCAGGAAGAGAGTGGAGTGGAATATCTAAAATGTTATAGTAAAAAAACACACCAATCTGAAATACTGATACAACAAAATAATCCTTCTAAAGTGTAGAAGATAAAGACTTTCAGACAAACATAATTTGAGACCAAATCTGTGTTTTTTCTTTGGTTAATCTGAAATGGCCCACATCAAGCAGACTACACACAAGTCTACTGGAGGTAAACTGCCATGTCAACATCTGGCCACCATGTGATCTCATTGTTCAATTCCCACCTATGAGTGAGAATATGCAGTGTTTGGTTTTTTGTTCTTGCAATAGTTTACTGAGAATGATGATTTCCAATTTCATCCATGTCCCTACAAAGACATGAACTCATCATTTTTTATGGCTGCATAGTATTCCATGGTGTATATGTGCCACATTTTCTTAATCCAGTCTATCATTGTTGGACATTTGGGTTGGTTCCAAGTCTTTGCTATTGTGAATAATGCCACAATAAACATACGTGTGCATGTGTCTTTATAGCAGCATGATTTATAGTCATTTGGGTATATACCCAGTAATGGGATGGCTGGGTCAAATGGTATTTCTAGTTCTAGATCCCTGAGGAATCGCCACACTGACTTCCACAATGGTTGAACTAGTTTCCAGTCCCACCAACAGTGTAAAAGTGTTCCTATTTCTCCACATCCTCTCCAGCACCTGTTGTTTCCTGACTTTTTAATGATTGCCATTCTAACTGGTGTGAGATGGTATCTCATAGTGGTTTTGATTTGCATTTCTCTGATGGCTAGTGATGATGAGCATTTTTTCATGTGTCTTTTGGCTGCATAAATGTCTTCTTTTGAGAAGTGTCTGTTCATGTCCTTCGCCCACTTTTTGATGGGGTTGTTTGTTTTTTTCTTGTAAATTTGTTTGAGTTCATTGTAGATTCTGGATATTAGCCCTTTGTCAGATGAGTAGGTTGCGAAAATTTTCTCCCATTTTGTGGGTTGCCTGTTCACTCTGATGGTAGTTTCTTTTGCTGTGCAGAAGCTCTTTAGTTTAATTAGATCCCATTTGTCAATTTTGTCTTTTGTTGCCATTGCTTTTGGTGTTTTGGACATGAAATCCTTGCCCATGCCTATGTCCTGAATGGTAATGCCTAGGTTTTCTTCTAGGGTTTTTATGGTTTTAGGTCTAACGTTTAAATCTTTAATCCATCTTGAATTGATTCTTGTATAAGGTGTAAGGAAGGGATCCAGTTTCAGCTTTCTACATATGGCTAGCCAGTTTTCCCAGCACCATTTATTAAATAGGGAATCGTTTCCCCATTGCTTGTTTTTCTCAGGTTTGTCAAAGATCAGATAGTTGTAGGTATGCGGCGTTATTTCTGAGGGCCCTGTTCTGTTCCATTGATCTATATCTCTGTTTTGGTACCAGTACCATGCTGTTTTGGTTACTGTAGCCTTGTAGTATAGTTTGAAGTCAGGTAGTGTGCTGCCTCCAGCTTTGTTCTTTTGGCTTAGGATTGACTTGGCGATGCGGGCTCTTTTTTGGTTCCATATGAACTTTAAAGTAGTTTTTTCCAATTCTGTGAAGAAAGTCATTGGTAGCTTGATGGGGATGGCATTGAATCTGTAAATTACCTTGGGCAGTATGGCCATTTTCACGATATTGATTCTTCCTACCCATGAGCACAGGAAGGAGAATATCACACTCTGGGGACTGTGGTGGGGTGGGGGGAGGGGGGAGGGATAGCGTTGGGAGATATACCTAATGCTAGATGACGAGTTAGTGGGTGCAGCGCACCAGCATGGCACATGTATACATATGTAACTAACCTGCACAATGTGCACATGTACCCTAAAACTTAAAGTATAATAAAAAAAAATACATAAAATTTGACCATTTCCCCAGCAGATTTCTCATCCATAGGCTCAAAACCAACTCATTTTATTTTGGGAGCCCTACAATACTTTATCAATATTATATCATTTGAAAAAAAATGATCTGTAGTCAAAAGTTACTGTAACATTGTCTATAGACATCCCAGGAACACAAAGAATAAGTTCACCTAGAAAAATGTTATATAATTTTGTTTTTATAAGACATTAAAATGTTATATAAAAAATTATAAAACATTAAAATGTTATATAAAAATTATAAAACAAACAAAAAAAAAATCTGGCCACCAAGGTAGCCCGCAAGAGTGCTCCAGCACCAGAAGCATAAATAAGCCCTAGCAGCTACTAGCTTGGCACAGTGGCCCTGCGTAAGATCCGCTGCTACCAGAAATCAACTGAGCTGCTGATCCGCAAGCTGCCATTCCATGATCTGGTGCACAAGATCGCACAGAACTTCAAGACCAACCTGCACTTCCAAAGCTCAGCAGCTGCAGGAAGTGTGAGAGGCCTACCTGGTGGGGCTCTTTGAGAACATCAATCTGTGCGCCATCCACTCTGAGTGACTATCATGCTCAAGAACATCGAGCTTACATGCCACATTCGTAGACAGAAAGCATAAAGCTTCCTCAGCAATAATTCTACCCAACTCAAAGTCACTTTTAAGAGCCACCCACTTTATCTGAAAACATAATTATGATTAACTTCCATGATTAACTACTTCAATAAGTTCTATGTAAAAATTTTTAACTCTGGTTGTGAGTCTTTGTATTTAAAGACCATTTGATTTGGGACATTCAAATGAGGATTTGTTTTCATAAATAAAACAATAAGCTTGCTGGATTTGTTTCCTGACAGTCTCCTAGAAGTGCTTTAAAAAATTAAGAGAATTTATTGCCAGTAGACCTCTCTTGCCAGAAATGTTAAAAGTAGTTCAGAGAGAAGGAAAATTATACAGGTAAGAAAGTCAGATCTACATAGGAAAAAAAGATTGTTGAAGAAGGGATAAATGAAATTTACAAATATTTTACAGTTGACCCTTGAACAACACAGGGGTTAGGGGTGCTGACCCCACTGCACAGTCAAAAATCCATATATAATTTTTGACTTCCCAAACTATTAATAGCCTACTGTTGATCAGAAATCTTACTGATAAACAGCTTATTAACACATATTTGTATCTTAGATGTATTATATATTATATTCTTACAACAAAGTAAGCTAGAGAAAAGAAAATGCTATTAAGAAAATCATAAGGAAGACAAAGTATATTTACTATTCGCTAAGTGGAGGTGGACCATCATGAAGTTCTTCATCCTTATCATCTACGCATTGAGTAGGCCAAGGAGGAGGAAGAAGAGGGGCTGGTCTTGCTGTCTTGGGGTGGCAGAGGCAGAAGAAAATCTGCATATAAGTGGACCTGTGCAGTTCAAACCTGTGTTGTTCAACAGTCAACCATATTTTTCTTATTTCTAATTGATCTAATAGACAATAATTTGTTCAAAATAACAATAGAAACAATGTATTCAGTGATTACAGCTTATTGATATTTGAAATAATGATAACAATGTTAGAAAGGATGAGAGAGAAGAATTGGTAACACCTTGTCATGAGGTATGTGAACTACCCATGAATCAGTATAGTGTTATGTGAAACTGAATTTAGAGTAGTTGCTAATGTATATGACAAACCTAGAGCAATCACTAAGAAAATTGTAAAAAGAAATACTTCTCCGAAATGCTTGGGGCCAGAAAAGTTTAAGATTCCAGCTTTTTTTTTCCTTTCAGATTTTGGAATATCTGCATTATACTTATTATATCAGTTCAGCATCCCTAATACAAAAAATTTGAGATCCAAAATCCAATGAGAATTTTCTTTTAAAGTCCCATTGGTGCTCAAAAAGTTTCAGAGTTTGGAGCATTTTAGAGTTCAAATTTTCAAAACAGGGATACTCAGCTTGTATAATTAATGCACTAAGAGAACAAAATAAATGGAATAATTTTTTAAATGCTCAATTAAAACCAGAGAAGACGGAAACAAAGTGGATTACAAAATACAACACTAAGAACATGGCAACAAACATAAAATAGTTACAAATGTGTTAAACATTTATCCAAATATGTCAATAATCACTTTAAATACGAATTGTCCGAATACTCCTATTAAAAGACAGACTTTAGGGGTGAATGAAAAAAATCAAGACCCAACTATATGTTGTCAATAACAATCCACTATATATATATAAAGACACAGATAGCTTGAAAGTAAAGGAGACTAAGACATAAGATGCAAGCACTAATCAAAAGAATCAAAAGAAAAAAGCAGACTTCAACAATAATGAATGGGTCAAATGTCAAAGAAGACATAACAGCTCTTACTATATATGTTCCTAAAGACAGAGTATCAAAATATGGGAGGCAAAATGTGATAGCATTGCAAAAAAAAAGCAGGCAAATCCACTATGATAATTAGAGATTTCAACACTCTCAGTAATTGAAAGATCCACTAGGCAGAAAAGCAGTAAGGACACAGTTGTACTGAATAGCACCAATAATTAACTGGTTCTAATTGACATCTGTAGAATATTTCATCTAAAACCAGAATATACATTCTTCTAAAGATCACATGGAACAGACACCAAGATGGACCATATTGTGAGCCACAAAAAATACCTTAACAAACTTAAAAGAGCAAATTAGTCAGTGTATGTTCTTGGACCATAATGGAATTAAACAAGAAAATAATAGAAATGTAGCTGTCAAATCCAAAATATTTGAAAATTAAACAACACATTTCTGAATAACAAATAAATCAAAGAAGAACTACCAAGAGAAAATTTTTAAAATAGTTTAAAATAAATCAAAATGAAAATATAACATTAAAATTTACGGCATGCAAATAAAGCAGTGCTTAACAGTAAATTTGTAGAATTGAATAGATATATCAGAAAAAAGAAGTATCAATAACATTAATTATCTAGCATGCCACCTTTAAAAACTAAAACAAGAAGAGGATATTAAATCCAAATTGAGCAGAACAAAGAAATCATAAAAGAGCAGAATTCAGTGAAATTGAAGGCAATAAGGAGATAATAAGCATTAGACTTAAAAGATAACAAAATTTCAGGCTGGGCGTGGTGACTTACGCCTGTAATCCCAGCACTTTGGGGGGCCGAGGTAGGCAGATCACTTGAGGTCAGGAGTTTGAGACCAGCCTGGCCAACATGGTGAAACCCCATCTCTACTAAAAATACAAAAATTAGCCTGGTGTGGTGGCGCATGCCCATGCCTGTAGTCCCAGCAACTTAGGAGGCTGAGGCAGGAGAATGGCTTAAACCCAGGAGATGGAGGTTGTAGTGAGCCGAGATCGTGCCATTGCACTTTAGCCTGGGCGACAGAGCAAGACTCCATCTCAAAAAAAAAAAAAAAAAGAAAGAAAAAGAAAAATTCAAATCAACAACTAAACTATACATCTTAAGGAATCCGAAAGAGAATAACAAACTAGGCCTAGAGCCAGCAGAAAGAAGATAATAAACACTAGAATGGAGATAAATATGGAGTAGAAAACAACAAGGAAAATCAGTAAGATCAAAAGTCAGCACTTGAAAATATTTTTTAATGACAAACCTTTAGCTAGATTGACTTTAAATGACGGAGAACTCAAATTAATAAAATCAGAAATGAAAGCAGAAATATTATTACCACTTTATAGAAACAAAAAAAGAGTATGAGTACTATGAACAACAGCATGCCAAAAAACTGGATAACCTAGATGAAATGGATGCATTCCTAGAAACATACAATTTAGCAAAACTGAATAATTAAGTAATAGAAAATCTGAATACACCTATAACTAGTGAGGATATCAAATCAGTAATCAAAAAACCTCCCAACAAAGAAAAACACTGGACCAGATCGTTTCACTAGTAAATTTTACTAAACATTTAAAGGAGAATTAACAGGAATCCTTTTCAAGCTCTTTAAAAAATAATGAAAGAAGAGGGGCTACTTCCTATTAGCTTGGTACCAAAGTCAAAGGTACTATAAGAAAAAACTAACAACCATAAACCAATATCTATTATGAATACTTATGCAAAATTCTCAAGAATATACTAGCAAACCAAATTCAGCAGCATATTTGAAAAATTATACTCCATGGCTGCATTAGTCCGTTCTCACACTGCTATAAAGATACTACCTGAGACTGGGTAATTTATAAAGGAAAGAGGTTTAATTGACCCACAGCTCTGCATGGCTGAGGAGGCCTTAGGAAACTTACAATCATGGTGGTAGGGGAAGCAAGCACATCTCACATGGCAGCAGGTGAGAGAGAGAGTGCAGGAAAAACCACCATTTATAAAACCATCAGATCTTATGAGAATTCACTCACTATTATGAGAACAGCACTGGGGAACCGCCCCCATAATCCAATCACTTCCCTCCCTCAACAGGTGGGGATTACAGGTCCCTCCCTCAACACGTGGGGATTACAATTTGAGATGAGATTTGGGTGGGGACACAGAGCCAAACCATATCATTCCATCCCAACCCCTCCTAAATCTCATGACTTTTCACACTTCAAAACACAATCATGTCTTCACAACAGTCCCCCAAAGTCTTAACTCATTTAGGCATTAACTCAGAAGTCCACAGTCCAAAGTCTCATTTGAGACAAGGCAAGACCCTTCTGTCAATGAGTTGTTAAAATCAAAAGTAAGTTAGTTACTTCCTAGATACAATGGAGGTATAGGCATTGGGTAAATGCTCCTGTTCCAAAGGGGAGAAATTGGCCAAAACGAAGGGGCTACAGGCCCCATCCAAGTCCGAAATCCAGCAGGGCAGTCATTAAATCTTAAAGCTCCAAAACGATCTCCTTTGACTTAATGTCTCACACCTGGATTATGCTGATGCAAGAGGTGGGCTCCAACGGCCCTGGGCAGTTCTGACCCTGTGGCTTTGCAGAGTACAGCCCCACTCCCAGCTGCTTTCACAGGCTTGTTGTTGAGTGTCTGTGACTTTTCCAGGTGCACAGTGCAAGGTGTCAGTGGATCTACCATTCTGGGGTCTGGAGGATGGTGGCCCTCTCCTCACAGCTCCATAAGGCAGTACCCCAGTGGGGACTCTGTGGGCTCCAATCCCACATTTCCCTTCCACACTGCCCTAGCAGAGGTTATCCATGAGGGTTCCACCCCTCCAGCAGACTTTTGCTTAGACATCCAGGCATTTCCATACATCTTCTGAAATCTAGGCAGAGGTTCCCAAACTGCAGTTCTTGACTTCTGTGCACCCACAGGCCCAACACCATGTGGAAGCCACCAAGGCTTGGGGCTTGCATCCTCTGAAGCAACAGCCTGAGCTGTACCTTGGCCCCTTTTAGCCACAGCTGGAGTTGAAGTAGCTAGGACACAGGGCACCAAGTTCTGAGGCAGAGTTTAGTTGAGTAGTGGAGAAAGAAACTAGATTGCAATTGTGTGAGGACTGAGTAGGAAATGAGAAAGCAGAAACAACAAATGCGGAAAACTTGATTATTCTGAAAGGGTGAAGAGAAAGATAGCTGGAAAAGTGTGAGTTTAGTGTTAGGAAAAGGATTTTTTTCCTCCCAAGGGAAAAATGATTATATGTTCCATGCAGATATGGGGAAACCTATAAAAATAGTGGGGTTAAAATACAGGAGAATTAAATAAGTAGGAAAGCGAAAGTCCCTAAGAAGAAGCAAACACTGACAGAACTGAAGAGAAAAAATACAGTTTTATAATAATAGTAGGAAACTTCAAACCCCATACTTAATAATGAACAGAGCATCTAGACTCGAGATCAATAAAGAGATACAGGACTTGAACAGTGGTATACATCAACTAGACCTAACAGACATATATAGAACTCTGCACCAAACAATAGCAAAAACACATTCTTCTAAAATAAGTCTCAATGAACTTTGTAAGACTAATATCATGTGAAATTATCTTCATTGACAATGGATGAAGCTAGGAATCAACGCCAGAAAGAAAAATAAAAAATTCACATATATATGGAGATTAAACAACACACTCTTAAATAACCAATGGGTCAAAGAAGAAATCACAAGGAAAATCAGAAAATACTCAGAAATGAATAAAAACAAAAACAGCATAACTAAACTTATGGGATGCAGCAAAAGCAGTGGTCAGAGAGAAGTTTATACTATAAACACCTACATTAAAAAATAAGAAAGATCTCAAATCAATTACCTAACTTTACACCTTGAGGAACGAGAAAAAGAAGAGCAAATGAAACCCATAGCTAACTGAAGGAAGGAAATAATAAAGATTCGAGTAGAAATAAACAAAATAGAGAACGGAAAAACAGCAGAGAGAACCAATGAAACCAAAAGTTGGTTCTTCAAAAAGATAAAGAAAATTGACAATCTTTTAGCTAGAGACAAAAAAAGAAGACACAAATATCTAAAACCAGAAAGGGGGAACATTATTACCAGCCACACAGAAATTTTAAAAGATTAAAAGTACACAATGAACATTTATACACCAAAAATTAGATAACTTAGATGAAATCAACAAATTCTTAAAAACATATGTAAATTATATAAACGGACTCCAAATCTGAATAGAAAAGACACTGAACTGAATAGAAAATCTCAACTGACCCATAAAGAGTGAGGAAATTAGACCAGTAATCAAAAACTTCCCCAAAAAGAGAATTCCAGGACCAGACGGTTTCACTAGACAATTCCAACAAACATAAAGAAGAGTCAACAACAATCCTTCTCAAGCTCTTCTAAAAAGTAGAAGGGGGAATATCTTCTAACTAATTCTACGGAGCCAGCATTACTCTGATACCAAAACCAGATGAAGACATCACAAGGAAACATTACGTACCAATATTCCTTATGAATATAGATGCAAAAATTATCAACAAAATCCCAGCACAACAAATCCAACAGCATATTAAAAAGATTATATACCATGACCAAGTGGGATTTATCCTAGAAATGCAAGGGTGGTCAGCATAAGAGAGTCAAACGATGTAATATACCAGTTGAATAGAACAAAAAAATCTGCACATGATCATCTCTGTTGATACAAAAAAGATATTTGATAAAACCTGATATCCTTTAAAAAAACACTCATAAAGTTAGGCACAGAAAGGAACTTCCTTACCATGATAAAAGACATTTATGAAAATCCCACAGCTAATGTCACATTCAATAGTAAAAGACTGAAAGCTTTCACTGGGAAGATCAGCAACAAGACAAGCATGCCCGTTTTCTGCACTGTTATTCAAGTTACAGCCAGAGCAATTAGACCGGAAAAAGAAATACATGGTAACCATATAAGAAAAAAGAAGATAAAAGTATTTCTATCATGGATGACATGACCCTATAGATAGAAATTTCAAAAGAATCCACAAAAAAACTACTAGAGTGAATAAATTCAGCAAAGTTGCAAGTGACAGAATCAACACATATCAGTTATGTTTCTATATACCAGCAATGAACAATATGAAAAAGAAAGAAAATAATTCCATTTACAATAGCATATAAAAGAATGAAATACCCAGGAATAAATTTAACTAAGGAGGTGAACAACTTACATACCTAAAACTATAAACTATTGCTAAAAGAAGTTAAAGACCAAAATAAATGGAAGGGCATTATGTCTTTATAGATTGGAAACTAAATATTATAAAGAGGGCAATACCCCCAAGCAAAATTTCAATGTGAAAATTCCAAAGACTTTTTTGTATAAGTGGAAAAGCTGACTCTAAAATTGACATGGAATGGAAAGGGACTTAGAATAACAAAAACAATCTTGAAGCAGAAGAACAAAGTTGGAGCACATACACTTCCTGATTTCAAAATGTACTACAAAACTACTGTAATCAAAATTCTGCAGTACTTGATGAGATACAGAGGTCTAGTTTCATTCGTCTGTATATGGATATCCAGGTTTCCTAGCACAACTCAAAATGGATTATAGACCTAAATGTAACTATGAAACTACTAGAAAAAGAAAACATAGGAGAAATACATTGGTCTGGGCAATGATTTTATGGATAAGACCTCAAAAGCACAGGCAAAATAGCAAAAATAGACAAATGGGATATCAAACTAAAAAGCTTCTGCACAGCAAAAGAAACAATCAGAGAGTGAAGAGATAATCTACAGAATGGGAGAAAATACTTGCAAACTATTCATCTGACAAGGGACTAATATCCAGAATATATAGTCATGTATTGCTTAACCATGTGGATACATTCTGAGAAATGTGTCCTTAGGCATTTTCACCATTGTAAGACTATCATAGATTCAGATTTTCTTAAGATCTTCTAAAAGAAGAAGGGCAAAAAAGCTCTTCTACTTAGAAGAAGAAAAGTACTACTTACAAATACCTAGATGGTATAGCCTACTACATACCTAGGCTGCATAGTATAGCCTACTGCTCCTAGGCTACACACCTGTATAGAATGTTATTGTATTGAATAATGCAGGCAATTGTAAGACAGTGGTAAGTATTCATGTATCTAATCATATAAAAGGTACAGCAAAAATTTGGTATTATATTCTTATGGGACCACTGTCATACATGCAGTCCATCATTGACTGAAACATTGTGTAGAACACGACTACACAAGGAGCTCAAACAGCTAAACAACAAAAACACAAATAATTCAATTTAAAAATTGGCAAATGATCTGAATAGGCATTTCTCAAAAGAAGACATACAAGTGGCCAAAAATTATATGAAAAAACACTCAACATCACTAATCATCAGGGAAATGCAAATCAAAACCACAGTGAGATATCATCACACCCCAGTTAGAATGGCTATTGTCAAAAAGACAAAAAAAAATAACAAATGGTGGTACGGATGCAGAGAAAATGGAACTCTTATACATTGTAGGTGGGAATGTAAATTAGTACAGCCATTATGAAAAACAGCATGGAGATTTCTCAATAAACTAAAAATAGAACTACCATATGATCCAGCAATCTTACTGCTGGGTATGTATCAAAAAGAAAGGATATCAGTATATCAAAGAGATATCTGCACTCTCATGTTTATCACAGCACTATTCACAACAGCCAAGATATGGAATCAATATAAGTACCCATAAACAGATGCAAGGATAAAAAAATGTGGTATATATACACAACAGACCACTATTCAGCCATAACAATGAAAGAAATCCTGTCATTGGTGGAAACATGGATGAACCTGGAGGACATTATATGAAATAAGCCAGGCACAGAAAGATAAATACCACATATTATCATTCACATGTGGAAGCTATAAAAGCTCATCTCATAGAAGTAGAGTGTAGAATAGTGGTTACTATTAGGATGGTGCAAAAGTTATTGTGGTTTTTTTTTTTCAATTAAAAGTTAAGAGAATATAGGGAAAGGAATGGGGTGGGAAAGGTTGGTTAACAGATACAAAATTACAGCAAGATAGGAGGAATAAGTTCTAATGATCTATATAGCAATGTAGGGTGACTACAGTTAACAATAAATAATTATATATTTTCAAATAGCAAGAAAAGATTTCGAATGTTCCCAAAACAAAGAAATGATAAATGTTTGAGGTGATAGAAACACTAATTACTCTGATGTTTAAAACTATACAACTTTTAGAAGAAAACATATGGGTATCTTTGTGACCTTGAATTTGGTGATGAATTCTTAGATATGACACCAAAAGCACCAGCAACAAAAGAAAAAAATAGATAAATTGGGCTTCATTGAAATTAAAAACTTTTGCACATCAAATGACATCATCAAAAGTGAAAAAACCTACAGAACAGGAGAAAATATTTGCAAATCACATAGCTAATAAGGGGCATGTATCCAGAATATATATATTTTAAAACTCCTACAATGCAACAATAACCAAAAACACAATTAAAAATGAGCAAAGAACGTAAACATACATTCTCTAAAAAATATACTCAAATGGCCAATAAGCACATGAAAAGATGCTCAACATCATAAGACTTTCGGGAAATGCAAATTAAAACCACAATGATATACTACTTCACACCTCCTAAGATGGCTATTTAAATAATAATGGAAAATAACAAGTGTCACCAAGAATGTGGATAAATTGGAACCCTTGCATATTGCTGACGGGAATGTAAAATGGTACAGGCACTGTGGAAAACAGCTGGTAATTCCTCAAAAAGCTAAACAAATCATACAACCCAGCAATTCCACGTCTAGGTATATACCCAAAAGAATTTAAATCAGGGACTCAAACAGATACTTGTACTCCAATGTTCACTGCAGCAATATTCATAAGAGCCAAAAGATGGAAACAACCTAAGTGTCCATCAACAGATGACACCTCATGAACAATCTAGGAGATGACTTCGCATCCCACAATTCCCATCCAAGGAGAGACCATCAACTTTGTGCTTTGACACAAATACGTACACACCCCACACTCACCCTTCTCTTTAGCTGATGTTGGAAAATTCCATAGCCATCAACTGATTAAGTGTGTGCTCCACAGGGCATTTGAGACACAGAATTATTTCCAAAGGGTCTGGTCCAATTGTATTTTGATGATCTCCAACACTGAGAGTAGTACCCACAGCTGGTATTACAGGCTACAGGAGTTCTGTGGATTAAAAAATGTTATAAAGAACTTCAAAAATCATCTAAATTGAAGTTTCACATTGCAAAAAAACTACCTTGCTTGTTTCCCTTAATGCACAAGTGTAGCTAACTGTGCTTCATTTAAACTTTTAGATGTACCACAATAGATTCACAACTGATCCTAGTAGAAATTAAACTACAGATAGCTATTAAAAGTAGGGATCCATTACACCATATTGAGATTTTCCACTTTAGACCTTCCCCTAAATGTATAAAAAGTTAGGAGAGGAAGGTCAACAGAAAGACCATTTGTATACTGATCCTAATATTTATATTTCCCAATTCTGGGCAGTAAATTAACAGTAAAAGAGGCAGGGGGTAGGAGAGGCAGAGGTGACCCCAAAATCCTAAACTATACATTGTCATTCTATTCCACAAATCCTTGCAGAGAACCTAGCTTTTGTTAAGAATAAACAGGACAAGCTTAGTATAGACAACATGGCTTCAGCTCTATAAACTATGCGAATAGACAGAACAGTGGGTTTTATGGGAATTAATTTCTTCCTAACTACGCACTTCTAAAGGAATTTGGTATCCTGTGGCTATGCCATACATAGAGCTGAGCTCTGACCAAAAAGAATCAGCACAAACAAGGGGCTGCTACCAACTGTGGTACAAATCACCAAGTCCAAACATTGGCCAGAAAACAAAGGTAAGGAGTAAACAGTCACCAGATGAGACAGACGAGATTATCTATGAAGCAGTTTCAGTAGGTAATCCCCAGAAAGACTCTCCTCTGAGGCCCAGGACTTCTGGGGGAGAGAATCACAGATGAAGCAGTAAATCTGATACCCCTGGATAGGGAGGGAGCTGTTGAAGGCACAGTGGGGCTGGGTCCCTTCAGAACCACACTTCCTGTGCAGCTGTCCATGGCTTACTGAATAGGGGTGAGAACCAGGAATCCTCTTGGGGTTAAAAAGCTTCAAGGCATCCTGATGAGACATTTTATGTGAAAAGCTGAGCACAAGTTCCGGAACTGAGACTACAATGAAAGCATCTGTATTCCCTTCCTCCTTACTCCCTTCCCCAGAGCTGCCCAGATAGGGCTTCATTCCTCATTTGAAGCCCTATCAGTAGGAGCCTACAGACAACTAATAGCACAGTCCTGCCTTCTTGCATAGAGTGATTCTACTTTTTAAGTATGTCGAAACTAAATAATCTGTCAATGTGAACTTGTTTTGTTTGTGCCCCACTACAGACACACAGGCAGTGTTCTTCACCATCTTTATGCTCTCTGTGCTTTATCCCCCCAGACTAGATTTCAGCTGAAGAACTAGGACAATATTTTCACCAGTTTTAGCATGCAACTTTATTAACAACATGTAAATAAAATCTCAAAAGAATACACATATCAATATAAAGCACAGAAGTATAGCTTACTCAGGATGAATAGATTCATTATCAGGTCACGTTGCAGAAATACCAAAAATATCTCAATTTATATACTATATAGCACAATAAAAATCAGCACATGTTCAGGATCTCAAGATTAATTGGTATCCATAAAATTGCCTCCCTCAATCAACATGGAAAACATAAGTATTGAATTTATAATTACAATATGCATTGGTTTCATATTGCAACTCCAAAAAACTGTTTGAGGCTTTATGAGAACAGAGGGGTATTCAGAGTTTTAGTATTAATCGTATGACTTTATCTCTCACTTCGGGATCACTGTGCTCTGCTAAGTCTTGGAGTTTCTGACCAAACTGTTTTGCTTCCTGGAATATTGAAATAAGCTCAGATTTAGTGAACTTTTCCTTGGTAAATAGCTTTGCCTTTGTTTTGAACTGAAAATTTATATTCTCAAATATTTCAATAATATTAAGAATATTGGCCTTTGACTCATTCTTGTTAAAGGGTGCAACCAATGATGACAGTACTTTGGCACTGATCAATTCTCTTGTATTGGCGTGATTTTTAGACAAACACGAAAACACTTTTAAAACATAAAACTTGGTTTTGACACTTCCCTTGTTTAACAAGGTGAGGAAATCTGGAATATAACTGGTAATCACATAGTGATCTTCAAATTTTATACTCAAGTGCCCTAGTAATTTCAGTCCAGCCAGCTGCACAGGGGAGTTCAAGGGGCAAGAGATTATGCCTTTACAAACTTGATGTATATATGACTCCCCTGATTTTGGTTCTTCGGAAGACTCAGAGCTGTCATCCACCATACTTAAAGCTCCAGGGTGTTCTTTAACATTGGGATTATTGACCAAGTTTTCAATCATAACAGTAATACCTACATCATGAATTATATCTTGAGTAAATGGATAAGCAGGACTGATGCCCATTATCATTGTAGCTATTTCATGAATGAAAGGATCCTTAGTTAACTTAAGGAGGGCAACAAGTTTATCAAACTCTTTAGGCTCTAAACTAAAGCCACGTGATTTGCAGTGGCAGGCCTTCGGATTAGGCCCATACTTTTCCCTTTGCCTAATCTGTTTTTTGATCTCAGCTAAGGTCTGGTAATAAGGCCCATGATAAGGTGGGATCTTGGTCAAAGGTCGAATCCCCAGAGGAGTTTCAATCAAGGTCTCAACCAGGGTCCAGTTTCCTTCTGGAGGCAAGGATTGCTCCCCTCCTTCAACTGGAACTAGGACAATATACCTGGCCCTTGACCATGCTATTACCTTTTGTTTTATAGTAAGTGTGGGTTTGTGTGTGGGCTTGGGCTTTTCCTGGATCTTAGGTAGGGGCTTATAAACTTGAAGAGAGGTCTCTTCTTCAGGCCAGAACCAGGACCCTACACTAGGCTCTTCTCCAGTCCAGAACCAGGAGCATATATTTTCTTCATCCTCATCACTGGATTTCATCCCAATGCTGGTCTCTTCCCTTCTGTCAGGTCTGGACCCAGTATTGGCCTTATCATGTGACTTGGCATAGGACCTAATATTTGCCTCAATGACAGCAACAACCTTGACTTCAGACTTGGTTACAGTACTGACCCTAGACATAGGCATGGCCTTTGACTTGGTTTGTGGCACTATACTGCGTTCTGCCAGGGGTTTTGTCTTAGTCTCAACCATGACTCTAGTCTTAGTTGTATCTTCCACCTTGATCACTTCCCTTGTCACAGCCATAGCCTCCCTGTAGGTCACTGTATGTGTCCTGGTCATTGCTCCATCACCAGCTTTGGCCTGGGTCACTGATTCTGTTTTCAGTTCTGCCTCAGCCACTGCCTCGGCCTGGGTTTTACCATTCACTCTAGCAGTGGCAGGACCACTGATTCCATCTTGCAGGCCAGCCTCAGCCTTTCCTCTAGCCCTTGCTTCTGTCCCAGAGTCAACCATGTTCCAAGTTTAACGTAAGGACAAGTTATATACCCCCACCCGTCTCAGCCTTGACTGAAGTTTTGTCCCGGTTGGTGTTTTCACACAAAGTCCAGTAGTCACTCTGTCCCCTTTCCAACTACAGGCTCTGCCAGTGATATAGAAAACATGCAGAGGAAGCTCACTCAAGGTAGGGAAGGATGGCTGTGCATGGGCCCAGCCCTGTGGAGGGTGGTGGTCTTCAGCCACTCCAAGGCCACCAGATCTGCCACTGAAGTAGGACCTAGGGGTGGAGGAAGGAAATGGGGCTTTGAGTCTCTTCCAACTTTTTTCTCCTCATGCTGATCAGCACAGGGAGACAGGAGAATATGGTGATTCAGTGCTAGGTGAGAGAGGTAGATAATTAGCAAACTCTCTCTCCCTTCATTTCACCCACTCCCTACACTTCCAAGTGCCATCAGCCTTCTTTCCAGTCACCAAACAGGAGCATAAGGAGTAGGAAAACTGGATGAGAAGCTGAGGAATCCCTTTAGTGGTTCTTGACCCCTGCTGGAGCCAAGCAGCTCTCCACTACTCCATCCTACAGGTCTACCCAGGCAATCCCCACACTCATACCAACCTGCACTGATCTGGAGTAACTTTCTCCTCCTTACCTTGCTTCCAATGGTGACAAGCCCTACAGCAGATCTACAGGCAGACCTATGGACAAATAAACAAACAGGAGAATGTGGAAACTGATCTCCTGGTGACAGACCTTGGTCCCTTGCCCTTATTCTTGCCTTTCCAGATTTTGTCTAGTGTTTCCCTCCTCCTATCCCCTCTCCCCCACTGCTTTGTTTCAGGGCTACTCCTCCTCCTCCTTCCTATTGCCCACCATCTTCCTCTTCAGTGATTGCCCTAGAATGTCCCTCGTTCAGATTAGACTAGGTTCAAGCGTGAGAGCAGGACAAGCAGTGGAGAGTGGGAAAGGCAGCTTAGCATTCTGTACCCCCACAACTTACCAAGACTCCCAACTAAATCAGCAGCAGCAGGGGGTGGGGCAGATGGGAATAATTGGTAAAATGACAAAACAGAAGAGATGGAATTCTCTAGTCGAAGTTGCCCCCCTGTCCCTGTACCTTTACACCAACCTTAACAGATACAGGGCAATTTTCTCTTCTTCGTAATTTCCTAGTTTTAAGTTGGGTGACCATTTTACAAAACTTCACAACTGACAGTTCCACAGACCTGGGGACAGATCTACCTACAGGGATTCACAAAAACAGAGACCAATAAATGAAGACACAGGAGACAGTTGAGGCTGTTTTTGGTAGAGACCAGCACCTAGGGCACAGTTTCTTTCTGGATATAAGTACCTGTTTGGCAAACATTTTCTATCTCCCCTTTTTCTCCCACTCCTAAATCTCCAAGCCCCTCTGCTCTATTCTCAAAGTCTGACAATTCCTATACAGAGACAACTCAAACATCCCTACAAGGTAGTAGTAGTGGTGTTAGTAGGGACGAAATGCCTAGACAAACCACGGAGGCTGGGGAAAAAATGAAAAGTATTTATTTCCATATTTCATCTGGGTTCCTATGTTTCCTTCCTCTCTCCCAAAGCCTATCATTTTCTGCAACATAATGCGGGTAAGGGAGGACATGTTAGGAAAGCTGGCAGAGAGTTCTGGAGGCTCCCTTACACTCCTGCCTACTCTAATCTTAGCCATCTACCACCTCCAAGTACTGCCTCCCAAGTACTGCCCACTCTGTACAAACCAGGCCAATTTTCTTTTCCTTCTCCTCTCCCCTTGAGGTCTGCTGTCCCCTACAGATCTTTACAGAAACATGGAGTGCTGCAAACTTAGGAACAGATTTACACATAAAAACGCGTGATACACACCCAAAGAACAAATGAAAAGACAGAGAGAGAGACGTGGTTATTAATGGTCAGACCAGTAACCAAGACATGAGACCCTTTTCAAATCCAGAGCCTTGATTATCAAACATTTACAACCTCTTTTTACATTCTCTCCCTCTCAGGGCTCCCCAGACAACTGTCCTCGCCTGTGGAAGTAGCCCTCTCTTCCTCATCTAGTCTGCCTTTTCCCTGCTAGAAGCTGCAACCTTTTTCTTCCCAAGCATGGTCTGAGGTGAACCGAGTGTATGGAAATCAAGCTAGCAAAAGGTAGATCATTTTTTTTTAATTGTTGTGTGCCATTCCAATTACCCATCTCTCTCTCCTTCTCACCGCCCGCCTCCCATGACCAGGTCGCGTATCCAGTGTTCACCTCTGATACCCACATCCACCCCCAAGCGATGCGCACCTTCTCACTGACCTTCTCTGCTTGGATCAGAGGCAGTTTTCTTATTTCCTTGCCTCGAGGTGCTGTGTCATACAGCAGCAGGAACAGACAGTCAGACACAAGGACTCGAGGCAATGGCGGCGGCTGTGTATGGGGATTGACTCGGCACCTGGGACTCAAGACGAGATAACCGCTTTATCAGATTAAAGACTGCGATTGGCAAACTGTTGTCACTTTTGGTATTCTTTTCTCCTTCCTGTTCCCAGGGCTCCTCAGAACCTCGCGCGTAGTTACCATTTAACATCTACCTTTTCCTCCGCAGACGAGGTTCTTCCACGTCCGCGTTACCCACAACGGCAGTGGGAGGAGCTAGAGCGTAGTTTATGGGGATCCGGCTTATGGAAGCGGAGTGATATCAGGCTTTGTTTAGCGCCGCGACTCTTTTCTGTCGGAGGGCTCCCTGTCCTGTACCCTGTGGCCGCTTCAGGTATTGGAATGCGCAGGGACGAATTCCGGATATAGGGAAAACGGCGCTGGAACAAGAGAGGCAGACAAATACCAGAGTGTTTCTGTATTAGTTCCCCTTTTGCGGGAGCTCCCCCCACCAAGCCTACCATTCTTTCCTGAACTGAAATGCACATGGGTTTCCAGCTGTGGTGTCAGGAAATCTCTTCTGGCCTGACAGGCGGAAGTGTTCCAGTCTTTCGAAGTTCGTTCTCCAAACACAGAGGCCCACTGAAATGGGCGGTCTCGGGGTGGGGCCCAGGGTAGGAAAGTCAGCAAAGAGAGTCAAGACTGAGATAGGAGGATACATACTAATCGATTCCACAAACTTTGTGTTCCTTCGAGTCCTCCCTCCCAGCCCTTAATTTTCATTTTCTTTTTTTTTTTTTTAAGTTCTAGGATACATGTGCAGGATGTGCGTGTTTGTTAAATAGGCAAACGTGTGCCGTGGTGGCTTGCTGCACCAATCAACCTATGACCTAGGTATTAAGCCTGGCATGCATTAGCTATTTTTCCTAAGGCTTTCCCTCACCGCCCCCCACAACCCCTGACAGGTCCCAGTGCGTGTTTTTCCCCTCCCTGTGTACATGTGTTCTCATTGTTCAGCTTCCACTTATAAGGGAGAACATGCAGTATTTGTTTTCTGTTGCTGCATTAGTTTGCTGAGGATAATGGCTTCCAGCTCGATCCATGTCCCTACAAAGGACATGATCTCATTCTTTATTATGGCTGCATGGTATTTCATGGTGTATATGCACCACATTTTCTTAATGTTATCACTGATGGGCATTTGGGTTGATGCCACGTCTTTGCTATTGTGAATAGTGCGGCAATGAATATACGTGTGCGTGTATCTTTGTAATAGAATGATTTATATTCCTTTGGGTATATACCCAGTAATGGGATTGCTGGGTCAAATGGTATTTCTGGTTCTAGATATTTGAGGAATTGCCACACCGTCTTCCACAATGGTTGAACTAATTTACATTCCCACCAATGTAAAAGCGTTCCCATTTCTCTGCAACTTTGCCAGCATCTCTTGTTTCTTAACTTTGTATTAATTGCCGTTATGACTGGTGTGAGATGGTATCTCATTGTGATTTTGATTTGCATTTCTCTAATGATCAGTGATGTTGAGCTTTTTTCCATGTGTTTGTTGGCCACATAAATGTCTTCTTTTGAGAAGTGTCTGTTCATGTCCTTTGCCCACTTTTTAATGGGGTTGTTTGTTTTTTTCTCGTAAATGTAAGTTCCTTGTAGATTCTGGATATTAGACCTTTGTCAGATAGATAGACTGCAAAAATTTTCTCTTCTGTAGGTTACCTGTTCACTCGGATGATAGTTTCTTTTTCTGTGCAGAAGCTCTTTAGTTTAATTAGATCCCATTTGTCAAATTTTGCTTTTGTTGCAATTGCTTTTGGCAATTTGCCTGTGCCTGTGTCCTGAATGGTATTGCCTAAATTTTCTTCCAGGGTTTTTATAGTTTTGAGTTTGACATTTAAGTCTTTAATCCATCTTGAGTTAAATTTTGTATAAGGTGTAAGCAAGGGGTCAAGTTTCAGTTTTCTACATATGGCTAGCCAGTTTTCCCAGCACCATTTATTAAATAGGTAATCCTTTCCCCATTGCTTGTTTTTGTCAGGTTTGTCGAAGATCAAATAGCTGTATATGTGCAGTCTTATTTCTGAGTTCTCTATTCTGTTCGACTGGTCTATGTGTCTGTTTTTGTACCAGAACCATGCTGTTCTACAAGGTTACTGTAGCCTTGTAGTATAGTTTGAAGTCAGGTAGTGTGATGCCTCCAGCTTTGTTCTTTTTACTTAGGATTGTCTTGGCTATACGAGCTCTTTTTTGGCTCTGCGTGAATTTTAAAATAGTTTCTTCTAATTCGGTGAGAAATGTCAATGGTAGTTTGATGGGAATAGCATTGAATCTATAAATTACTTTGGGCAGTATGGCCATTTTCACGATATTGATTCTTCCTATCCATGAGCATGGAATGTTTTTCTATCTGCTTGTTTCCTCTTTGATTTCCTTGAGCAGTGGTTTGTAGTTCCCCTTGAGTAATGATCTTACTGCTAAAGTATGTCTATCAACTGATAAAATTTTAAAATCATCATTCATTTTCATAATAACTGCTGTTTTATGACTTATGTAATTATCTTAGGAACATTTCAGACATTTGAAAGATCCAAAGCAGAAAAGGTATCTTATATACACCTTAAAAAATGAGGATATCAGAGAATAACCTAAGTATATTATTAGCGCCAGGCTTCATTTCTCTTTTTTGGGTGGCAGGCGCTATGAACAGTAAGTTGAAGCAAGGAGAAAAAAAAATGCCCTTGCTCCAAGATTTTTACTTGGCCTTCAACTTTTAGCCAGAAAGCCCATTGGAGATTCAAGTTGATTTTTATTGTTAAAGGAATACTCATACTTCTAATCTTACATTCTACCAAAAAGAAAAGTGACTTAATGCTTTCTCTAAGTACACCTCACGGCATTGCTTGAGAGCTGAAAGATCCAACACATGTTAGCAATTGTTAGTAGCAATTTTAGGTACTTAATTATCCATTCACTATTAATCACTTGGTGCATATTCTTCAGATTGTTTCTCTTTCTGTAATGTATTCTCAGATATCAAAACACTCCAATGTATAAACATGTAAAATACATTTCTTTGCAAAATCGTGATTACCCTCTGAGTAATATATTACCTTACCTCTTTTCCTTATTATGATATCTCTGGATTTTTATTTGCCATTTCATTTGGTTGAGCATATTTTCAAATATTTATTGTATATTTACATAGTTCTTTGTGCATTCTGTTATTATTTGCCAATTTCTCTATTTGTTAAGAGATCTTTGTATGCCAAGCATACTAACCCCATGTCTTCAATATAGATCATAAATATTTTCCTACACCTTTTTTGTGTGTATGTATGTATGTATATATGTGTGCATATATATATGCACTTATAAATAATTTATATTCTATTTATGCACAACTTGTGTATGCTATATATGGAGAAAGCTATACCAAAGACATTGATATGTAGTTATATGTATATAAAGCCATATGTATATATACATATATCTCTATACATAAGACATTTCAAATTTTATAGTTTTTTTAATTTTAAAATGTAGTATAGTTCGCTATTTAAGAGCAAATACAAACAATATACGTGAGGACATTGAAAGTCTATTGAAAGTCCACATGATGGGATAGAAAAATATTGGGATGTTTAGTATTTCCAGGGCTTGAGTCCCTGAAAAGTAATTCACAGTATTTTTTCTCTGGGGAAAGTCACTTCTCGTAACACTTGATATGAGTCATGGTAATAAAAATGGTAGGATCAAGGGAGATAAAAAATGTATAATACCTGGAATATAGTATTTCTAAAAGTTTTAATACCCTACCCCTTACTTCAGTTTTTCTATGTCAACAACCTGTGTTTCTGCCTGAATGACACAGCACCTCAGGGACTAGTCATTACCCATGACCCCCAACACCTAGGCCTCTTGGTACAGGGAGCAGGATTTCACCTACACCATCATTATTTTCATCATCAATAGAGTTGTTAAGTTAGTGAGGGCCACATCTTGGATGTGAACATGATGATATGAACAGTATGACATGGCTTTAGGGCCAGTACTCTTAACCACTGCACCACAGAACCTCTGTCCCAGAGATACCATGATCGCCAGAATCAGTGAGCATTTATGTGGTCACTCTCAACATCCCCTGTGGCCTATGTGCTGTGAAATATCAAGATAACCACTGAACAAGGTCTAGGTCTGTGTGGAAGTTATGATGACCTCTGTAAAACTGCATTAATGTATAAAAGAGAAGGGAAGCCTCACTGGAGATGTCAGAGTCTCCTTGAAGAGGAGCTGTACCCAGAACAATGGGCAGGACTTATGGAGGCTGGATGGGTAGAAGGGAGAGGGAGTCTAGTATGACTGGAGTGAAGACTGGGGTCCTCTCAGGTGAATAGACAGGGCTCAGAGATAACTGACTGGACACTACAGGGGTCTGAGGTCATCCTGGTGTAGGACCAATTAAGGAAAGAACACATTGGTTTCTACAGGATGCTACATAGTTCCTTTATACAATGAATTGGCACAAATGTTAGTAAGAAGAAAAGTGCCCATGTATCTGCCAGTCATTCATGGCGGCAGAGAAGAACCAGGAGCACTGAGAGTAGTAAAGATAAATTGCTGTTCAGTTTCCTAAGCCTTCATTAGTAGGAAGTGGATTTCAAAGGAAATTGTTTATAATTAATCAAACCTGTCCGTCTGAAAATTATATACTCCCCTTAAATTTTCTCTGACTCTAAGTTTCATGGACTCCAATCTACCAGCGAGTTTTTGCCTGCATTCTGGGGTCATATTCTCAATCAGAGCACTCTCCTCATGTGTTAATACTTGCTCTTTCATTTGTTTTATCTCTGTATCCTATCAGAGATTATTCAGAGGCTTTTCCCCTCCTTTGTAGCCTCAACTCCTTTCATCAGCTCAGTGAGTTGTATTACAACACAGACTGCTTTGACAAGCTTAGGCAAAATTTAACACTCACTATCAATATCTTTTACATATTTCTTTTTTGCACTTATTATTTCTTCAGAGTTTAGATCTGACTACCAGATAGAACTGTGGTTGCTGGCCAAAGACATTGTGGAGATAATTCCCTGATGCCATAGACACATATCTGTGAATGAGAGTTTTGCTACTTTTTCTAGGTATTCATTTTGCTATTATTCAGAGTGCTTGACCAAGCTCAATCATGTTCTATCCACACAGAATTTGCTATTCAGATGCTACCAAGCCATTTAGAAATGATGTTTTCAAACTGGGACGCCTGGGATAATATCTATCCATTCATTCACTTATCCCTGTGAAAAAATTATGATTGTTTGACTGTTTCCATTGACAAGGCTATCAAGTTCTACTGGTGATTGAGAATCACTCCAAGAACTTGCCCCCTCTTGAAGACAGGAATCATTATCCTCTCACAAAACAAGAGGTTTAAGACACCAAAACATTGAATAATTCTTTCTGTTTTTCTTCTTTTTTTAAAAAAAAAAAACTGTAGCTTTACAAAAAATGTCTCAAAAATTCCCATGGTCTGGAAAATGTATGTATGTGGTGGGGCAAAATTAATATAGGAATGTCATAAAGAGCAATATTATTTCAAGTAATATGGGAAGAAAAAGTATTATGTTATTTTCTCCTTCCATGCTTTTCGAGGTCTTATTTATTTTGCCCAAAATACATAATTCTTTGGAATCTCTGCTTCAATGTGTAATCACACACGTGGCTGTGTACATAAATTATGTTTACATTCTCTGAGGGTAAATTAATATAGGGGATCTTGGGTGATGTATTAGACCCAGGGAGAGGAGTGTGCAGAGAGTATGGGAGAGAGGATCACACAAAGAAGCTGAGGAGAAGTTTTGGCCAGCCATTATGGGGATGTCATACTGGGAAGTATCCTCTCTGAGGGGCCCTCTCTACAGTTTGAACTTATCAACAGACCTTGATGAGCAGAGATGGAAGCAGGTCACCCATATTGGTGTGGCCCCAATGGGGCAGCTTTCCTAGGAAGGAAATCTCTGTGGCTGGAGTAAGTCCTCTTCACAACCGTTTAAATATGAGACAGAGAAATAGGGGCTGGCTGAGCCTTAGAGCTAATGTAGGCATTGTCATGCTGCCTGGCACACAGCATGGCACATTCTTGTCTTTCAGCATGTGGTTATTAATGAATGAAGGTGACTGCTGGGTTTAGTCTGTGAGTGAGTACCCACATCCTCATGGGATGTGGGCAGCTGCAAGTAAGCAGGGTCTGAGTACTTCCGTTCTCTGGGCACTGGAGGCCATACACTCAAGAGATAAACAGCATTATCATTCAAGAGGTTTCAGCCATTCCTTCCCCATTAGAATCCATAAACAGGCCCCATAGGATGGTTGGAACTATTAAACAAGTTCAACAGGGTGGTAATATACAAGATAAATATGCAAACATCAATTCATTTCTATACACTTGTGATGAACAATCTGAAAATACAATTTATAAAACAATTCCATTTATAATACCATTAAGAATAAAACATTTGGAGATAAATTTAACCAATAATAGATAACTTGTATACTTAAAACTATAAACTATCATTGAAAGAAATAAAATGAAATCTAAACAAATGAGAGAAAATTTCCTGTTCATGGATCTGAAGACAGAATATTATTAAGATGGCATTATGCCCCAATTTTATCTACAGATTCCACACAACCCGTATCAAAATACCACTTCACTTCTTTTCTGAAAATGACAAGTTCATTCTAAAATCCAAATAAAATGCATGGATTCAGAATAGCCAAACAATCGTGGAAAATAAAAAGTTGGAGGAATTCAATTTCCCAATTTTAAAACTTACTACAAAGCTACATTTATCACAATGGTGGTATTGGTAAAAAGATAGACATATAGATGTCTGTTGGAGTACAGTTGAGAATCCAGAAATAAACCTATATATTTATGGTTATCTGATATAAGAAAAGAGTGCCAATACCATTTAGTGGAGGAAATTGGTGTGTTGTCTTCAAATGGTGTAGGGACAACTGACTATCCACATGCAAATATACAAAAACTGGCCGGGCGCAGTAGCTCACGCCTGTAATCCCAGCACTTTGGGAGGCCGAGATGGGTGGATCATCTGAGGTCAGGAGTTGGAGACCAGCCTGGCCAACATGGCGAAACCCCATCTCTACTAAAAATACAAAAATTAATGGGGCGTGGTGGTGCGTGCCTGTAATCTCAGCTAGTCGGGAGGCTGAGGCAGGGGAATTGCTCGAACCTGGGAGGTGGAGGTTGCAGTGAACCCAGATTGCACCACTGCACTCCAGCCTGGGCCACAGAGCGAGGCTCTGTCTCAAATATATATACATATATAAAAATTAATTCAAAATGATCAAAGATCTAAAAGTAAGAGATAAACTCTAAAAGTCTTAGAAGGAAACAAAAGTCGTCTTTGTGACTTTGAATTAAGAAATGGTTTATTTTTTATGACAACAAAAATGTAAGTAACAAAATAAAAAGTACATAAATTGGATTTATCAAAATAAAAGCTTTTATGCTTCAAAGGATACCATCAAGGTGAAAAGGCAACCCACAGAATTAGAGAACATTTTTGCAAATCATATGTATTAAAAGGAAATTGTATATGGAATATATAAATAAATGCTTACAACTCAAAAGTTATAAGACACCTGAACTTAAAATGGGCAAAGGAACTGGATAGAGACATTTTTCCAAAGGAGATATACAAATGGCCAATAAGCAGATGAAGATACTCAACATCATTAGCCATTAGAGAAATACAAATCAATACCACAATAAGATACCACTTCACACCCACTAGGATGTCTATAATAAAAATAGTAAGTGTTGGCAAGGATGTGGAGAAACTGCAAACTTTATACTTTGCTGGTGGGGATATAAAATGGTGCAGCCACTTTTGAAAATGGTCTAGCAGGTATTCACATTGTTAAACATAGTGTTATCATATAATCCAGCAAATTCCACTCCTAGTCATGTACACAGAAATGAAAACATATATCCACACAAAAACTTGTGCATGAATTTTCATAGCAACATTATTCATAATAGCCAAAAAGGTAAAACAACTTGAATGTCCACCAACTTATGAATGGATAAAGGTGGTATATTCATACAATGGACTATCATTCAGCATAAAAATAAATGAAGTACTGATACATGCTCCAACATGGATGAATCTTGAAAACATGCTAACTTTAAGAACCCAGTCACAAATAATGACATATTTTATATAATTTCACTTATGTGAAATGTCCATAATAGGCAAATCTATACAAACAAAATGTATATTAGTGATTGCCTAGAGCTCAGAGGTATGGGGAGATTGGGGTGACAGTTAAGAGAAGTATGGTTTCTTTTAGAGGTGACTAAAATGTTGTAGAATTGGTTGTGGTGACTAATGCACAATTCTGTGAAAATACTAAAACCCACTGCATTATACATTTTAAATGGATGAGTTGTATGATATGTGAGTTATATTGAAATAAACCTGTTAAAACATATTTGAAGAAATGATGTCCCCAAACATCCCAAATTGGATGAAAAATGCTAATCTAAATATCTAAGAATCTCAACTAACTGTAAATAGAATAAAGAGTAAGAGATGTTAGCACATCACAAACTGTTGAAAACCAAAGACAGCAAACCTGGAAGGCACTAAGACAAAATGGAATCATCAAATACAAGAAAGTCACAATAATATTATAGCTGATTTGTCATCAGAAACAATGGAGGCCAGAAAACAAAGGGATGACTGTCAAGGCGTAGAAAGAAAGAAAAAAATGTCAAGCCAAAATTGCATATCTATTAGGCTGGTGCAAAAGTAATTGAGTTTTTTGCCATTATAAGTAATGAACATTAAAAGTAAAAAACTGCAATTACTTTTGCACCAACCTAATAGTAAAACCATACTTCAAAAGTGAGAGTGTGAAAAAAGATATTCTCAGGTAAACAAAGACTGAAAGAATTCATTGCTAGTAGTCCTGTCTTTACAAGAAATACTAAGGAAATTTTTGCAGGCTAAAATGAAATAACACCAAATGCTAATATGAATCTATACAATGAAATAATGAGCACTGGTAAAGATAATTACATAGGTAAATGTAACAGTATATATATATGTATTATTTCTCTCTTCTTCTTAAAAATATTTTCATTGATGCTAATAGATATACATAGTTTGAAGGTACATGTGATAACAATACATTCATATAATTTGCAAAGATCAAATCAGTGTACTTGGGATATCCATCACCTTAAATATTTGTCTTTTCTTTACGTTAAAAACATTTGAATTACTTTCTTCTAGCTATTTTGGAATGTACAATAGATTATTGAAAACTGTAGTTACCCTACTGATCAAACCCTAGGTCTTATTACATGTATCAAATATGTATTTGCATCCATTGATCAAGTTCTCTTCATCTCCCTTCCTTCCTATCCTTCCCTGTCTCTGGTAACCACCAATCTACTCTCTATCTTCATGAGATCATTTTTTAGCTTCCACATATGAGTGAGAACAATCAATGTGTTTTTCTGTGCTTGGCTTGTTTCACTTAACATAATGACCTCCAGTTCCATCCATGTTTCTGGAAATGACAGTATTTCATTCTTTTTTTTATGACTGAAGAATATTCCATTGGATATGCAAACCACATGTTTTAACCCATTCTTCCTTTGATAGGTACAAATGGCCAACAGGTATACAAAATGTTCAACATCTCTAATCATCAGAGAAATTAAAATAAAAACTACAATGAGATGTCATTTCACTCTAGGTAAAATGTATTTTATCAAAAAGACAGACAATAACAGGTGCTGGTGATGATGTGGAGAAAGGAGGACCCTCACACATTGTTGGTGGGAATGTAAATTAATGTAGCTACTATGGAGAACAGTATAGAAGTTCCTCAAATAACTAAAAATGAAAATTCCATATGATCCAGCAATCCCACTACTTGATATATATCCAAAAGAAAGGAAATCAATATATCAAAAAGATATCTGCATTCCCACGTTTATTACAGCACTATTCACAATAGCCAAAAATCTGGATTCAACCTATTTCTTTCCTTTTAAATGACTTAACACACAATTGCATAAAATAATAATTATAAAACTGTATTGATAGCTTCATAACATGAAAGATGTTATATTTATTACAATGATAACACAAAGGAAGGGGGAGTAATGGCACTATATTGGAAAAAAGAAATGACACCAGATGGTAGTTAGGATCTACAGGAAGAAATGAAGATTAATGAAAAGAGTAAACATGTAGGTTAATGTAAAAAAAGATAAAGATATTTTTACTCTCAACTTCTCTTAACTTCTTTACAGATGCAAGATTACACAGGGCAATCATTATAACACTGTATTTTGGGGGCTTATAATACACATCAATGTAATATATATGATAATAATAACACAAAGGGGGACAGAAGAATGGATATATATTGAAGCAAAGTTTTTATATTTTCCGGGAACTACGTTAGTGTTAGTTTAGACTTCTGTTCTCTGGTCTGACAGATAAAGAGCTTGAAAGTCATCACTGTTGTCCTTATAACAAGGAAAAGGCGTGAAAAAAACTGAAAAATGAAAAACTTTGCTCATATCCATAAGAGAATTTAGGTCACAGGACAAACTGCTTGGCCCCAAAACTGGAGAGACAGGTGAATACAGACAGCTCATGCTCATGAATCAAAAGGCATGGCAATATTCCCCAAATTGATTTACAGATCCAATACAATCCCTATCAAAATTTCAGCAGGTGTTTCTGAAAAAAAAAAAAAAGAAAAGAAAATCTGACAAGCTGATACTAAAATTTATATGGCAGGGCAAAGGTCCCAAAATAGCCAAAACGATCTTGAAAAAGAAGAGCAAAGTTGAAGGACTTACACTTCCTTATTTTAAAACTTACTATAATGCTATAGTTATGTCAGTATGATACTAGCATAAGCACAGATATGTATATCAGTGGGTCAGAATTGAAAGTTCACAAATAAACTTCTGCATTTATGGTCAATTAATTTTAATAATACTGCCAGGACATTTAAAAATATATATTTTTAAAATAAATGATGATAGCACAATAGAAAGTCCACATGTAAAAAGATAAACTTAGGATTGGCTTGGCGATGCGGGCTCTTTTATGGTTCCATATGAACTTTAAAGTAGTTTTTTCCAATTCTGTGAAGAAAGGCATTGGTAGCTTGATGGGGATGGCATTGAATCTGTAAATTACCTTGGGCAGTATGGCCATTTTCACGATATTGATTCTTCCTACCCATGAGCATGGAATGTTCTTCCATTTGTTTGTATCCTCTTTTATTTCATTGAGCAGTGGTTTGTAGTTCTCCTTGAAGAGGTCCTTCACGTCCCTTGTAAGTTGGATTCCTAGGTATTTTATTCTCTTTGAAGCAATTGTGAATGGGAGTTCACTCATGATTTGGCTCTCTGTTTGTCTGTTGCTGATGTATAAGAATGCTTGTGATTTTTGTACATTGATTTTGTATCCTGAGACTTTGCTGAAGTTGCTTATCAGCTTAAGGAGATTTTGGGCTGAGACAATGGGGTTTTCTAGATATACAATCATGTCATCTGCAAACAGGGACAATTTGACTTCCTCTTTTCCTAATTGAATACCCTTTATTTCCTTCTCCTGCCTAATTGCCCTGGCCAGAACTTCCAACACTATGTTACTAAGCCAAAAGAACAAAGCTGGAGGCATCACACTACCTGACTTCAAACTATACTACAAGGCTACAGTAACCAAAACAGCATAGTACTGGTACCAAAACAGAGATATAGATCAATGGAACAGAACAGAGCCCTCAGAAATAACGCCGCATATCTGCAACTATCTGATCTTTGACAAACCTGAGAAAAACAAGCAATGGGGAAAGGATTCCCTATTTAATAAATGGTGCTGGGAAAACTGGCTAGCCATATGTAGAAAGCTGAAACTGGATCCCTTCCTTACACCTTATACAAAAATCAATTCAAGATGGATTAAAGACTTAAATGTTAGACCTAAAACCATAAAACCCTAGAAGAAAACCTAGGCAATACCATTCAGGACATAGGCATGGGCAAGGACTTGATGTCTAAAACACCAAAAGCAATGGCAACAAAAGACAAAATTGACAAATGGGATCTAATTAAACTAAAGAGCTTCTGCACAGCAAAAGAAACCACCATCAGAGTGAACAGGCAACCTACAAAATGGGAGAAAATTTTCACAACCTACTCATCTGACAAAGGGCTAATATCCAGAATCTACAATGAGCTCCAACAAATTTACAAGAAAAAAACAAACAACCCCATCAAAAAGTGGGCGAAGGACATGAACAGACACTTCTCAAAAGAAGACATTTATGCAGCCAAAAAACACATGAAAAAATGCTCATCATCACTGGCCATCAGAGAAATGCAAATCAAAACCACAATGAGATACCATCTCACACCAGTTAGAATGGCAATCATTAAAAAGTCAGGAAACAACAGGTGCTGGAGAGAATGTGGGGAAGTAGGAACACTTTTACACTGTTGGTGGGACTGTAAACTAGTTCAACCATTGTGGAAGTCAGTGTGGCGACTCCTCAGGGATCTAGAACTGGAAATACCATTTGACCCAGCCATCCCATTACTGGGTATATACCCAAATGACTATAAATCATGCTGCTATAAAGACACATGCACACGTATGTTTATTGCGGCACTATTCACAATAGCAAAGACTTGGAACCAACCCAAATGTCCAACAATGATAGACTGGATTAAGAAAATGTGGCACATATACACCATGGAATACTATGCAGCCATAAAAAATGATGAGTTCATGTCCTTTGTAGGGACATGGATGAAATTGGAAAACATCATTCTCAGTAAACTATCGCAAAAACAAAAAACCAAACACCGCATATTCTCACTCATAGGTGGGAATTGAACAATGAGATCACATGGACACAGGAAGGGGAACATCACACTCTGGGGACTGTTGTGGGGTGGGGGGAGGGGGGAGGGATAGCTTTTGGAGATATACCTAATACTAGATGACGAGTTAGTGGGTGCAGTGCACCAGCATGGCACATGTATACATATGTAACTAACCTGCACAATGTGCACATGTACCCTAAAACTTAAAGTATAAAAAAAAAATTCCATAGATGAGGGGTTAGTTTTTATATCCTATAAAACAAAGCATATTAAATGGAAATATGAAGTCAGTCCTGCATTTAATGTCTTGAACATTTTAAATTACTTCTATTCCCTTGCTGTTTTTTAGTAGAATTGTTTTCTAAAGAAAACCACTCCTTGATCCTGGCTTCTCCCTGTCAGAATTGTGTGCACTCTGTAAGATCTGTGGTTGTGGTAGTCCTGTTTTCCTAATAACTTTGTTATGCTGTGAAAGATTAAAAATTTGAATATGTAGTGTATATGCTATTCAGTTGTGAATTGGTGAAATGTATGTAACAGCTTATCAACATGTGAAGATATTGATAGCCTCTTAAGGAAAATTTGCTTCCAAATTTTAAGCTGGAAAGTCGCTGGAATAACTTTAAAAAAGAATTACAATACATGGCTTTTTAGATTTTCGGTATGTATGTTAAGAATTGTGTACAAGTTTAAGTGTCTTACTGATCCACATCCAATAAAATCTCAATTATGAAAGAAAAAAAAAAAGATAAACTTACACCCTTCCCTTGCAAATTATGCACAATAATGACCTCAAAATGGATCATAGACCTAAAGTACAAGCTAAAAGTATAAAACTTTTAGAATAAAATATAGGAGAAAATCTTTGTAACCTTGAGATAAGCAAAGATTTCTTAGGAATAACACCAAAAGCATAATCCATTTAAGAATATGATAAATTGTACTTAATCAAAATAAAAAACTTTTACACTTCAAAAATACTATTTTTTTTGTTTACATAAGTTAGAGTAATTTTTAAATTTAATTTGTATACATGAGGTTAAAGAATTGAAGTTAGGACATGGGAGTCATTACATTTATAATGAAAAACTGCATTTCCTGCCCCACCTTCCCAACCCCAAAAATACTATTAAGAAAATGAAAGACATACCCCACATTGGGATAAAATGTTTGCAAATCATATATCTAATGAAATATTAATAATATTAAAAGATTGTCTACAGCTGAATAACATGAATGCAAATAATCCAGATAAAAAAGGCAAAAGATTTGAATAAGCATTTAATGAAAGAAGATATGGTGAAAAGATATTCAAGATCATTAAACATTAGGGAAATGCAAATTAAAACAAAAATGAGATTTAACTCCCTGCCCACTAAAATGGCTATAACCTTAAGACAGACAATAACAAATATGAGGTTATGGAGAAACTAGAAACTTTATATATTACTGGATGGCATACAAATTTATGCAGCCACTTTGGAAAACAGCTTAAGAAGTAAAATGTAAAAAAATTATTTGAAGAGACTTATCATATTCAAATATTAAAATATATAATTATTCCATAAATGATTCTGGGCAATTATTTTTAGGAGATGAGGACTTCTGCTTATAACCCTTGGCTTATGACATTTCACTAAACACATACCAATTAAATTTAAGAGTTAAAATTTTATAATGTAATTGATAAAAATCTATGATTAACATAAATGTTTACAGGAACGAAAAATTTCTAAGATAAAAAGAAGTGAAAAAACTCCACAAATGTAAATATTCTCATTTCTTTAAAATTCTTCTGTAATGTCATAAATAGAAGCAAATTTAAAAGGCAAAAAAACTGAGAAAAACAATAAAAATGATCAACATAAACAGCTAATATAGATTGATAATTAAAATATGAAGTCTGCACTAGAGAAAGGATGTGAAAAGACAATTTAGCAAAGAGAAATTATAACAAGTTAACAAATGTGAATAACCATAACTTCATTAGAAAATTTTCAAAAATCCAAAGATAACTAGATACTAGTTTTATTATGAAAGTTTTTATACTTAAAAATAGAAATTTTGAAAAGATAAAATTTAAATATAAATTTATTATATGTTCCAACAATACCACTATTATGAATCTACCCAAGAAAAATGAAAACTTATGTCCACCCAAAGACTCTTACATGAAAGTTTACAACAGCATAATTATGCTTCCACATTGGAAACAATCCAAATATCTATTAACTGGTAAATGAATAAACAAATGTGGTATGTCCACATAATGAAATGCTATTTAGCAGTAAAAATATGTGTACATGCTGCAACATGGATGAACCTCAAGAACACGGTAAGTGAAACTAATCCAATCTTAAACTAGGAGGTGAAGAGTATACAGAAAAATGAAACTAATAAAAAATGCCTCAGTTATCTATACATCTGTATCTATATATACATTTTTTTTTTTGAGACAGAGTCTCACTCTGTTGCCCAGGCTGGAGTGCAGTGGCACGATCTCTGCTCACTGCAACCTCCACCTCCTGGGTTCCAGCGATTCTCCTGCCTCAGCCTCCCGTGTAGCTGGGATTATAGGCATGCGCCACCATGCCCGGTTAATTTTTGTATTTTTAGTAGAGACGGGGTTTCCCAATGTTGGCCAGACTGGTCTCGAACTCCTGGATTCAAGTGATCTGCTCGCCTTGGCCTCCTATACTGCTGGGATTACAGACTTGAGCCACCACTCCCAGCCAATGTCCTTATTTATGATCGAGATGGTCAGGCAGAGGTCAATGGTCTCCAGTACAGTGGTCGATTGTTTCACAATGAGCCATATAATGTTCCTAATTAGAAAGCGAAAGGAAAGCTTAGGAAGAGATTCCGTGTGGGAAAAAAGTCGATATATAGGGAGCATTGGCAGATTATATTTATAATGTATACTATAGGTATGTGGCTAATATATTACCTTTAATGGCAAAAACCACAATTACTTTTGCATCAACCTAATACTTGTATTAATAATTCCAATGGAGAGAATAAAAGATCATATGTATATTACTTACAAAAGAACCTTAAATTATAATCAAACATATGAAAATATATCCAAATGTCCTAGTGATTAAAGAAATGCAAATAAGAAAAATGACATAGAGTTGAAAATATAAAGATGCAGAGTAGTATGTGAATATACTTACATATGCATTATATATTTATCTATAATAGATATAGATGTAGCTATAGATATGAATAAAATATAGATTTATAGATTTGTCATGAGCATATACATCAAACTGTTAATATTGGATATCTTGTGGTTGAACAGAGAGAGAGAACAAAATGCAATATAGTTTCTTACTCAAAAAAATTTATTTTGGAAGGTATTTTGTGGAACAGATATAAATATTTTGTAATCATGAGAAGCAACTGAGACAGAATTTTGAAAACATTATATGTGCCTGATACAGGTAAACACTCTCTGGCATATAATGTTGGTTTTCAGTGTAAATTTGAATAATCACTTTTCATTATCACTTTATCAATTTTCAAATGTAAAATTGGTTGACTGTGTGTTTGTGTGTATGCATACACATGTGAATGTGCAATTCTTCCAGCTTTGTGTACTTCATGGCTGCACTCTTGTAGTTTTTCCCTTGTTTGCTAAATCCAGGTCCTTGTCAATAAACATAGGCTTATATATATAGGAGAAATCATACTTCCATAGCAGTTTTGAATCCCAGAACCTTTATGTCAAGACCTTCAATAAAAGTAAAGCAGTCCTACTCAACATTGACAGATATTCCTGGGACCGTCTGGAACACCTGGCAAAGGATATCTGTGGTGTATAGATTAACTCAAGAATAAAGGGAAAGCCTCTTCTGCTTTCTCCATTTCTCTTGGCTCCTGCTGCAGTGGCCAGGAATGAGCTTAAATAACACAAACAAACCAAAATATTTTCTTTCACCTATTTCAACATTCTACTTAATGGCCCAAATATATGCATGGGTAATCTCATCTCTTTGGTCTAAACACAATGGTCCATATCTACAAACAGTTATTAATTGTTAAAACACTTGAAGAATGATTTGATTGTAAACATCTTAGGAGAAGGTGTGAGGAAGAACATCTTAAATTTACCTTAAACCCTATGGAGTGACTTTTTGCTTTACGTGTTCTGCTTCCTAAAAGAAGTCCTGTAAGTGTCTTGTGTCTCCATTGACCAGTCTGATCACATTCTCCACGTGGAGTAAGGCAGATATCACAGATATGTTCTGGTCACATTGCTCTCATTTTCTGGGGATGTGACTGAGTAAAGTTCCCATAGGTCTTTTATAGATTCAAGGCATGCAGGTGCTTTTTGGTCCTTGAATCATTTGTCAAAACAGAAATCTTCTGAGACATCTCAAATCCCTCTTGTTCCTTGGTCTTTTGTCTACACAGGTAGCCCTGTGGATATTGAAATGAATTGTTTCCAATAGACTGTCCTTTACTGCAGAGTTCAGCCACAGTCTTTGTCTCAGGCTTCCTCTGATTACCTAGTAGGCTTTCCATTACAGGCCTCTGTTTATACCCAAGGATGGTCTCTATAAATTGAAACCTTTCGCCTTCTCACCACTTTTTTCCAGCTTCAGTACACTCATGGTGGTGCTAGACACCTTTTATTACACGGAAAGTTATGACAATTTTAAAAGGCCAGTTAAATACAGATTTATGCCAATGCCACTTCGGAATCCCAATGTAAACTATAAACTGACTTCTGTTTTATCATATAATAGACACATGCAACAGTTTTGCCAATAACTTACTATCGGCAAACTATTAACCGATAACTTACTATTTCTTGTATGCAATGGCACAGACATTTTGACTAAATTTTGCATATTCAGGGATTGTGAACCGTTATTTTTCAACTTCAATGGAAATGTGCACTTCTGATGTTAAATATAAAGACAGAATAATAGACGGGAATGTTTATGAAAGAATAAAAATAAATGGTGCAAATATCTATCCCTCTTCTCACCTCCATCAGGTAACATATCATAGCACTCCAAAAGAGCACCAAAATTCTTACAATATATAATAGTATGTACACTTCACTTTTTGTGTTTACATTTCCCTGTGGTCCCTGAGTGTTATGCTATTTATGTGAGCATCACCTCATTTTCAGAAGAGAGGAGTAAAAAACAAACATGTATTGAAGGCCTACTATGTGTCAAAACAAACTTTCTCTGTTTATTTTCTCCTTACTGTAATTCTGTTAGATATTATTCTTAATCTTTCTAGTGAGAGATAACTCATTTCTGTATATATATATATGTATATATATACGTATATGTGTATATATATGTATATATATGTATATATATACGTATATGTGTATATATATGTATATATATATGTATATATATACGTATATGTGTATATATATGTATATATATATGTATATATATACGTATATGTGTATATATATGTATATATATACGTATATGTGTATATATATATAAAACTTACTATCGGCAAACTATATATGTATATAATTGTGTATATACATATGTATACACAGAGGTGAATGGTCTGGTCAACAGGCCCAAGCAGTTACCTGCACAGAAAACAAAAACAAAAACAAAAACAAGACCAGTTGTACCTCAGTAGTCACCAGTTCAGAGAGATGTCTAGAGTGTTAATCTTCCACCAGGAACCAGTGAAGATCCAGAGGAAACCATATTGATCCAGAGGAAACCACAGACACTAGACTGTGGTAGTGAGATAAGGCTGAAGACAGGGTTGCTCTAAGTGAGGCTTGGCTCTTTGCACTTATGTAAAGCACTATTACACATGCCTGGGATTTCTACAGGAGAAGCTTGTCATGAATGAAGTTTTCTAAAGTAAATGTCCACGTGGAAGTATATAATAAAGAGTCTAACTCTTTTTTTTAATGTTTGCTGACAACTTTTAAGTCTCACTCATGCATCTTTCCCTTCTGCCCCACACCAGGTAAGCTTATAAGAAAGTCTAGGTGCTCTGTCCTTTAGCACCAGTAAGAGATTCAAATCACGCAAGCCCCTGATTGTGCACAGGAACTCTCACCCTGGCCCTACCCCTTAAACAACACACAAATCTCAAGTCAGTCTCCTATTCTTGGTCTCTCAAGCCATTTTTGGACCAGCTTGGAAGGCCCACTGTGCCCTCCTGAGAAGCCTCATTATGTTAGTAATAAAGCTTCTCATACCCTCTTGCTGTGTGTGTGGCATTATCAGTCTTGACATCTGAATCTGATTTTAGGTGGATTTCTTTTTTTTTTTTCAATACATCAACAATTTATTTATTTATTTTTTTCAGCTATTAGTGGTTTATTTGCTTCAGTACCATATTTAATTTTTTTTCTTTTTTTTCTTTTTTTTCTTTTATTATTATACTTTAAGTTTTAGGGTACATGTGCACATTGTGCAGGTTAGTTACATATGTATACATGTGCCATGCTGGTGCACTGCACCCACTAACTCGTCATCTAGCATTAGGTATATCTCCCAAAGCTATCCCTCCCCCCTCCCCCCACCCCACAACAGTCCCCAGAGTGTGATGTTCCCCTTCCTGTGTCCATGTGATCTCATTGTTCAATTCCCACCTATGAGTGAGAATATGCGGTGTTTGTTTTTTGTTCTTGCGATAGTTTACTGAGAATGATGATTTACAATTTCATCCATGTCCCTACAAAGGACATGAACTCATCATTTTTTATGGCTGCATAGTATTCCATGGTGTATATGTGCCACATTTTCTTAATCCAGTCTATCATTGTTGGACATTTGGGTTGGTTCCAAGTCTTTGCTATTGTGAATAGTGCCGCAATAAACATATGTGTGCATGTGTCTTTATAGCAGCATGATTTATAGTCCTTTGGGTATATACTCAGTAATGGGATGGCTGGGTCAAATGGTATTTCTAGTTCTAGATCCCTGAGGAGTCGCCACACTGACTTCCACAATGGTTGAACTAGTTTACAGTCCCACCAACAGTGTAAAAGTGTTCCTACTTCCCCACATTCTCTCCAGCACTTGTTGTTTCCTGACTTTTTAATGACTGCCATTCTAACTTGTGTGAGATGGTATCTCATTGTGGTTTTGATTTGCATTTCTCTGATGGCCAGTGATGATGAGCATTTTTTCATGTGTTTTTTGGCTGCATAAATGTCTTCTTTTGAGAAGTGTCTGTTCATGTCCTTTGCCCACTTTTTGATGGGGTTGTTTTTTTCTTGTAAATTTGTTTAAGTTCATTGTAGATTCTGGATATTAGCCCTTTGTCAGATGAGTAGGTTGCGAAAATTTTCTCCCATTTTGTAGGTTGCCTGTTCACTCTGATGGTAGTTTCTTTTGCTGTACAGAAGCTCTTTAGTTTGATTAGATCCCATTTGTCAATTTTGTCTTTTGTTGCCATTGCTTTTGGTGTTTTAGACATCAAGTCCTTGCCCATGCCTATGTCCTGAATGGTATTGCCTAGGTTTTCTTCTAGGGTTTTATGGTTTTAGGTCTAACATTTAAGTCTTTAATCCATCTTGAATTGATTTTTGTATAAGGTGTAAGGAAGGGATCCAGTTTCAGCTTTCTACATATGGCTAGTCAGTTTTCCCAGCACCATTTATTAAATAGGGAATCCTTTCCCCATTGCTTGTTTTTCTCAGGTTTGTCAAAGACCAGATAGTTGTAGATATGCGGCGTTATTTCTGAGGGCTCTGTTCTGTTCCATTGATCTATATCTCTGTTTTGGTACCAGTACTATGCTGTTTTGGTTACTGTAGCCTTGTAGTATAGTTTGAAGTCAGGTAGTGTGATGCCTCCAGCTTTGTTCTTTTGGCTTAGGATTGACTTGGCGATGCGGGCTCTTTTTTGGTTCCATATGAACTTTAAAGTAGTTTTTTCCAATTGTGTGAAGAAAGTCATTGGTAGCTTGATGGGGATGGCATTGAATCTGTAAATTACCTTGGGCAGTATGGCCATTTTCACAATATTGATTCTTCCTATCCATGAGCATGGAATGTTCTTCCATTTGTTTGTATCCGCTTTTATTTCCTTGAGCAGTGGTTTGTAGTTCTCCTTGAAGAGGTCCTTCACATCCCTTGTAAGTTCGATTCCTAGGTATTTTATTCTCTTTGAAGCAATTGTGAATGGGAGTTCACTCATGATTTGGCTCTCTGTTTGTCTGTTGTTGGTGTATAAGAATGCTTGTGATTTTTGTACATTGATTTTGTATCCTGAGAATTTGCTAAAGTTGCTTATCAGCTTAAGGAGATTTTGGGCTGAGACAATGGGGTTTTCTAGATATACAATCATGTCGTCTGCAAACAGGGACAATTTGACTTCGTCTTTTCCTAATTGAATACCCCTTATTTCCTTCTCCTGCCTGATTGCCCTGGCCAGAACTTCCAACACTATGTTGAATAGGAGTGGTGAGAGAGGGCATCCCTGTCTTGTGCCAGTTTTCAAAGGGAATGCTTCCAGTTTTTGCCCATTCGGTATGATATTGGCTGTGGGTTTGTCATAGATAGCTGTTATTATTTTGAAATATGTCCCATCAATATCTAATTTATTGAGAGTTTTTAGCATGAAGGGTTGTTGAATTTTGTCAAAGGCCTTTTCTGCATCTATTGAGATAATCATGTGGTTTTTGTTGTTGGTTCTGTTTATATGCTGGATTACGTTTATTGATTTGCGTGTGCTGAACCAGCCTTGCATCCCAGGGATGAAACCCACTTGATCATGGTGGATAAGCTTTTTGATGTGCTGCTGGATTTGGTTTGCCAGTATTTTATTGAGGATTTTTCCATCGATGTTCATCAGGGATATTGGTCTAGAATTCTCTTTTTTTGTTGTGTCTCTGCCCGGCTTTGGTATCAGGATGATGCTGTCCTCATAAAATGAGTTAGGGAGGATTCCCTTTTCTTCTATCAATTGGAATAGTTTCAGAAGGAATGGTACCAGCTCCTTCTTGTACCTCTGGTAGAATTCGGCTGTGAATCCATCTGGTCCTGGACCTTTTTTGGTTGGTAAGCTATTAATTGTTGCCTCAATTTCAGAGCCTGTTATTGGTCTATTCAGAGATTCAACTTCTTCCTGGTTTAGTCTTGGGAGGGTGTATGTGTCGAGGAATTTATCCATTTCTTCTAGATTTTCTAGTTTATTCGCATAGAGGTGTTTGTAGTATTCTCTGATGGTAGTTTGTATTTCTGTGGGATCGGTGGTGATATCCCCTTTATCATTTTTTATTGCGTCTATTTGATTCTTCTCTCTTTTCTTCTTTATTAATCTTGCTAGCAGTCTATCAATTTTGTTGATCCTTTCAAAAAACCACCTCCTGGATTCATTGATTTTTTGAAGGGTTTTTTGTGTCTCTATCTCCTTCAGTTCTGCTCTGATCTTAGTTATTTCTTGCCTTCTGCTAGCTTTTGAATGTGTTTACTCTTGCTTCTCTAGTTCTTTTAATTGTGATGTTAGAGTGTCAATTTTAGATCTTTCCTGCTTTCTCTTGTGGGCATTTAGCGCTATAAATTTCCCCCTACACACTGCTTTGAATGTGTCCCAGAGATTCTGGTATGCTGTGTCTTTGTTCTCGTTGGTTTCAAAGAACATCTTTATTTCTGCCTTCATTTCGTTATGTACCCAGTAGTCATACAGGAGCAGGTTGTTCAGTTTCCATGTAGTTGACTGGTTTTGAGTGAGTTTCTTAATCTTGAGTTCTAGTTTGATTGCACTGTGGTCTGAAAGACAGTTTGTTATAATTTCTGTTCTTTTACATTTGCTGAGGAGTGCTTTACTTCCAAGTATGTGGTCAATTTTGGAATAGGTGTGGTGTCGTGCTAAAAAGAATGTATATTCTGTTGATTTGGGGTGGAGAGTTCTGTAGATGTCTATTAGGTCCACTTGGTGTAGAGCTGAGTTCAATTCCTGGATATCCTTGTGAACTTTCTGTCTCGTTGATCTGTCTAATGTTGACAGTGGGGTGTTAACGTCCCCCATTATTATTGTGTGGTGGTCTAAGTCTCTTTGTAGGTCACTCAGGACTTACTTTATCAATCTGGGTGCTCCTGTATTGGGTGCATATATATAGGATAGTTAGCTCTTCTTGTTGAATTGATCCCTTTACCATCATGTAATGGCCTTCTTTGTCTCTTTTGATCTTTGTTGGTTTAAAGTCTGTTTTAATCAGACACTAGGATTGCAACCCCTGCCTTTTTTTGTTTTCCATTTGCTTGGTAGATCTTCCTCCATCCCTTTATTTTGAGCCTATGTGTGTCTCTGCACGTGAGATGGGTTTCCTGAATACAGCACACTGATGGGTCTTGGCTCTTTATCCAATTTGCCAGTCTGTGTCTTTCAACTGGAGCATTTAGCCCATTTACATTTAAGGTTAATATTGTTATGTGTGAATTTGATCCTGTCATTATGATGTTAGCTGGTTATTTTGCTCGTTAGTTGATGTAGTTTCTTCCTAGCCTCGATGGTCTTTACAATTTGGCATGGTTTTGCAGTGGCTGGTACTGGTTGTTCCTTTCCTTGTTTAGTGCTTTCTTCAGGAGCTCTTGTAGCGCAGGCCGGGTGGTGACAAAGTCTCTCAGCATTTGCTTGTCTGTTAGGTATTTTATTTCTCCTTCATATATGAAGGTTAGTTTGGCTGGATATGACATTCTGGGTTGAAAATTCTTTTCTTTAAGAACGTTGAATATTGGCCCCCACTCTCTTCTAGCTTGTAGAGTTACTGCAGAGAGATCTGCTGTTAGTCTGATGGGCTTCCCTTTGTGAGTAACCCGCCCTTTCTCTCTGGATGCCCTTAACATTTTTTCCTTCATTTCAACTTTGGTGAATCAACAATTATGCGTCTTGAAGTTGCTCTTCTCGAGGAGTATCTTTGTGGTGTTCTCTGTATTTCCTGAATTTGAATGTTGGCCTGCCTTGCTAGGTTGGGGAAGTTCTCCTGGATAATATCCTGCAGAGTGTTTTCCAACTTGGTTCCATTCTCCCCGTCACTTTCAGGTACACCAATCAGACGTAGATTTTGTCTTTTCACATAGTCCCATATTTCTTGGAGGCTTTGTTTATTTCTTTTTATTCTTTTTTCTCTAAACTTCTCTTCTCATTTCATTTCATTCATTTGATCTTCAATCACTGATACCCTTTCTTCCAGTTGATCGAATCGGCTGCTGAAGCTTGTGCATTTTTCACGTAGTTCTCGTACCATGGTTTTCAGCTCCATCAGGTCCTTTAAGGACTTCTCTGCATTGGTTATTCTAGTTAGGCATTCGTGTAATCTTTTTCCAAGGTTTTTTACTTCTTTGGGGTGGGTTCAAACTTCCTCCTTTAGCTCGGAGAAGTTTGAACTTCTGAAGCCTTCTTCTCTCAACTCATCAAGGTCATTCTCCATCCAGCTTTGTTCTGTTGCTGGTGAGGAGCTGCATTCCTTTGTAGGAGGAGAAGTGGTCTGATTTTTAGAATTTTCAGTTTTTCTGCTCTGTTTTTTCCCCATCTTTGTGGTTTTATCTACCTTTGGTCTTTGATGATGGTGACATACAGATGGGGTTTTGGTGTGGATGTCCTTTGTGTTTGTTACTTTTCCTTCCAATAGTCAGGACCCTCAGCTGTAGGTCTGTTGGAGTTAGCTTGAGGTCCACTCCAGACCCTGTTTGCCTGGGTATCAGCAGTGGAGGCTGCAGAACAGCTTATATTGCTGAACAGCAAATGTTGGTGCCTGATCGTTCCTCTGGAAGTTTCGTCTCAGAGGGGTACCCGGCTATGTGAGGTGTCAGTCTGCCCCTACTGGGGGGTGCCTCCCAGTTAGGCTACTCAGGGGTCAGGGACACACTTGTGGAGGCAGTCTGTCCTTTCTCAGATCTCAAACTCCGTGCTGGGAGAACCACTACTCTCTTCAAAGTTGTCAGACAGGGACATGTAAGTCTGCAGAGGTTTCTGCTGCCTTTTGTATGGCTATGCCCTGCCCCCAGAAGTGTAGTCTACAGAGGTAGGCAGGCCTCCTTGAGGTGTGGTGGGCTCCACCCAGTTTGACCTTGCTGGCCGCTTTGTTTACCTACTCAAGCCTCAGCAATGGCAGGTACCCCTCCCCCAGCCTCGCTGCCACCTTGCAGTTCAATCTCAGACTGCTGTGCTAGCAATGAGTGAGGCTCTGTGGGCATGGGACCCTCTGAGCCAGGCGCAGGATATAATCTCCTGGTGTGCCGTTTGCTAAGACCATTGGAAAAGCATAGTATTAGGGTGGGAGTGACCCGATTTTCCAGGTGCCATCTGTCACAGCTTTGCTTGGCTAGGAAAGGGAATTCCCTGACTCTTTGCACTTCCCTGGTGAGGCGATGCCTCACCCTGCTTCGGCTCATGCTCAGTGCGCTGCATCCACTGTCCTGCACCCACTGTCCGACAAGCCCCAGTGAGATGAACCCGGTACCTCAGTTGGAAATGAGGTATCCAAATGAGAAATCACCCGTCATCTCCGTCACTCACGCTGGGAGCTGTAGACTGGAGCTGTTACTATTTGGCCATCTTGGAACAGCCCCGGAAAATACTTTCTAATAGAGGAAAGTAAGAGGTATTACTGAAGAGTTGTAGAAACCATGAACAAAGCACTAGAAGTAAATATCTATTATTACTATGATTTCCAAACAATGAAACTCATACATGTATGTTAATATGTAAATATATATTCTTTTTAATCAGTTGGATCTTATTATATGTATATTCTGAAATTTTCTTTTTCATGTATTTATCTCGTTTTTATATGTACTTTAAAATTGTGTATATATTTGAATTAGTTTAATATTTCTTTGAAATATATAATAGCTGGCCATAGACATCACTCTTTTAGCTAAGTCAGATTTATTTATATGTCCAGTATATTAATCTTCTCTCACTAAAATATGTTGCAAATACTTTTCCAATTTTTCACTTGCCATTAATTTTTGGTTGTTTTTGGCAGAGGGGATAGAATATATATTTTGAACTTTAATATTTTCAATTCAACGGAAAGCAGTTAACTATAGAAAAACTGACCCTGGCACCAGTGTCCATTTACTAATTTCTGATTCCCAGGTTATTATCATGAATAAAATTTAGTGACCCTGCTGACACTGCAAGGAAGTTGAGGATTTTGCCTCAATTGTGCATGAAATTATGGAGCCTGCAATCAAGTTTGGAAGGGAAAGAAAGTGCTAGAAGGTCTGAAAGTGGGAGAAAATTAGAGAGATCAAGGAATGGGATGTTAGTGAGAGAGAGAGAGAGAGCATTGATACTTAAATAAAATGTGTAAAACCATAGGAACATAATCTTGTAAATTGGTATCTGTCTTGCTGGAAACCTTCATTTCATTCTATGTTCTTTCTTGTCTCTGCTGCCCCACCCTATAGTTGAACATCAAAGCCACAGTTTTCTTATTGTGTCTAAGAATGGGGAGAGTGTACACAGGAACTAAAGATTGGAGTATGGAAAGGGGTGTTCCAAGAGCACATCTACCCATGACCAGAGGAAAATGGTTGAGTCATTTCCCTTGTGCTGACTTCAAGTCTAGCTATATTTTTACATCGAGTATGAATCTATGTTATAGTTGAGGGTGGCACAGGTGAGTGACTGCATACCAAAATCCTGAGTTGTATTAACTATGTCACTCCTCTGGGCCTAATTTTTATCTTCTTTTAAATGAGAGTAGCACTAATGCTCATGCAACATGCTGTTTTGGAGATTAAAATAAAAGACTGGAGGTTTAATGAGTGTGCAGCCATTCCATACTCAAGACTTTGAGGCCCCACTGTCTAGTTTCACATCTCAATTCTGCTACTTAGAAACTGTGACTTTGGGTATACAGACGTATGTGATGAAGACAACTTTAGGGTTAGCATTTGCTCGGGAGCATGAGACCACAAGGAATTGTGGGAACTGGCAGGAGGATGAGAGACTGGAAGACCATGGTGTCTGAGCTGGGTAGAAAAGGAGGTCAAGGTTGTGGAAGCCTGATGATGTACAGAGGGGAAGTAGAGGGGCCATGTGATGGGTTCCATGATTCCTGCACACAAAGGAACCCAGGCATCTCTGAGCTCTGAGTGCCTGAACAGACACCATGGTTGATAAGTAACATGTGAGACCATCTGTAGTCCCCGCGATGAGGCTGAGAAGCGCACGGTGTGGTCTCTGCTCCCTAGGTGAGAGGACCAAGGCTTAGAGAGGTACAGGAGCTTGTCTTTGACTATTGAGGCACTACAGGGACGAACAAAGTTGGCATTATTCTTTATGTGATTGCAACTATCCCCTTAGTTCCTAGTTTTAAGAGATTAACACTCCAACATATGGCTCCCAAATGTACATGTACATAAAGAATTGAAAAGTGGCAAGTGGTAGGAAAGTGGCAACTGGTAGGAAATAACATATGCCAAACACGAAAGTGGAGGCATAATTTGTAAACTGGTGGTACCTCTCCTATGTAATCATTTATAGGATTGTGACTTGAAAACGTCATACCACTATTATTCTAATTTCAAAAAGTGTGCCTGCTGATTGTCTAACATGCAAGCATTACAGAAGTGTGGAAAATAAATTCTGCAAATGTCCCATTCAACTCTTGCCTGCAATTCGGAAATGCTAAATGCCAGTTGTTGAGAAAGTTCCTACAGAAATGACCATAACCTGAGATTCTGTGCTGCTGTTGTTTGCTTAGAAGTGAAAATAAATGGCTGAACCCATTCAAGAACATGGACATGGAGCACCTGGTGTCGGCTCTCTGAGGAATGAGCTGGGCAGATGGGCTGAGTCTCCCCGCCCCTGCAGATGCTAACCTGAGACTCCTCGCAAAGTGCACCTTTGGGAAAGGGAGGGGTCGGGACGGTGGATGGAAGCCCCTGTTGTGCCAGGTAACATGCCCGCTTCTGTTTGGCTCCAGGTTGAGCATCTGACAGAGTCCCACTGTCTCTTAAGGCCAAGGCCAATCTCTGGAAGGAGCGTGTGCCCTTTCTCATCAGGATTTATTGACAAATTACCTATGAATGCAAGCCCAATCAATGTATCTCCTGCAGCCAGCCAGGGATGAATAGGGATGCAGGGTCTTTCAGTCCTGGCCCTGCTGGCTCATGGTTGGGGCAGGGGAAGAGCAATCCAGGATATACAATGTACAACATGTAACATCACTCTTTATTATGAAAATAAATGGTGATCATGAGTGGGGCGAATACACAGAACAACTGGTTCTTCAAGTGGTTATGTTACCCGGCCTGCAAGTTAACTTTGGCTTTCCGGTGAGCCAGGCTGCCAACCCCAGTCCTGGGCACGGCCTTAGGCTGGTAAAAAGAGGAAACAAAGAGGATGTGAATGAAGACAAAGAAGACATCGAAGGGCTCCTTTTAGGGGATTTGCTTGAAGGCCTCCACTGAGATCTTGCCTTCGGTCTAGAGGAAGTAAAGAAAAGGAGTTGGGACGTCCAAAGAGCCAGATGCCCTGGGTTCCATACCCAGACCACCTGGCCTACAATTTTCTGGCCTTTCTGAAAGACAGGAAACATCCACATTTTACCCACTTGATTCCCAGATCTCACCTGGAGAATAGTGAAAACCTGGTCAGCTTTGGTGTAGTTCTACTCACTGTCCTGAAGGCACCTGGGGTGGGAGAAGAACAGGTGATTTCCAACACGCTGACTATGCAATGCCACCCCTTAATCTATGCTACTTTTTGCTGGGACCCATGTACCAATATGAGCGCTATTGTAACGATGACTAAAGGCCTAGGGAAAACCAAAATGCCTATCGCTGACATTCATGCCCACTAGAATACAAAGTAGGAAAATAGGGTTGTTCAAATGAACAAGAGCTTAATATATATTGACGAAAAAAGATGTTCAAGAAATAACAAATAGAAATTCAAAACTAAAAATTATCCACTAATTTTAAAATTGTGGTGTAAGACAGGATTCACCATTTTAAGGTGTACAATTCAGTGATTTTTCTGGTATATTTACAAAATTGTGCAACCATTACAATTTTATCTACCCAAAACATTTCCACCACCTTAAAAAAATACTCCTTACCTGTTAGCAGTCACTCTTCATTCCCCTTTTTGCCCAGACCCTAGTTACCATTAATCTGTTATCTGTCTCTATGGATTTGCCTATTTGGGGCATTTTATATAAACAAACTCATATAATATGTAGTCTTTTGTGATTGGCTGTTTTCACTTAGCATAATATTTTCAAGGGTCATCCATGTTATAACATGTATCACAACTTAATTCTATTTTATTGCCAAGTAATATTTCATTATATAGACATATCACATTTGATTTATCTTCATAAATGGATGAATATTTGGATTGTTTCCACTTTTTGACTATTACGAATAATGCTGCAATAAACACTCATTTTCAAGTTTTTGTGTGAACATAAGTTTTCATCACTCTTTGTGTAATCGCTGTGTCATATAGTAATTCCATATTTACCATTTTGAAGAACTGCCAAACTATTTTCCACAGTAGCTGCATCATTTTCCATTCTTACCAGCAATGTATGAGGGTTCCAATTTATCCATAGCTTTGTCAACATTAAAAAATTATTTTTAATTGACATATAATAATTGTACATATTTATGGGGTACATAATGATGTTTCGATACATGCAATGTACAGTGAGCAGATGAATGTAACTAGCATATCCATCATCTTAAATATTTATCTTTGTGTTGGGAACATTTAATATCCTCCTTCTAGCTATTTGAAACTACATATTATTGTTAGCTATAGTCATCCCACAATGCTGTAAAACACTAGAACTTATTCCTCCTATGTAGCTGTAATTTTGTATCTTTTAACACAGCTCTCCCTATTGCTTTCCTCCTATCAACACTTGTTATTTCGATCTCAAAAAATGGTAGCCATCCTGCTGTGTGTGAAGTGATACCTCAGTGTGGTTTACATTTTAATTGGGTTATTTTCATTTTTATGGTTGAGTTCCAAGAGTTCTTTATATATTCTGAATACAAGTCCCTTATCAGATGTATAATAATGCACATATTTTCTCTGATTCTTGGGTTGTCTTTTTACTTCATTGATAGTACCTTTTAATGCAAAACAAGTTTTAAATTTTGAAGAAATCCACTTTATCTAATTTTGTGTGTGTATGTGTGTTTTGTTATATATCAGAAACCACTGTCTAATTCAAGGTCACAAAGATTCACTCTTTTGTTTCCTTCTAAGATTTTTATAGTTTTAGCTCTAACTTTTAGGCCTTGGGCTATTTTGATTTATTATTGTATATGGCATATGATGGGGTACAAATTCATTGTTTGTGAGTGGATATCCAGTTCTGCCTGGGCCAGTTGTTGAAAAGGCTATTCTTTCTTTACCCACTGGCTTTTTTTCTTGGCGCTCTGGTAGAAAAGCTATTGACCATAAAGGTAAGGATTTTGGTTTATTTTGGACTCTCACTTTATTACATTGATCTATATGTCTATTCTTAGGTCTGTATCACTCAGTATGGACTGATTACTGTAGCTTTGTAGTAAGACTGCAGTAACTTTGTAGTGGGTCCTCCAACTTTGTTCTTTTTCAAAATTATTTTTTATTCTGCATTCATTGTATTTTCATTTAAATGTTAGGGTTAACCTCTTAATTTCTACAAAGAAGCCAGCTGGGATTTTGATATGGATTGCATTTGCATTGAATCTATATACAAATTTGGGGAGTATTGCCATTTTAACAATATTAAGTCTTCCAATCCAGGGACATGGGATGTCATTCCATTTATTTAGGTCTTCCTTAATTTCTTTCTATAATGTACTGCAGATTTCAAAGTAAATGTTTTGGATTTTTCTTTGTCATTAAATTTGTTCCTGTGTTATTTGTATGCTTTTGTACATGGAATTGTTTTCTTAATTTTATTTTCTTATTGTTCATTACAGGTATATAGTAATACAATTGGTTTTTGTACATTGATTTTGTATCCTGAAACAAGGCAGAACTTATTTATTAATTTTAACGTGTTTTTAAGTGGTTTCCATAGGATTTTATATATACAAGATCATGTCATGTGATCTGAACGCTATATTGTTTAAAAATTAATTTCTTTATCACAATCAATTAATATATATACTTTATGAGGCCACTCATTTTTGGAAGCACCACATCTAAATAGTTATTTTTACAAATTAACTGAGAGTTTCCATTTTTCACTCCCCACTCTTCCCAGCTCACATCTATCCTGAAAGACTCCCAGCACTCACTTCTGAGACTGCTCAAGTTTCATCCCAGACTGGGTGGAGACAGTCTCCACCATTTCCTGCTGCTTCTGGGAGAGGGTAGGCAAGGAGCTGGAGGAGGGTGCAGGCACTGGGATGGAGAAGGCACTCTGGGTCTCCTTCGTGCTGGCATTCCTCACAATCAGCTTGTCATTCACAATATACAGACTGAAGGAAAGACAAGCTCTCAGACAACTGGAAAAATGGACAACCCCACACTTTCAACAATGATCCTGCTTCCACTGCCACTGAGGAACCAGATTCCTTCCAAGCCCCTGCTCTGCCCACCTTTCGGATTCCTTGGCTGGTAGGCTTTACCCCTGCTGCAGAGTCCACCTTTGGAGAGATTGCCTACCAGTTTCCTTAGATTTGTAGATTTAACCCCAATGCATTTACACTTTACAAAAGAAGTAGACATCCCATTTTCAGAAAAGGACTGTTTCACAGAGAAATCTTACAACTGGACAAAAAGATACACAGCTAATTAGTAAGTATTGTGGCCAAAAAGAGAATCTGGTATTCTCATAATCTAGACCTCTCCTTGGATCTACCAGTTGGCTTTCTATGGTACTGAGAACATCCCGAGGACTGCACCACCACATTACCACACCATTGGCTCCAGGACAGGATGGGTGCTCCCACCCACAGCACAGCACTTACTTGGAATTGCCGACAGAAGTCAAGATGAAGGTTCGGGTGAAGGCAAGAACAGAACCTGGAGACTCTCTTTCCACTTTAGAAACAACAAACAATGATACCTCCTTACAGTTGCACATGCTTTACACATTCATACAGGGTTCTCCAGTCAGGGAGATAATCTTTTGGCACCCTGAAGGGAGCCAGGCTGGGACAACTTTTCAGTGAGAGTCAGGAGGGAGTTTCAGGGACTGAGAGGGCAAAAATAGGAACAAGCGGCACCCAGGGATAGAACCCCCTAACATGTGTCAGGTCTCTTGACAAACATGAGTTCGCTTGATTCATTTTACACAGTCACCCAAGAGATGAGCTTACCAACCCCATTTTGCAAATGAGGAAACTGAGGGGTTAGGTAACAGGACAATGTCCCAAGTTCGCAAAGTAACAACCTGGGATGAGAGCCATCAAACTCTACAGGCTGTGTCCCTAACGCCTGAGTGGTGCAGGTGCAGACAGGCATGGATGTAGGTCAGGAAGTAATGATGTTTGGGAACAAAATTGGGGGAGAGGAAGAACACAAAGGGAAGGGAACAAAAAGGAAAGAACACAAAGATAACAGAAAGTTGCCAGGAGAGGAAGAACACAAACGGAGAGGAAGAATGCAAGGGAAGGGGAGAAGAGCAACTTGGGAAGCTGAGAGAGTTCTTGGAGTAAGCCCAGCCTGGGGAAGGGAGTAATGAGTGATCTGGAGAGAAGAATCTATAGACACTCACCTTCCTTAAATACTCCATTGACAGAAAAGACGAGCATCCTTTCCTGAAAGGGAAGAAGAAAAAACTAGAGCCTTCATGATCCTCCTACCCACCTACCTACTTCCTACCTACTTCAGCTCTCTGGGCCTGACTGAGGGAGGAAGCAGGTGCTCACCGTTTGGATGCACAAGTCTACCACATAGGAGTTAAGGTCATGCTGAGTTCTGGGCAATACACTGAGGGAGTCCACAATCTCACGTTTTGTGTGCTTCAGCAGCTGAATCCTCAGGCCTGTGTGAGAAAGAGAAGCATTGAGGGCTGCCACACCCTGTACCCTGTACCCTATTATTGACTCTCCACCCCATTTCCCATGCTGATCTTCACCCATCACACACTCACAAGGGTCCTTGATATTCTTTATATTCCTGCTATCCTTGAAGTATTTTTCCAAGCTGCTCCTAGGAGAAGAAGAGGAACAGGAGTGGGTGGTCCAGCTAGTGCAGACATTTCCAGGAACTGGCCTTTGCTGGGGACCACATGGCCCCAGACCAGAGTCAGAGCCGTGATACTCACGGTTCTGGGTCCTCAGGGTTGAGGGTAATGGTCAGGGAGAAGCAGGCCTTGTCATGGTAAACACTGAGGAGACCCGTTCGATCTTCAGAGTCATAGATCAAGTAATACCTGTGAAAGAGCAGTGGGGAAAGGCTATCTCTGTGGCCTGGGCCCCAAAGGAGACTTGAAGACTTCCTAAATCCATGAATAGACATTTGCTTGGGTGGCCTGTCTTGTCTCAGCCTTCCACAGCCTCAGGATTCTGGGGTACTTACTGAAGCAGGAACTGAAGCACCAGACTCTTTATGGTCTCAGATCCTTTATAGCTTTCCTGGAATCAAAAGACATCTTGAAACTATGTGGTTTAAAAAACGTCCCTTACAGTATCTGAAATCTGGTCCCTCCTTACCTTACAAGGTTTTATTATCTCAGGGGCTTCAATGCCAATTATAATTGGAGATGCTAACTCCTGGCCATCCTGAGAAAGGAAAGAGGCAGTCAGCAGTGCATACCAGGGAGGTAGAGCTGGATGAGTAAGGAGATGAACAGGCCTGGAGGGAAAAAGGGTCAGAGGTGAGGCATGAAATGGCCCCCTCAAAATTCTATCAGCAAGACAGCAGATGGAGTCTTCAACAGTGGGTCTTGGAAGCATCTATTATTAGATGCAACTTTTGTGTGAATTAGTGAGTGTGGGTGCGTGTGTGTGTTTATGGACATTTTATTCCAGGGAGAATATTCTTGTCTTTTTCAGGAATCTATGCCTCTAAAATGGATGAGGGTTGGATACAAACATGTAATCCAGGCAAGAGCCAAAGGACTTGAGGGCAGGCATGGAGGTCATGTACTTGAGTAAGAGACAATGATGACAGTAAATACTTACCAGGCATAACAACTTGGGGAAATATTCCCGGATGATACTGTCCATAACAAAAAATAGAATGAAGTGATTGACAATTCAGGGTTGCACAGCCTCTCTCCCTCTCCCTCCCCCTGCCCCTCCCTCTCCCCCTCTCACTCTCCTCCCTCTCCTTCCTCCTGGTTAGCTTCCACCTAGATTGCCCCGACTCTCTTCTCCAGTGCCACAAGAAGCAGCATTGGGAGCTCCAGGGTTTCTTCCCCCTCCCTCCCTCCCCTTTGTCCAAATCCCCACGGAAGGCTATGCAGGGAGCAGGAAATGGAGTGGGAGCCCAGGGCTCTGCTACCCCACTGGCTGTCCGTCAATCTGCCTGGCCTGCCCCTGGCCAAGACCAGGTCAGGTCTTAGGGATGCTGAGGATGCTGGGATAGGTAGGTGAGTGAGGCTGGGCTCAGGAGGCAGGAAGGGGAAGGCAGGGTGATGACAACAGAAATGGGGTGAAGGTAGGGGAGGGAGAGACGGGTGAGACATAGGAGAGGAGACGCAAGGGAGAAACAGGATGCAAAGCAAAGGGAAGGGAAAGATGCTCTACTGTGGAGGTGGAGTTCAGGGAGGTATAGAGGAGAAAAGGGCTCCCCTGCTGCAGCCCTTTCCCTCATCGCTCCCGGTTGTCCCTGGGGACTGAGGCAGGAAAGGAAAACATGCACCTGTTGGGCTGGGGCCCACTGGATGCAGCTGGAGCCTTCCTCACCTGTGTGAGCTCAGTCTGAGCTGGGCATGGGAAACAGAGCAGCCACGGGGACAGGAGACCTTCTCCCGGGAGGAGTGAAGAGTCAGGCCCCAGCTCAGCATGGGGTTCAGAGTCTGGGGACCCCCTCTCCAGACCACTGCATTCTCTTCTGATGGTCCCTGACTCCTGTGCCCCTCTGTGCTGACGCCTTGACCGAGGAATGCTACCCATCTTGGGCTACCCAGGGCTCCTCTGAGGGCCCAGGCAGGACGATGTGAGGTGGGGAAGGAGGGAAGGTGGGGCAGTGCCCTGAGAGGCCTGTCCTTCTGTCTCCTCAACCTCCTCTGCCCTCTGCCTTCCACTCCCGCCTCAGGAACGTGGCCCGCTTCTGGCCCCTTGACGTAGGAAACCCAGGTTTCTCCCCAAGGAGGGCCCAGCTCCTGGCATTGGGCCAGAGGAAGAGATGGCATGACAGCAGCCACCCGGGGCCCCAGCCCTCAGTATGGGGCAGGGAAGCCCCTATGCCAGCCCAGGACAGGTGGGGGGACCTTTTTGGAGCAAGAGAAGGAGAACCCCTCTCGGGACAGGGGAGGGAAGCCCCATCTCAGCATGGAGGCAGGAAGGCCTGTCTCAGCATGAGGTCCCGGACTAAAGGACTCTTCTCGGTTCAGGGCACCAGCATCTGAATACTGCTGGTCCTGGGGAGGTGGGGAGCCCCACTTCCTGGAGCACACTCACAGAGGGCACACTGGAGGAGGCTTGGTGGAGACAGGCGGGAAACACACACCAGAGCAGGTGAAAAGGGGACCATGTCAGAGGAAGGAAAGGAGACCTCTAACCACAGATGAGTGAGTGACAGAGAGACAGGAGAGAGAGAGAGAGAGTAGGAGGGGAGGTCTGTGGTCCTCCCAGAGGACCAAGGCTGCTTCTTCCTGCAGAAGGGCACCTTCAGACACAGCTCAGTCACCCAGGGAGCAAAGGTGCCCAGGAAGGGTGACAGGGTTTGCCACTGACCTTACATAGGCGGACTGGTCAGAGAAGGTGCTGCACAATGAGTTCCCTTCCAGCCATAGCTCTTCGAGCTTCAACCCTTTCACCTTGCCCAACTCCCAAGCCGACTTCAGCTAAGAAAGATGGGGAGGAAACTGGAGAAGGAGGGCCAGGGAAAGAGAAACACCCGGGACCCTGGGTCCCGAATTCCCCCAGTCCTCACAGTCACCCACAGGTACCTCTGCCTGCTTGTTGCCATTATTCTGATATGTACTGCCATCCACCCTCCATCCAAAGTTGATCTGGTTCCCCCTTCTCACCTTATTTTTGGAGAGATTCAGGGTCTTGACTTTGGGAGCCTTCTCTATAATGTCAGGCAGGCCATCCAGGTGGTACAGTTTGTTGTCGCACAAGTTCAAAGATAATAGCTATCAGGTAAGAACAGTTAGAGTGACGGATACTATCTCGAGCCTTGGAAACAAATCTGCCTTTCACTCCATTTCTTCCACCCCTCTAATTAAATACTAGCACTGGGCCTAAGGCCTCACCTCAGGGAAATTCCTTTCAATGATCTTCAGAGTGGCAGCCATGTAGTTTCTTTGATTCAGGATTATATCAATATGATGTTTCACCAAGTCTCCAGGAAGCCGAGAGAAGGGCATCAGAAGGCTGTAAGGGGCCTGACTGGACCAGCACCAGCACCAACCCTCCCAAAGTTGCCGTCCATATAAGTCTCCTTTCCAGGCAGACTGCTCTGCCCCTACTTGCCCTAGAATTGCTGCTGTCAGCCATACCTGGGTCAAAGCGGAGCCTCTGGAGATCAAGAGCTTGCTGGGAGACATCATATCATTTGTTCAGGGTCAGCTGCAGAGACAGATGAAGAGAGCAGCTCTGAGGCTCTGGTGGTGGTGGTAGTGGTGACAGGGAAATATAGGGGTGGGGGAAGAAGTGGTGCCTTGAGTCTGTATTACCTTTAGCTATGCCATCTCTTTTGGTTTCAACATTTTCTGGATAGACTGGGGTTTAGTAGAAAGATTGACAAAAACAAATACCTGCAAGAAGGTGAGGCAAGTTGAGCACGAGGACCTCAATCTCAAAAAAGACAATGACTAGACCCTGGCCTGTCCTCTTTCCCAGAGACTGTATATAGGGAATGTTGTTGACATATACCTTTTGGTTTTCCTCATCATGAATCTTGCAGTTGACTTTCTTTAATGCACAGGCAGCACTAGCATCCTGAATAAAGAAATGGGCCCGATTTTTGTTGTAGTGGAACTACAGGGAGTAAAGGCAAGAGCAATAGTGTCAGAGGTCAGTGGCCCCTGCTGAGTCAGGCGTCTCCCCCTCCCTTGTGCCTACTCATCTGGCTTCACCATCTTCTCTTACAGCGACTGGAGTGAAGGGGACACTGCAATGGCTCTGGATTGAATTCACTATCCAACTCTTATCATACTTTATCCCATAAGGAATCTAATGGTGAAAAGAAGGGATAGGATAGAAGAGAGACAACATGGAATTAAGTCTGGAAAATAACCCAACTAAGTGTTTTATTCTAACCTTCTAATGGAGCTTTAAAAGACTTCTAAGATAGGGACCATTAACATGATTTCAACTTTTTTTTTTTTTTTTTTTTTTTGCCAGACATGGGTTTCCTAGTTGTCCTTTCTCTCTATTCCAAATATAACTCTCAGATAATAAAATTCAGATGTTCTAAATGATCTTTTTTTTAAGGTGCTAGGAGATTCTACCTATTGAAGACCCAGCCTGCACCTCTGACAAGAACTCCAGAAACTCAACACTGCTACACTCAGCTTGAGCCATGAGGCATCTTGTGGAGAGCTGCCACATCTTCTTGGCAGTAGTTTCCACCTTTGCGTTTAGACAGACTCTTGGGTCCTCTTGCAGTCAGCCTGTTCCCTTTACATTGTTTTTCTGAACCTGTGCTTAGATGTTAACTTCCCTGTCCTCAGAAAAATATCTAGTATTTCTACGTGTGATTAACACAACTCTCCCTGACCCACCTTTCCTGCACATTTTTTGCATTTTCTCAGGACACTCACTGTGACCTTGAACCAGGTCCCTGGGTCTCCATTCTGTGTGTTCTTCTCCACTTCTCTCTCTGGAGGAATTCTATCTTGGTATTCACTATGGCATTTCACACTCCTACTATCGGGTTGTAAGGTAGAGGGGTTGCTGTAGGGAAATGGATAAAAAGATATGTCTATAAATGTATAGAAATGCATAGAAATGTGACACAGTTTTTCATACACCCTCAACTCACTGAAAACCAGGTCTGCAATTAGGATTTCTCAGCCATTACTTCACTTCTAGCATTCTTCAGTTTTTCAGGGAGAGGAAAAAAAGACTACAGAGAGTGAAAGAATTACAAAGTCCCAGGGGCTGCTATGTGCAAACCAGCCTGCCTGGTCACTTACTTTCTTATTTGGGGATCCTCGTGGACATCCCCCACCTCCACATTTTCATCTACCTTCTGAAGATGGGGAGGTGGGAGCTCATACCCATCATGTTCATCATGAAGGTTCTCCTTTCCAAAATTCCCCTGGGAAGAATCTCCACCTTTATTTTCTCCTTGAGGAGAGCTGCTACCATCACTGTGTTCTGAAATTTGGAACAAAAATACAAGTTTGAAGACACATCAGTGGTCATATACCATGTACCATTTCTTGGCCTAACACCATAGTAAGGCAAGCAAAGTGCCAACCCGCCCTAATAGAGCAGTCACACAAGCCCCAGAAAGCAAACTCCTCTACCCGTCCAGATAGGAGAGCCTTTTCTCACAGATGACATAGTTAGGGAAGAGATCTTAAAGGAGGAGGTAACTGTGTGGAACCATTTGGAAAATGGAGCAGGATTTATAGAGAACAGAAGTGTGAATGTTCATGGATTAGACTGCACATCAACCATACCCCAGGAAGGATCCAAATGTTGCCTTCTCTTATGCCACTATAGTCTAACAACCTCACCAAAACCTGATAGGCAACCTCTCTCACACCTCCCAAATGCAATCAGCCACCAAATTGATTTTATTAACAATCAGCAAGCTGTACTGTCTTTTCTAGTGCAAGCTTTCATGACAGGATGGATTGATGCATCATCCTGCTGAACTGTCTCTCTGCCTCCAGCCTTGCCCTCAACAATACTCTTTTGGAAATACAGAGTGAGCTTTCTTTTTGCTAAGCCTGAAATGCCTTTCAGTTGAGAAGGCAATGCTTCTAACCGCTACTCTTCTATAACAAGGAGCTGAACAATGATCAGAAATGACAGGTGTCAACTACAATTTCCAAGTGTTTAGAGATTTTTCTGTGGTCAGAGAGAATACTCTGTATGACTTTCATTCTTTTAAATTTATTGAGGTTTTTTGATGGCCCAGGACATGGTCTATGTCTGTGAACATGGTCTATCATGAACGTTATAAGATATGTGGGAAAATAGTGTACTCTGCTGTTGTTGGGTAAAATGTTCTATATATGTCATGTAGATCTGTATTGATTATACTACTGTATTATACTATCATACTATTATACTGATTATACTATTCAGATCTTCTATAGCCTTGTAGATTTTCTATATAGTAATTCTATCAATTGCTAAGAGTGGGATGTTGAAGGCCCCAATGACAACTTTGGACTTGGCTATTTCAGCTCCGTCAGTTTTTCTTTCACGTATTTTGAGCCTCTGCTGTTTGGGTGTGTATACAGGTAGGATCATTCTGTCTTCCTGGTGGATTGATCCTTTTATCATTATGTAATATTCTTTTTGTTTCTATTGGTTTTCTTTGCTAGCAAGTCTACTTTATCAAATAATTGTGGACTCAGGAATGCTTATAAAGTGTTTCAGTTATATTTCACACTGTATTTACTCCTAGAAATTTCCTTGTTCACCCTCTGTATTCCCCACCAACATGTTCAATTCACCATGTGACAAGATTTGGAAGTTTAATTTACATCTAAAAGATAGTATCAATTCTCTTTCCCATAAGCATATTCACAAAGGATATTTTATTTTTATCACATTCAACTGAAACAATGGTAATACTAGTGGTTTTGGAGGTGGGGATTAAGGAAATTAGACTATCCGAAGCCAGCTTCCTTTTAGCATCTAAATTTAAGGTTCTCTAGGTTTGTATTTTATTTTATATAAAATATATATTTATATAATATATAAAAATATATATTTATATAATATATAAAAATATATATTATATAATATATAAATATATATTTATATAATATATAAAAATATATTTATAAATATATATTATATAAAAATATATTTATAAATATATATTATATAAAAACATATATTTATAAAATATATATTATATAAAAATATATATTTATAAATATATATTATATAAAAATATATATTTATAAATATATATTATATAAAAATATATATTTATAAATATATATTATATAAAAATATATATTTATAAATATATATTATATAAAAATATATATTTATAAATATATATTATATAAAAATATATATTTATAAAATATAAATATATTTATAAAATATATATTATATAAAAATATATTTATATAAAAATATATATTATATAAAATATATATTATATAATATATATTATATAAAATATATATTATATAATATATATTATATAAAAATATATATTATATAATATATATTATATAAAAATATATATTATATAAATTATATATTATATAAAATATATATTTATATAATATATATTTATATAAAAATATATATTTTATAAAATATATAATATATAAATATATATTTATAAAAATATATATTTTTATAAATATATATTTATATAAAAATATATATTTTTTGAGACAGGGTCTCACACTGTCACCTAGGCTGCAGTGCAGAGGCATGATCTTGGCTCACTACAACCTTCACCCCCTGGGCTCCACTGAATCCTCCCACCTCAGCCTCCCAAGTAGCTGAGACCACACCCCATGCCAGGCTATTTTTTTAAAATTTTTGGTAGACATGGGGTCTCACTATGTTGCCCAGGCTGGTTTCGAACTCCTGAGCTCAAGAAATTTACCTGCCTCGGTCTCCCAAATTGCTGGGATTACAGACATGAGCCACAGTGCCTGTCCATAGGTTTGTATTTTATACATATTGTATATTAATTACTCCATGTTACCTCAGGACATACTTGTGAGTAAACGTTCTATTCACTCCTGATCACTTTACAATATACTTATTATGACCAGGCCTCAGATGAACTCCTCTGGAAAGTCATTGCTTTCACCATGTGACCCATGGTCAAGAGAGTCTTGTTACTCATAACCTTTGGGACTTTCCCTGTATGGCACTGGAAGTGAAATTAAATATGGGTTAGAGCATTTGATCCAGAAATGTTCAGTCCCCAAAATTTGATGATAGCTTGGAGTGCTCTCTTTTTCTCATACTTCACATCCAACTGATCAGGAAAGTCTCTTGACTCTACCTTTAAAATATATCCAGAGTCTGGCCCCTTTTCATTCCCTCCATTGCTACTACCCTGGCAAGGTCACCAACATCTATCTCCTGGATTACATTGCCTTCCAACTTGTCCCTCTGCTTTTACACTTGCTCCCTCACCATGCATTTTCATCATAGCAGGGAGAGTGATTTTCTTGAAGCATAAGTCAAATCTTCTCATTCCTCTGCTCAAAAATCTTATAACAAGGGTTTGAATCCCATCAATATGTTAAAAAGCTGTGAGTTCATAATGATACTCAAAAACAACAACCAAGAAGAACCTTATTGATGACATTTGTAGAATGCCAGGAAACCAACTTATATTTATAAAAATTTGTAAATAAAAGGGAAGAATCAAATATTTATTCTGCCTTCCCTGTGCAAGCTGTACATAAAGATAGCCAAATTGTTGATGAAATTTTATTTTTATAGGAATATTCTAGCTAATATATGAAGAAGGCAAGATAGAATTTGACTATCATCATTCAAAAACTTCTAATTAAATAAAGAATTTATACAATGATCATTAATGCCTTGCAAAAATCACAAAAAGGGAAACAACCAGATATAAGGTACTTTGTTATGGGTACCACCTATGAAATATTCTTGCCAAACATTAAACCTGAATCTGATCAGGCCTCAGCAGCAATTCAGGGCTTCATCATTGTGGATAGGCAATGAACCAAATGCATGACAAAAGATCCAGTTTCTTTAACAAATAATTTGAGAGAGAGGGAGAAAGACAGAGAGACTGAGAGAAACAGAGAGGTGATAAGTGAATATGTTTGCTGCTGTATGCTTGTGTGCTATTGAATATGTTATATATACACAGATATATTTTCAAACTGCAATCATATTGTAAAAATATCTGTAACCTACTATTTCAGTTAACATTTTATATCATTGCATGTTCAGAAATGATATTTAATTGATTTTTATTATCTATCAAATTAATATGCTTTCCTTTAAAGACACTGTGGAAATTAAAGCTAAGGTCACCTGTTTACCAGAGCAAGAACTGATGGCTGAATCTCATTGAGCTGGAAGCTCAGGAAAGAATAAATATGATTAGTCCAAAATTTACCTTTTTCATATTTTCTAAAATACCTAAATAACAATTTCTGACTTTAATGTAATTTATACAATAGATTATTATTATAGTTAAAATTTGTCACAGGTCGGGCGCGGTAGCTCACGCCTGTAATCCCAGCATTTTAGGAGGCCGAGGCGGGTGGATCACCTGAGGTCGGGAGTTCAAGAGCAGTCTGGCCAACATGGAGAAACCCCGTCTCTACTAAAAATACAAAATTAGACTGGCGTGGTGGCCCATGGGTGTAATCCCAGCTACACGGGAGGCTAAGGCAGGAGAATCGCTTGAACCCAGGAGGCGGAGGTTGTGGTGAGCCAAGATCACAGCTTGGGCAACAAGAGCGAAACTCCATCTCAAAAAAAAAAAAAAAAAATCTGCCACAAACTTTAATCTACTAATAAAATTTCAAATTTTAATAAATCTTTCCAAATTTTTGCTACTATAAACAATGCTGCGAAGAATAGGATTATATATACATTCTATTATTTGTTTACAGTTTTTCCTGCAATAATTCTACAAGTGGATTACTTTGGTCAAAACATGAATGCTTTCAAATTTAAGAGATTTTTAGAAGTGGCATTTAAAATATACATTTATACTTATTTGCATGTTAATCAAGAGTGAGTGAATGAGCTTACCAGTTCACCAACCATTTTGAAAATTTGTATATGTTGATAAAACAATTGCCCTTTTTAAAGTTTATATTTTGAAAAACATTCCCTCAATGTATATATTCATAATTAGTCAGGAGGACGGTGGGAAGAGAAGGATCCAGAATTTATTATCAGGGGAGTGGCTGAGATATCAGAGAGTAGTTGAAGGCTGAAAGAGACCTGACAGTCTCATAAACAAGAGGCAAACACTCAAGGATGGAAGCACAAGATGAGGATGAGCAATGGCAATACAATAAAATGAGAAAAACTTCTGATATACCGAATCCATGCTAGCCATATATGTCCATCTGGAAAACTTCATGGAAAGCATATTACATGTGTTTTCCCATTCCTGTGACATTATCTTCCAAACATTAGAGAGAAGACACAGTAAAGAAGATAATAATGAGGATAATAAGGACTATACCAAACTCAGCATTTGAAAAAATAAATTTAGAGTTTTTCTTCCAGCAAAGAGAGACTAGTTACATTGCACCAAACTTCCAACTGAGAACAACTAGAAAAGTGTGGAAACTAATTTAAAATAAAAGGTTGTTTAAAGGCATCAAAAAGCTAATGATACAATAAGATGTTATGGGGGAAATACCAGGGGAAAAAAGGAAACTCAGAATGTAATCCCAATCCTTGGGGCTGATTTTTTTCTAGCAGCAGTTGGTGATGCCTAAGGATATAGGTACGATGCTAAAATACTGTGAATTTGTGCCAAATTCCCAGAGTTATAGATCTAAGAGCATAAAATTTGAAGTTGGGTATGTTAAGGAGAGGGGATCTTGGCAAACCACTCAGGCTTAGATAGGAACCTCTAAGAGCTACATCAGGTAAATATGGGTAAACTGGAAATAGACCAGCCCTCCAAGGGACTGAAGTCCAAATTAATCATCTCAATCATCAATGGGATTAAAGAGATTTGGGGTTTTCCTTGCAACGTAGCAAGTTGACAGAAAAAAATCTTCCCTGGAGCAAGACAACTTCATTCTAAGACTGAAATAAATAAATCTACAATTTATTATATATAGTTCTCTGAAAAAAAATCTAGAAGGAGATAAAATGACATGATTAAAAACCAAGCAAACAAACAAAAAAAGGACAATAAAAAACATAAAATCCAGATAATCAGATAATGGCATTATTGTCAAGAATATAAAAGATTAAGCATTTCAGCCAAGAATTGGAAAATATATTAAAATGAATAGAATTTCTAGAATTCATAAATGCAATAACTGTAATTAAGAACAACTTTGTGATTAGCAGCATAAAATAACAGATATACTTTTGTGGTCTTTACCCTTCACATTACAATGTACATTCTTGCCTTATCACAGTCTAATGCATATTAGTTCTTTTACATCTCCTTGAACAACAAGGAGGTTTGGAAAGAAGGATCTGAAGAAAATATCCAGAATGAAGTATGAAGACACAAAATGATGAAGAATACAAAAAGACACGGGGCAAAATTAAAGGAGATACAGTAAATACACCAAGCATGTTTAATTGGAGTTCTAGAAGAAAGAAAAGAAAGTAGTGCAAAAGCAGTATTTCACGGTAGAATTTTTGAGCAGTTTCAAAAAGTAACAAAAGATACCAAGTCACAGATGCAAGAAGCAATGTATATTTCAAGTCCAGCGGGGCATGAGGAAAACCAAACCCAGGTCCATCATAGTAAAGCTGTTGAAATCCAAAGAAAAAAGCAAATATTCAAAGTAAAATAAAAACAATGGGTTATCTTCAAATGAGCAAAAATAAGACTGGATCGATATATAATTTTTAAACAGAAATAACGTAGCTTGAAGAAAGTAATGTTATATACCCAGAGTGCTAAAGTATAATAGCTGTAGGCCTAGAATTGTGTGTTTATTTAACTTCCATTTTTTGAAAGATACAAAAATGGAAGTTAAATAAACATCTGTGATATTGCAAAACATATATTAGATCTTCAACCCTGTTTTCTGGCATACAGCTCCTAAAATTTTTATAAACTCCAAAGTGAAGTCTTTTTGTGTGCTAGGCTGGCAGCCCCTAGGTAGCTTCGGGATGGGAGACGGTCACTGGAAAGAGCAAGGCAGTATTAAAGCGCTGGCACTTTCAAGGGGCTGAAGGGTAAGTCAGTCACCAATGTCCAATGGATTAATCAGTCATGCATACATAAAAAGCCTACATAAAAAGTCAAAGGACAGAGTTCAGAGAGCTTCTGGATGGATGAACACATGAAAGTTCCTGGAGGGTGGCACATCTGGAGAGGGCATAGAAGCCCCACATCCCTTCCCTGTACCTTGCCCCATACATTTATTTGTCTGTATTATTTGCAATATTCTTTATAATAAGCTGGTAAATGTAAGTGCTTCCCTGAGTTCTGTGAGCCATTCTAGCAAATTAATCACATTCAAAAAGAGGGTCGTAGGAACTCCAAGTTGAAGGCCATCAGTCAGAAGCTCTGGAGCCCCAGACTTCCGACAGATGGTGTCTGAAGGAGGGGGCCAGTCTTGGGAACTGAGCCCCCAACCTGTGGGATCTGATGCTATCTCCAGGTAACCTAATTTAATTTTGACACTACCAAAATTAAATTAGAGGACACACAGCAGGTGTTTACTATAAAACTGATTGCTTGCTTGTTGGTGGGGAAAACTCCCCCACACATTTGGTCACAGAAGTCTTCTGTGCTGATGGTTGTTGTGGAGTGAGAAAATAGAAAAAAGCACTTTAAGTGATTTTTTTTTCACACTTGTGACTTTTTTTTTTTTTTGAGACAAGTCTCACTCTGTCGCTGCCCAGGCTGGAGTGCAGTGACACGGTGTTGGCTCACTGCAACCTCTGCCTCCTGGGCTCAAGCAATATCCCACCTTAGCCTCTAGAGTAGCTGGGACTACAGGCATGCACCACCACGCCTGGCTAATTTTTGTTTGTCGAGACGGGGTTTTGCCATGTTTTCCAGGCTACTTGTGACTTTTTTTTTGTTGTTGTTGAGGTGGAGTCTCGCTCTTGTTGCCCAGGCTGGAATGAAATGGCACGATCTTGGCTCACTGCAACCTCTGCCTTCTGGGTTTAAGTGACTCTTCTGCCTCAGCCTCCTGAGTAGCTGGGATTACAGGCGCGTGCCACCACGCCCAGCTAATTTTTGTATTTTTAGTAGAGACAAAGTTTCACCATGTTGGCGAGGCTGATCTCGAACTCCTGACCTCAAGTGATCCGCCTGTCTTGGCCTCCCAAAGTTCTGGGATTACAAGCATGAGCCACTGTGCCCGGCCCTACTTGTGACATTTTAATGCAAACAAAAGCTAAGCAAATTTGTCACCAGTCAACTCAAAACTAAAGATTCATCCTCAGGCCAAAGAAATACGATCCCAGATTGAGGCAAGTAAATACAAGAAGGAATGAAGAATAATTACATTGGCAAATACGTAGGAAAATCTAAATGAATATTGATTATATAATACAGTGATAATGTCTTTAAAGAATTTAAATATGTGTTCTCATTGTTCAGCTCTCACTTATAAGTGACAACATGTGGTGTTTGGTTTTCTGTTCCTGCATTAGTTTGTTGAGGGAGGGGAACAACACACACTGGGGCCTGTTGGAGGGGTGGGGTCGGGGAGGCAGAGCATTGGGAAAAATAGCAGATGCATGCTGGGCTTAATACCTAGGTGATGGGTTGATCTGTGCAGCAAACCACCATGGCACATGTTTAACTATGTAACAAACCTGCACACCCTGCACATGTAGCCCAGAACTTGATTAAAAATTAAAAATAATTTTAAAAAGGAATTTAAATATATAAATATATATAGTTAAAAATGCACACCAATATATTGGGAGGGGCATTAAAAGAGTTAAAATATTGGAAGGTACCTGTGTTGTCCAAGGATATGTAAAAGAACTAATGTACATTAGAGGCAAGAATGGATGTTGTAATCCAAAAGGTAGACTACAAAAATGACAGAAGAATGTCACATTATCAATCCAAATGAGGCAAAAATTAATAATTTAAAAATAATAATTTTAAATTTTACAAAGGAAAAGAGAAAATTAGGATAGGAAAATAGATGTAAAGCAAACAGAAAAATGTTATATTTAAGCCAAATTTATGTGGAATTATGTTATATGTAATGTACTGAAGGTTTCAAATAAAAAAGCAGAGATCATAAGACTCAATTAAAAATTAATTCAATCAAATGCTCCTTAATAGGAACATATGTAAAACAAAACACAAGACATTTGAAAAAAAAATGGCAAAAAATATACCATTAAAACACTGACGAAATGAAAGCTGGTATAACTATTCATAAGAGAAAAAATATACTTTCAGTAAAATATTACTAGAAGAAGGGATATTTTGTAATGACAAATGGTTTAATTCAACATAAATATGTTAATAAAACAAATTTGTATGTACTTTTTAGCACAAAGCCAAAATATACATGACAATAAATTGATGGAACTAAATGGAGAAAAAAATGCACAGTAAAAACTGACAGAAGTAAATGAAGAAATGGACAAATCCACATTCTCAGTAGGAAACTTAAACATACTTCACTGAATGACAAATAAAACAGCCACAAAATCCATTAGGTGAAGAAGATTTAAAAAACATGACTAACAAAATTTACTTAACAGAGGCCGGGCGCGGTGGCTCACGCCTGTAATCCCAGCACTTTGGGAGGCCGAGGCGGGCGGATCACGAGGTCAGGAGATCGAGACCATCCTGACTAACACGGTGAAACCCCATCTCTACTAAAAATACAAAAAAAAAAAAATTAGCCTGGCATGGTGGCGGGCGCCTGTAGTCCCAGCTACTAGGGAGGCTGAGGCAGGAGAATGGCATGAACCCGGGAGGCGGAGCTTGCAGTGAGCCGAGATTGCGCCACTGCAATCCAGCCTGGGCGACAGAGCAAGACTCCATCTCAAAAAACAAACAAAGAAACAAACAAAATTTACTTAACAGAAAGAACACTGCATATGACAGCACATGCAACATTTCAGAACAGATTATATGCTGACCTATAAAACAAGCCTCAAAAACGCTATAGTGGTAATACAATCTACTTTGAATGGCTGCTGAAAATTTGAGGGTATTGGTGGGTTATCTGCCCCTCCTCCACCCCTAGTATAAATCTCAAAAATGTTAATTTCCAATATCCCTCACCTCAGGTGACACTCCTCACTCCCCAAATCCTGGACCAGAGAGGATCACAGGACTCAGACCTTTCCCCTAAACCAGGGGAACATCTCGGCTCAGCCATTTCCATAACCACAGGAGGGGAAGTTTTCCATGTGGAGCCACTATGGATATGTCAGGACCCACTAGGGCCAAGACCTCAAGAGAGTGGGAAACAGTCAGCCTGGGCTTTTGCTACTTCCCATTTAAAGGAGAGTCCGCTAGGTGTCATGTGGGTTGGAATGGAGGTGGGGAGGGGGCTCAGTCCCTCCTGCCCTGTAGGGACCTAAAGCCAAGGCTTCATGCTGACCAACTCACCCATGGTGTGTCCTTAAGGCAGTGACCTTTCACCAGTGTCCACACAGGGCTCTCTTAAGGGGAATCTGTGTGGTCTAGAGCTCGGGGTTTGCAGAAGTTTGGGGAGGGCAGCTGAGGAAGGTGAGAGCAAGTCCAAAGCAACTTTGTTAGTGGACAAGATGGAGTCCTTACAGGAAGTCCCTTCTTCAAAGGCATAGAGAGGAGACCTCTGGGGGCTAGAGGAGACTGAATTTACTTTTCTTACTGCCCCCTAAGTTCGCTACCAGCCTAACCCCCAGGGAGCCGTTTCCAAGGGAAATACTCTTGCAGAATTGGTTAGCTACAATCAGGGCCTCAGACCCAGGTACTTGTTACAAACAGAGAGCTCAGCTATTCAGTCTTTGTCCAATGCATTACATTGTATTCCTTTATGGAAGAGGAGAAAACTTATTTGCAGAATCACCAGCTACTTGCTGTCCCTGAAGTTTGCCTAATTATAAAATATTCAACACTATAGAATGTATATTTTGAAAATAAAGTCATTCTGCACTTTCTATCAATATGATCACCTCACGATGACCTAAAGATAGTCACTGTAATCTATTTACCAATCTGGCACACACTTTCTAGACATGCAAGGCAGATGTTTACCTACCTTAAAATATTTGTAAGTAACAAACATACATATATATATACTATACATATATATTCTTTTAAGAATTTGAAGTCACATAATTTTCTGCAAACTGATTTTTTCACATATTGTGACATCTTTTAATTCTCATTTCTTTACCAAATGTGGTTTGGATGCAGATGTTTATTATAGAATCATTTTGCTTTTCAGGGAAATTAACTGTTGATATTTGTTACAGTTTCTCCTGGTAAGCAAAAGTCCTTTAGCACAGGGATATTAACACAAAGTCTGCAATATTGTTGCAAATATGTTCTTCCAGCTTTTCCGATTTTAATATTTTTTTCTTTTGGCAATATAGAAAGTATTTCTAAACTTTTATTAAATTTATGACTTAGCAATAAGACAGGTAATTCTTTGGGAGTAGAGTGGGAACGGAAGAACACAGGGTGAATAGGAAGGGAACAAAAGGGGTCAGGGAAGCTGGGAGAGTTCTGAGAGGGAGCCCAGCCAGGGGGAAGGAGCAGTGGGGGATTTGGGGAGGGGACTCTACAGACACTCACCTTCTTTCAACACACCGTAGACAGAAAAGTAGAGCATCCATTTCTGAAAGGGAAGAGCTCCAGTGCTCAGGATCCCCCTTAACCTCCTACCCACCTCTGGCTCTCAGGGCCTGTCCAAGGGAGTAAGCAGGTGCTTGCCTTCTGGTAACACATGTCCACCAGGAAGGAGCTGAGGTCATGCTGAGTTTTGGACAACACACTGAGGGAGTCCACAATGTCATGTTTTGTGTGCTTCAGCAGCTGCCCCCACAGGTCTGTAGAGGAGAGGAGAAGCAAGGTTTTTTTTGGGGGGGGGGTGCTGCCACACTCTGGCCCTTGGCCCCTGTGATTGCTCCCATCACACCCCCTTACCTTGCCCAGTCTTCCCCATCACAAGCTTGAGAGTTTTTATATTTCTGCTATCCTTGAAGTACTTGCACAAGCTGCTCCTAGGAGAAAAAGAAGAGCAGCAGTGGGTGGTCTGGCCAGTGAGGGCATTTCCAGGAGCTGGCCTGTGTCTGCTGGGGATCCTATTTCTTGTTATCATCCTGATGTGCACTATAATTTACCCTCAACCCAAATTTGATCTGGCCCTTTCTTGTCACCTCATTTTTGGAGAGGTTCAGGATCTTGACTTTCGGGGCCTTCTTTATAATGTTAGACAGGTCATCCAGCCAGCAAACTTTGTTGTTGTGCAAATTCAAAGACAATAGCTTCTGGGGAAGAAGAGTTAGATAATAACAGAGTGATCGTTACTATTTAGGACCTCAACAACAGAACTCTTTCCTTTTTTTTGCATGTCATTGATGTGCTCATTTCCTTGCCCCCATTCTTTAATTGTTTTAAGAAGATTGGGAATGTCAACAAAAATAATGCCTACTGATTTCTCTGGAGGCTAATTAGGAAAGGTGTTCAGAAGAATAAATAGATGTTAATCTGTTGGATAGAGCGCTAGAGTAAGAAACAGACCCATTTCTCTTTACAGCACCTTAAGTAGGCCACATCCCTTATCCTGTATTCCACTGGTACATAGGATGAGCAACACACATTACTACATGTGTGTGTTTGTGTGTAGTAATGAAGATTAAGAATATTGCTGCCATTGCTGAGTTAAGGAAGTAATCATGATTGCTTTCTTCTTTGTATTTTGTTTTGTAAATTAAATAGTTTATAATATTTGAATTTCACAATATACATTTGTTTGAAAAATATTCACCACTTACATTTTACACAATTTACAGACCTCTGAACTTGCAGCATCATTTCTAGGAATTCATCATATGAGAGATTCTTGTTGCATGGATTTTTAAAATGTTATTATGCACTATTTAAATTATAATAAAATTTATTATGAACTATTTAACATATACCAAATAATGTCAGAATATTTTTAGTTATTCCAGATCTAAAGCTTTCCTTTGATGTCTGTTGTTTTGTTAACAGACATTTAATGGGCACCTCTCTGTGTTAGGCTATAATGCTTAGTGAGAGATGCAAAGATGAGTAAGATTTGATGATTTCTACTCTCAGTGGAAATTACAAAAGTATGTATAAGGCAAATACATAAGCTTATAATGATCTTGTAGAAAAACTGCATTTGTTTTGCATTTTCATAAGCAGCATGAGTCTAATATTGATGAAGAATTTTGGAGTCACCCTGAAATGTGTAAAACAGTTTCACGAACTATTAATCCTAAACCTTTAGTGAATTCGAAACCTAACTTCTGGCCCGGGCGGGCGCCGGGCACAGGAGCCGGGGTTCCGGCAGCAGCTCGGCTGGGAGACTGAGCGACCCAGCGGCTGGGCCACAGGTGAGTCCAGCGTCGCCGCATCCCCGGAATGCGGCCGTGAGAAGCAACGCGGGGCCAGGTGATAGAAGCCCCTAGAAGACTAGCATTCTCGTGATTATGGAGGCCCTTCTGTCCTTCTGTGACGGAAGCAATGCGGACCTCGGTTTCCTGGACCCATTCTGACTCAGGAGCCTTCATGTATATGGGTCCCGCCATGCCTCCCAGTAAGATGCCAGAAAGCTCAGGAGTTAGTGTCTCCAGTGGACTGAGTCAGTGTTACTGGGGCAGTGGTTTCTCCAAGCCCTTTAGGAAGATGATGACCTCGACTTTTCTCTGCCTGACATCCTATTGAAAGAGGAGACCATGGAAGATGAAGAGCTGACCAACCTGAGCTGGCTGCATGAGAGCAAGAACTTGCTGAAGAGCTTTGGGGAGTCGATCCTCGAGTGTCAGCCCGGTCCAGGGCCTGGACGATGACAGCCACCGTCCCCACCCACTCTGATATGCCCTAGGATGCCAGGCAGAACCCCAACTGCAATCCCCCCTTACTCCTTTAGCTGCCTCATATTTATGGCCATCGAGGACTCTCCAACCAAGCGCCTGCCTGTGAAAGATATTTACAACTGGATCTTGAAACATTTTCCATATTTTGCAAATGCACCTACTGGGTGGAAATACTCAGTGAGACACAATTTGTCATTGAATAAGGATTTTAAGAAAGTGGACGAAGAGAGGAGTCAGAGTATTGGGAAAGGGTCGTTGTGGTGCATAGACCCAGAGTATAGACAAAATCTAACTCAGGCTTTGAAAAAGACACTTTATCTCCCACACCCACATCCACACGTGTTCAATACACCTCCCACCTGTCCTCAGGCATATCAAAGCACATCAGGTCTACCCGTCTGGCCGGGCAGTACCTTCTTCAAGAGAAATGGAGCCCTTCTCCAAGATCCTGACATTGATGCTACCAGGGCCATGGGACTCCCCCTGAAATACAAGCAGGTTTTCCTCCAGGAGTGATACAAAACGGAGCGCGGGTCCTGAGCTGAGAGGACTGTTTCCTGGTGTGCGGCAGCTGCCGATCAGTCCCATTGAGATGACGGCTGCCATGATGTACGGCATCACCAGCTGCCGGATGCGGACTGAGAGCGAGCCATCGTGTGGCTCCCCGGTGGTTAGCGGAGACCCTAAGGAGGATCACAACTGCACCAATGCCAAATCCTCCAACGCCCGGAGCACCTTGCCCACCAGCGACTCCATCCCCTCCTCCTCCTTGGCCGACGACCACTACAAGTTTGCCAGCAAGGAGAGCCAGGAGGGCAATGAGGGCAGCGAGGGGAGCTTCCGGAGCCACGAGAGCCACAGCGACAGGGAAGAGGACGACAGGAAACACAGCCAGAAGGAGCCCAGGGATGCTCTGGGGGACAGCGGGTACGCATCCCAGCACAAGAAACGCCAGGACTTTGCTAAGGCCAGGAAGGTCCCCAGCGACACACTGCCCCTCAAAAAGAGACGCACTGTAAAGCACCGCCCCCGCACCGCCCCCCACCAGGGCGAAGAAGAGGAGATTAAAGAAGCGGCGGGGTCGCTCCTGCACTTAGCAGAGATCCGATCCTGTTTGAATAACATCACCAATCGGACGGCAAAGGGGCAGGAAGAGCAAAACGAAATCACAAAAAAATTAAAAACAAGTCACTGTTTTGTTTTGAACTTAAGGCCATTTGGTTTCAGCATGTCAGGAGATTTCTAATGATTTGTGGCAATATCAGCATTTTTTTTTCTTTTTTCTTGTTTTGTTTTTGGTTTGGTTTCCTTTTTTTTTCCTTTTTTTTTTTAATTTGCCCCCTCTTCTTTGTTTTGGACCCTTAAGAATTTTATTTTTAAAGGAGATTGAAGCCATATAACTCATATTGACACTCAGCTGTTTTACAAAAGCTTTTCATTATCTGAAGACAAAACCGAAAAAGCTAAAATTACCATTGCTTCCTCAAGCTTGTCAGAAACCTGTGGCTGAATCCGCAAGGAGGTCAACGTCAATGCTACTGGAACACACATTCAGCACCTAGAAGGCACGTGTGCAAAGTAATCATCGTTCAGGCCCAACCCTTAGATTTACATGACTGTGTTCTGAGTTCCCCAGCCCCTCTCCTCCTTTTATTAGATGAGATTTAGCACACTCTCAGTTATTTAAACATGCAACATTTCTTGAGTATGTATGTTGAGGCCATCTGAGCTCATAGCTGATTCAGTAACCAGTTTCATGCTGTGTCATTCATACTCACTACTTAATACTGCCATCATGAAAATGTGGAGGAAAAATGTATCCATGTGTGTCTGGGAAGCATATACACTTGTACATTTTTTAATACTCTGATTCTGTAACATTTCTGAGTTTTGTTTTGTTTTACAGAAAAAAAAGTGATAAAAGCAATCAGAAGACCAAGAGGCTTACTATTGATGCTTAGGGTTATCTGACCTTGGCTGGTCAATAGACCTACATGGCCAAATTAATTTACCAGAGTAATAATTTTTCAAAAGCCATTTTTTTCTGATACTCATGCCAATATCATGAATAGAAAGGGAGAACCATAAAGGAGAAAGAATGTGATGTTCAGTTATGTTCGTGTGAACCTAAAGAAACAATATGGAGGCAGGCACAATCAGCCAAACTCTAGGGACTTGATGGTGTTGCTTGGAAGGTATGCATACCTGCATTTTGCATTCTTTGTATGTAATCATATTGCCAAAGACAAACTATTTCATCATTTTTTGTAAATAACACTTTTCCCCAGACCTACCATAAGTTTCTGCAATGTATTATCTTCCAGTTGCAATAAAAATTACTGAGTTGCATCAAAAATAAAAAGCAAACAAAAAAACCTAACTTCTGTAGTTGTCATGAAACTTCATAGGACAGCCTATGGAAACTGCTACCCATAGTACTCTGTGTGAAATAACAACTTTAAAAAATGCTGGTTCTCAAAAGCAATGGCAACAAAAGCCAAAATTGACAAATAGGATTTAATTAAACTAAAGAGCTTCTGCACAGCAAAAGAAACTATCATTAGAGTGAACAGGCAACCTACAGAACGGGAGAAAATTTTTGCAATCTATCCATCTGACAAAGGGCTAATATTCAGAATCTACAAAAGACTTAAACAAATTTACAAGAAAAAAACAAACCACCCCCTCAACAAGTAGGTGAAGGATATGAACAGACACTTCTCAAAAGAAGACATTTATGCAGCCAAAAGACACATGAAAAAATGCTCATCATCACTGGCCATCAGAGAAATGCAAATCAAAACCACAGTGAGATACCATCTCACACCAGTTAGAATGGCGATCATTCAAAAGTCAGGAAACAACAGGTGCTGGAGAGGATGTGGAGAAATAGGAACATTTTACACTGTTGGTGGGACTGTAAACTAGTTCAACCATTGTGGAAGTCAGTGTGGCGATTCCTCAGGGATCTAGAACTAGAAATACCATTTGACCCAGCCATCCCATCACTGGGTATATACCCAAAGGATTATAAATCATGCTGATGTAAAGACACATGCACACGTATGTTTATTGCAGCACTATTCACAATAGCAAAGACTTGGAACCAACCCAAACGTCCAACAATGATAGACTGGATTAAGAAAATGTGGCACATATACACCATGGAATACTATGCAGCCATAAGAAAGGATGAGTTCATGTCCTTTGCAGGGACATGGATGAAGCTGGAAACCATCAGCAAACTAACACAAGAACAGAAAACCAAACACCGTATGTTCTCACTCATAAGCAGGAGTTGAACAATGAGAACACATGGACACACAGAGGGGAACATCGCACACTGGGGTCTATGGGGGGTGGGGGGGCTAGGGGATGGATAGCATTAAGAGAAATACCTAAGGTAGATGACGGGTTGATGGGTGTAGCAAACCATCATGGCATGTGTATACCTATGTAACCTGCACATTCTGCACATGTATCCCAGAACTTAGAGTATAATAAAAAATTTTTAAAAATTGATGTGGAAACACAAAGCACCTAGATTCACCAAAACAAATTTATCAAATAAAGAAGAAAATTGGAGGAAAAATATTACCTAAGACTTATTAAAAGCTGTAGTAATCAAGGCAGTTTGGATATTGGCAAAGATAAATAAAAGAAACAGAATAGAAAGTCCAGAAATAGACACAGACATATATGGAAAAAAAAATGCTGGTTCACCTCCCTCTACTCCCTGATACTTCACATCATATACAAATTTAAAAACACTTTTAAAGAAAACCACAGAATAAAATATCCAAGTCTGAGAGCATAATTGCTACTCTGTAAGCTAGCCTACACAGTAATTTTATCCTACTCTTTCCACTATAAACAGTGTTTAGTCTAGAAGAGCTGTGGGAATGTGGATTATTTATACAAACTAGATCATTATAAGTTAGATCAACTTGCTCTGGAGTTGAATCCTACATATTATCTTGTAAGCTCTGTTGCTGCAGGAGGGCATTTCCAAGCTTGTCCAATTATGTTATTTAGAAATAACCTTCAATTATTTTTCCTTTATTTTCTTGTTTACTAAGTCTCCCATTGTTCCAAGTGTCCTGGTAAAGTGTGGTTAGCAGGAACTTTGAGCATTAAAAAAAAGTCAAAGCTCAGTTGATGGAGAGAATAACTGAGAGCCTAAGAATATTTGAGAAAATGCCATGGGATTGTTCCGAACTTGCTTATACATCAGATCTAATTAGCAGCAAGTCCTTCACTTTTAATTCAGTAGAGAATGATCTCTAAGGTGATTTCAGGTTCTAAAATTTGTTTATTAAAAGTGAATAGAGTTTTTTTAAATTTTTTATTTATTATTTTAGAGGTTTTATTTTAAAAGATCAAGCTTTTTGATTATATGAATGGTGAATCTGAATGCTTTATCTGTCCTTCAGAAATTCATTTCAGGGTAATTATTTATGACCAAACCTGTATTTAATTCATGGAGTGAAGCATCTTCAGAGGAGTATGTTTTTAGCATCTTTTACCTAGGGTCACAATATTGGTGAAAAGGAAATGTTCTCCCTAATCAAATGTTCACTAACCCTCTTTACCCTAGCATGGTGTAGGGAATGAAATATACCATTCTATGAATTTGAGTTGTGGTTTTAATTAAAATTCTTATTTGTACTCAGTCTAAATTCTCAATCTAAGTCATCTTTAATTTTTTCCAGCACAGAACTCCTGAGTTGCTTTGAATAACTTAACACACACAAAAATTAACACTAAAAATTGTAGCCAGAGTCAAGTTTGGACAGTCTTCTCAAAGAGGTCTAGTTGATATGAAGAAACTGAGTTAAGAGAGAGTAAAAATTCCTAATATGCCAGGAACTCTTCTAAGTGTCTTACATGAATTATTTTAATCCTCAGAATTATCCTATAAAGTAGACATGATTAATATTCCCATGTTACAAATGAAGAAAATTGAGGCACAGTAAGTTTCCCAACATTATACCACTATTAAATGACAGAGACAGGTTACAAACCCAGGGGCCAAACACTACTTTACAAGGGCTCTGTGTGAGACAAACTTACCTTGGACAGGTCCTCAGATATTCTGATTTAATTATTATGGAACGGGATGAGGGTGGAGGCGGTGGTCTGCTGAAGCCAACTTATACAGGATCATGAGACATGATCACACTCTGGGGACTGTGGTGGGGTGGGGGGAGGGGGGAGGGATAGCTTTGGGAGATATACCTAATGCTAGATGACGAGTTAGTGGGTGCAGTGCACCAGCATGGCACATGTATACATATGTAACTAACCTGCACAATGTGCACATGTACCCTAAAACTTAAAGTATAATAAAAAAAAAATCTTCAGGAATTCTGCACTGATTGACTTAACTATCTCACATTGGTATGTTGAAATTTGTCATGGAAACAGTATTTATGCCATGGAAATCAGCAAATACTACAACTCAGCCTCCCAACCTGCAGCTCTGGTTGATAAACATTTGGCAACAGATCACTGAGTGGAGAACAGATATCAGCATTTTGAAAAACTCCCCAGGTGATCCTAAGATGCAGTGGGGGTTGAATACCACTGCTGATAGACAGACTGTTAAATGTAGTTTCTCCAAGGAGTGAGATCAGAGGAAGGAGAAGATGAGATGTTCACTGCTTACTATATTTGATAGGCACATGCATTTCTTTCATAAAATAATATGCCAAATTTAAAGAAACCAATAAAGAAATATATATTTTTCAAAGTTATCTCTGCGTTTTACTTGCAGTTATAGAAATAGTGCTGATTTATAGTTAGGGCATGGCAAAGGGATGGATGTAGTCGGCAATCAGGGAAGCTTCTTTGCCACAATCTCTGAAGAAAAGTTAAAGGTAGCACAGAGTCAGTTTGTGAAGAGCGAAGAATGGATTCTGTTCAGTAGACAGAACCCACCTCCAGGGAGGAGACTTTCTGTGGCTCTGGCTTCAGGTAGGAGATAAAGATCCAGGAAAGTCAGCTGTCAGATAAAGGGAGATCTAACACCAGGGGACTGTAGCTCAGACATGAGACCAGACGTGAGATGACTGGCAAGAAGCTGGAGGAAACTTGGTCATGAAGGAATTTAATCCTAAGCAGCACAACAGAATGGAGAAAACATGGGGAAGTAAGACTGTGGCCAATTTCCGAGACTTGGAAGACAAAAAGCTCAATTAACTTGGTCAAGGATCGGAGAGGACTAGCAATAAAGGTGGCCTGACAATGACCCTAAACCTAAGTTTGGACCACAGTTGCAGGATCAAAAATATCTGACTGCTAGCACAGAAATTATGCAGGAAGAGAGTAGTCACAAAGTTTATTACATATATTCTCACTTCAACAATTGTAATACTCTAAGAATTCTAGTTGTTTCTTACAATGCAACTTCAGTAACATAAGCCAAAAAGAAAATGCCATTACAATTGGTCAACATAATGAGTTCATACCATCCCCATTACATTCTAGCTTTTATGTGACACAAATTCCTGATTTTGATCCCACTTTATGATTTTTAGCAAAGATTAACTAGTGTAGTAAAAGTGTATTAAAAATAAGAAAGGTAGGTGTAGACAGAACAGAATGGACTTAAAGATAAGGAATATAAATCATACAAGAGGCCAGAATATAAAGAAGATGGTGTGTCCTCATTATGATGAAGTTGTCTTTAAATTTTCAATCAACACAGTAGAGGAAACTTTTGAGACTACAAAGTGACTCTTAATGCTGGACACTAAATAACAAATAACCTATCAAATAGGTTATTTGTCAAATAGACAAATAACCTATCAAATCTTGTTGGTAAAACTTTGTCAGTAGCTTACTCAGATGCATCCTTTGAAAGCTGACTTATTTGCTTGAAAGTAATAAGTGTTACTGATATATAAAATAAAGTTACTACACACAAAACCAATTTCTGGAGCTCCTCGGGGACAGACATTCCTGTAGTGGCTACCACATGGTAGATATTCAATGAATATTTATAGAATTGAAAGGGTAGTATATGGCAATACGTACATTGAAAATCACTGGGGCAGATCTGAATAGAAGTTTCCCCAAAAATTGACAGGATGCTTCAGAGAAAGTTCTTGGTGAAAGCATTTTAGTCACTGTGATGTGTCAACTTGGCTAGGCTATAATACTCAGTTATTTAATCAAACAGCAATCCAGGCATTGCTGTGTAGGTTTTCTTGTAGATGTGGTTAGCAGTTGCAATCAGTTGGCTTTAAGTAAAGGATATTACTTTCAATAATATGAGTGGGCTTCATCTAGCCAGCTGAAAGGCTTCACGAGCAAAAACTGAGGTTTCCCAGATAAAGAAAGATTCTGATGCAAGACTGTATCAGCTCCTGTATGAGCCTGCTGGCCTGCTCTATGAACTTCAAACTTGCCAGCCCCTACAATTGCATAAGCCAATTCTTTCAAATAAATTTAAATTAAAAATACTTTGAAAATATATATTCTTTGAAAATATATACTGGTTCTATTTCTCTGGAGAATCCTGACTGATACAGCCACTTACAAGAATAAAATGGGGAGTCTTCACTCACCACTTAGTAATATAATATGTGCTTCAGACTTTTACAGATTCTTTGAAATGTTATTATCTTTCCAGTCTTTTTAAGTATAGTATTGGACTTACTTCACACCATATATGAGACTATAGTGTCATTTCCTTGTTAATTTCTCTAATTATATAGCTATCAAAATTTATTTATGTTAGGTCAGCTTAACTCCTCATATTTTTTTTCTATCCCTCTAGTTTGCTTTTACTATTTTCACAATGTAATAGACAAATCTCAGTAGACATATAAAAATAAAATGGACTTAATAAAATTGACTAGAAATATCTATAGGAAGCCAGAGTCAACTCAAAACTTTGTTAAGGACTTACTACTCTTGTTTTTCTGTTTTTCTTAAAATTTATTTTACTAAACATATATTTGTATGTGTTTTTTAAGCTTCTATATATTTGAACCTCAGTAATAGAGTTTTGTGTTATCCTTACTTTTTATCTTTTTAATTTATTCTTAATGCTTTCCACTAAGAATTGAGCACACTTGGTGCCAAATACTGTTCTAGATTCTTGGGAAATGTCACTGAGCGTGTACATTCTGGGATGGGGGTGGGGAGTAGTTGAGAGACAGATAATACATAGTCAACAAAATAAGTATATTATATTAAATATTTAAGGTTATACATGCTAAGTAAAAACAAAAAACAAAACAAAACAAAAAAACAAAATCCCAGAAAACAAAAAGAAATTGGAGGATGGAGCAAGATGGCAGAATAGAAGGCTCCACTGATCATTCCCCTTGCAGGAATGCCAAATTTTACAACTATCTGCACACAGAAAAGCACCTTCACAAAAATCCATAATCACACAGCATCCCTGGATCCACATGGGGCCTTGGGGAACTCATCATCCTGAAGGGTAGGACACAGGCCTGGCTGGCTTTGCCATCTGCTGATTGTAGAGCTCTAGAGCCTTGAGCAAACACAGGTGGTGGCCAGGTAGTTGGTACAGCTTGCCTTGGGAGAGACCCAGTGCTGTGCTAGCTTCAGGTCTGACTCAGGTCAGTTCCAGTGGTGATGGCCACAGGGGTGCTTGTGTCACCCCGCCCCCAGCTCCAGGCCATTTGATAGGGGGAGGAAGAGAGAGAGAGAGAGATTGATTGTTTGGGAGAATGTAAGGGAAGAGAACAAGAGTGTCTGCCTTGTAATCCAGGGAATTCTTCCGAATCTTAACCAAGACCAACAGGTGTTACTTCTACGAGTCTGCAAGAACCACAGTGTTATACAGCTTGGGGCCCAAGTTCCTTAAAATACCTGGAAAGCCTTCCCCAGATTGTGAAGAGTACAATAAATACCTAACTTTTCAATGCCCAAAAACCAACCAATATCAACAAGCATCAAGAGCAGCCAGGGAAACATAACCTCACCAAACTAAATAAGGCACCAGGGACCAATCTTGGAAAAACAGAGATGTGTGACCTTTCAGACAGAGAAGTTGAAATAGCTGTTTTGAGGAAACTTAATGAAATTCAGGATACCACAGAGAAGGAATTCAAAATTCTATCAGATAAATTTAACAAAGACATTGAAATAATTAAAAAGAATCAGGCAGAAATTTTGGAGCTGCATACTGAAGAATGCATTAATAGCAGAATTGATCACAAGAATTAGTGAGCCTGAAGACAGTCTATTTCAAAATACATAGTCACAAGTGACAAAAGAAAAGAAATACAAAACAACGAAGCATGCCTACAGGATCTAGAAAATAGCATGAAAAGGGCAAATCTAAGAGTTATTGGGCTTAAAGAGTAGGTAGAGAAGGAGATGTTAGCTTTAAAAAGGAGGTAAAGAAGGAGATTGGGATAGAAAGTTTATTCAAAAGGATAATAATTTTTACCCTAGAATAGTATATCTGGCAAAAATATCCTTCAAATATGAAGGTGAAATAAAGACATTTGCAGATAAAAACTGAGTTTTCAGCATAGTGATCTTTTACTTCTTTGGTTAATTCCTAGGTATTTAATTTTATGTGTGCTTATGATAAATGGGATTACTTTTTAAATTTCTTTTTCAAATTGCTCGCATGCTACTGATTTTATCGTGTTGATTTTGTATCCTGCAACTTTACTGAATTTGTTGATCAGTTCTAATAGTTTTCTTGTGGAGTCTTTCAGGTTTTACAAATACAGATCATACCATCTATAAATAAGGATAATTTGACTTCTCCCTTTCCAATTTGGATGCCTTTATATCTTTGTCATGTCTGATTTCTCTAGCTAGGACTCACAGTGCTATGTCGAATAACAGTGTTGACATCGGACATCCTTGTCATGTCTAGATCTTAGGGGAAAGGCTTTCAGTTTTTCCCCATTCAGTATGATACTAGCTGTGAGTCTGTTGTATATGGCTTTTATTATGTTAAGATATGTTCCTTCTATCCGTAGTTTTTTGAGAGGTTTTTTTAATCAAGAAGGGATGTTGAACTTTACTAAATGCTTTTTCAGCACCCATTGTAATGATTACATGTTTTTGTCCTTTTTTCTGTTGATATAAGGTATCACACTGATTTATTTACATTTTTGGAATCATTTTTGCATCCCTGGGATAAATCCCACTGGGTCATGATAAAAGATCTTTTTGAAGTATAGTTCAATTCTGTTTGCTAGTATTTTGTTGAAGATTTTTGCATCAACATTCATCAGAGCTATTGGCCTGTAGTTTTCTTTTCCTAATGTGTCTTTGCCTGGTTTTGGTATCAGGGTAACACTGGCTTAATAGAATGAGCTTGAAATTATTCCCTCTGCCTCTATTTTTTGGAACATTTTGAGTAAGATTGGTATTGGTTCTTCTTTAAATGTTTGGTAGAATTCAGCAGTGAAGCCATTGGGTCATGGGCTTTACTTTGCTAGGGATCTTTTCATTATGGGTTCAATCCTGTTACTTGTTATTGATATGTTTAGGTTTTGGATTTGCTCATGGTTCAATCTTACTATACTGCATGTCAAGGAAATTATCCATCTCCTTTAGATTTTCAAATTTATTGGCATATAGTTGTTCATAGTAGCCACTAATGATTCTTTGAATTTCTGTGATGTTGGTTGTAATGACTCCCTTTTCACCTCCAATTTTATTTATTTGGGTCTTCTCCCTTTCTTTCTTCCTGAGTCTGGCTAAAGGTTTGTCAATTTTAAGTTTTCAAAAAACCACCTTTTTGTTTCATTGATCTTTTTTCATTTTTTGTCATTTCAAATTCATTTATTTCTGTTCTAATCCTTATATTTATTTTCTTCTCCTGATTTTGTATTTGGTTTGCTCTTGTTTTTCTAGTTCTTTAAGTGCATCATTAGGTATTTATTTGAAGGTTTTCTTCTTTTTTGATGTAGGCATTTATAGCTATCCATTCCCCTCTTAGTACTGCTTTTGCTGTATCCCATAGGTTTTAGTATGTTGTGTTTCCATTATCATTTGCTTCAAGAAATTTTTCAATTTCCTTCTTAATTTTTTTATTGATCCACTGGTCATTCTGGAACATATTGCTTAATTTCCATATGTTTTTATCATTTCCAAAATTCATCTTGTTATTGATTTCTAGTCTTATTCTATGGTGGTTAAAGAAGATGCTTGACATTATTTCCATTTTTTGAATGTGTTAAGACTTATTTTGTGACCTAACACATGGTCTATTCTTGAGAATGATCCATGTGCTAAGTAGAAGAATGTGTATTCTGAAGCTGTTTGATGAAATGTTATGTAAATATATATTGGGTTCATTTGTTCTATACTGCAGATTAAGTCAGTTGTTTCTTTGTTGATTTTATGTCTGGAAGATCTGTCCAATGCTGAAAGTGGGGTGTTGAGGTCTCCAGCTATTATTTTACTGGGGCCTATCTCTGTCTTTAGCTTTAATAGTATTTGCTTTATATTTCTGAGTGCTCCATTGTTGGGTGCATGTATATCTGCAATTATATCCTCTTGCTAAATTGATTCCATCATTATATAATGACTTTGTTTGCCTCTCCTTACAGTTTTTGTCTAGAAATGTATTTTGTCTGATACAGGTATAGCTACTCCTGCTCTTTTTTTGGTTTCCACTGGCATGGAATATCTTTTTCCATCCCTTTATTTCTAGTCTACGTGTGTTTTTATAGGCGAAGCATGTAATAGTTCTACTTTTTTTTTTTTCATCCATTCAGCCACTCTATGTCTTTTGATTGGTGAGTTTAGTCCATTTACATTTAATGTTATTATTGATAAGTAGGGACTTACTCCTTCCATTTTGTTATTTGTTTTCTGGTTGTTTAACAGTCTTGTCTTCCTTCTTTCCTTTGTTCCCATTTTCCTTTTAGTGAAGGGTGTTTTTCTCTGATGGTATGCTTTAATTTTTTCCATTTTTGGTGTATGTTTTATGTTTTTCAACTTGAACTTACCATGAGGCTTGCAAATTCAATCATACTACCCACTATTTTAAACTGCTGATAACACTGATTGCATAAACAAACAAACATGTAAAAAGAAAACTAACAAAAACTCTACACTTTATTTTTTTTTTTGCAGTTGTTTTTTGTTTTGTTTTGTTTTGTTTTGTTTGGAGATGGAGTTTCCCTCTTGTTGCCCAGGCTAGAGTGCAATGGTGCAATCTTGGCTCACTGCAACCTCTGCCTCCTGGGTTCAAGTGATTCTCCTGCTTCAGCCTCCTAAGTAGCTGGGATTACAGGCACCTGCCACCATGCCCTGCTAATTTTGTATTTTAAGTAGAGACGGGGTTTCACCACGTTGGCCAGGCTGGTCTCCAACTCCTGACCTCAGGTGATCTGCCCGCCTTGGCCTCCCAAAGTGCTGGGATTACAGGCATGAGCCACCGTGCCTGGCCTGTTTTTTTTTTTTTTAATTATACTTTAAGTTTTGAGATACATGTGCAGAATGCTCAGGTTTGTTACATAGGTATACATGTGCCATGGTGGTTTCATGCACCCATCAACCCGTCATCCAGGTTTTAAGCCCCGCATGCATTAGGTATTTGTCCTAATGCTATCCCTCCCCTTGCCCCCGACCCCCTGACAGGCCCCAGTGTGTGATGCTCCCCTCCCTGTGTTCATGCATTCTCACTGTTCAACTCCCTCTTATGAGTAATAACATGCAGTAAAACTGTACACTTTAACTTCATCGCCTGGCTTTTTAACTTTTTTGTTTTCTCTTTATGTCTTATTGTACTCTCTACATCTTGAAAAGTTGATGTATTTATTATTATTATTATTTTTGAGACAGAGTCTCGCTCTGTCGCCCAGGCTGGAGTGCAGTGGCGCGATCTCGGATCACTGCAAGCTCCACCTCCTGGATTCACGCCATTCTCCTGCCTCAGCCTCCCGAGTAGTTGGGACTACAGGCGCCCGCCACCTGGCTAATTTTTTTTTTTTTGTATTTTTAGTAGAGGCAGGGTTTCACCATGTTAGCCAGGATGGTGTCGATCTCCTGACCTCGTGATCTGCCCGTCTTGGCCTCCCAAAGTGCTGGGATTACAGGCGTGAACTACCGCGCCCAGCCTGTATTTATTATTTTTGATGGGTTCATCATTTAATCTTTCTACTTGAGTAGTTTACACACCACAGTTACAGTGTTATAATATTCTGTGTGCTTACTATTACCAGTGAGTTTTGTACCTTCAGATGATTTCCTCTTGCTCATTAACATCCTTTTCTTTCAGATTGAAGAATGCCCTCAGAATTTCTTGTAGGACAGGTTTGGTGTTGATGAATTCCCTCGGCTTTTGTTTGTCTTGGAAGGTCTTTATTTCTCCTTCATGTTTGTAGGCTATTTTTGCCAGACGTACTATTCTAGGGTAAAAGTTATTTTCCTTCAGCACTTTAAATATGTCATGCCACTCTCTCATGGCATTTAAGGTTTCCACTGAAAAGTCTGCTGCCAGACATATTGGAGCTCCATTGTATGTTATTTATTTTTATTATTATTATTTTTCCTCTTGCTGCCTTTATGATCCTTTCTGTATCCTTGATTTTGGGGAGTTTGATTATTAAATGCCTTGAGATAGTCTTCTTACGGTTAAATCTGCTTGGCATTCTTGAATGTTGATATCTTTCTGTAGATTTGGGAAGTTCTCCGTTGTTATCCCTTTGAATAAACATTCTACCCCATCTATTTCTCTGCCTCCTCTTTAAGGCCAGTAACTCTTGGAATTGCCCTTTTGAAGCTATTTTCTAGATCTTTTAGGCACAGCTCATTGTAATTCATTCTTGTTCTTTTTGTCTCCTCTGACTGTGTATTTTCAAATAGCCTGTCTTCAAGCTGACTATTTCTTTCTTCTGCTTGTTCCATTCTACGATTAAAAGACATTCTTCAATATGCCAATTGAATTTTTCAATTCTAGAATTTCTGCTTGATTCTTTTTAACTATTTCAGTCTCTTTGTTGAATTTGCCTGATAGAATTTTGAATTCTTTCTCTGTGTTATCTTGAGTTTTTTTTTGTTTCCTCAAAACAGGTATTTTAGATTCTCTGAAAAGTCATATATCTCTCATTCTCCAGGATTAGTTCCTGGTGCCTTATTTAGTTCATTTAGTGAGGCTATATTTCCCTAGATGATGTTGATGCGTGTAGATGTTCATCTGTGTCCGGGTATTGGAGAGTTAGGTATTTATTGTATTCTTCACAATCTGGGCTTATTCATGCCCATCCTTCTTGGGAAGGCTTTCCAGGTATTCAAAGAGACTTGGGCCTAGAGCCAGATAATACTATGTTTATTTCAGACTCATAGAGGTACCGTGTTGGTAGACTTGGGTAAGATTTGGAAAAATTCTCTGTATTACACCAGGCAGAAACTCTTGTTCTTTTTCCTTACTTTATCCCAAACCGAGTCTCCCTCTCTGTGCTGAGCTACCTAGACCTGGGACTGTGGTGATGCAAGTGCCACTGTGGCCACCACCACTAGGATTGTGCTGGGTCAGATCTGAATCCAGCACAGCACTGAGGTCTTTCCCAAGGCCCTTCCTTTTAGGGTGGCAACTTCCCCCATGCCCCGGGTGTTTCCAGAGATGCTGTCTGGGATCCAGGGATAGGAGTCAAAAACCTTAGCAGTTGACATGATGTTCTATTTTACTGTGGCTAAGCTGGCACTCACACCACAATACCAAATCCTCCTTGCTCTTCCCTCCCCTTTCCACAGTCAGTAGAGCCTCTCCCTGTGGCCACCGCCACCACTGGTCCACAGGGGTTCTGCCAGGCTACTAGTGATGTTCACATAAAGCCCAAGGTCTCTTCTGTCAGCATATAATAAATGCTGCCAGGACTGGGCTCACCCTTCAGAGCACTGGGCTCCCCTCTGGCCCAGGGTAAGTTCAGAAATGCTGTTTAAAAGCCTAGGCCTGGACTTGGTGACCCCAAGAACTTCCTTGTTCTACCCTAATGTGGCCAAGCTGGTACCTAAGGTGCAAGACAAAGTTCCCTTTACTTTCCCCTCTCTTTTTCTCAAACAGAAGGGGTCTTTCACCATAGCCACCGCAGCTGGGAATGTTCTGGGTCATCCCTGAAGCCAGCACGTCTCAGAGCCCAAGGCCAACAGTGTACTCTGTGGGTATCACTGCTGGTTATTAACGGCCCAAGGGCTCCTTAGTCAGGAAGTGATGCATCCTGCCAGGGCTGGGTCCTTCCCTTCAAAGCAGTGGGTTCCCATTTTGCCAGTGTGTGCCTAGAATTGTCATCCAGGAGCCAGGGCCTGGAATGGGGGTCTCAACTCTGCACGGTGCCCTATACTACTGTGGCTGAAGTGATATTCAAGATGCAAGACAAAGTCCTCTTTACTATTCCCTCTCCTCTCCTTAAGCAGAAGAAAGGACTCACTTTCATTGCTGCAAGCTGTACTACCTGGGGTTGGGGGAGGGATGGTGCAAGCACTTCCTTAAGCCATACCAGCTGGTGTCTCCCTAGGTCACATGCCACCCTAGTTCACTAGCTATACGCCCAACCTAGCACTGGGAATTTCCTAAGGATTGCAGTCCTTGTGTCCTAGATTGCATTTCAAGTTTACCTAGGAACCCAGAGCTCTTCAGCTTGCAGTGGTGAGGTTTGCCAAGAAACTCAAGTTCTAGCTGCTGGGACAGGCAATTATCCTCTGGCTAGGTCTAGTCCAAATGCTTATTCTGTGTGCTGGCTTAGACCAGCATGGCTTTATTCTGCTCTATGACAGGGCAGCACTGAGTTCAATTTACAGTCCCCCAGTTGCTGCACTCTTCCTACCCAAAGTGCACAGATTCCCTCTTGGCACTGCACACCTGCTGCCCGGTATGAGGGAGGCAACAAACCATCTCTGCTGCCCTCTTCAATGCCTCTTTTATCGATATGAAGTTAAAACCAGGTACTGTAATTGCTTACCTGATTTTTGGTTCTTGCGACTATGCTTTTCTGGGTGTAGATAGTTGTTAAAGTTGGTGTTCCAGTGTGGGGACAAATGGTGTAGGCTTCTATTCTGCCATGTTGCTCTGCCCACCTCATTTTCAATCTATGCTTGTCCTAGACAAAGCATGTCTCTTGCTGATCACACATGAATAGTTGAATTTATATCGACCCTAGTTTTACTCTTTTTATACTTGCCCTTCTTCTTTGTTTCTTTTTTGGTCTCACACTCTTTTCCTGCATTCTTTGCTTTTATGTAAGCATTTTATATAAATTCTTTTTCTCTCCTCTCTTTACATATCAATAATACTTATTTTTTTAAAATTTTTAAGTGGTAATCCTAGAGTTTGTAATATACATTCACAGCTAATCCAAGTCCACTTTCAAAAAACAGTATACTGCTTCATGGATAGTGCAAGTAGCTTATAACAGAGTATTCCCAATTCCTCACTCCCATTCCTTATAACATTGATGTCACTCATTTCACTTACCCATAAATTGTAATCACTGAATACATTGTTGCCATTTAAATCAAATAAGAAAATTAAAATATTTTATTTTACCTTTATTCATTCTCTAATATTCTTTTATTCATGCAGATCAATCTTCTGAACAATATAGTTTTCCTTTTATTAAGAAGTTCTTTTAACATTTCTTGCAAGGCAGGTCTACTGGCAACAAATTCCCTCATGTTTTTTTTTTCCTTTGGCTTATCTGAGAAAGTCTTTCTCCTTCATTTTGGAAGCTTAATAGCCTTGACTTGAATACAGAATTCTAGGTTGGTGAGGGTTTTCTTTCAACTTAAGTATTCCACTCCACTCCCTTCTTGTTTGCATGTTCCTGAAGAGAAGTCCTATGTAATTAGTATCCTTGATTTTCTATAGATTTTTCCCCCCTCTGGTTACATTCAAGATTTTCTCTGTCTTTAATTTTCTGCAACTTGAGTATAATATACCTAGGTGTGAATATTTTAAAAAGTATTTATTCTGCTTGGTAATCTCTGAGCTTCTTGAATTCATGGTTTGGTTTTTGTAGCTAATTTTGAAAAACTCTCAGACATTATCCTTTCAAATATTTCTTATTTTCCTTTATTATTTCTTTTCCTTCTGGTACACCCATTATGCATATGTTAAACTTTTTGTAATTGTCCCACAGATTTTGTGTTCTTTCTTCTGTTTATTTTCTTAATTTTTTTCATTTTTTTTCAGAAATTTCTATTGACCTATCTTCAGTCTCACTGATTCTTTCCTTATCTGTGTCCATTCTACTGATGAGCCAATCAAAGACATTCTTTATTTCTGTTATGGTGTTTTTCATTTCTAGCATTAAAAAATTATTTCTTAGAGTTTTCATCTCTATACTTACATTACTCTTCTGATCTTCCATGCTGTCCACTTTTTCCATTAGAACCATTAGCATATTAACCATAATTATTTTAAATGCCCAGTCTGATAATTCCAAAATCTCTGCCATATCTAAGTCTTGTTTCAATGTTTGCTCTCTCTCTTCAAACTGCGTCTTTTGTCTTTTGGTATGCCTTGTAATTGTTGTTGAAAGTCAGACATGGGTAAAAAGAACTCAGGTAAATAGGCCTTTAGTATGAGCTTTTCTGTTTATCTGGCTAGGAGTTGGGCTATGTTTACTCTTTGCTGTAGTGATAGGTGTTATATGCTAAAATTTCCTTTTGTGTCCCTATTTTTATATCTTCTATTGTCTTTGAGTTTCCCTAAATACTTTTCCTTAAATAAGGTCTGAGATACATAGTTCTTTCTATTGTTTCCCTGTTATAACACAGGAGCCCTACTGATGTGGCTCCTGTGTTAAAAGGCTGTGATCTTCAAACATGTTTATTAGTCTCCTCTCTTCACCTATTAGTGAGATAGAAATTCTAAATGGGACCTCAGTGGAGTTTTTTTCTTGGTACCCTACATTAAAGGCTAAAAGAGACTGTAGTGAGGTATTTCCCTTTCCCCAGGTAGGTTAGGCTCTGGTAATATTCAAGACAAGCTCTGGTAAAATAGTTTCCCACAAGGGAAGGCTTTTATTAAGAAAAAGAGAATGTACTAGGCATATTTCAACATGGTTACTCTTCCTTTCTTCTTGCTGAAAGCATTAGGGAATGTTTGTCTGATCTGCCATCTGAGATCCTGGTAAGGCTCCTGAAAGGAAAACTCATTAACATGTGGGGGCTCCCCTATGACTGGGCCTCCTGGTTGCTCTCAAGCTTGTCCACACTGAGCTTCCAGCAACCTATCAATTGTAGTCAAAGTTTTCCTACCCAGGCACTCAATCCAATGACTCACTTTTATTTCTTGGTTTCTACTCTGATAAGCATTGATTCTCTGTGTTCACCTGTCTTTCCAATTTTGCAGGTAGTGGTTTGCACTGTGACCTCAATTCTCTGATGGCTCTAGGAAGAGTTGTTGATTTTCAGCTTATTCTGCTTTTGTCGTATTGTGAGGTTGGGAAGAATAGCTCCTTATATGTTGTACAGAAAATTGAAAGTCTTGACTGATTTTTGACAAAGGGGCTAAGAACATTCAGTGGGGGAAAAACAGTCTTTTTAACGGATGGTGTTGAAGCATCTTGATAGCCACATACGAAAGAATGAAGTTGGACCCTTACCTAATACATATGCAAAAGTGAACTCAAAATGTATCAAAGACCCAAATATAAGAGCTAAAACTATATAACTCTAGAAGAAAACATAGGGACAGACCTTTGTGATCCTGAATTTAGCCATGGAGTCTTATATATGACATGAAAAGTCCAAGAAAACAAGGAAAAATGATAAATTGGACTTTGTCTAATTTTAAAACTTTGTGAATCAAAAGACACTATGAAGCAAGTGAAAAGTCAACCCACAAAATCAGAAAAATATTTACAAGCCATATATCTGGTAAGGGACTTAAATCTAGAATATACAAATAACTCATAACTCAATAGTAAGAAGACAGCTAATTTAATTAAAAATGGGCAAAGGATCTGAATAGACATTTCTTCAAAGATATACAAATAGCCAATAAGCAAATGAAAACATGTTCAACATCATTAGTACCTTCACTAGTTTTCTCAACATCATTATTAAATGCATAAAAATCATACTGAGATACTACTTTACACAGAAAAGGATGGCTAAGCTCATATAGTCAAATAATAAAAAGTGTTGTTCAAGATGTGAGAAATTGTAACCCTCATAGACCGACAGGGAGAATGAAAAAGGGTGCAGTCATTTCCACTTTGGGAAACAGTTTAGTGGTTCCTAAAAAAGTTGAATATAGTTACGAATTGACCCACAAATCCCACTTCCAGGCATGTACTGAAAATAAATAAAAACATTGATGTACAAAAATACTTTTACATGAATGTTAATAGCTACATTATTTATAATAGTCTAAAGGTGGAAATAAGCCAAATGTCTATTAACATTTTTTGGTGCCTAAACCTGAAATCGAATGGATAAATACAATGTAGTATACACCATTGCAATACATGCATTATTATTTGATCATAATGAGAAATGAAGTACTGAGATATACTAAAACACAGATGAAACTTAGAAAACATTATGCTAAGTATTAGTAGTCATAATAAACCACATGTTATATGATTCCATTTGCATAAAATACCCAGAATAGGCAAATCTATAAATATGGAAAGCATCTAAGTGGTCACCCAGGGATGAAGGGTTGGAACACTGAAGAACTATAGCTAGAGTCTATAGGGTTTCTCTTTGGGGTGATAAAATTATTTTAAAATCAATTGTGGTGATGGGTACACAAGTTTGTGAATATACCAAAAAACTGAATTGTATACTTTAAATGTTTGAATTGTATGGTATGTGAATTATATCTCAATAAATCTGTTACAAAAACAGATACAAGAAACAGTTAAAATTCGAAGTCTAGAGTCTATTGATACAAACTTTTTAGAAAACTAATAGGCCACATCTACTAAAACTGAACATATGTGTACCCTATACCTAGCAATTCTTCAGTATATATTCAAGAAAAATGCTCATGTGCGTGAAAATATATGCATAATTATGCTCATAACAGTATTATTTATAATAGTTCAAAACCAGAAGCAACCCAAACAGCCATCAACAGTAGATTGAATACATTGTGGTATATTCATGCACTAAGATGTGGTACAGAAAGGAGAACAGACATGCTGCAAATACATGTGACAATACGGATGAATCTCACAAGCTTAATGGTGATCAAAAGAAGCCAAAGAGGAGTATATACTGAATGATTCCATTTATTTAAAGCATGAAAAAAGCAAAACTAATACTCAGAAGAGTGGTTATCATTCTTGGGCATAGTGACTGGCAGGCAGCAAAAAAGAGGCTTCTGGGGGCTGATCATGTTCTGTGTCTTGATCTGGGGGCTGGTTATATGAGTGTTCTCACTTTGTGAGCATTCAAGATACACATTTAAGTATATCTACTTTTCCATATGTGTATTTTACTTAAGTAAAATGTTTTGAAAACCTGCTTAGTAGGATACATTTTTTATATATGGCTTTCATCAACTGAGGTGCATGCAGATCAGAAATCAAATTTTTTTTCTACAAACAAGTTTATTCCAGTTATACTTGTTATAAACCAACAAAATGTACATGCAATACATAAACAAATAAAGACCAGCAACGGATTTGGAGAATTTTTTTTGCAAAACGTATTACATGCAAATAATTAGAATATGGAATGCATAAGAAGCCCATAAGAAGCAATACTATAAAGACAAGAAACTTAAAAAGAAGTGGGGCAAAATATATTGAAAGGCTATTAAGAGAAGAGGAAATATGTAGAGCCACAAAATCTATAGATGTTCACTCTCATGACATAATCTGGGAAATGCAGATTCAAACAGTAGGGAGGGCCGGGTGTGGTGGCTCTCATCTGTAATCCCAGCACTTTGGGAGGCCGAGGTGGGCAGATCACTTGAGGTCAGGAGTTCGAGATCAGCCTGACCAACATGATGAAACCCCGTCTCTACTAAAAATACAAAAATTAGCCAGGCTTGGTGGCACGCGCCTGTAGTCCCAGCTACTGGGGAGGCTGAGGCAGGAGAATTGCTTGAGCCCAGGAGGTTGCAGTGAGCAGAGAGTGCGCAAGTGCACTCCAGCCTGGGTGACAGAGTGAGACTCCGTCTCAAAAGACAAACAAAGAAACAAAAAATACTAAAGTGATGCTAATTTTTACCTATTAGATTGGCAAAAAGAAGTCTGGAAAAACTGGATATTGGCAAGAATGCAGGAAAAGACGAACTACTCACCACAGCTAATATGAGTATAAATTAGTGCAATTACTGTGAAAAGCTATTTGGCAATTCATGTCTAGATAGACTGAAGATGCACATATTCTGTAATCTAGAAATGTCCCTTCTATGAGGCATGTTTATAGACTAATAGGAAGGAATTGCGAGAATATTAATTATAGCACTGTTTGTAACACAAAAAAATAGAAGCAGTGAAAATGTTCACAAGAATGAGAATATATAAGTAAACTATGGTGTATTCATATAATGGAATATTATATAGAAATTAAAATAAATGTACTACTATGTGTAACAGTAAAACATGGCTAAATCTAAATCATCATAACATTGGGTGAAAAAAGCAAGTTGTAGAAATTGCACACAGTGTAATATAATTTATAATGCAAAATCACCAGAAAATAATTCATTTAACAAATCTTCACTGTGTGCACAGTCCTTGGTACATGGGATTGGTGAACAAAACAGAGATCTTTGCCCTCATGGATCTTATGTTTTAATAGCGGAACATTTACTGCTGAAATGAAACAGCAAAGTAGGGTGAGGGGATGGAAAAAATAGGGTTGGCAGGTGGCAATATTAAATAGATTCAGGTAGGTCTCATTAAAACAGTGAAATTTGAGCCTTTAAGATATTGAGAGTTTAAACAAGTGGTTATCCTGGAAAAGAACACACCTTCCAGAGGGAGCAGACATCGCTGCACCTATTAAACCATCATCAAGTTTCCCTTCCCTCGACCTCCACTCCCCAACAGGCCCCTATGTGTGTTGTTTCCCTCTCTGTGTCCATGTGTTCTCATTGTTCAACTCCCACTTATGAGTGAGAACATGTGGTGTTTGGTTTTCTTTTCCTGTGTTAGTTTGCTGAGGATAATGCCTTCCAGCTTCATCCATGTCTCTGCAAAGTACATTATCACATTCATTTTTATGGCTACATAATATTCCATGGTATGTATGTACCACATTTTCTTTATCCAGTCTATCATTGATGGGCATTTGGGTTGGTTGCATGTCTTTGCTATTGTAAATAGGGCTGCAATAAACATATGTGTGCATGTGTCTTTATAGTAGAATGATTTATATTCCTTTGGGTATATACCCAGTAATGTGGTTGCTGGGTCAAATAGTATTTCTGGTTCTAAATCCTTCAGGAATTACCACCACGTCTTCCACAATGGTTGAACTAATTTACATTCCCACCAACAGTGTAAAAGCTTTCCTAGTTCCCCACAGCCTCACCAGCATCTCTTGTTTCTTGAGTTTTTAATAATCACCATTCTGCCATTCTGACTGGCATGAGATGGTATCTCATTGTGGTTTTGATTTGCATTTCTCAAATGATCAGTGATGTTGAGCTTTTTTTTTCATATGTTTGTTGGCCGCATATTTTCTTTTGAGAAGTGTCTGTTCCTGTTCTTTGCCCACTTTTAGATGGGACTGTTTTTTTCTTGTAAGTTTGTTTAAGTTCCTTGAAGATTCTGGGTATTAGACCTTTGTCAGAAGGGTAGATTGCAAAATTTTTCTCCCATTGTGTAGGTTGCCTGTGCCTGTTCACTCTGCTGATAGATTCTTTTGCTGTGCAGAAGCTCTTTAGTTTAATTAGATCCCATTTGTCAACTTTTGCTTTTGTTGCAATTGCTTTTGACATTTTTGTCATGAAATCTTTGCCCATGCTTATGTCCTGAATGGTATTACCTAGGTTTTCTTCTAGGGCTTTTATGGTTTTGGGTTTTACATTTAAGTCTTTAATCCATCTTGAGTTAATTTTTGTATAAGGTGTAAGGAAGGGGGCCAGTTTCAGTTTTCTGAATAAGGCTAGCCAGTTTTCCCAGAATCCTTTCCCCATTGCTTGTTTTTGTCAGGTTTGTTGAAGATCAGATGGTTGTAGATGTGTGGTGTTATTTCTGAGTTTTCTACTCTGTTCCATTGGTCTATATGTCTGTTTTGGTACCAGGACCATGCTATTTTGGTTACTGTAGCCTTGTAGTATAGTTTGAAGTCAGGTAGCGTGATGCCTCCAGCTTTGTTCTTTTTGCTTAGGATTGTCTTCGCTATAGGGCTCTTTTTTTGTTCCATATGAAATTAAAACTAGTTTTTTTCTAATTCTGTGAAGAATGTCAATGGTAGTTTGATGGGAATAGCACTGAATTTATAAATTACTTTGGGTAGTGTGGCCATTTTCATGATATTGATTCTTCCTATCCCCGAGGATGGACTGTTTTTCCATTTGTTTGTGTCCTCTCTTATTCCCTTGAGCAGTGGTTTGTAGTTCTCCTTGAAGAGGTCCTTCACTTTCCTTGTTAGCTTTATTCCTAGGTATTTTATTCTCTTTGCAGCAATTGTGAATGGGAGTTCATTCATGATTTGGCTCTCTGTTTGTCCATTGTTGGCGTATAGGAAGGCTTGTGATTTTTGCACATTGATTTATTGTGATTTTTGCACATTGATTTTGACTTTGCTGAAATTGCTTATCAACCTAAGGAGTTTTGGGGCTGAGACAATGGGTTTTCTAAATATAGAATCATGTCATCTGCAAAGAGAGACAATTTGACTTCCTCTCTTCCTATTTGAATACGCTTATTTCTTTATCTTGCCTGGTTGCCCTGGCCAGAACTTCCAATACTATGTTAAATAGGAATGGTGAGAGAGGACATCCTTGTCTTCTGCCACTTTTCAAAGGGAATGCTTTAGCTTTTGACCATTCAGTATGATATTGGCTGTGGGTTTGTCATAAATAGCTCTTATTATTTTGAGATATGTTTTATCGATACCTAGTTTATTCAGAGTTTTCAACATGAAGGGATGTTTAATTTTATCAAAGGCCTTTTCTGCATCTATTGAGATAATCCTGTAGTTTTTTTCATTGGTTCTGTTTATGTGATGGATTACATTTATTGATTTGCATATATTGAACCAGCCTTGCATTTCAGGGATGAAGCTGACTTGATTGTGGTGGATAAGCTTTTGATGTGCTGCTGGATTCGGTTTGCCAGTATTTTATTGAGGATTTTTGCATCGATGTTCATCAGGGATATTGGCCTGAAGTTTTCTTTCTTTGTTGTGTCTCTGCCAGGTTTTGGTATCACGATGATGCTGGCTTCATAAAATGAGTCAGGGAGGAGGCCCTCCTTTTCAATTGTTGGGAATAGTTTCAGAAGGAATGGTACCAGCTCCTCTTTGTACCTCTTGTAGAATTCTGCTGTGAATCCGTCTGGTCCTGGGGTTTTTTTTTGGTTGGTAGGTTACTAATTACTGCCTCAACTACAGAACTTTTTATTGAACTATTCAGAGATTCAAATTCTTCCTGGTTTAGTCTTGGGAGAGTGTATGTCTCCAGGAATTTATCCATTTCTTCTAGATTTTCTAGTTTATTTGCATAGAGGTGTTTATAGTATTCTCTGATGGTAGTTCGTACTTCTCTTATCATAGTAGTGATATCCCCTTTATCATTCTTTTATTGTGTCTATTTGATTCTTCTCTCTTTTCTTCTTTATTTTTCTAGCTAGTGGTCTGTGTTGTTGTTTTTTTTTTCCAAAAAACCAGCTCCTGGAATCATTGATTTTTTGAAGGGTTTTTTGTATCTCTATCTCCTTCAGTTCTGCTCTGATCTTAGATATTTCTTGTCTTCTGCTAGCTCTGGGATTTGTTTGCTCTTGCTTCTCCAGCTCTTTGAGTTGTGATGTTAGGATATCAATTTGAGATCTTTCTAGCTTTCCGACATGGACAGTTAGTGCTATAAATTTCCCTCTTAACAGCTGTGTCCCAGAGATTCTCGTACATTGTCTCTTTGTTCAAGTTGGTTTCAAAGAGCTTCTTGATTTCTGCCTTAATTTCATTATTTACCCGGAGTCATTCAGGAGCAGGTTGTTCAACTTCCACATAGTTGTGTGGTTTTGAGTGAGTTTCTTAATCCTGAGTTCCAATTTGATTTCACTCTGGTCTGAGAGACTGTTTTTTATGATTTCAGTTCTTTTGCATTTGCTGAGGAGTGTTTTACTTCCGATTATCTGGTCGATTTTTGAATAAGTGCCATGCAGCACTGAGAAGAATGTATATTCTGTTGATCTGAGATGGAGAGTTCTGTAGATGTCTATTAGGTCCACTTGATCCAGAGCTGAGTTCAAGTCCTGAATATCCTTGTTAATTTTCTGTCTCGTTGATATGTCTAATATTGACAGTGGAGTGTTAATGTCTCCCACTATTATTGTGTGGGAGTATAAGTCTCTTTGTAGGTCTCTAAGAACTTGTTTTATGAATCTAGGATTGTAACCCCTGCTTTTTTTGCTTTCCATTTGCTTGGTAAATTTTCCTCCATCCATTTATTTTGAACCTATGTGTGTCTTTGCACGTGAGATGTGTTTCCTGAATACAACACACCAATGCTTCTTGACCTTTTACCAATTTGCCAGTCTGTGTCTTTTAATTGGGGCATTTAGCCCATTTACATTTAAAGTTAATATTGTTATTTGTGAATTTGATCCTGTCATCATGATGCTATCTGGTTATTTTGCACACTAGTTGATGCAGTTTCTTCATAGTGTCATTGGTCTTTAGGAATAGTAAGGAGGTCATGGATGGGGCAAAGTGAGTGAGGAAGAGAGTAGATAGATGGGTCAGAGAAATGATGGTGAGCCAGAAAATGTGTTTTTTTTTTTTTTTTAAGGAACGTTGACTCTAACTCTGAGGAGAATAAGGTGCCTTTGCAGGACTTTGAGTAGAGGAGCACCATGATTTGATTTATATTTTTAACATAATCACTTTAGGTTCTATGTTGAGAATACAAAAACTAGGGAGCAAGAGCTGAAGTAGAGAGATCTGCCAAAAACTACTCCAGTTATCCAGATGAGATATGATGGTGGATTAGACTTTATGCATACAAATGGAGATGATAAATGGTTAGATTTTGGATGCATTTTGAGTGCAGCCACAATAATTTCCTGATGGATCGGATGTGTAGTGTAAAAGAAAGGGAGGAATTGAGGATGATATCAAGATTTTTGACATGACCATATGGATGATGGAGTTGCCATCAATTGAGATGGGGAAGGCTGTAGGAGGAGTGGGTTTTGGAGAAAAGATTAGTAGTTTAGTGTGTGACATTTTGCATTTGAGATGTCTATAAGACATCTGAGTGGAGGTGCTGAGTAGGCAGTTGTATATATCAGACTGGAGTTTAGGATGCAGATCTGGCCTGCCGACATGAATATAGAAATTGTTAACATAAAAATGTTTTCTATAGCTACTGGACTGGGAGATATCACCAGGGAAGTGTAGATAGAAATGAGTAGAAGAACAGGGACTGAGTCCTGGGTCACTCCCATTTAAACAGGTCTGGGAGAAGAGGAAGAGCTAGTGAGGATGGATAAAATAGGAGAGTGCAGTGTCCTGGAAGCCATGCAATGTAAGTGAAGTGAGAAGAACTCACTCATCAACTATGCCAAATGCTGCTGATAGTTCAAAATGAGGGATTAAGAATTGACCATTGTATTGAGCCATGTGAAAGCCATTCATGACCTTGACAAAAGTAATTTCAGTTGAGTGGAAGAGGTGAATACCTGATTGGAATATGTTCAAGAGAGACCAGGAGAAGAAAAATTGGAAATAGGCAACTGTTAAAAGAGGATGACAGAGTAGTCACACTGGATATCTGAGGAAATAACTTTCTTGACATACAGAATAGATATTGTAAGGGCCCTAACACAATAGTGAGCATGGCTTGTCTGAGGAATAAGAGGGAGGCCACATCTGGAACAGAGGGAATGAGAAATAGAATAGACAGAGAAAATGGAGGATAAGGAAGGATGATTTTTGGGGATCCTTCTTGATGCTAGATTGATGTAGATAGAAAGCCTAGGGGATTGTGGTCTTAGGTCAGGAGTCCTGGTTCAAATAATGCCTTACACTGAACATGAAAACATATATCATATGTAACTGTAAAAGATTTCCATCAAAGGGGAACAAAGAAATGGGGTAATGGTAGGTAGAAGGATTGAAGTCAAGAATATGTACACATAAAAAGAATGTGTGTATATATATAAACATATACACATATATAATAATGTGTGTATAGACAGATAGGTAGATAGATAGGAAATAAGAGTACAATTGTATCCTGAGAGAAACGATACAGTAGAGAGTACAATATTGATGATGCTAGACATAATGGAGAGAAAGATGGTAGCAACGTCACTGAATTGGTTTGAGAGAAAGAGATCTAGTGGGAAAGGAGGGGAACTTTTAGACAGGAGTCTGGAAATTTCATGTATGATATCAACAGGAAAGTCATATATATGTAGGCAGGTGCAGGTAGGTGAAGTGATGTGGTGGTAGGGTTCCGTGATGGTTAATATTAAGTGTCAACTTGATTGGATTGAAGGATGCAAAATATTGTTTCTGGGTGTGTCTGTGAGGGTGTTGCCAGAGGCGATTAACATTTGAGTCAGTGGACTCGGAGAGGCAGACCCACTCTCAATCTGGGTGGGCACCATCCAACTGGCTGCCAGCGTGGCTAGAAAAAGCAGGCAGAAAGTGGAATGAGCAGACCTGCTGAGTCTTCCGGCCTTCATCTTTCTCCCTTGCTAGATGCTTCCTGCCCTCTAACATCAGACTCCAAGTTCTTCGGCTTTTGGACTCTTGGACTTATACTAGCGGTTTGCCAGGGACTCTCGGGCCTTTGGCCACAGACTGAAGGCTGAACTGTTGGCTTCCCTACTTTTGAGGTTTTGGGACTCAGACTGGGTCACTACTGGTTTCCTTGCTCCTCAGCTTGCAGATGGCCTATTGTGGGACTTCACTTTGTGATCATGTGGGTCAATTCTCTTTAATAAACTCCCTTTCATATACATATATCCTATTAGTTCTGTCCCTCTAGAGAACCCTGACTAATATAGGGTCTGTGGAAGTGTTCTTCTGAGGGCTACACTTTTCTAGTATAAATAGAAAGCAAGAGAAGAGTTGGGATGGAGAGGTGGTATAGAGAGTTTGATGGGAGAGAAGCTATGAAGTAGTAAGTTAAAATAGTCAGAAAGTTAAGGACCAGAAGGTCTAAAGAATGAGTGCCTATTAATATTAAGAGTCTGATTTAAGTTAATAGTCATGAATTTAAATTGAAATGAGTCATGTAGTTATGTATTTTCCTTTGGCCAGATTTCTCTTTGTAGGCTCAGGCTTGTTGAAGTGTAGTTGAATTTAGCCAGGGTTGTTATTTTTCCTATGAAGCAATACAAACTGAAAAGGCAGGACAGTGGAGGGTATATGTAGATAAGTGATTGTAAAGACTGAACATGACATTTGAGCTAGGGAAGGAGGGGAGAGAATACAATAAAGGGAAGAAGAGATAGTGAAAATCTGATAAGATCAATGCATTGGAGATTCTGGGGAGACCAAAAGAAAGGTGCAAAATGAGTTAGCTGAAAAGAGAGGAGGTTATGGTCAGAAAGAGGGATGTTTAAAATTGAGATTATGGAGGGTTTCCCATAATTATAGTGACAAGGGCTAGACTATGGCTGTGTGAGTAACTGAGGTGGAGTTGAGGACGATGTTATGGGGGAGAAATGTTCAAGGAACTGAAAACGCCAGTTTGTCAGAATTATCATTCTTGAATTTACCAAGAATTAAAGCAGGACAACTACCTTTGAGAATGACTGTGTTGTAGGAGCTAAAATTTTTGAAAAATGAGTGGGGAATAGTTGAATTTTTATTTTTTATTTTTTATTTTTTGAGACAGAGTCTCACTCTGTCACCCAGGCTGGAGTGCAGTGGTGCTATCTCCGCTCACTGCAAGCTCCGCCTCCCGGGTTCACGCCATTCTCCTGCCTTAGCCTCCCGAGTAGCTGGGACTACAGGCTCCCACCACCACGCCCAGCTAATTTTTTTTGTATTTTTAGTACAGACGGGGTTTCACCGTGTTAGCCAGGATGGTCTCGATCTCCTGACCTTGTGATCCGCCCCCCTCGGCCTCCCACAGTGCTGGGATTACAGGCGTGAGCCACCGCGCCCGGCCGGGAATAGTTGAAATTTGTTATATGTCAACAACAAAGGCTAGTCAATGACATAAGTTGTCAAAAGCTGGAAGTTTTTAGGGGGGTAGGAGGGGAATTGCTATCTAAAGACAGCAATGAGAAGCAGCAAAGTCCCTTACATAAGCTTTAGGATCTGTGGTACAGTGGTGGTAGGAGTGAAAAATCATCTGCTCCTCATGAGTGGGCTTCAGGGGATCTGGAATCCTCATGGAAGGGGAAATTCAGAGAAGAGGCTTAAAATATGGAGGAATTACCGAGGGTGTATTGTGTTTTATTAGTAGAGGAGCGGTGAGAAAAGTGAACTAAAGAGCGGATGTGGACACAACCTTATGGCAGTTAGAATATAGGAGTTGAAGGGTGTCTTGGGGTGACTCGCACAAATGGAGATAAATGTCATCATTAGATAAGTTCTAATGATTCAAGGCAGACCAGGGTGGCAGGATTTTGAGGTTTGGGCTATGGAGGGGTGGTTGTCTGGAGCTTCCTGTCAACCCCAAGTGAAGTAAGGGGTGTGGTCTTAGCCTTGGATCACTTGTTCAAACAATGCTTCATTTTGCTCCTGGAAACAGAAATCACATTAATCTGTAATGACAGAAAAATACGCTGAAAGCTACACATCACATTCAGGATAGGACTACCCCTGGGCAAGTGGGAGGGGGAATGGAAATGAAGTGAAGGTCAAGGAAACCTCAATTTTTTCTGTAACGCTTTTAGTCCTTAAAAGAAAGACAAAGTAAGTATACCTAAATGTTAACAACATTGAAATCTGTGTAGTGAAAACACTGGTGTTTATTATATTTAATGCCAGGAACACTGTAGGTACTCAATGAATATTACTTGTTGAATGAGCATATCTTTCTGTTTTAAAAGTTTCTCCAACAAACATACACAATTCTCAAATTAACACAACGTGCTACAAAAGCAAAGAAAAGGGAATGAAGTAAGCTGGGGAAGCCTTGAGAAATCCTTGTGGAAAGAGTGACTTTCGATCTATATAGATCTATACCACCACACATGGGGTGCAAGCTAAAGACATAGTTCTACCTCCATCTTACCTTAATGCTCTAAGGTTCTGGGTGAGTATCCAGAAAATGATCTTGAACGTTTAGTCCTTTCAAGTAAATACCGAATCCTCAATTTTCTCTTCCAACAGACACTGGGTGGTGCTATTGTCCAAAACTTCCACCCATCACGTATTTATTACTTCAATCTATAGACATCTCCACAACCAATGTGTCTTGTGGGCCAAAGTGCTAGGGATTAGGGATATAAAGGTGAATAGCCTCAGTTGTTCTGTGATTATTATAAACTGCTATCGTGTTCAGTGGCCGAGAAAGCTGCGAATGTGACTTTTACATTTCATAGGAGAGCACTACTGTCACAGAAATGTCCAGTTGTAGGGGTGAATGGCCCTGAACCACCCACCCTCACTATGAGCACCCCTACTCCACGACCTGGCCAAGGATTAGAGCAGACAACACCGAGCCCCACTTCCAACCTACTGTTAGGTTATCACAGCATCCTTGGGCCCCAATGGCTATAAAAAGCCGAAAGAGCCTAAATACCGGTCATTCAGCTTGGACCTCGGAGTTCCAGATGTTCTAAGCTCACTGGGCGAGATGTGTCTGCTTATTGCAGAGGCCTCTGTTATTGTGAAAGAGTGAGTGTAGTCAGGATGAAGGGTATGTGGACCCTCAGGACTAAAGCAGTGGAAGAGGCCTGGGAGGTGGGGCCTGGGGAGGCGGGGTCGGCTCTGACTTCACCAAGCCCCGATCCTAGAGGAGAGGGTGGACGCGGGCTCTGTACACTCAAGCGGAGGAGGGGAAGGGCGGGGTGGGGGGGGGGGGGTGGCGAGCCCGGAAACCTTTGGCCAATCAGAGAGGGCTGGGGCGGGGCCTGCTGGGTGGCTTAGCACTGCAGGGCTCTGCGCGGGAACGCTAACCTGGTCCGGAGCGAGTCTGGGTCTCAGCCCCGCGAACAGCCTTTCACGAGTCTTCAAGCTTTCAGGTGAGGACCTGCGGCCTCGCAGGAGCCAGAGGACCATGGGGATGGGAAGGCGTCAGGGTTGCGAGGCGGGGGATGCCGCGCCTTCGGGAGCCAGAGGAGCCGAGGTTGGGGCTGGCGCTTCGCGTCTGCACCGCCGCCCGGGCGAGCGAGTCCGCGCCTTTGTCTTCCAGGGGGCCGCCTTCTGCGCTCGATGCCGAGCCCTCCTGGGGGCCGGTCCCTGGAAACAAGGCCCCGGGGTTGGGAGGCGGGGAGCGCGGACCCTTAAAGGGACCTGTCCGCAGTAGCTGCAGGTCGGAGGCTTAGAGGATGAGGAGTTTGGAGGCCGCCCGGAATGGGCCCCCTGGGGCTTGGTCCTCATTCCTTCTCCTCCCGTGGCCGTTAGGCTGGGCGCCAGAAAAAGCTAATAGTTATTTTTAAAAGTATGCAAACTGCTCTTGACAGACTGGCCTACGCACCCGGCCCTGCTATTATTTATTTGTTAGTTCCAGTTTTCCAGCTCTGAGCTTGGCGTCTAATGGCTTGGCAGAGGAGGGTCTTAGGGTAAACTCGACGGAATGGAGGCATGTTCGGCACTTCTGGCTGCTTGGGGGCCTCTCCATTCTACCCCAAGCACTAGACATAGTATCTTACTGCACGAGGGTGGGGCTGGGCTTGCGAATGAGAACTCTGCCCTCCGATTTCTGGGATATCCTATTGTCTCTTCTGGACAAACTCGGGACGCTTACAGGGCACCAGGCATTTCGTCAGGTCCACAGCCATGCACCTCTAAGCCTCATCTCTTTACCTCTCTCTTTGCAGAGAAAACATGGTGAAACAAGACTCGCTTTTATTTGGTTTATCCCATTCTGCTGAAGTCCTGGGTTTGATCCTAGTTAGCTGTCCCTTCTTACAACGTTTATACACCAATGCCACAAGGAGCTATTATGAGACGTGTATTGTAATGCCTTAATGTACTGTCATCTTTGGGCATTTAAAATAGAAAGAAATTAGTACAACTTATGCCACTCTTTTTTTTTTTGTGCTGCTCCCCGTCTCCTAAAAAAAAATGCCAAAAAACAAAAGTAATTTAATAGAAAGTGAAGATGCTCGAATAGTGCTATCTCCTGTTACAAAATCATTAACTGGTTAAAGCCAGTCTTTATTTTTTATTCTGTCCCTGTCTGCTCTTGTGCTTCTATCACCTCCATTTTACCCTTGCTGTGATTTTAAGAGTCAGACATATTGGCTCTGGGTTTCTGGAGAATCTTGGTTTCTGGTGCGTTCTGATCCAACGGCATTTACTGCATATCAAAATGGGCTAATGATGTGGAGTTAAAATTATTCTAACAAAAATATAACTTTTCTAAGATCTGTTGCTGTTTTTCTGTTGAAAATGAGCGGGTAGAATATACATTGATATGAAATATGAAAATTTTTGCTTGTGACCCCTTAGTCCGAAGACAGTTCTGCCAGGTAAGTTTTCTTAAAAATGTTTATTCTTTTCAGGCTATCTTCTAGTCAAGATGAGTGATAAGCCAGACTTGTCGGAAGTGGAGAAGTTTGACAGGTCAAAACTGAAGAAAACTAATACTGAAGAAAAAAATACTCTTCCCTCAAAGGAAAGTAAGTCATGGGGGGTTCTAGTGGAAACACACAGTAGAGAAAGTTAATAGGTTCAGTAAATAAACCTATCTTCTAGTAAATTTTTGCCACAAAGTAAGCAATAATTAGAGTACCATGGTGTTTAATGTAACAGTTAAAAACATCAAATAGTCATCTTCCTACTTGGGTTATATAAGTAGTTCTCACATAAGTCTTAATAGGAATGGGGGGGAAAACTAGTTTCTTGTTGGAAAATTACTAAAAACCACCTTAAAAATCAATCTTGGAATATTGGATTTAGCACTAGAAAAATCTTAGTTTTGTTCACTTTATGCTTATTAGACATTTTTCTGCATCCATCAGTTTGGGTCAGTGGTCTTATACCTAAAGATCCATGCAAACTTTGCAGTTTTGGCCTTCTCTACCTGATGATGAGATAAAGACAATGAACAAGTTTAGATCTTGGGTGCACGTAGGGCTCACAGACTCAAGGGATAAGTGATCAGTTTTGCCCTCCAGAAATACAGCCTTCTGGAGAAACTCCAAGTGTTTTTGCAAAAGTTGAGGGGAACTTTTTGTCTTGTTAGCTTTGAGAGTTCCAAAGTTAGTCAAAATTGTCTGAAAAGGTATAACTTCCTAGTTGTATATGGATAGATAAATCCGAAGAAATTGCTTCGTATCTCAGTCTTGAATCATCTAAGAAAAAATGGCAACAGCATGTCTCTATCTCTTAAATGGGAGAAAATCCTCCACAGTTATAGATTGTAGTGAATATTCAGGTAGTTAACACACACACATACATGCACACACCCTAATGTGAGGATTTGTGGTTAATGCCTTGGCATTCTAAATTTAAGGCATGTATGCAGACTTCGATGACTTAGCAAGGAGCTCTTTTGAAAGAAACTGAACTTAATCTTAGGTACATACGGTTAATGATTTTTGTGTTTGTCTTCCCAGCTATCCAGCAAGAGAAAGAGTGTGTTCAAACATCATAAAATGGGGATCGCCTCCCAACAGCAGATTTCGACATTACCTGAGAGTCTTGATTTTAGGCTTGTTTTTTGTAAACCCATGTGTTTGTAGAGATTTTAGGCGTCTTCGGATATCTTCTCACCTATGTTCCCTGGCTAAGAAGTCAGAGGTAGCCAATGTTTCCTTAAATTCATTTTTAAACTTACCATTGGTGCATATGTTCCAGATGGCAGATGCTGTCAATAATCTCACCATTGATGACCTTTGTGTATGTAGTTCTTGCATCCTATACTGGATAAGCCTGTTTTAACCTGCTATGATGGGTGCTTCCATTGCTTCATAATCTTCATGAAGTTGCATGCTTTTGCAGCTTTTCACAGTTTATTTGCATTTCTAATGTAGTAATAAAGTAACCAATATAATCATTATCTTGAGACTCCTGTGGTTGACTCTTGGTGGTCTTCTATGGAACGAAAAGTACACAAGGATATACTTTTCAGCCAAACAGAATGGTTGAAGGAAAACTGTTTTAGCAGATTATTCACGTGGGAAATATTTACTTCTCTCCAGGTCTAGTGAGTCCTGACTTGGGGATGCTAGGTGCTATTTCTTTAGAGTTGGAATCACAGAGTTAGAAAACCTTGGGAAGGGAGGTCATGTGGACTAACCCCTTATCTCAGAATGAAGAAATGAAAATACAAGGTCTGAAGTGATCTGCTCAAGATGAATATTAAAGCGGAGCGCTCTTGCCTTTTGGAAAGTATTTTTCAACTTAATGGAAGGGGACACCCAAGGCTGGGGTTTGATGGGGAAGGGGCCAGAGGCACTTGCTAACATGCACTGTACTAAACACAATATGCCTTCTGTGGAGCATAAACTCGTATCTAATACCTGTTAATGACCTGTAGTAGAGAGCTTCTGGTTTGGTTCTTGTGTAGAACAGAATTTGCTGTCTTATGAACCAAGCATTTTTGGTGTTCACGATGAACATAAGTGCTATGGACTGAATTGTGTACCCCCAAATTTGTATATTGAAGCCCTAACCTCCAGTGTGATTATATCTAGAGGTAGGTTCTCTAGGAAGTAATTCAGATTAAATAAGGTCATAAGGGTCAGGTTCTAATCCAACAGGACTGTAGCCTTAAGAAGAAGAGGAAGAGGGAGAGAGAGAGAGAGCGATCGAGAGAGAGAGATCACTGCCATGTGAGAACATAGTGAGAAGGCGGCTGTCTGCAAGCCGGGAAGAGAGCACTGCAGGACCTTGATCTGGGACTTCTAGCATCCAGAACTGTGAGAAAGTAAATTTCTGTTTAAGCCACACAGTCTATGATATTTTTCTTATGGTAGCTTGAGCTGACTAATACAATAAGGAATACATATAAATGCACATTTCCCAATCCATGCCCTTAATACTTTTATCACTTTAAGTTTATTCAAGCCAATTACATATAATCCCACTAATTAGAAGTGTTAGCATTTATGTGTACCGTATAACCATCCAGACTGTGGCTCTATTAATCCAGACTGTGAGCTTTTTCTACAAAAAAAAAAATATGCTTTTAGCACCTATTTGCAACCTCAAGTAGTATTCTTACCTCCCTTTTCTAAGGGCTCATATTCTTAAACAGGAAGTGGCAGCCATTTTTTCGCTATAGCTGAAAGTTCCACAAGCAAAACAGTAGGTGGGTCAACTTTGATCAAGTGCCGATGAGGTGACACAATCACAGGGCTTAGTGTAGCCAGAGCATTTGAACCTTGGAAGTAACCATGTCGGTCACCAGTAACTTACCTCCTATCTGAAACAGTTGTCCAACAGTCACTCAACCCTTTGCAATGACATGCTATTTACACTGTGTCCCAAATTGCCTCCCTTTAGCTCCTATCCAACAGTCCTGAGACAGTTTTTTGGATACTTTCACAAGGTAGTTAATCTACCCTCCAGTATTTGAAGTCAGCTTTTGTGTGCCTGCCCTCATACCTCAAAGTCTTCTCCAGGAGACACTTCTCAGATCCTTTGGACCCAAGTTACATGGATGGAGAACCATGCTGGTTGCATGTTAGGTGTGCCCAAGTTTGCCATTATCAGATTTCTTTGGATTCTGATTCTATCATCCAACACATTTGCTCTCCTTTCAGTGTTGCTACTTGCAAATTTGATAAAAATGCTATATATCCATGATAGATCCAGCAGCCTCTGCATTTGTATATTAATCCAACTCAAAGTTAGGCCCATTTCAAAGGGTCTAAAGGAGAGCGTGAATATTGTCAGGTAAGCTGGGATTGGACGATAATTCCCAGTGTTCAATTACATCTGGTATCTATCCTTTTCATTAAGGCATTGATTCTACCCTGGATAGTATAAGTGGTAAACTGAGTGGGAGTAGGTGAAAGGTATACGATGAGAGGTGAAATACTTGTGGTTGCTAAGTGAATATTCACACAAATGAGATGGGAAAAACATTTGCTTACCTACTGTAGTTTTTCCCTGTATTTTTAAAATAATGTCAGGCTACTCTTTTAGCCTCAAGTTTCACTTACCTTTCCCAAACAAGGGAGGATTTTTTTTTCCCCATAAGCCCACTATAAAAAGAGATTGAGATTTATCACCCTGAATTCATTTATTAATTGCAAAACTGACAGCACTAAGCCTTTGTTGTAGCCTTACATTTTTGTGGGCAGTTACATTTATAGAGAAAGGAAAAAGAGGTAACATTGCCAGAGCCTGGAGTAGATTTAGAGCGTGCTGCGTGATAGAAATGCATTTGCTAAGTGAAGAAATCAGGGCTCAGAGAGGAAAGGAGACATTTTTCAGGTCACACAGGAGAAGTTATTGCTCAATACATAAACAAGGAAACTTAGAATAATGTATAGGATGTAGCTTAGATTCGTGATGATTACTTGTGAATATATCCAGGAGAACTTCTCAAAGTGTGGTCCCTTAGCCATGAGCATTAGGATCACCCTTGGTAATTAGTGTGTATTCCTGGGCCTCATACCCAGAGATTCAGGTTCAGTGAGAGCAAGGGATGTTCTCTTGTCATAATTTTGCAAAATTATGGTGTATATATCATTACTTCTTTCCTTTTATGATTTGTGACTTCATATTTTTTTACAACATCTGTCTTCTGTGTCTCTTTCACGCAGAATGTTTCCTTCCTGAAAATTGGTATTGTTGATATCTTGAGAGGAACAGATGGAGTAATCAGTTGGCAATACTTTTACTTTAGCTTACTTGTTCTCCAAGTATTGGTTCATGGAACAGCAACATTAGCATCACCTGGGCTTGTTAGCAGTACAAATTCTAAGGCTCTATCCTAGAACTAATGAATCAGAAACTGGCCGAGGGGCCCAGCAAACTGTTTCAACATGCTTTCCAGGTGATTCTGATGCACATTTAAGCTTAAGAACCACTGCTTTAGGTAAAAATGAAAATGCTTTCAGGACTGGGCTGTAGTAGCTAGCTAGAACAGACACTTAGGAAAACATAAAGTTTTTTGTTTTTGTTTTTTGAAATTCAGCAGGCATTTGTCAAGAGCCTATTACATCTAAGCATGTGTGCAGAGAATATAGGAGATGAATAAGAGACAATCCTTGCCCTCCAGAGACTTACAATCTCATAGAAGGGATAAAGTAAGAATGCCAATGGCCAAATAAAGTGTGTGAAGTGTCTTAAGTAGATTCAAAAGTGGGAGAGCCACATCTTGGGAGGTGCATATAGCTTTTGCAGGTCTTTGTGCTGTAACACTCTCTTGCCTTCAGGATGCACTGACCTACAATGATCCATGGACAGAGTACTCTTGTTAGAGGTAAGAAACCAAGTAAGATATAATAAACACATTCATATGAGGGAAAATGTGTCTTGTACATGCTTCAGCATCACAGGTTTCCATGCAGCTAGGTTTTCGATCTCTAAATTTATTTTCATGAAGGCTGGACCTGAATTTTAAGGGGACAAACAACTGGTAAGCAGAGAATTAGTGGAGGCAGGGATAGCTGTGGGGGAGAATAGAAAGGAGCTGTATTACTATGATTATTGTTGTTATTATTACCACGTGGACAAAGAGAATACAAACATTCTTTACTTTAGTCTCTTTGCTTTACACTGGGGGCTGGGAGAAATGATGTAGTTTTGTCTTCTGAATCAAGCCCTGAGATTTTCCAGCTGCGTCAGAGCACTACATTTCCCACCCTGAATTAGATTTTGTTAGAAGAGATTGGCCTATGGATATAAAAGCTTTTTCTTGACTTGAGCAGAAATTCTCTGACTTGGGGGAGGAGAGTGCTTCTGGAAAACAAGGGACCTGGCTGACAAGTAACTGCCTTCAGTTCTGATCAAAACCTCAGTGAATCAGCCTGGGTGTGGTGGCTCATGCCTATAATTCTAACATTTTGGGAGGGGAAGGCAGGCAGACTGCTCAAGCTCAGGAGTTCAGGACCATCCTGGGCAACATGGTGAAACCCTATCTCTACCAAAAAATACAAAAAACTAGCCGGGCATGGTGGTGCACACCTGTAGTCTCAGTTACTCGGGAGTCTGAGGTGGGATTATCACTTGAGCCTGGCAGATGTAGATTGCAGTGAGCCGTGTTTGTATCACTCTACTCCAGCCTGGGCAACAGAGTGAGACCCTGTCTCAAAAGCAGAAATGAAAACAAAAAACCCCCTCAGTGAATCAGAGAGATGAAAAAATGGCAAAAGAGCAGTCTCCAAAGACACAACAGAAACAAAATTAAGGATAGTTATGAATGTATAAAACATCCTTAAATATTTATCAAATTTAAAATTATTTTCTTTGCAGTAGTTATTCCTAGAAAAATACCCAAACTGAGAATGTGTTATTGCCATTGGCTTAAAAAAATTGTTTAATATGCCTCTAAGTAACCACCTTAGGAAGAAAAAACAGGAAATTTTTTTTACCAAAACAATATTTCTTTCAAATATCTATGACTATTTTGAATATCTATAATAGAAAATATTGATGAAATGTGATAGTTACAAAACAAAACACAAATTACAGAATTAAAACTCTTCCCCTTTCCTACAAAAAAAAAAAAAAAAAGCTTAAGGACTAAGAAGAATGGAAGCAGCAAGTTATCAATGAGTTACCATCTCAAATGCCCTGTCTTCCAAAGATGTTTCCTGTCAGACCATTGAAGCTCAGGTATTTCTACTGCCAATGAAAAGTGTGCATACTATGAAAAAATTATTTTTGTTTACAGAAAATATGATGATAAAATCCATTGACAAGAGCATGGTGAAAGAGTTCTGGGAAACCATACCTACAAATGAGAATACAACAATTCTACATGAAATATTAACAATCTAATATGGCATTATATTAAGAACCTAAAAGGACAAATCAGGATTCACTCAAGGATACAAAGATGATTGGTACTGAATATTTTTTGTTGTCATTTTTTATACTTTCAGTGTCATATCAAAGAATCCTTTGCCAAATCCAAGATCATAAAGATTTACTTCTATATTTTCTTTTAAGAGTTTTATATTTTATTTAAGGTATTTGATCCATTTTGTGTTAATTTTTATATATAGTGTGAGGAAAACATCCAAATTCCCTCTTTTGTATATGGTTATTCAGTTGTCCTAGCACCATTTGTTTAAAGGTTATTTTTTTTCTTCATTGAGTAGTGTGGCACTGTTGTCAAAAAATCAACTGACTGTAATAAATGGGCTGCTTTGTAGACTTATTTTTTCCATTGATCTATGTTTTTCCTTATATCACTACCATATTGTTTTGATTTCTGAAGGTTTGCAGTAAGTGTGAGTTCTCCAATTTTGTACTTCTTTTTCAAGATTCCTTTTGCTACTCTGTGTCACTTAAATTTGCATACGAACCTTACAATCAGCTTGTTAATTTCTACAAAAATGACAGCTGGGATTTTGCTAGGAATTATGTTGAGTTGTAGATTAATTTGGGGGAGTATTTCCCTGTTAACAATGTTAATTATTCCAATTTATGAATATGGGTTGTCTTTCCACTTATTTTGATTTTCTACAATTACTTCAATTATGTTTTATAGTTTTCAGAGTTCAAGTTTTGCCCCTCATTTGGTAGACTCATTCCTGAGTATTTTATTCCCTTTATGTGATTATAAATTGAATTGTTGTCAGAATTTCATTTTAGAATTGTTGATTGCTAGTATATAGAAATAGAAATGATTTTTGTATATAAATCTTGTATCCTGTAAACTTGCTCAACTGGTTTATTAATTCTAAGAATTTTTAGTGGGGTTTTAAAGGACTCTTTATGTGCAAAATCATGTTAATTACAAAGAGGTAGTTTTACTTCTTCTTTTACAATCTGGATTCCTTTTGTTTATTTTGTATATAATTATAATGGCTGGAACTTCCAATACAATGTTGACTAGATATAGCAAGAACAAACATCCTGATCTGAGGGAGAAAGCTGCCAGTCTTTCACCACTGAATATGATACTAGCGGTGGGTTTTTAATAGATGACCTTTATTAGGTTGAGGAAGTTCCATTCTGTTCCTAGTGTGTTTAATGTTTTTATTATGAACAGGTTTTGGATTGTATACAACTTTGTTCTGTGTCTACTGAAATGATCATTTCTTTTTCCATTTTTATTCTATTGATATGACATATTTCATTAATTGATTCTCATATGTTAAGCTATGTAGTGTGATGGGTTCTCTACCAGGTTACTGAAGGGTGTTTGTCTGCTGCTTGAACACTAAAGGCTGGGCAGTAAGCCAGAGCTATGGCACCCAGAAAAGGAGGGGGTGTCCCTAAGAATTCAAACATCCTGGGGCATAGCTGGGAACATACCAAAAGAAACATTCCCATCACACACACACAGAGTAGGCAATGAGCCAGAAAATTAGCTTAAAAGCAGGCAGCTTAGAGATGAGTGGTGGGCAGTTCTCTGTAGTTGTCCTGCTGCTGCCCAGGAATGTCCTGTATGTAAGTCTTAATAAACTCATTTACTTGCCGAGCTAGACTTGTCTCAGTTGTTTTGTGGTCCTTTGGCTTCTTCACAGTCTGGGGGGTGGGAGGGAGTGTTACAGTCCTAGATTTTTCTTGTAACAAGCTAATCTTGCATTCCTAGAATAAATCCCACTTGGTCATGGTGTATAATAATTTTTATATATTGCTGGTTTACTAATATTTTATTATGGATTTAATAAGTAACATTGGTCTATAGTTTTTCTTTGCACAGTCTTTTTCTGGTTTCGTTATCACAGTAATACTATGATATTAGTCAGAAATTATTCTCTCTCTTTTTAAGGAAGAATTTGGTAAAGACTGATGGGCTTTATTTTGTAGAGCAATGTATTTGAATTAATGGAAGGATATTTTTGTCAACCTAGAATGCTATATCCAGTGGAAATATTTTTTGAATGAATGCAGAAAAAAGACATTTCAAATATCCAAAAGGGGAAAGAATTCCTTACTTGCAGATTTTTTTCCCAAGAGGGAAACATTAATATACACAAGGGAATGAAGAGCACTGAAAATAGCAACTTTGTGTATCTTCATATGCAAAAAGAAAGAAAGAAAGAAAGAAAGGAATAAAGGAAAGAAGAAAAGGAGGAAGGAAGGAAAGAAGAAACAAATTCAATTCATACTTCATATCATATACAAAAATTAACTTAAAACTCATCATAGACCTAAATGTTAAAACTAAAATTATAAAAGTCTAGAAAAAACTAGGGGAAAACAAAAGTGATCCGGATTTGGCAAATATTTCTTAGATATGGCACCAAAAGCATGCTTTGTTAAAAAAAAATCATACTTTATCAAAATAAATCTTCTGAATTTTGGAAGACCCTGTTACAATAATAAAAAGATAAGTCACAGAGTGCGTCAAATACTATTAAATCATTTATCTCGTAATGGATGTGTATCCACAATATATAAAGAATTATCTCAAAACTCAATAGTAAGAAAACCAACTGTGCAATTAAAAAATTGACTAAATATTAGAATAGACACATAATCAAAGAAGATATACCATGGGAAACAAAAGATGCTCAACATAATTAGTCATTGAGAAACACATTAAAATGACAATGTGAGACGGAACTGGAGGACATTGTGTTAAGTGAAATAAGCTAGGAACAGAAAGATAAACACTACATGTTCTCACTTATATGTGGAAGCTAAGCAAAGTTGATCTCATAGAAGTAAAATGTAGAACAGAGGATACTAGAGACTGGGAAAGGTAGGGAGATATTTTTTTAGAGGACACAAAATTACAGCTAGATAGGAGTAATGAGTTCTAGCATTCTATACCACTGTAGGATGACTATAGTTAACAATAATATATAGATTTAAATAGCTAGAAGGAGGATATTGAATGTTCCCAATGCAAAGAAATGACAAATGTTTAGGATAGTGGATTTGCAAATTATTGTAATCTGAACACTATATGTATCGAAATATCACTATGTGCATAAATATGTGCAATTATTTTGTCAATTAACAAATTAAATAAAAGGAAAAATGACAATGTGATACCACTGGATACCTATTAGAAAGCTCAAATGATTGATTATACCAAATTTTCTTGAGGATGTGGAGTAATTGAAATGCTCATACATTGCTGAGGAAAAGGAAAATTGCCCAGTCACTTTGATAAACAGGTAGTTTCTTGAAAAGTTAGACATACACCTACCACATGACCCAGCCATTCCAACCAGGTATTTATTCAAAGAAGTGAAAATTTATGACCATAAAAGACTTGTACACAAATTTTTATAGCAGCTTTATTTGTAATCGCTCAGAAGTTGAAACAAACTAAACATCTACCAAAAACTGAATATACAAATGTGCTATATCCATATATTAGAATAATACTCATCAATAGAAAGAAATTAACGTAATACATGAAACAACATGGTTGATCTCAAGAGAATTATGCTGTGTAAAAGATATTGGACAAAAATGAGTACATATTGTATGATTCCATTTACATGGAATTAGAGAAAATAAAAAGAATCTAGACTTCCAATTCTGAAAGAAGATGGTATAGATTCACTTATCTATGCCCCTACTGTCTAAATACAATTAAATAACCACACAGTTATTTAACAGACAATGACTAAAACAAAACCAAAAAAATACTCTATGAGCTGGAAAGAAGAGGGCAGGATGGCTAGGATACTTGACTTAAAAAAAAAAAAGACAAAATGCTGTTTCCTGGGTTTGGTGTTTATCTCCCATATATCCCAGATTGGGTTTGGGAGTGTCTAGCACTCAGGAACCAATAAGTATAGACAAAAATGACCAAGAAAATAATGGCCAAATTTCTCCCTAAAAGACTAAGAAAGGAAAAGTCCAACAGAAACCTACGGAGAAGCTCCAACTCCTGCCCCACAACCAGGGCCCCTGTAAGTAGTCTGACTGAGGAGACCGCTATCAGAGATTAAGTAGGAGCACCAGAAAAAGCAGACTAAAGTAGAATTACAAGGGCTCAGGTAACTAAACTGTTATTGGAATGAAAGCCCACAGAAGTAGGCCAGAACTTACACAATAAAACTAACCAGGAAAACTGCATGCTAAAATAGAATATTTAAATAGGATAAAGAGTCTCCTAACACAATAAACAAAATTTCCAGGATAGAAATGAAAATCACTAATTTTACCAAAAGCCAAGAAAGTCACAATTTGAATTGAAGACAATTAATTGATGCCAACACCAAGATGAATTAGATGTTGGAATTATCAGTTACTCTGACACCTGGCAACTCAGCTCTATTGAGCTCAGTTGAGTTCCTGAAATTTATTCCCTTGTTGATTCTTGGATTAATGTTTTTATTATATCTCTCTTTTCATCCTTTTACTTTTAACTTTCCTATACTTTTTATGAAGCAAGAGTCTTACAGATAGCATATAGGTGAGTAGTGTTTTTTAATCTATCATGCCAATCTCCATCTTTTAATTTGTATATTTAGACAATTTATATTTAAAATAATTATTGATATGTTCTATGGTCGGAATGTGTCCCCCAAATCCATGTGTTGGAAACCTAATCCTCAGTGAAACAGTGTTGACAGGTGGGGCCAAATGGGAGGTATTTAGGTCATGAGAGCTCTAGCCTCAGGAATGGATTAATGCCACTATAAAAAGGGCCTCGAGGAGTGAGTTTGCTGTCTCTTGCCCTTCTGCCATGTGAGTTTGTAGCAAGAAGGCCCACAACAGATGCCTTGATCTTGAGCTTCCTAGACTCCAGAACTGTCAAGTCAAAATGAAAATAAAAGTTAAGCCAATAATCACTGTGATAATATAAACAAGAGTCTGAACTGGAGAAAATGTCAGTTCTCCCCATTCTATTTTCCTCCATGGAATGACAGCCATAGACTCAGGGGCAGGTGGGTCATAGACTCAGGGGCATGAGAAGACATGGGGGTCCTCTCACTGCCAAGGGAGCAGTGAACAAAAGGTTCCTGCAGTTTCCTATAAAGCCTGGGGAGAGGGAAAGGGGGAATGGCTAGAAGTGGAAAAGTACTGAATAGTCAACCAGAGTGGAAAAAAGTGTTTTCAATATCTCCCCCAAAAAGGAAACCTTGGCAGCGTTCTTGAGGAAGGCATATTAGTTTCTTGTGGCTGCCATACAAAGTACCACAAACTGTTTAGGCCACAAACTGGAGGCCGTAAGCAACAGAAATTCGTTGAAATTTGTTGTCTCGCAGTTCTGAAGGTTAGAAGTGTAAAATCAAGGTGTCTTCTGGGTTGGTTCCTTCTGAAGGCTGTGAGACGAATCTGTCCTATCCCTCTCTCCTAGCTCCTGGTAGCCTCGGGCATTCCTTGGCTTATAGATAGTATTCTCCCTGTGTCTTCACATTTCTTCACTCTGCATGTCTGTCTCAGTTCCACATTTCCCCTTTTTATGAAGATACCACTCATATTGGATTAGGGCCCACCTTAGTAACCTAATATTAACTAGATCATCTGCAAAGACCCCATTTTTCAGGTAAAGGTCAAATTCACAGTTACTAGAGTTAGTACCTTAACTAATGTTAACTTATGGGATACAATTTCACTCATAACAGAAGCCCTCTGCCAAAGGCCCCACAATAACTAGGCCTCCAAATGGAGGTGCCTGGGCCAGGAATGCAGATGTGAAATAAGAGTATGGGTTACAAGAGGGAGCTGGGTCATTGACTGCAAATTCCTTCAAAGACTGAATTGCATTGATTATGCATCAAGCCTGGTGTAGGGAGGGCAGATTTACCCTGTGAGGCCTGTCAGATACCTTTGTCATTGCCTATGGTCAGGGCTAAAATATTACACATAGATGTTTAGCCAGGAGCTTGAGTCCTCCATTATACCCATTGAATTCTCAGGACCCAAGTAAGAAACATAGTCTACCCTATCATGAACTCGAATGGGTCAGACTTGAGGAGCTGTGTCAAGACCTGGGTAATTAGTCTGAGGCCACAGTAAACCATGATCATGATCAAAATTATTCTAAACAGGATGATGCGTTTAGACCTGCCTAGAGGATTGGATATAACCATGAATCCCAACAGTTACCAAGCCAGGAAAAATTGTCTCAGAACATTAGGGTGTACTTTAAGGATACAGGAGGCTTCTTTTTAAAGTTTTTATATGAATCATTTTTATCTGGCCCAAGATATCAATTCAGGCACAGCACAACTCTGACCAGTAAGTTAAAGCTGACCTAAATATCTTCTAGAGCTAGGGCATTCTCATGATAGTTGGGGTATACACACAAGGAGTATAATCCTAGAGGGCATACATGGTCCTGCTGGAGACAAAGAGTTAGGGCACCCTAAGAAGGACACAGATTAATCAGTTGGTTAGGTTAACAAGGCCCCCATTTTGATCTCCCATTGTGGGGCCTCCTGCTCTAGGGTTCCCAGTCCAGTCCAAATAGTTCAGTTTAGTCCTTGGATTTAGAGGGACTACTTGAGGCTGTTAGTTTCAAAAAGTTAAGGTAGTCCATGACATCAGCTGATCATCCTTATGAGTGTGTAGAGTATCTGTAGGTGTTCTGTGTGGACACTGCAGGAGCTGTGACCAGCTTCTGCCGTCTCTCATAGTCAGCATTGTCAGATACGGTTTTAGGCTTAGCAATTAGTGTGAATCACTGAAGCCTGAAAGGGCAGCAAAGGAAGATTTTATTTTTATTTTTCAGGAGGAGGGGAACACAGTTCTGAAAAATCAAGATCAGTTCTGAGAAAATAAAACTCATTAATATGCTCTCCCTCCCCAGTGCCCTCACAGGTGCTGCTTTTTTTTCTGCTGTTGTTGGTTGACTCCCATTTAGTAATCAAAACCTCAAATTGTTTTTCTATCCCCGATTTTCATCCAGACCTTTTCTCTGGAATGGTTGCATGCAAGAGGGACAAAAGGCTTTTTATAGAAAAAAATATTTTTTCTATAACTTCAGCAGAAAAACATACAATGTTTAATAATTTTTAGCATAGGCCAGCCATGGTGGCTTATGCCTATAACCCCAGCACTTTGGGAAGCCAAGGCAGGTGGATCACTTGAGGCCAGGAGTTCAAGACCAGCCTGGCCAACATGGTGAAACCCCGTCTCCACAAAAAATTAGCTGGGTATGTTGGCACACACCTGTAATTCCAGCTACTCAGGAGGCTGAGGCATAAGAATCACTTGGACCTGGGAGTCAGAGGTTGCAGTGAGCCGAGATGATGCCATTGCACTCCAGCCTGGGTGACAGAGTGAACCTCTGTCTCAAAAAAAAAAAAAAAAAGAAAGAAAGAAAAATTTTAAATGGGCTCACATAACTTTTCATTCATTGCTGTTTAATAGTTGCTTTAAACTTTCAAACTTTCACCTTTATAAGTCTTCAGGAAAGGGGTCAAAGGAGATGGAAGGCCCTTGCAGGGTTCCCCATAGAGACTGAGGTTTTAATAACTATAAAAGAAGGTTATACAATTGAAGGAAAGGGACAGACTGATCAAATATAAGGTGCAAATGAGAAATACCATTTCATTAAATTGCTGCACTGAGATGAGAGAATGCTTGCCTGAGATGTGTAGTTCTGTCGGGGGTATCTTTTTCTCTTCATCAGCCAAGTAAGCCCGTCCTTAACTGTCCGCTGAAATGCTCAATAATCCCAGTAACTTGGGAGCAATACAGAACATGGAGAGTCCATTGTACGCCTCATGATTGAGCCCACTGATGTGTAGCCTGGGATACAAATATGGCACTGTTATCAGATGCAGTGTGCTCAGGAAAACTGAACAGAGAACAAATATGGTCTTATAGGACTTGGATAGTGTGTCCTGAATCAGTGGAATGCACAGGGAGGGCTAGACCAAACCTGGAGAAGTGCCAACTGCAGTCAGGATCCAGTAAAATCTTCTGCATGGGATGAGACACCCAAAATGGTCTACCTGTCAAAAACATTCTGGCCTGCTGGTTTAGGGAATTCTGTCCCTGAGCACTGATTTTTAGCTTTGGCCAGGGTTTGGTAGGAAGCACAGCTTTTTCATGCTTTTTTGACATCTCACAGCAGTGGCAGTCCATGCATGTAGTCCCAGTCTAGGATGGTGTCTGAATTCCCATGGGCCATCTTCTCTTCTTGTGGATCCAGGAGGTAATTGGTTGCACATCTGCTTGCTGTGGGGTACACTTCAGTCTCCATGTTTAGCTGACAAACACTGTCTGCTTCTTGGTAATAGTCCCCTTTGTCAACATAGGGGCCTTTCTGATGAACATCCATATAGGTAACAAACAGCTTACTAGGAGTAGGACTAATTTTTAACCAAAAGCCTCCTCCTCATGGGGGGTTTGTTTTATATGCTGGTCCAAGGCTGGGAATAAAATCATCAATGACAGATCATTGGGCAGGATGAAAGACTCAGGAATGGCACAAGATGGGGAAGTTTGGAGGTGTATTAGTCTTTTCTTAAGCTGCTAATAAAGACATACCTGAGACTGGGTGATTTATAAAGAAAAAGAGGTTTAATGGACTCACAGTTCCACATGGCTGGGGAGGCTTCACAGGAGCCTCCTGGTGGAAGGTGAAGAAGGAGCAAAGGCATGTCTTACATGGCAGCAGGCAAGACAGCCTGTGTAGGGGAACTGCCCTTTATAAAACCATCAGATCATCTGAGACTTATTCACTTTCACGAGAATGGCATGGGAAAAACCTGCCCCTGTGATTCAATTATCTCTCACTGGGTCCCTCCCATGACATGTGGAGATTATGGGAGCTATGATTCAAGATGAGATTTGGGTGGGGACACAGCCAAACCATATCATTCTGCCCCTGGCCCCTCCCAAATCTCATGTTCTCACATTTCAAAACCAATCATGCCTTCCCAACAGTCCCCCAATGTCTTAACTCTTTTCTGCATTAACTCAAAAGTCCACAGTCCGAAGTCTCATCTGAGACAAGGTAAGCCCCTTCCGCCTATGAGCTTATAAAAGCAAAAGCAAGTTAGTTACTTCCTAGATACAGTGAGAGTACAGGAATTGGGTAAATGCACCTGTTCCAAGTGGGAGAAATTGGCAAAATGAAGGGGCTACAGGCCCCATGAAAGTGCAAAATCTAGTGGGGCAGTCAAATCTTAAATCTCCAAAATGGTTTCCTTTGACTTCATGTTTCACATCCAGGTCATGCTGATGCAAGAGGTGGGTTTCCGTAGTTTTGGGCAGCTCCACCCCCTGTGGCTTTGCACGGTACAGTTCCCCTCCTGGCTGCTTGCATGGGCTGGCGTTGAGTGTCTGTGGTATTTCTAGGTACACATTGCAAGCTGTCGGTGGATCTACCATTTTGGGGACTAGAGGACAGTGGCCTTCTTCTCATAGCTCCACTAAGCAGTGCCCCAGTGGGGATTCTGTGTGGGTGCTTCAAACCCACAATTCCCTTCTGTACTGCTCTAGCAAAAGTTCTCCATAAGGGTGTCACCCCTGCAGCAAACTTTTGCCTAGACATACAGACATTTCCATACATCCTCTGAAATCTAGGCAGAGGCTCCCAAACCTCAGTTCTTGACTTCTGTGCATCTGTATGCTTTCAACACCATGTGGAAGCTGCCAAGACTTGGGGCTTGGACCCTCCGAAGCCATGGCCCAAGCTGTACATTGACCCCTTTTAGCCATGGCTGGAGCAGCTGGGACTCAAGGCACCAAGTCCCTAGGCTGCACAAAGCAAGGGGGCCCTGGGCCCAACCCACAAAACCATTTTTTCCTCCTAGGCCTCTGGGCCTGTGATAGGAGGGGTGCTGCAAAGGTCTCTGACATGCCCTGGAGACATTTTCCCCCATTGTCTTAGTGATTAACCTTCAACTCCTCTTTACCGATGCAAATTTCTGCAGCAAGCTTGAATTTCTCCCCAGAAAATGGGTTTTTCTTTTCTATTGCAACATCAGCCTACAAATTTTCCAAACTTTTATGCTCTGCTTCCTCTTGAACCCTTTACCACTTAGAAATTTCTTCCACCAGATACCCTAAATCATCGCTCTCAAGTTCAAAGTTCCACAGATCTCTAGGGCAGGGGCAAATGCTACCAGTCTCTTTGCTAAAGCATAACAATAGTCACCTTTGCTCCAGTTCCCAACAAGTTCCTCATCTCCATCTGAGACCACCTCAGCCTGGAGTTTATTGTACATGTCACTATCAGCATTTTGGTCAAAGACATTTAACAAGTCTCTAGGAAGTTCCAAACTTTCCCACATTTTCCTGTCTTCTTCTGAGCTCTCCAAACTGTTCCAACCTCTGCCTGTTACCCAGTTCCAAAGTTGCTTCTACATTTTTGGGTATCTTTACAGCAGTGCCCCACTACCTGGTACCAATTTACTGTATTAGTCTGTTCCCATGGTGCCAATAAAGACATGCTTGAGATTGGGTAATTTATTTTAAAAAAGTGGTTTAATGGACTCACGGTTCCACATGGCTGGGGAGGCCTCACAATCATGATGGAAGGTGAAGAAGGAGTGAAGGCATGTCTTACATGGCAGCAGGCAAGGGAGCCTGTGTAGGGGAATTGCCCTTTATAAAACCATCAGATCTCATGAGACTTATTCACTATCATGAGAATGACATAGGAAAAACCCACCACCATGATTCAATTACTTCCCACCGGGTCCCTCCCATGACACGTGGAGATTATGGGAACTACAATTCAAGATGAGATTTTGGTGGGGACACAGCCAAACAATATCAGGAGGGTACCCTATGGGGGCTTTGTTGATAAATTTGGAAAAGGCAATTCTCTAATTGAAGAGACTGGTTCTTTTCTAGTCACTTCTGCCCTGACGTGGTTCTTAAAGGGACTTCTAGGTCTGGCTCCCAGAACAAAAGCTGAGTTATTTCTGTAAAAGGACCTTCCTTATGTTGTGGTTAAGCAGTGATCTTTTTGGTGTGTGTTGAGCAGAAGGGTCAGGGTAGGAGCAGGGAAAGACAGAGAGTCCCTGGTCAGCATGTGGTTGAAATGGCTGTGGACCCTAAGTGAGGACACCCAGCTGTGCCCACAGCTCTATCATTGCTAACCATGGGATCCTGGCCAAATCTTTTCTCTGGGCCCACTTTGAGTCCTCACATGTCAGACAAGAGGAAGAACAAGATGGTGTTGAAGGTCCTTTCCATCACCCAAGGTCTCTGAGCCCTCAGAAGTGTGAACCCCCAAAATTTGAGACAGATCTCAGTTAATTTAGAAAGTTTATTTTGCCAAGCTTGAGGATGTGCACCTATGACACAGCCTCAGGAAGTCCTGATGACATGTGCCCAAGGTGGTTAGAGCACAGCTTGGTTTTATACATTTTAGGGAGACATGAGACATTAATCAACATATGTAAAATGAACATTGGTTCAGTCCAGAAAGGTGGGACAACTTGAAGCAAAAGTGGGACAACTCAAAGTGGGGAATGGGCTTCTAGGTCACAGGTAGGTGAGAGACAAATGGTTGGATTCTTCTGAGTTTCTAATTAGCCTCTCCAAAGGAGGCAATCAGATATGCATTTATCTCAGTGAGCAGAGGGATGACTTTGAATAGAATGCGAGGCAGGTTTGCCCTAAGCAGTTCCCAGCATGAATTTTCCGTTTAGCTTAGGGATTTTGGGGGCCCAGGATATTTTCCTTTCACAGAGGTTTGTTCCCAAAGGATTTACCTTTCAGACCCAGCCCTTCTGGGGCCCAGTTCTTGACCATGAGCTTTTGTCTAAAACTCACCCAGCCTCAATGGTAGGAATAGCAAGAGCCTGTACTTCCAAGGTATGAGAGGGTGTGTGTGTGTGTACACATGTGTGTGTTTTTTCAGGACTCAACTTATCCCCAGGTGTCGGCGTTGTGGTGTGGCTCTGCCCAGCCTACTACATACCAAGCAGGTGAACATAGTGTATATGGCAGCTCCAGTCCCCATGGCTTATCCAGCCAACCTTAGGATCTCCTTTTTCACAGGTTGGAGCCATTGGCAATGAGGAGGAGTGGGTCAGCCTCTATGAAGAGGAGAAAGAGCCTGATTCCCATACACTGTAAATCCCAAACCTCATACCCTACACTCACTACAGTTTAGAACACCAGGTTTTAAGCCACTTCAGGAGGAAGGAAGTGTTGGCATCTCAAGCACGTGGTTTCAGTCTGCAATAACACAAAGTTATATAACATAAACAAGTTTTATGTATGTAAATTAGATGTTTTCAAGTAGCAATAATAGTAAATCAAAACCTTAAAGATTAGGCAATATACACAGTTTAATAGCATTCCAAGGGAGATTATACCTTGATGTTAGGTTAATGATATTCTTTCCAGTAACACTAGCTAGTAAAATAGTGTATAGAAATGGCTTACTATTAAATTAAGCTTAATCACCAAGAACCAAAGGCAGCAGGAATGTAAAGCACTTTGCTTTACAAAACTCCACAACCTCTTGGGACTGTTAACCTGCTGTGTGCAAGCAAAGCAGATGTCCTAGGAATATCCATCTGCTCCCCCTTTCAGAGCCTAGGAGTTGCTAGTCTCACAAATCAAGAACTTCACATGCCATTTAACTATTTGTTTCTTGATCCTGAAACTCATGGGACAGTAAATCCTTGGACTTAACAAAGGGTAGAGTGACCATGAGCTGTTACTAATGTTATAACTTCCTATACGATCATTGAAGGAGATTAAATTTCTAGTTATCAGCAAGTGTTGAGTTTGATAATGTCATTGTTCTGCCAAGACAGACATATTTCATAAGATTGAGGAATGAAAGAATAAGAATTGGTAATTCAGGGAGTGAAAGGTGAAATTACATCTTTGTGAATAACTTTTTTTCAGTACAATGTCAAAGTTAGAGTTTGAAAAAAACTAATGAGAGATGCTGTTTAGCTTAGCATCCTTCCTAAGATTAGAGCAGATGGATCAAGATACAAATACTCATTTTTAGAGAAAAACATTTTACTTAAAATGAGCTGTTAGGATTCAAGACTAACCAAATAAAATTAGCTGAAGCTGTATAATTGTTTCAAAGACCAGAAAACATGATTAGAGACTAGTGTCCCTGTCTTAAGTTCATGTAAATATAGGGAACCTCTGTAATAAATGTGTGTGACTGTGTGTGTGTGTGTGTGTGTGTGTGTGCACGTGAGAATGCGTGTACTTAGAATTTTTTCTTGTAGGTAAGTTCAATTTAAATAATTATACATGTACATAAAGAAGAGATAGCACTGAAAACATTAACAGAGACTTTAAAGAGCATCTAACTCCACCCTCATTGTGTAGATAAAGAAATAGATGGCTGGGTGTGGTGGCTCACACCTGTAATCCCAGTACTTTGGGAGGTCGAGGCAGATGGATCACCTGAGGTTAGGAGTTCGAGGCCAGCCTGGCCAACATGGCAAAACCCCATCTCTACTAAAAATACAAAAATTAGCCAGGCATGGTGGCACGCGCCTGTAGTCCTGGCTACTCAGGAGGTGGAGGCAAGAGAATCGCTTGAACCCCGGAGGCAGAGGTTTCAATGAGCCGAGATCGCGCCACTCCAGCCTGGGTGACATAGTGAGACTCTGTTTCAAAATAAATAAATAAATAAATAAATAAATAAATAAATAAATAAATAAATAAATAAAAATAAAAGAAAAGAAATAGAGACAAGTCTGATTTGCTGAAGGTCTCATAGTTACCCATTGGGTTAAAATCCCAGGGTATGGGTTCTGGGGGCACTGAGAGAGGCACAGAAAATAGCATATGTATTACTTATAAAAAATCACTGTGCAAATCCTAACAGGGTTGCCTGTTGAGCCCTCTGTGGCCCAGTATCTGTCTAGGAGTTCTTTGTGCGGTGTCCCTTTGATATCCTCTTTTAAGACCTCTTTATCGAATAGCAAGACCCACAGATCTTTTCCGAAGCGTCCTTACCTAGACTGTCCAGGAGAGGGCACATGTTTACCATTTTTATGTCTTTCTGTTGGTTTATATTTGCTATTTTGACATAGCCCCTTTTTTCATACCTGAGAATTTGTCCATTAAAATTCAGGTTGTGTCATGGACTGATTGATCTGATTCCATTAGGAAGTTTAATTGAGCTTGATAATCAGTAAGAATGGTATGAATGGGCCTGGAAATTTGAGTTTGGTTGACAATCCTATTATCTACTCTTCCCACTTCCTCATTGTGGACCCAAGGGATGACCAGAGTGGCTCACATCTATATCTATAGCTTTTGTGATTCTGGTTCAGATATGTTATCCAATGTTAAGGAACTTGTCATGGGCATTTGAAACCTGTCAGGTCTGAAGTAGGAACCAGCTGAGGAAGGAAAAGTTCTCAAGAGTATTCATACTTTTCATTTTCCTCCTCTTCTTCCTACTACTTAGGCAAAGTGTCCAATGTTAAGGCACCCTAGAGGACACATCCAAAGTGGTGCACTCCACAAGGTGCCAATCTCCCTCACTAAGTTTAACAAGATTATCTCCTTCATTCTGGAAGCAAACTTACCAAGTCTCTAAGGTCTCATCAGGCCACACTAGGTGATGTGATCCTTTTTCATTAAAAGCCTGAATCTCAATAACTCACTGCTTTGCAGGCTTTCCATCATTGCCAAGGACCTGCTTAGAGCTAACAATAGTCATTGGGTGTAACTCACCTAAGAGAATCTCTGATGACTTTTGGGCTCATCATGGGAGAACAATAAACAGTAGCCAGGGAATTGCTTCCCTGGATTTCTTAGAGCCCCTCTGTTGGAATTCAAATGTGACCCACTAGATAAATCCAGCAAAAGAGTTTGAAATGTATAAGGATTAATGGGACCCCTCAAATTAAAAATCCAACAGTTCACTGGCAACATCCAAGAATTCCCCATGGCTTCTGCTAGCATTTCCCAAGACCCATTCATATAGTTGGCAAAGTGTCCTGTGGAACGTGCTAGCATTTCCCAAGACCCATTGACAAACTTCTCTGTGGGATCCTCAAACTCTTGCAAAGCATCTACTAACACCCTCTGAGAGTGCCCCATGGACTCCACTAGCACCCCATTGGCAAAGTGGCCCATGGGATTTTCAGGCTTCTTGTTTTTCTACAGTTGTGCTTAATCCACTACACTACTTGCTGCACCACTTTGTCAGGAGCTCAGCTGAGTTGAAGAGAGCTGAGCTACCAGGTGTCAGAGTAGCCGATTAAAAAATGCCTAAATGAAAGTAACAATCAAGCTTTTAATCACTTACTATGATAACATAACCAAGAGGCTAAACTGGAGAAAACACCAGCTCCCCCGTCCCATTTTTCTCTGTGGCACACTGTTGGTCTAGGATCAGGTGGGTCAGCACAGATGTAGGGGACATCTCATAGCCAAGGAAGTCTTGAGCAAAAGGCTCCTGCAACTTTATGGACCAGAAGGCTAGAGGGAAGGGATAGGATTGGGAAAATTCCGAGTACTGAATCAGAGTAGAGAAAAGCTGTTTAAGATTACTCCTTCCCACTCCATAAGGAGGCCTTGGCATAGGTATCTGATGAAGGCTTTTGCCAGAGATCCAGATAAAGAAGCCTCTGAAAGGAGGTGCTTGGCCTAGGGATGCAGATATGCATAAGAGCATGGCCAGCCAGGTGAGCCTGAGTCCTTGACTGCAACTCCCTTCAGAAGCTATAATTCACTGGCTATGTACCAAGGTTTGTGTGGGAAAGGCAGCTTTTTTCCATGTGGTCTGACAGGTAAAAACTTTACAATTGCCAATGGTTGGGCATGAAAAATAATATGTAGGTTTTTAGCCAGGTGCTGGACTCATCAAACAGAAGACATGAACAAAACCATGAACCAACTAAACCTAACACATATACAGAACACTCTGCTTAACAATGTCAGAATATACATTCTTCTCAAGTGCACATGAAACTTTTTTCAGGATATACAATATGTTAGCCCACAAAACGAATCTAAATACAAGAGAAAAGATTGAAATAATGCAAAATATTTTCTTCAACCACAACAGAATGAAACTAGACATCAATAACAGAAAAAAACTGGGAATTTTTATACATATATAGAAATGAAACAACACACTCCTAAAAAGTCAATGGATCAAAGAAAATCACAAAGATATTGGAAAATATTTGGACATGACTGAAAATGAAAATGCAACATGCCAAAACTGATGGGATACAGCCAAAGCAGTGTTCAGAGTAAAACTTACAGTTGTATGTATACATTAATAAAGAAGAAAGATCTCAAATCAATAACCTAAGGTTTCATCTTAAGAAACTAGGAAAGATGAACACATTAAACCCAATGGAAGCAAAAGGAAGGACATACTACATATTAGGGAGGAGATAAAAGAAAACTAGAGAATAGAAAAACAATACAGTTAATTAACAAACCCAGAAACTGGTTCTTTGAAAAGACCAATAAAATTGACACCACCAGTTACACTGATCAATAAAAATAGACAGAATATTCAATTTATGAAAGTCAGAAATGAAAGTGTGGGTATTACTACCAACCTTACATGATTTTTTAAAAATTATAGGAGAATACTATGAACAATTTTGTGCCAAGAAACTAAAAAACCTAGATGAAATGGAGACATTCCTAGAAAACACAAATTACTCAAACTAACTCAAGAAGAAATAAGACATTCTGATAGGTCTAAAACAAATAGAGTGAATCAGGAATCAAAAATCTTGCAATGAAGAAAAGCCTAGAACCAGATGGCCTCACCAGTGAATTATGTCAAACATTTAAAAATGAATTAATACCAATCCTTCTCAAACACTTTCACTTTCAAAAATTAAAGTGTAGGGACTACTTCCTGACTCATACAATGAAGCCAGAATTACCCTGATATTAAAGCCAAACATAGATATCAAAAGCAAAGCAAACTATAGATAAGTAGATAGATAGATAGGTAGATAGAGATGAAAAATACTAAAAAATTACTAACAAACACAATCCAGCAGCATATTTAAAAGATTATACACCATGACCACGTAGAATTTATTCCAAAAGTAAAGAGTGATTCAACATATGAAAATCAAACAATGCCATACAACATATTAACAGGAAATGAAGGGAAAAATTTCCCCACAGTTATCTCAGTTGATGAAGAAAAATCATTTGATGAAATCCCAGTTAGGGATAGAAGGGGAATTTCTCAATCTGATGAAGGACATCTACAAAAAAAAAGCAACAAGTAGCATCAAACTTAAAGGTGAAAGACTGAAAGCTTTCCCCATAAAGTCAGGAACAATAGAAGGATGTCCAATATCATGACTTCTATTCAACATTGTACTGGACAACAAGGCAAGAAAAAGAATAAAAGACATCCAAATTGCAAAGGAAAGCAACACTATCTCTAATCACAGATGACACAACCTTGTATTTATAAATATTTAAAAATCCATGAAACATCTATTTGAGCTCATAAATGAATTCAGCAAGGTTCCAGAATACAAGAGAAACATACAAATATAAGTTCCCTCTCTATATACTAGCAATGAACAATCTGAAAATGAATTAAGAAACAGTTTTGTTTATAACAACATCAAGAATAATAAAATATTTACTGATGAATTTAACTAAGGAGGTACACAAAAAGTGCACTGAAAACTATAAAACATCATTGAGTTAAATTATAGAATAACTAAGTAAATGGAAAGGCATCCACATGCATGGAATGGAAGACTCAGTGTTGTTAAGATGGCAGTACTCCATCAATTGATCTACAGATTCAATGCAATCCCTATCCGAGTCCCAAAAGCCTTTTTTTCCAGAAATGAAATTACCATCCTAAAATCCACATGGAATTACAAAGTACCTTCAATAGCCAAAACAATCTTGAAAAAGGAGAACAAATTTGGAAGATTCACACTTCCCAATTACTTCCCAATTTCAAAACTTACTACAAAGCTATAGTAATTAAGACAGCATGCTACTGACTTAAGCATAGGCATATAGAACAATGGAATAAAATTTGGAGTCCAGAAATAAACCCACATAGTTATGGTCAATCAGTTTTCAACACCATTCCATATGGAAACAATAGACTTTCAGTAAACCGTGTAACTAGACAGCCACATGCAAGAGAACAAATTTGGACTCTTTCTTCACAACACATGGTGTTAGGCTTGCGGATGCACAGAAGTCAAGAATTGAGGTTTGGGAACCTCTGCTTCAGAGGATGTACAGAAACACATGGATATCCAGGCAGAAGTCTGCTTCAGGGGCAGAGCCCTCAAGGACAACTTGTACTAGTGCCATGTGGAAGGGAAATATGGGGTCAAAGCCCTTACAAAGACTCCTCACTGTGGCACTGCCTAGTGGAGCTGTGAGAAGAGGCCCACCATCCTTCAGACCCCAGAATGGTAGATCGACCAACAGCTTGCACCGTATGCCTGGAAAAGCTGCAGACACTCAATGCCAGCCCATGAAGGAGCTGCCCAAGGCTGTGGTAGCCCAGCCCTTGCATCATTGTGCCTTGGATATGAGACATGAGGTCAAAGAAGATCATTTTGGAGATTTCAGATTTAATGGATGCTCTGCTGGGTTTTGGACTTGCATGGGTCCTGTAGCCCCTTTGTTTTGGCCAGTTTTTCCCATTTGGAATGGGCACATTTATCCAATGCCTGTATACCCATTGTATCTTGGAAGTAACTAACTTGCTTTTAATTTGACAGGCTCCTTAGTGGAAGGGACTTTCCTTGTCTCATACAAGACTTTGGACTTAAACTTTTGGGTTAATGCTGGAATGAGTTAAGGCTTTCAGGGACTGTTGGGAAGGCATGATTGGTTTTGAAACGCAAAAAGGACATGACATTTGGGAGGAACCAGGGGTGGAATAGTATGATTTGGCTCTATGTCCCCACTCAAATCTCATTTCGAATTGTCATCCCTATAATCTCCACATGTGGAGGGAGAGACCTGGATGGAGGTGACTGAATCATGGCGATGGTTTCCCCTGTGCTGTTCTCGTGATAGTAAGTGAGTTCTTAGAGATCTGATGGTTTTATAAGGCAGTTTTTCCCTGCTCTCTCTTTCACTCTTTATCTGGCCTGCTGCCTTGTGAAGAAGGTGCCTGCTTCACCTTCCACCATGATTGTAAGTTTTCTGAGCTCCCCCAGACATGTGGAACTGTGAGTCAATTAAACCTCTTTCCTTTGTTTAGAATGTTTACTGGGAGAATTAGTAACGGTATAAAGATAATCATTACAAAATCAATTAAGAGAGAAATTAAGCTGATTTAGGATATGCTGTACATATTGACATCTAGAAAATCTCTGATGTCCTTAACAAAAACATAGGCAGAAGAGGAGCAGAGCAGGTCATCACACATTTATGGGAGTGTAAACAGGGGAGGAGGAAATTGATACATCACATACAGGTGATTATGATAATTAATCTCCACAGACAGTTAATATGGCAGGGGGGTAGGCAAGTACAGGGCTTTATTGCAGGGATGGGAGAGGGGTAGGGTATGGTGTCCCTATTATTATTCCAATTTTACAGATGAGGACAGTTGAAGCACAGAGGTATTAGGTCACTTAGCTAAGTGGTCACCGAGCTTGTATATAGTGAAATGATGATTTGTCTCTGTCAGTCTCACTCCACATTCTGTGTCCTAATCACTAAGGAGGTAGCCAAAAGTAAATTGACATTAATTCAGACTTAACTAATTACCAGCCTTCCAGAGCCCTGCCACAGACAGATGATCTACAAGTCCATGACCTATACCTCTCATAGTGTTTCCCCCCGCTAACACCACATCCCTCTCTACCAATAACAGCCAGGGCCCTTATCAGACACTGAATCTGCCAAATTTGTCCACAAACCCTGAGGAAGTCTCCCTCCCTCCACCAACCCTCTGTGTCCCTCTGCCACTTGGACCCATTTGGCTCCCTCAGTGTCCAATTTGCTGAGTAAACTTCTAATATTTGCTATCACTCCTGATACCCAAGTACTGTCCACTGAGGCAGGATGTAAAATTTGGTAGAAAGGTTGGGATCTGAGCCACAGTCCGATCAAAGTTTTGCCTGAGCATGGACTACAGTTCTGACAATTTTCTGCATCTGTAGGTCTGAATTTACAGAGGGCTAAAAGATTAGATCCAGTTCAGAAGTTTCTATTAATGGGCTAGGCATGGTACATGGCCATAGGACTGTGACCATGCCCACAGGATTCATGTGACTTCACCTGGATGAGAGAGCTGAACCTGCCACACAATAGTGAGGGCCATAAGGGGGGCAATATTCACATGACTCATAGGGTTCCAAAGTCTACAGTTTTTACACAATACAAAGAGTTTAGCCTGCCTAATGACTATAAGGGAGCACATGATCAGAGTGCTAAGGTCTGAATATTTGTGTTCCCCCAAAATTCATATGCTGAAATCCTAAACCCTAAGGTGATGTTATTAGGAGCTGGGACTCTGGGGAGTTGATTAAGTCATGAGGGTAGAGCCCTCATGAATGGGATTAGTGTCCTTTCAAAATAGGCCCAAGAAAGATCCCTTTCCCCTTCCTCCATGTGAGGTTAGAGTGAAAATATGGCCAGTGCCCTTATCAGACACTGAATCTGCCAGTGCCTTGACCTTGGACTTTCCAGCCTCCAGAACTGTGAAAAATAAATTTCTGTTGTTTATAGACTACACAGTCCATGGTATTTTGTTATAGTAGCCCAAACAGACTAAGCCACATGGTATCCATGTGACCAACAGCAGTAGAGTACCTGTGGTGCCCACATAATTATGAGGGCCTCATTGCCACATGAAAGTAGGAGGCCACATGATTGTAGTATTCACATGAGCCATAGCATTAGAAGCCTGCAATGTTCACTTGCCTGGAAGGGCTATTTCTGCCTCATGACAATAGAGTTCATTGGCAGTAGTGTCCTAGTGTTCTGCATGCTTCAGGGGTCTATCTGATTCATGACACATGGAGATCCGGGATTGCCTATGTTCCTGGGCTCCACAGTGAAGGTGGTGCCTCCAGGTGGCCTTCACAGCACATGAACTTCGCCTTTAGCTACCCCATCCCTTTTTATTGTGATCATTTAATATGCTGTTTTCTACTAACACATTAAATTTAATACATAACAAATTAACACATAACAGTAAAATAGGTCCTTCATAAAACTATAACCACAGTCATAATATAGGGAGTGCTGCAAGAACCTAGGCATGGTATTTGGTACAGATTAAGTACTGTTGATTTAATGCAGGCTTAAAGGAAATTAAAGCAAACCAATTAAGTCTGTTTTAATTATTATGTTGATAAAAAGTATAATGATTAAAATGTTCCAGGTACTTTAAAAGGTTAGCACATTTAATTGTCATAACTTTATGACATTTGTGCTATTATTATTCCAATTTTACAGATGAGGACAGTTGAAGCACAGAGGTCACTTGGCTAAGTGGTCACCGAGCTTGTATATAGTGAAACGATGATTTGTCTTTGGTCAGTCTCACTCCACATTCTGTGTCCTAATCACTCAGGAGGTACTCAAAAGTAAATTGATATTAATTCAGACTTACTAATTCAAACTTACCGGAAAGCCAGTCCCAGTCACTGAAAATTTGAGGTCATGAAAGATTTCTTTGAAATGCTGTTTTAATAATTTCAACTACTGTCAAGAATTAGGACCAATCAAAGGTGAATCTAATTAAAGATCTCAGGAGATTTACTTTAATGTCTGGATATAATTTTATCATTAATATATAAAATATTTGTATATTAAGGGAGTATAAAATGCTTGATGTTAGTTAAAATTTCTTTTCTAAAATTAACATTAAAATGGGAAATATTGCAAAGTTTAAACATCATACCTAGCTCACATCACAATTACAAAGTTATAAAGGAATGAAATCTGAATTAATTTTATTTTACCATGTTTATATTCCACTTGTGCCTCTCCAGAAAGGACAGAGAAAGAAGAATATACATTGCTGAGTTTTTTTGAAACTGCAATTTCAACAATACCTGTTTTACTAACTTTCTTGGGAAAACACAGCTTTGTCTGTGTATCCAAAATAAATTTGATGTGGTCTTTCTGATTTGCTGCCGTAGGCAAACCTAATGCTGTAAAAGTGGTGGGATTATTTTGTCAGGTCTCTGCAATGTGGCATAGCTGCACACATAGCTGCAGAAAACTCAACAGACAAAAGTTTGAACCGTGGATAAATTTCACTATATTAATAAGGACAACAGACTGTGTTTGTTGTACTAAATCTATTGAAGAAAGTCTCAATTTTTTTGGAGTAAAGCTTGGAAAGTAAGACGGTATTCTGGAAATCTGTGTGTCTCATACAATTTTGGAACATTATTTATGGAATACATGTAAATACAGGATATAAAATTAGAGCCACACATTTACAACAAAACCTATTGTGAAACTTCAATTTGGATTTGGAAAGTATCTATATACAGTCGTAGTATGGAATCCGACATCAAGATCCAGTGTCTGTCCAACCTTCATTTCTATAATTACATGCAGATAGATCAACAGTGAAAGACACAGAAGAATTGTGGCTATGCCACCGATGCCCAGTTGAGCCTTATAGTGTATTGATGGTGATTGGGATTAACTTTTTTAAATTGAGAAATTATTCATATGTCATTAAATTTGTTATTTTAAAATGTACAATTCAGTGGGTTTTAGTATGTTCACACAATTTTGCAGCCATCACCACTACTTAATCCCAGAATATTTTTATCACCCCAAAAAGAAATCCCGTACTTGTTAATAGTCCCCCTATTGCCCTTTCCCCACAGCTTTTGGCAACCACTAATCTAGTTTCTGTCTCTATGGTTTAGTCTATTGTTAACATTTCACATAAATAGAATCATACAATATGTGGCTTTTTATGACTGGCTTCTTTCACTTGACGTATAATTTTTTAAGGTTCATCCATGTTGTAGCATGTGGCAGAATTTCATCCCTTTTATGGTAAATAATATTGCGTTGTATGGATATATGACATTTTAATTATAAAATCATTAATTGATGGTTATTTGTGTTTGTTTCAGTTTTAGATTATTATGAATAATGTTACGGTCAACATTCGTGTACAAGTTTTAGTGTAAACATATGTTTTCAGTTCTGGATATATGCCTACGAGTGAAATTGTTGGGACCTACGGTAACTCTATATTTAATCATCTGAGGAACTTCCAGACTGTTTTCCTGAGTAGCTGCACCACTTTACATTCCTACCAACGGTATATGAGGGCTCCAATTTCTCCACATCCTCATCACTATGTGTCATGTCTGTCCTTTTGATGATAGCTGTCTTAGTGGGTAAGAAGTAGCATTTAGTTGTGGTTTTCATTTGCATTTCCCTAATGACTAATGATACTGATCCTCTTTTATGTGCTTACTGGCCACTTGTGTATCTTCTTCATAGAAATAGCTATTCAAATTATTTTCTCAGCTTTAATTGGGTTTGTTTTTATTATTGAATTGTAAGAGTTCTTTATATATTCTGGATACTAGATTTTTATTACATAAAATATTTGCAAATATTTTCTCCTCCTCTGTGTTATCTTTTCATTATATTTTTTAAATTTAAATTTTTATTTTAAGTTCTGGGGTACATGAGCAGGATGTGCAGGTTTGTTACATGGATAAACATGTGTTATCTTGATAGTGTCCTTTGATGCACAAAAGTTTTAAATTTTGATGATGTCCAGTTTACTTTTTCTTTGGTTGTTGCGTTTTGATGTCATATATGTTATGGACTGAATGCTTGTGTCCTCCCAAATTTATATGTTGAAATTCTAATTCCCAGTGTGATGTTATTGGGATGTGGGGCCCTAGGGGGTAATTAGCTCATGGGGGTGGAGCCCTGATTAATGGGATTATTCCCCTTGTAAGAAGAGACACAAAAGCTTGCTCTCATTCTCTCTGCTCTCTCCCACGTGATGATACAATAAGAAATTGGCAGTTTCCAACCCACAGGAGTGCCTTTGCCAAAATCTGACCATGCTGACACCCTGATCTTAGACTTCCGGCCTCCAGAACTGCGAGAAATAAATTTCTGTCGTTTATAAGCCACCCAGACTATGGTATTTGTTATATAAGCCTGAACTGACTAACAAAATATCAAGGAAACCATTTCTTAGTCCAAAGTCACAAAGATTTACATCTTTTTCTTCCAGTAGCTTATAAATTTAATTCTTGCATTTAGGTCTTCCATCCATTTTAATGTTTTTTTTTTTTAATGGAATGTGAGGAAAGTGACCAAATTCATTATTTTGCAACCACTATGTGTATAACCATTTGTCCCAGGACCATTTTTGAAAAGATTATTGAAAACCAATTTACCATAGATGTATGGGTTATATCTGGGCTCTCAATTTTATTTTACTTATATATATCCTTATGGAAACATCAGTATCACACTGTACTGATTACTACAGTTTTGAAATCCAGGAGTGCAAGTTCTCCAAATTTGTTCTACTTTTTAAAGATTGTGTTGGTTATTCAGGGCGCCTTCTATTTCCACATTGTGATGATTTGGCTCTGTGTCCCCACCCAACTCTCATAGAATTGTTCAGTGTTGGTGAGAGGTGATTGGAGCTGGGGGTAGTTTCTAATGGTTTAGCACCATCCCTCTAGTGCTGTCTCATGAAAGAGTTCTCACGAGATCTGGTTCAAAGTGTATAGCACCTCCCCCTTCCCTCTCTCTCTTCCTCCTTCTCCAGCCACGTAGGATGTGCAGGCTTCCCCTTCCCCTTCTGCCATGATTGTAAGCTTCCTGAGACCATCCAGGCTATGCTTCCCATACAGGCTGTGGAACTGTGAGCCGATTGAATCTCTTTTTTTTTAATAAATTACCCAGTCTCAGGTAGTTCTTTATACCAATGTGAGAGCAAACTAATACAAACATGAATTTTAGCTTTCCCATTTCTGTGAAAATGCAGTTGGAATTTTGAAAGTTATTTTATTAGATCGGTAGATCAATTTAGGGGAGTAGCAACATCTTAATGATATTAATTTTTCCAATTAATGAACACAAATGCCTTTTCATTTATTTAGGCCTTCTTTAATTTCTTTCAGCAATGGTTTGTACTCTTTGGTGTGCAAGTTTTTACCTTCTTTTCTAAATTTTTTAGTGATTTTATTAATGTGATGCTATTTTAAATAAAATTGGTTCCTTAATTTCATTTTTAATTGATTATTTCTAGTATATAGAAATACAACTGATTTTTGTATGTTAATTCTGCAACCTTACTGAACTCGTTTATTAGCACTAATATATCTTTGTGGATTTTTTAATATAAAATCATGTTATCTGCAAATAGAGATAATTTTATTTCTTCCTTTACAATCTGGATGACTTTTACTTTTTTTCTAGTCTAATTTCCCTGGTTAGAATTTCCAGTACATTATTGAATAGAAGTGGTGAAGGTGGACATCTCTGTCTGGTTCCTGATCTTAATGGAAAAGTATCCAGTGTTTCATTAAGTATGAAGTATGCTATTGGTTTTTTACAGCTGCCCTTTATAATGTGGAGAAAGTTCCCTTCTAGTCTTAGTTTGTTGATTATTTTTATTATAAAATAGTGTTGGATTTTGTCAAATGCATGTGTTGAGATGATCATGTCGTTCTGCCTTTGTGTTATTTATATTGTGTATTAAATTGACTGATTTTCAGATGCTGAAACAACCTTGCATTCTTGGGATAAACTGCACTGGGTCAGAGTGTATACTTATTTTTCTATGATGCTGGATCTGTTTTGCTATAATTTTGCAGAAGAATTTTTATCTATATTCATAATACGTAGGTCTTTTACTTCTTTTCTTGTAATGTCTGTCTGGCTTTGATACAAGAGTGATACTTGAATCATAGTGTTCCCACTTTTTTTATTTTTGGAAAAGTTTGTGAAGTATCGGTGTTATTTCTTTTTAGAACTTTTGGTAGAATTAACCAATGAAGCCACCGTGTCCTGGGTTTTTTTTTTTTTTTTTTTTTTTTGTGGTAAGGTTTTTGAGGAGTGACAGAATCTCTTTACTTGTTCTATGTCTATTCACATTTTCTATTTCTTCTTGAGTTAAACTGGCTGAGCCAGGGGGTGGAGCTGTGGGAAGTGCTTGCGCTTTAGGCATTGCTGTCTGGAGCCCCCAGGGAACTAGTGTCTGCTGGGCCCCATCAGCTTTTAGAAACAGGAGAGATAGAAGCCAGTCCCTTGGGTAATACATGGGAAAATTGGAAATCCAGATGTGTGGTGTGACTCCTCTGCTCTTTGAGGAGACACTGAGAACCTGGACTTCTCTCATGTCATACGATGCTGTGCCTAGAGTGGGGATTATGGTGCGAGGGTCTCCAATTTTCCTTCTCGTTTTGATGTGGCTGGTTTCAAACTCACTCAGGGTGCAGGAGCCTGTCAACTAGTTTCTGGATTTCTCACAAAAGAAATTGATCCATTTCTCACGAAAGAAATGGATCAATCATCTTGCTATTGAATCAGTGTGTCTATTGGGGAAGGAGAGTCCAGGACTTCTTATTCCACCATCTTGCTAACGTCATCCCTTGATAACAGGATAGTTTATTTTATTTCTTATTGTATATGTTGAGGATGTACAACATAATATTTTAACAGGTGTAAGATGACATCTTGTTGTGGTTTTAATTTGCGTTTCGCTGATGATTAGTGATGTTGAGCACCTTTACATATACTTACTGGCCACTTTTATGTCTTCTTTGGAAAAATGTCTATTCAGGTCCTTTACTCATGTTTTAAAGGGACTATTTGTGTTTTTTTTTTTTGCTATTGAGTTGCGTGTGTTCCTTATATATTTTGTATATTAACTCTTTATCAGATATATCGTTTGCAAATATTTTCTGCCAATCCATAGACTGCTTTTTCATTTTGTTGATGCTTCCTTTGCTGTGCAGAAGCTTTTTAGTTTGATGTAGTCCCACTTATTATTATTCTTGTTGCTTGAGCTTTTGGTGTGATAACAACAAAAAAAAATCACTGCCAAAGCCAATGTAAAGGAAGTTTTCCTATATGTTTTCTTCTGGGAGTTATATGGTTTCCTGTTTTACATTTCGGCCTTTAATCCATTTTGAGTTGATTTTTGTGTATGATGTAAGAGAAGGGTCCAAGATAACTGGACATTGTAAATTATATAATTGTGGGGACCTTGGAAATCAGATTCTCCTTTCTTTCCAGGATATTTTTTTTGTTCTGTTTGTTTTTATTGCTTGTTAGGGACTTTCTTAAATTAATTCTGTTGTGTGTGTGTGTGTTGTTTGTCATTTGTGGCCACTAAAGTCTCTACTTGGGTAGCTTAATGGTCAGGTAATGATTGGACATAGATTTCCTGAAAAGCCATTAACCAACAAGTCTCCCAGACTTGTTTTCAAGGGAGCCTGTATGTATTGTGGATAATTCCTTCAATGTTCAGGCAAGCAGTTTACAACTCTCTCTTAACCTTCAACTTGTGCTGGGTCTCAAGATCACCCAGAGGCGAAAATTTAGAGCCTTCTTAGATCTTTTCTAGATGTGCACACAGCCCTGCACATGTGAGTGGCCTCCCAGATTCATGGGTATTTTAAAGGCCTAAGCTTTTCAGAGTCCCCTATAAGTGTCTTATTCCCCAGTTTTACCTTTTAAGCTTTTTGTTCAGCTTCTTGTTTGTCTTAACTCTTATTGCCACCTTAGGGAGCTATTGTGTTATATGATTGCTACCGTTTTCTTTAAATCAAATGCCCCTGTGAAAAAGACTGTTCATACGGAGTGAGATCTGGGTCAGGTGAAATAAAGACAAGACTTGAAATGAGTGTTTCCAGGAAGCTGCCAAATAGTTCCTATGATGATGTTTCTCTAAGAATGATGTTTTGGACAGCTTCAAACCCTCTGCTCCCTCCCTTGGCTGTTGGTTTTCACAGTGATTATATAGCTGTTGAGTTTTATGACAACTTTGGACCTGAAGAAAAAGTGGTGGAAATAGAACAAGTTGAAATACCACAATGCTTGCTGTTGTCTCTGAAATTCAAACATTTTTCTTTAATAAACTCACCTTGAATTTTTCAAAGCCTTGGTTAATTTCCATAGTTCCGAAAAAGTTGACTTTTACAATACTTGCCAGTGTACTCACTGTTTTTATGGAGAGAAGAATTTTCCAAGGTCCTTCCTCTGCCGTTCTCACTAACATCATCCCATATTGGCCTTTTATGACAAGTGTGTCTTTACCGGAGTCAAGAAAAACGAGAAAATCTACAGACCACCATCTAAAAGGGTCTTTGTTTAGGAAAATCTGCTGTGTAAAATCTCAGGTTTAGGAAACAAATTAGTGGATAATTATTTCCTTTATGAAAGAAGATTTGCTCAATTAAAGAACTAATTTAAAAGTTCCTTTAAGTTGTGAATCCCATGGTTCATTTAATGAAATTATTGGAGCAAAAAAAATGTCCCTAGCCTTTCAAGAATACCCACTCTGTAAATATATAAATGCATTACACTGTGTTTTAAGAGTGAAAATTGGTCGGACATGGTAACCCATGCCTGTAATCCCAGCACTTTGGGAGGCTGAGGCAGATGGATTGCTTGCACCCAGGAGTTCAAGACAAGCATGGGCAACATGGCGAAACCACATGTCTACAAAGAATAAAAATTAGTCAGGCATGATGGCGCACGCCTGTAGTCCCAGGTACTTGGGAGGCTAAGATGTGAGGATCTTTTGAGTCCAGGAGGTTGAGGCTGCAGTGAGCCATGATTGTGCCTCTATTCCATGCTAGCTGGCAGAGAGAGGCCCTGTCTCAGAAAAAAAAAAAAAAAAAAGAGTAGAAATAAAGGAGATGGGAATTAAGAAGTGGGAATTAAAGGAATTTATCCATTGACAAATGGATAGTTTTAGATTAGTTAACACAGAGGTAGCAAGGTGAGTTTTCTTGGCTTTAACCCCCAAACAACTTTCTTCAAGAGCTCCCACGGTTCATATGATTTATTTAAGACCAGAAAAGCCTAAGGCCTTTGATGTACTTATTTTGAGAAAAGGCATATACCAACTTTGAATCAAAATTCTAACTTCTCCAACACCTTCCATAATTATGAAGGCATTCAGATATGTACAGTTGACCCTTGAACAACAGAGGTTTGAACTTTATGGGTCTATTTATGTGCAGATCTTTTCAACCAAACGTGGATTTAAAATGCCATATTCACAGGATTCAAAACTTGCATATATACGGAGAGCCGACTTTTAGTATAGTCGAGTTCTGCAGGACCAACTGCTGGACTTGAGTATGTGTGGATTTTGGTATACGTGGGTGCTGGGGGAGGTCCTGGAATTAATATTCCATGGATACCAAGGGAATACTGTACTCGATTCCATTATGAGATGTCAGAAAATATTACCTGCTGCCAGAAAGTGGATTTTATTTTCTAAGTAAAGATAATTTTAAAAATTTTTGGCCAGTAAAGATGCATTCTGGGGTCCACAAAAAATCTCTCTAGTTAAAAACAACCAAACAAAAAACCCCATAAATAAGCTACCAACTTTTGCCAGAATTCAAAACCAGCTGAGTGTATTTTTGTTGAAACTGCTCTAAGTGTGTAACTCATTCATGTCCTGGAGCACCAGGTACAATTGTGGTGATGCAGCTCTTGGTAGGGCTTTAAAATCAGCCTGGTATCTTTGGGCTGAGGTTGCCTCTAACACCATCTTATAAACAAGCAGGACAGCGAATGAGAAAGAGCAAGAGTGAGGGTAATAGTGAGAGATCCCTTACCCAGGAATAGGCCTCTCTGAGTCACTTCTGGGATGCTGCTGCCCTCTGCTGCCACATGTCCTGGGAAAACCCCTGTGGTCTCAGGACCTAAAATGTTCTCTCTTTTTTCCCAAGCTGATGCTTTATTCGTTCTCGGCTTTAAAGACACTTGCTGGCATGGAAATAAATGAAAAGCAACCAAATGAGAATAAGCGAAGACTGTTTATTCGGAACTTACTATAGCAAATGAGTCAGCCATCATCACTTGTGTTTTGGCAGAGACTCAAAGGCAGGCAGAGAAGTGGGAAAACTTTATAGTGGAAAAAAGGGAAGACTTCAGGTATTCCCTGATTGGAGCTTTTTCGCATAGGGAAGCTGTAGGTGGGCTAACTAGAAGCAGAACAATTTATGTGATTGGTTAGGAGGTTCATATTTAGTTTGTTAGGTGGATGCAGGAACAAAAATTGGAAAAGCTGTCAACTATTAATAAAGTACTTGCCATTTGGGGCCAATTGTTACAGAAGTTGTTTAGTTTCTTGGATTGTTACTAGAGAGAGCAATCTGACTTCCTGCAAATCTGATTTACAGCATGCTGTCTTCTTTGGTAATTATAGATAAGGGGATTAGTTTCCTGGGAAGGTTGTGGATCAGAGTTCTGAAGCCAAGAACTGAAAGAGACACAGAGAGGAAACATGTTTATAACACAAAGAAAGAAAGGCTGACTCTGGGAACTAAGATGAGTCCAGCACATTTGGCAGGGAAGGATGTTCCATTTTATGTCATTCTCCCAACAGTGTTGTTGCCCTGTGGGGTTAGGACATTTATTCATATTCCACACTTTATTTATTGAGTATCCATTATGTTCTAGGCACAGTGAAGAGCCAAATGCACAGCCCCTGCCCTCAGAAAGCTTAGACTCATGGTGAAGTTCAATATTCAGTAAATACTAATTATGCAAATAAATGTATAATTACAAACTGTGGTAATTCCTATTATTAAAAAGTACAGAATGTTAAGAGAAGGGTTAATAGGGAACTCTTGTTTAGATTGGAGAACCATAGAAAGTTCTCTGAGGAATTTAGAATTTGAAAGCTGAGATTTGAGCAATGAGGAATCAGTTAGTCCTGGAAAAGTGGGTAAAGAAGGAAGAAAGCATCATAGGGGGAAAAAATAGCATGATTAAGATCTTGAGGTGGGAAGGCACGTGGCCTGTTAAGGAAAAGGAAAAAAAGGTCAGTATTGCCATGCGCTAGGAATGAATGGCGTGAGATGTGAATGTAGAAGTAGACACTAAATGCTGCTGTCAGAAGTTTCATCTTCCATTGCTCTGTATCTCTCCTTTCCTTGAAGATCTATACTGGTTTCTCCACCCATCATGCCTCACTTTTAGCTTGGAAGCCCCCAGATTACCTAGAACCTTCTCATACTCCTTTTGTGTTCTGTGAAGAAAACACATTGGTAAAAGATTAACATGGATAATGTTGATATGTAGTTTTGTACTGTAAAGGAGAAGTGTAATGAAATAAATCTATTTTATGACTCTGTGTGGTTTTATTTAAAGCTGGATATGGTGGTGTGCATCGTGGTCCCAGCTACTTGGGAGGCTGAGGAAGGAGGGTTGCTTCAGCCCAGTAGTTTGAGTTTAGCCTGGGCAACATAGCAAGACCTTCATCTCTAATAAGACAAAATAAATAAAGGCGCCATCCTGTATTTATGTGTCCCCACCACTTTAGTTAGCTGTTTATCTTCCACTACACTATACTGTATCTTGGGCCCCAGGATAGTCAATATCAGGTGTGAACTTGATTGAATTGAAGGATGTGGCTGGTAAAGTATTGTTTCTGTGTGTGTCTGTGAGGGTGTTGCCAGAGGAGACTGACATTTGAGTCAGTGGACTGGGAGAGGAAGACCCACCGTTAATGTGGGCAGGCACCATCCAATTGGTTGCCAGCATGGCTAGAACAAAGCAGCCAAAAGAAGCTGGGATAAGTTTGCTTGCTGAGTCTTCTGGCTTCCTTTTCCCATGCTGGAAGCTTCCTTCCGCTCCTACTGCCTTGGACATCAGACTCCAGATTCTTTGGTCTTTGGACTCGGGGACTTGCACCAGTGGCTTGCTGAGGGCTCTCAGGCCTTTAGGCACAGACTGCAGGCTGCACTGTTGGCTTCCCTGGTTTTGAGGCTTTTGGACTTGGACTGAGCCACTACTGCCTTTTCTCTTCCACAGCTTGCAGGCAGCCTATTGTGGGACTTCGTCTTGTAATTATGTGAACCAATTCTCCCTAATAAACTCCCTTTCATGTATACATATAGCCCATTGGTTCTGTCCCTCTGGAGAATCTTGACTAATAAAGTCCCATTTAACTTCACCTCTTGGTTTTACAATCCATTGTGTATCATTTTATCATTTACATTTTTTTCTTTAGCAAATGTGTATACTTAGTTAAATTGCTGTTGCATGGCTCTATATATTGTGGAATAAACAATCTGAGATATGGGTTCTAGTCCTGACTTTTCTGTAAACTGGTGGCAGTCTTAGAGAAGTGATTTAAGTTCTCTGAGTCTCAAATGGTTCTTTCTGAAAATGAAATGTTTAAATTTTTATGTGTTAACTAAATTATTTTTACCCAGTATTCCTCTTAAATTCTGTAATTTTATACCACTTATGGACATCTATGAATATCTTTTACGTAGTCTTCTTTTGTGTCCTTATGGATAAGATTGACTCTCAGGATAATTTTCTTTTTTGGAGTAGTATACATAAAGTATAATTTAACAAATGGTAATTGGTCACAGTATTGAGGTAGAGTTAAGGCACATCTGAAGGGTAAAAATTCCCTGCTGAAGGCATAAAATTCTCATAAATGACTTTGCAAACTGTGATATGTGTACTCAGAGTGGGTAACCCCAAGTGCGCCAAGAAATAAAAGAAGCCAACAAATATATATTGAGGAGTGCAGATATCTCTTCAATATACTGATTTTCTTTCTTTTAGAAATATACCCAGGAGTGGTATTGGTGGATCATACGGTAGCTCTGTTTTTAGTTTTTTGAGGAACTTCCAAGTGTTCTCCATAGTGGTTATACTAATTTACATTCCTGCCGACAGTGTACAAAGGTTCCCTTTTGTCCACAACTTTGCCAGCATTTGTTATTGTCTGTCTTTCGGATATAAGCCATTTTAACTGGGGCGGATGATACCTCACTGTAGTTTTGATTTGCATTTCTCTGATGATCACTAATGTCGAGCACCTTTTCATGCGCTTGTTTGCCATTTGTATGTCTTCTTTTGAGAAATGTCTATTCAGATCTTTTGCCCATGTTTTAATTGGATTATTAGATTTTCTCCTATAGAGTTGTTTGAGCTCCTTATATATACTGGTTATTAATCTCTTGTCAGGTGGGTAGTTTGCAAATATTTCTCCCATTCTGTGTGTTGTCTCTTCATTTTGTGATTGTTTTCTTTACTGTGCAGAAGCTTTTTACTTGATGTGATTCCATTTGTCTATTTTTGCCTTGGTTTGCCTGTGCTTATGGGATATTACTCAAGAATTTTTTGCCCAGACCAATATCCTGGACAGTTTCCCCAATGTTTTCTTGTAGTAGTAGTTTCATAGTGGTGAAACAACAGGAGTGAAAGTGGGTATCCTTGTTGTATTCCAGATCTTACAGGAAAGACTTTCACTTTCTACTCATTCTTATGATACTAGCTGTGGATCTCTGTTTTTTATGGCTTTTATTATGTTGAGGCGTGTTCCTTCTATACACAGTGTTTTGGGGGCTTTTATGATAAAGTAATGTTGAATTTTATCAAATGCTTTTTCAGCATCACTTGAAATGATAATATGGTTTTCGTCCTTCATTCTGTTGGTATGATGTGTCACACTGATTTATTTGTGCATGTTGAACCATCTTTGCATCCCAGGGATAAATCCTTCCTGGTCATGATTAAAGATCTTTCTAGTGTATTGTCGAATTGGGTTCACTAGTATTTTGTCGAGGATTTTTGCATCAATATTCATCAGAGACATTGGCCTGTAGTTTTCCTTTTTTGATGTGTGTTTGTCTGGTTTTGGTATCAGGGTAATACTGGCATTGTAGGATGAGTTTGAAAATATTTTCTCCTCCTCTATTTTTCAGAGTAGTTTGAGTAGGACTGGCATTAGTTCTTCTTTAAATGTTTGGTAGAATTTAGCAGTGAGGTCATAAGGTCTCGGGCTTTGCTTTACTATAGACGGAGACTATTTATTAAGGCTTTACTGTGTTACCTGTTATTGGTCTGCTCAGGTTTCGGATTTCTTCGTGTTTCAATCTTGGTAGATTGTATGTGTCTAGAAATTTATCCATTTCTTCTAGATTTTCCAATCTATTGGCATATCCTTGCTCATAGTAGCCACTGGTGATTCTTTGAATTTCTGTGGTATCAGTCGTAATGTCTCCTCTTCCATCTCTGATTTTATTTATTTGGGTCTTCTCCATTTTGTTCTTCATGAGTCCGGCTAAACATTTGTCAATTTTGTTTACCTTTAACAAAAAAGCAACTTTTTGTTTCATTGATCTTTTGTATTGTTTTCTTCATTTCAAATTCATTTATTTCTGCTCTGATCTTTATTGTTTCTTTTCTTCTAATTTGTTTTCCTCTAATTTACTCTTATTTTTATAGTTCTTTATGATGCATCATTAGGTTTTTTATTTGAAGTCGTTCTTCTTTTCAATGTAGGCATTTACAGCTATAAATTTTGATATCAGTACTGCTTTTTCTGTATCCCATAGGTTTTGGTATGTTGTGTTTCCATTATCATTTGTTTCGTAAAAGTTTTCAGTTTCCTTTTTAACTTCTTTTTTGATCCACTGTTCATTTATGTGCATATCGTTTAATTTCCTAGGAGTTGCCTAGGAATTGCAGTCTTTGTGTCCTAGGCATCCCTTCAAGTTTACCTGGGACCCCAGAGCACTTTGGCCTGTAGTGGTGTGGATTGCCGAGAGACTCAAGTTCTCCGCCCTGGGATGGGTGAATCCCCTCTAGCTAGGTCTGGTCCAGATGCTCCCTCTGTGAGTGGGCACTGGCTGAGCCCAGCACGGCTTTGCTCTCTGGTATGGCAGGGTAGCACTGAGTTCAATGTGAAGTTCCCCAGTCACTGCCTTCTTCTTCTCCCAAGTGTACAGACTCTCTGGGCTGCACAGCTGCTGCCAGGATACGGGGGAGGGGTGGCATCGGCGATTTAAGACTGACTGTCTCTGTCTGACCTCTTGAATGTCTGTTCCAACAATATGAATTTAAAACCAGGCACTGTGATTGCTCACCTGACTTTTGGTTCTCATGATGATGCTTTTCTGTATGCAGATAGTGGTTGCAATTTGGTGTTCCTGCAGGGGGTACACAAGGTATAGCCTTCTATTCCACCATCTCTCTCTGTTCCTCTAGTTGGTTCTTGACAACTCTTGATAATACGTATTATTAAATACAGTATCTGGGCCATCCCTAGGCAAAATGTGATTTGCTGTTTTCCACTAGTTCTCTCCCTTTATTTTTCCCACACTTCTATTTCCCCTCATTACCTCTCCCAGGGGATTTCAATATTAAAAGACACTTCAAAAGACTATTTCACTATTTGAATGAAGAGCTGATAGAATTTTAGGTTATCACTGCGTAGAGTTTTTTTTTTTTTTAACAATGCAATTTTGTGAGAAGATGAATTGGTGTCATTCTGGAAGGTTTTCTTAGAAAGAAATACAATAGAATTCTGATTTTTTTAATGAGAAATGAACTTCTGGTATAGTGAAACATATGCCTTATGAATGTATAATTTTATGTTCAAATCAAGAAAAATATATTTAAACATTTATCCTGGGGTTGATATGAGAGCAATTTGTTTCACAGCTGATATTACTGAAGGAAATACTAGGAGAGGATGAGGAGGGAATTCAGATTTAGTATTCATTAGTAAAATAAACTCTTTAGCTAAGCGCTAACTTTACTAGCCAAGTCCCCTCATATCCTCCTGTGCCTGGAAGTTAAGGTGGATTTTTCCTAGGCTGGAAAGTTCTTGGACCTCTTCCCCATAACTTTCTTCTTCAAAATCCCCATGTTGTGCAAGATATTCACACGGTACTGTTGCCACTAACAAGGCGAGGATTGTGGTGAGAATCTGGTCAAAGTATAGTCTTGATTTATAAAAGAAACAAGTTAATGTGTTAAGAAATTAAGTCAGGGTAAGAGAGGGATCAACTAGTATAGTGTGGAAATGTATATATGCTGGAAATAGGCCAATCCAGGGGTCCTCATATCACTGTGGTGACTGGCCAGTGGAGTGACAAAGTAGACTAGGACTGAAGAGTGAGCAACATGAGGCCCCTTAGGATCGTCCGTTCCAGTGCCCTCAGTTTACAGATGAGCTCCAAAGCTCACAATTGGATTGCAATGAAGAACATGCCAAGAATTGAGCTGAAAGAACCCAAACCAAAATGTAGGATTCCTCTCAGGCTTATGGTCTTGCCCCTTTACCACACAGCTTCTGTGGCTAGCCCTTTAAAATGATTCTTGATTTGCATATTTGTAAAATGAGAGTTTAACAGTTCATGTGTCTCTCCTTACTTTGTGTGGAGGATTCACTTATACAAAAGATAAAAGAAAACCCAAAACAGACTTCTGGAATTTTGTAGCCCTGTTGGTTCTTCATTTGTAGGGGCTGTATGAACAGCATGAAGTGAAACAAATAAACAACAAACGCTTATTTTTTCCCCCTAAATAGTTATTTAAATGCTATTTTTGTTTCTGGGGCAGTAAGGATAAAAGCTTTGAACAGTTCGTTCACGAGGAGCAGGGCTTGAGAAGATGACTTCCAAGCTCCTGAGGGGTTCCGAGCCTGGGCGGGAGGGTATGGACATGAAGCCTCCTTACGTCTATCTCAGCCTCCTGCCTTTGTCACCCAATGGTGAGGCTCTGCTTGCGTTTCCTGCCGTCTTGGTTTCCAAGGCACCCTGGGCAAGTGATACCACCCCGCTACCCTGGAAACGGATCACCCTTTGTTTTCATGTTTGGACTCTCCTATCTTGTGTCACAGGTAGGGGTGCGCTCCAGGTGGACCTCATAATCTCCATGGTTCCGTCCTACTCCTCCCTGATGATCTCCCCTCTCTTCCTGGCTACAATGGTACTTCCCAGACCAGGTTGGGGAGGCAGAGGGGCTTCGCTAGCAGACGCAGAGGCGAGGCCGCCAGTCGAGGACGAGGAGGAGGTGAGGGACCAGGGTCGCGAGGGCTGTGGGGGATACCCTGCTGCCTGAGTCCAGGCCGGCAGAGCCCCTTCAGGAAGGTCTGGAGCAGTAGCTAAGGAGTTAGAAGGTATTCCAGGACCAATGAAAGGTAGCCAGAGCCGAGGAAGATTCCTTTCCTAGCTTGGTCAGTAATGTGCAGTGTGCCCCGCTTCTGGCGAGTTAATTGTCCATCTCTGGGCCTTGTTTTCCTCTTCTGCTTGCCCAAGACCAGACTTCTTTGATTTCAGTAAAGGAAGTGCCACTAATTCCCCTTCCCCTCGAGGCCTGTTTGAAGACCCTAGTTGTTCCTTTGAGAACCTTTGAGCCCTGGTACTTAATCCTTTCAACTGACGGCAGCGGGTTCAGTCACCAGGACACACAATTGTAGTTGAAGAGCGCTCTTTCTTTTTGTCCCTGGGCGAGAGTCAGGTCTTACACAGCTTGCCTCTTCTTTTCTCTCCAATTCCAGATAACATCAAGATGCCGAAGACTGAGGAAACTGTGCTCCAGAATGATCCCAGTGTAGCAGAGAATGGGGCCCCTGAGCCTAAAACACCAGGGCAGAGCCAGAAAAGCAAGAGTTTCTGTTTAGATGACCAGTCTCCTGGTAGGTCTAGAATCATGTCATCACTTCTATGGACAGCAATTAGGCTAAAGGAATAGACAGCCTGTGATTTAAGGGCCTTTAAGGGATATAGAAGGCTCTTGCAACCTTGCATTTTTCCTTACTAATCCTTCTGTTAGTCCTCTTTTGGATTATTCTTTCTCTTGTCTTTCTGCCCCCTCTAATTTTTACATGCAGGACTTAGGCCCCTAATTGGTAAGTAAAATTAAAAGATTTTGGTTTTAGAGAAAGAGACCGACAAAGCAAGTTACTTGTGTTTGACAACAGTCGAGAGTGATTTAGTCAGTTCAAAGCCTGGGAAATAAATAGCATTCTTGTATTTTGATTTTGTAAAGTGCAAATGGTAGATCTAGGACAGATCGAAGTGATCCAAATTATCTGTTGCTTCAGTTGTGTTCTGTCCTTTTCCAGGGGTGCTTTGTTGACATAAAAATTACCACTGCTCTGGGGTAAAATTATTTAGGTCTTTAATAATAGCATTTTTATGTGAACATTGGGACTTTAAGTCTTTTTCACACCTTATGTTAGGCATTTGAAGCTTTGGCTTGACTAGTCCAACCTCACAGGAACTCAAATTGCAGTTCTTTTACAATAATCTCCAGTGAATTTAACCAAAGGTTAATCTGCAGACCTCTCCAGATGTAGCAATTTGATCCAACCTCTTGAACACTGAAACGGGGAAAAAATATGAAGTTGAATTACGTGTGTTTCTCTGGTGGCCACTTGGGGTCACTGCTAGTAAGCAGAATGGCACAATTCATACTTCATAATATCTCTCAAAGAAATGATGTCTTAATGAATTAATTAGATGGTATATTTTAACATATGTAGCTTTTTAGTTAGTATAGAAGGGAAATACCAGTTGATGGACCAACTTTTCAACAGAAGTCTTATCAACGGTTTTTTAAATGAAAAATAAATGGGCATAAATGGACCATCTTCTTGGAGTGAGCTTTAGGATTCTTATATGTGAGTTTTATTATATCTTAAGGATAAATCGTTCTCTCTGACCAAGTTATGAAACTACATTAAAATTGAGTTACAAAATAGTTTTATTGCATATTTTATTTTACATATCAAGTAATAATTGTGACTACTATATATACTTTGTTTTACTACTGAAAGTACTCTGTATGATGAATTTAGAACACTGGTTCCCAAATTCGAATGCTGGGCTAGGACATAGTTCTTACCAATATTGAATGAAATAAAACAATAAAGAGGTTGTAATGAGTTTTTAAAATAATATTAAATTGATTCAATTTAAAAGAGTACTCTTAATGCTGACTGTGTTTTCTTTATACTTTCTGAGGTGTTAAAATATGTTTTCTTTTTATGAAGTGATTATTTTGATGATGGTAGGGTAGTTTCATTGTTTGCTTGTTTGCTTTCATGTCCATATGTGGAAAAATAAAAATTGTCAAATCATTATCTGTCACTCATGTTGTTTTGAAGTGTTGTCTGTTGAATACCCAGATTTGGAAACTACTGTTTTAGGAGCAGGTTTCAGCTTTAGAGCCATCTAGTAAGATTCGTGTGGTATCTATAAGGAGATTTTAGCCTTCATCTTGTGTGTAGCCCCTGAGGTAGGAAGAGAACAGTGGGAACACAATAACTTTTAGATACACATTAATTTTACAAATCACAACTTATTCATTGTTTGCTGTGTTTTGCTTATGGTTTTACATTTCAAGTGGAAGGTTTTCAAAACTGTTTTATGTTTTTCAAAAACTAATTTCTTCCTCCCATGCCTGACTTCTCTGAGATGTTCAGTGTTACTGAAGAGCAAAGAGTTCAGAAAACTTCTGGTGGTAAAATGATTGAATAAGTCTGTGTAAGATCCGTTTGATGAATCTAAACTTGGGAGCCTTACTTGGCAGAGTGAATCTCTAAATAAAATAAAAATTCTCTTTGTGTGGGTTCCCTGTTGATGATGGCTATGCTTTTTTTCTTTCTTTTTCCGGAAAGCAGACCTGATGTCTTTTCTGTCACAGATCTGATAGAGACAGTTAATGAAGTTTCCAAGCTGAGCATTTCACATGAAATTGTAGTAAACCAAGATTTCTATGTGGAAGAGACCATTTTGCCTCCAAACAGGTACAGATTATTCAGTTTTTTTCCATTTTACTCTTCGGGGCATAGGTACATAGCACAAATGACTTTTGGTCAGACTTGAAGCATCTTATTAATAAATTTAATGGTTGAGTGTGTCTTATATAGTACCGACAAATTAGTGTAAGTATTACTTTAAAAGTGTCAAAGCAGCAAATTATATTTAAACAGGTAATAAACCAATGCAGTTACAGGTTGAACATCCCAAATCGGAAATCCACGATGCTCCAAAATCCAAAACATTTTGAGCGCCAACATGATGCTCAAAGGAAATGCTCATTGCGGTATACAAGTATGCTGCAAATATTCCAAAATCCAAGAAATCCGTAATCTGGCTAGGCGCAGTGTCTCACGACTGTTAAGTTCCAACACTTTGGGAGGCCGAGGCAGGTGGATTGCTTGAGTCCAGGAAGTCAAGGCCAGCCTGGGCAACATGGCGAAACCTTGTCTATGCAAAAAATACAAAAATTAGCCGGGCATGGTGGTGCATGCCTGTAGTCCCAGCTACTCAGGAGGCTGAGGTGGGAGGATCCCTTGAGCCTGGGAAGCAGAGGTTGCAGTGAACTGAGATCGCGAACACGCCACTGCACTCCAGTCTGGGCGACAGAGTGAGACCCTGTCTCAAATAATAATAATAACAATAATAATCCGTAATCCAAAATACTCCCGTCCCAAACATCTTGGAAAAGGGGTATTCATTCTGTATTGTCAAAATGTTCATTTCAGGATCTTAGTTAATAATGAAACGTAGAGTGATTTTCAGATCTTTTCAGACAGACTTGGAAGAGGTAACTCCTAGCCGTTCAACTTTTAATTATCTGCAGATTAAACAGGCAGAGATGAGCAGATTTTCTAATAGTGGTTTTGTTCACTCTTCAGGAGTAGGAAATTTCAGGGGACACTTCTGCTTCATAATCAGTGTAATAAAGATTCTGTGAATCAAGATTAGAACCCCATCGATAAATAGTGTGCTTCTACAATTAGGCTTTATATTGGTTTCTCTTAATTATATTGATATAACAATATATGATTAAGAATCATCCAGCATTTATGGATTGAATGCTTCTAGTGTTTATTAAGAGTTAAATGGGTTGATTTCTTTGTCAGAATCTATATTTTACGGTATTTCTAATTTCCCACCTTAAATGCTTCTGTTATTTTGCCACTTTTGGGATTCTGTTACGTAAAGCCCCTTGCTTTGTCAGTGGTTCTCTTGATCTTCATACTTCTTAGATTTTCCTTTGTCTGTTGCCAAGGATGGGTTACCTGAAGGAAGTTTTTACCAAAACACAGGTCTCGTAGCATCTCCCTCATTGCCTTTATAGTCCCTGCGGCCCGAGTTAGATTTGTTTTTCTCCTGGTAGGGGTGCAGAAAAAAGTGAAGCTAAGAGAATGAAGGTCTGTTAAAGTGGCTAGGGATCTCAGGGGGTGGATAGATGAAGCAGGAGGAATAATATTATTTAGGGCTTGGATTTCACTGTGTTTTTTAAATTAACAGGCTTTTTCAAATGTAGTAATACAAAATGTATACTGGATAAGAGGTTGAAATAGAGTTTGGGGTTATCCATTATCTACAGATAATTGACAGTTTTCCCTTTGGACTTATAAAATTATACTAAGCACAGTTATCGGTTTTTAGGGGAAATCTCATAATAAGACATTTATTCAACAAACATTTATTGAGTACTTATTAGGTGGAAGGCAGAATGTTGAAAGCTGAAGACATATAGTTGAGTGAGTCACTGTCTTTGCCATCAAAAAGCTTCTGTAGGGAAGATAGTCAAATAGCTACTGTGCAGAGTGATAAGTTATCTCATATCTAGTGTGTGGAGTTCTATGCAGTGCTCAGCTACCTGGGGAAGGTCAGCGAAGACTTTCCTAATAAGGTAACACTTGAATTGAGTCTTTTCAGGTGGTTTAGGGGAGAAGGGACTCTCCTGGAAGAGGAAATGTCATTTCAGAGCCATAGAGGGATGGAAGACAATTATATATTAATTATAAGTGGACTGTGATTGTTAGAGCACAGGATGTAGGAGGAGAAAGAAGGTTAAGGTAGGAGAAGTGGCAGAATAGGATCGTGAAGGGACTTAAAGGCCACGTACACTGCTAGAGATAGGTAGCGTCTGAAGAACTTTAAATGAGTATACTATTATGATCAGATTTGTATCTTAGAAAACTCATTGATTTTTATCAAAAATATGTACCATTGTTGGGGTAAGGTTTTGTGGGTGTAAGGTGGCCATTTAATAGACTATAGCAATAGTTCAGGAAAGAGATGACAGTGGGTGGGGGCCGATTCCAGAGATATTTAGGAAGCAAAATCTCTGGAATTGGGTGACTGAGTGGATAAAGGACATGAGGGGAAAGGAATTAAGAAGGACTACAGTACACACCAGATAGATAATAGTTGAACTTTCACAGGTTAGATTGTTGTGTTGGAGGAGAAACTTTGAATTTTTGTTTCATATATTTTTTAATCACTTGTATTTTTGTAAACAGAAAACATACATTACTATTATATACATACACGTATATATACACACGTGTGTGTATATATGTGTGTGTGTGTATATACATATATATATATATATATATTTTTTTTTTTTTTTTTTTTTTTTTTTTTGAGACCGAGTCTCGCTCTGTCACCAGGCTGGAGTGCAGTGGCACTATTTCGGCTCACTGCAAACTCTGCTTCCCGGGTTTAAGCAATTCTCCTGCCTCAACCTCCGGAGTAGCTGGGACTATAGGCACCCGCCACCACGCCCAGCTAATTGTTGTGTTTTTAGTAGAGACGGGGTTTCACCATGTTGGCCAGGATGGTCTCAAACTCCTGACCTCGTGATCCGCCCGCATCGACCTCCCAAAATGCTGGGATTACAGGCGTGAGCCACCGCGCCCGGCCTACTATTATATTTTTTTAAAGAGAAAAAGTCTCAGATTTCTGGTTACAGAACTAAGTATACATGAGGAACAAATTTAAAGAAGGAAGATAAGGAGTTCAGTTTTGGGCTTGCTGAATTTAAAGTGTCTCAGAAGACCTTCAGGTATTATCAAGAGGTAAAATCCTTTCCTAGATTTCAGGCCTGAAGGAAAAATAGCATCTGGTTCAAAGTTTTAAGTCTATGGCAGTGGAAACTAAGTCACACATCCAGGCTAGGTGCAGAACTAGGGTTAGAAGTCAGAGTCTCAACTCCTAGTTTATGGTTCTTCCTGCTGCAGGAAGAGAGTGTCTCTGGAACCTTGAGGTACCCTTCTGAGAGAATTTAGCCAATGCTTTTCCATCTGAGACTACCTTCAGTTTATTCAGCCCTTCTCAAGTCTAAACATAGGTCCTCCTAGCCTGTCAAGTTAATGGTCTTTCATAATTTTAAATGCTGTTTGGGAAATTATGATCCTGTATCAATTTTCTAGGTAAAAGAGCAATCTGCTCATTTAACCCTTCTTATAGTGTAGAAGGCAGGTTTGCGGAGGCAATGTACAATGCTTTTTGGAACCATCTGAAAGAACAGCTATTGAGTACTCCTCCTGACTTCACTTGTGCCCTTGAACTTCTAAAAGATGTTAAGGAGGTGAGTAACCAACTCCCATTCGTGGATGGGAAGTTCCTGGGCATCTCAGAACCTTGGATCGTCAATGGCTGTTAATATATCAAGTAGCATACTTTTTTTAACGTGACCTACTACTTAAATAGATAGGATGGGGCAGCTTCCATTTTATTTGTATAAGATGAAACTTGACCATTGGGCGATGACTATAACAATATATAACTCAATTAAACAAATTCTTACTGAAACCCCACTATGGTCTATGTGTTTCAGAATCCCGGAGATGAATAGGCGAGCCCTTGCCCACAAGGAACTTGCATGCTTGAGTCAAAAGGCTATTTCAAGGGAACCTTAAAGATTCCAGATTTGCTATTTTATCCTCACACTTTGGAGTAAAACAATCTAAAAATATCCTTATCCTTTATTAAGAATGCCTCATCTCCTTGTGGTGGTGTGTATTTCATATTTCTTATATCCCACACATTTAAAACCACATTCTTATTTTTATTCATATTTTTACCTCATTCTACCTAAAAAATAGTAATGACTACTACTATAACTGATCCCAGTGAAGCCTTGAATGGTAATTGTCCTCTAGACAGAAAGAAATAATACTCTCTAAGAAATGTAGAGACTCAGTTCTCTGCCCCCCCAGAAGACATAATCTGGGATGCCTTTGGCCTAAGAGCATAGTTCATTGGAGAAAGTTTGAGGTTCTGAACAGAACTTGGCTCCTTTGATTTCCTTTGTTGGGCAGACCTTGCTATCACTGCTATTACCATGGCAGAACCGCCTAAGAAATGAGATAGAAGAAGCTCTGGACACAGATCTCCTCAAGCAGGAAGCAGAACATGGGGCCCTGGATGTCCCTCATCTTTCTAACTACATTCTCAATTTGATGGCTCTGCTATGTGCACCGGTTCGAGATGAAGCGATACAGAAACTAGAGACCATAAGAGATCCAGTGCAGTTACTGAGGTGAGAGTCTAGATGTGCTGTCCCCCAAATCTGCCTTAGACACTGTGCCGGAGAACTCTGAGCCAGCCACTGTGGATATAGCCCCTGTCTTATCTAACTCTTGTGTACTGATGACCTGACTAACACACCTTTTCTCCTTTCTGGATTATTGGCTTTTATTTTCCAAGGACAGTCTCTCGGGGTTCCTTTTGATGATCTTTAGATCAGTTGGGTCTCCTTTATGTCATGATACTGTTAAGACATTAAGGTACAGTAATTCTTTCTCCTATAGATTGCAAATTGCCTTTTCCCAGATGTTGTCCTGTTTGTCCCAACTCAGACCTTGTGAGGGGACAGGAAAGAGGATTATCCGTGTTTCACAGCTAGAAGAACCAGGACCCGGAAAAGTAAAATGATCTGCTCAATGAGTTAGAAATTCAGTCACCCACATCCCAGCTACCCACATATAATTGTTAACACCTTGGTGATTTTCCTTTCACTGACTACCCTTTTTTCAAGGTGACAGACTGACTACAGGCAAAAGAGCTCTCATCTGGTTGTTAAAGTGTCAGGAGGTATAACTGTCCTTAGTTTTGCCATCAACTCACTCTATGGCCTTGGGTCACTGGCCACAGTACCATTATTCATAAGTTGAAATAGGACTGTTTGTTTTTAAGGCTTCTTCTGACTCTCAAATACTCTGCTTTTATGGCTCCTTGCTTGGATTCCACCCTTCCAGACTAGATTTCCTTTAATAGTGTAAATGTTCTGTTTCTCCCTACGGCAGGGGCATCCTCCGTGTTCTGGGCCTAATGAAAATGGACATGGTGAACTATACCATCCAGAGCTTTCGACCCTACCTGCAGGAACATTCCATCCAGTATGAACAAGCTAAATTCCAGGAACTCCTTGATAAACAGCCCAGTATGTTTAAAATTCAAGGGCAGGAGAGGGGAGATTTGACCTCAGGTCTGCCTTCTTATAGCAATAGAGGCTATTTTCTATTTTTTGAATAGAAAGTTTCTTCCTTGGGCAAGGGGTAGGGAGAAGGAATGTTTCTCTAAGATAGAAAGATCTACAAAATCACTTCTTTATAGACCAAGAGTATGTCTCAGAGCCATCATCTTTAAGCCTTGGAATTTTAAGATGCATATTCCCTTCTCGTCGTAGGTCTCCTCGATTATACCACAAAATGGCTAACCAAAGCAGCCACAGACATCACTACACTATGTCCGAGTTCTCCTGACTCACCTAGCTCCTCCTGCAGCATGGCGTGTTCACTTCCAAGCGGGGCAGGTAACAATTCAGAGCCCCCCAGTCCAACAATGGTGCTATACCAAGGCTACCTGAACCTCCTCCTCTGGGATCTTGAAAACGTAGAATTCCCAGAGGTAGGGATGTGTGTTTGGGCATTGCCTTGTTCTATGGTATTCAGTGCCTCCATTCAAACCCTCCTCTTCTGATGGGCTGTCCTTCGCTCCCTCACCAGACTCTGCTGATGGACAGAATCCGGCTCCAGGAACTGGCATTCCAGTTGCACCAGTTAACTGTCCTGGCCTCAGTCTTGCTAGTGGCCAGAAGCTTCTCTGGTGAAGTTTTATTCAGATCACCTGAATTTGTGGATAGACTGAAATGCACCACCAAGGCCCTAACTGAGGAATTTATCTCCAGGTAAGATTCATAGATCTCTGTTAGAGAGGGAAATGTGTGGTATTTGGGACATAGGTAATATCAATACTATTATTGCTTATTCTTCATCACAAACCACACAAAGGCCCTTGGAAATGATCTTCAAAGATTTTGGTATCTTTGATAATTTGTATTGAGGTTTGGGATACAGAAAATAAAACTTATTTTCCAAAGAGGAGAGTGTGGAAGCCAGTTTGCTACAAATATTCCTTATGTGTTTGCTAAAAATGAGTCATTATATACGTGATTGAATGACAGTGGATTTGTGCTATGTATATCTAGAA